>NW_011332701.1:2448509-3132908 GCF_000001405.40 Homo sapiens | reverse complement strand
GGGAAAGAAGGAAGATGTCTTGAGGTGCAGTGAGCTTGCCCACTAGTAATTATTGTCTGATCAGTGTCCTAGAGTCTGACTGTGCCTTTTAGGCATGGGGAAAGGTAGAAGAGGGACTTAAGAAGAGAGCTAAAGCTCCTGGTAGATTTGTGGGGTTTTCTTTTGTTTGCCTGGTGTCCTTAACCATAGCCTGTCAAGAGAACAAAGGTGGATATATTTTTCAGTGAACACATACATGTTTAATAGTCATTCTGGAAAATATTTCTAATACCTTCTTTGGAATTTTCTCATGCTATAAATTTAGATTTTTAAGAATTGGTCATATCGCACCAATTTTAGACTAAGAGGTGTAGGATCGTCACTGCCCCCCCATGGTGCCCACCATGTGGCTACTAAGTGGGGTGCACATTAAATGCGGACAACTTGCTTAATTATTTATAGGGTCTGCAGGAGCACACTATTCCTGCTTTTAGCACAGCACTCATATAATTTTTTTTTTCCCCTCCAGCCTTCCAGAATACATTGTAGTGCCAAGTTCTTTAGCAGACCAAGATCTAAAGATCTTTTCCCATTCTTTTGTTGGGAGAAGGATGCCAGTAAGTGATTTCTGTTGGATTTTATGAATGCTGACGTCCATTGTTTCTACACAGTGAAGTAAGGATTCTACCTCTCCCCTAGCTCTGGTGCTGGAGCCACTCTAACGGCAGTGCTCTTGTGCGAATGGCCCTCATCAAAGACGTGCTGCAGCAGAGGAAGATTGACCAGAGGTAATTGAGAAATGGTCATTGTCACTTTAGATAGTTTTACTTGTTGTGTAACTACAGTGAGTTCCCTACTAATTGAAAATAACAAAATGCATAGTCTTACTAATTAGTTAGCACCATGTTTTATATAAGAATTGCCATTTTGAAAAGAATGTGATAATATTAAAATTAACTGACATTGGAGTTACACTAAATATAATTTAATTATTTGGTTTGTAAGACACTTGTGGATCTTACATTGCTGACATCTTGCTATAGCATTTCCTATAACATACTTTCAAAGTGCAGTGATATCCAGTTGAGACACTTCAGGATAAATCAAACTTTTCTTGTAGTTTGATGTGTCTTATTTAGGTCTACACATTTGCAATAGCTAGAACAGTGGTTTTAATTAGCCACCACAGACGAGTCTGGCATCATCTGCTGTGGTCATTAGTAACCTCCACGTCATTAAAGTAGGAGGCCTTTCTCAGTTGTGCTCATAGCAGTGAGCAATACTATTGATCACTCTCTCCTTAAACCCGCCTGGGCCCTCAGCCTCTGCTCCTCTCCACTCTCCTGAAGCTCCTCTTCCTCACTGGCACTCCGTGCCTTCTGCAGACCCATCCTCTTCTCTCCAGACATTACACAGATTCTAAGGCCGCTTCCTCATGTTCTGTATTCTTTTCCTAAAGAAGTTTCCCCAAGAATGTGGCTTTAGTGACCAACACATTTATATCTTCAGTCTACCTTGACTTCTACATGGAGGTCTCAAAGACCCCTTAAACTCATTATGTCCAAAACCAAACTCAAGGATATGGCCTCCATGCCCTCCCCCAGCCTGCTCTCAGAAACCGGGGGGTCATCCTGGATGCCTTCCTCTTTCTTTCCCTTCCCCATCACCAATCCCTCCTCAGGTTTTCTCACTTCACTTTTCAGACACCTTGCAAACCCATGTGCTTCCACAAACCCAGCTCCACCTCTGCCTGTGTGTTATAAGTGCTATCATTTCCTCCTTCCATGTCTCCTCCACCCCTGGGCTCCAGCCCCCTGGACTTTCCCTGGTGTTTTCAACCTCCTGACATTGTCCAGCGCTCTTCCCTTCTGGACTGCCTTCTTTGCACTCATCTGGGAACACTCTCCACGCTTACCCACTTGGCACTCCTTGTTTCTTTTTTTTTGAGACAGAGTCTCACTCTGTCACCCATGCTGGAGTGCAGTGGTACGATCTCGGCTCCCGGGTTCAAGTGATTATCATGCCTCAGCCTCCTGAGTAGCTGGGATTACAGGCACCCACCACCACATCCAGCTGATTTTTGTATTTTTAATAGAGACAAGATTTCACCATGTCGGCCAGGCTGGTCTCGAACTCCTGACCTCAGGTGATCCACCCGCCTCGGCCTACCAAAGTGCTGGGATTACAGGCGTGAGCCACTGCACCCGGCTCACTCATTCTTTATATCTCAATTCAAACATCATTTCCTCAAGATAAGCCTTCTCTCCCCTCTAAAGTTTGATCAGACCTCAAAAGTCTATGTTCTTAGAGCTCCTGAGTTTTTAACATTTATTTCAGTTTTTAATTATATATGTGTGTGTTACAGTTTGATTACCGCCTGTCGTTTTTACTCCATGAGATGAGGGACTATGTCTGTTTTGCACACCGTTATATATTTAGCACCCAGGAAGCATATATGATATTTATTCAATACTTGTTGAATAAATGAGGAGTAAATGAACAGATCTTATAAAACAGGCTTATGGAGCCTCAGAAATTGTGTATCACAGTCCTTTTTGGTACAGCCAGAGTGTAGGGTTTTTCCACTGTACCGTAACTGACAGAGCCATATTCACTGAAGCAAATAACCATCAAGTGACCCTCAAATGACCTTCAGTTTTCTGGAAAGGAAGGTGACTATAGTTCACACGAGTCCGTATTCTCTGTGGATTTTGATTTACCTGAACTCCATTTGGAATTAACTGTCTGCTGTGTCATACTCCAAGCCTTGTTTTCATTAGCATACATGCTGATGAAGTGCACAGTTAGGAATTTTGCTGTTAAAGGGACAATTGTAGCATTGTTGGGTGAGAGTTAGTTATAAAACCTTATAATCAGTGGCAGTTTCAGTGATTTATTAAGCTGAAAATTACTTTAATGCCTTTTGTGTTTTCAGCTATCCTATTCTTCATAAGTAGAACAGATCCTCTTTTTTGTCCAACCTCGTCTCCTAACCTTTTTCCCTCAGGTGTGTCATCTAGCCCCACTGGCCTTCTTTAGGTTTCTCAGCAGCCATGCTTGTTACCTGCCACAGGGCCCTTGCACTAGCTGCCCTCTGCCTAGAACATTTTCACCCCACATCTTTACATTGCTTCTCTATTCATTTAGGTTTCGGCTTCAGTACCATCTTCACAGAGCAGCTGTTTTTCACCATGTGACCTAAAGTAGCCTGTAATCTCATGATTACATCATCCATGGCATTCACCACAGCCCATTTATCTTATCATCTACCCCACCCCACGAAGAATGTCAACCCCCCACTTGCTTGGGCAACACCAGTAGTAAAATTGGAATGATACAGGGAAGGTTAGCATAGCCCTTGCACAAAGATGACATGCAGGTTCATGACACATTACATATTTTAATGAAATGGGAGCATATTCTTGTTATTTAATTTTTAAAAATCAGTTTATCAAGCAAATGTACAGCGCCATTTTATTTTTCATGCCTACATTAAATTCCATACACATAAAGGTGCATAGAGGAAACCTAGAAAGATTGCACCAAAATTTTAGAATTCTGAGTGATTTTGTTTTTCTTATCTTTTCTAGGTGTTTTTAAACATTCCACACTAATTTATATTACTTTTTCTATTCAGGAAAAAAAAAAAACAACAGCAGGGTTTTGTTTTTTTTTTTAAAGTGGTGTGGAAGTTACCCATTGAATATAGATGGGAATCCCAGTCCTGGCTGTTTCCTTTGAAAAGATCTAGAGACCCCATGGCACATATTTATAGTAGCCCATTCTCTCCTAAGAATAGAGGAAGGGTGGGAGGAATTTTGGTGAATGTCTGTACTTGCAGTTCATCCTACAGCAAATCGTTAAGACTGTGGGAATAGGTGCTTTGCATTCTCTAGAGCTGGAGAATGTGCATCTGGTTTGCCATCCTTCTGTCTACATCATGTGGAAAGATGTGGGAGTGTAGGGTCTCCTTAATCTAAATGCAGTGCTGCCCCGCCCCCCCCTTGGCAGTGTTTCTGTTTCCCAGGCAAGTGTTCCAATGGATGTGCTTTATTTTCTCCCATCAGAAATAAGGGAATGAGCCCGGGCGCGGTGGCTCACGCCTGTAATCCCAGCACTTTGGGAGGCCAAGGGGGGTGAATCACAAGGTCAGGAGTTTGAGACCAGCCTGGCCAACATGGTGAAACCCCGCCTCTACTAAAAATACAGAAATTTAGCCAGGTGTGGTGGCGGGTGCCTGTAATCCCAACTACTCGGGAGGGTGAGGCAGGAGAATCGCTTGAACCCGGGAGGGGGAGGTTGCAGTGAGCCGAGATGGTGCCACTGCACTCCAGCCTGGGCGACAGTATGAGACTCCGTCTCAAAAAGAAAAAGAAGGAAATGATCTAATTTGTTCTGTGCACTGCACGTGGGGGTGGCAGTGAGGTGAATGGCAGCATTCTGCAGTAGTCAAAGCCAGATGGGTGGGAGAAGTTGGGTGCTAAGAGGGAAACAAAGTTTACCTGTCTTCTCCTTGATTTCACTCTCAGTTTTATGAGAATACAGAAAAATCATGCAGAGAAACCTGATGGAATAGTCTCTAAAACTAAAAAATAAGATAAGCAATGGTTCTGTCTTAAAAAAAAAAAAGTAAACTCCATGAAGGCAGAGACCTTACCTGTCTCATTCCTCTCTCTATCCCCTGGTCTATAGTAAGGGTTAAATAAATATATGCTGAAATGAATGAGTAATGACTAAAGTATTTTTGTCTTTATTAGGATTTGTAATGCAATAACTAAAAGTCACCCACAGAGAAGTGATGTTTACAAATCAGATTTGGATAAGACCTTGCCTAATATTCAAGAAGTACAGGCAGCATTTGTAAAACTGAAGCAGCTATGCGTTAATGGTAATTTCATTCTTATTTCATATATATAATGAACACAGGATACAGAGTTGCATGAGATGTCAGGAAAAGTGATGTTCTTAAAAATGTAGAAATAGATATATTTAAGGAGTCTATGGAACTATTTGCACAAATTATATATTATTGTATGAGAACTTCAGAACCTCCTAAGGAATTAAGTTTAAACTACTTTTTGTTTTAGAGGGGGAAAAATGAGTGTATTAAATTTCCTTCAGATGATGAAAGGTATAGGAGAATACTTTTATAAAAGCATTTGCTGAGTAGAACACTGTATTACCTTACAGACAAACTTATTAAGATTGTAATACATACAGTTATACTTTGAGATAGGTGACTTGACATGGGTATCAAACAGCTGTGTTATATCTGTAGCATCAGAATTCTGATATATCTGAGCAAACGTACCAGGTGGCTTTCATGTGTCCTGCGGGATGAGTCACATGAAAGCATCTTTGGTGTAATGTGGGTCCTCCTCAAGAGATCCTCTAAGTCACCAGGGAGTCAGCAAAGGCAGCCTTGCAGCAGATCTTGAGCAATGAGTAAGCACTTCCCTGGGGGAGGGCCTTGCAGGGGCGGGGCAGGGGCAAGTTGTTGAAAAAACTAGTGTCCTGAATGATTATGTGCACTCTGGGCAGGGCAGTGAGGATGCCTGTCCTCATGCAGTGGCTAGCCCTCGGCCACGTGAGCCATGCACAGAGGCACCACTGGCAGCAGGGGTGGGGCAGGGAAGCAGGAGGGCAAGGCTTGCAGTGAGAAAGCCAAGGGCTAGGGCCTGGGCAGCTGACCTCACAGGTCAGGAGGGCCAGGATCAAGGCATAGGCTGAGCAGGGACGGCTGGAATTCTTAGCTGTTGGGAGTCAGAGTTGGTTGGACTCCAAGATTTCCCTGAAAGAGCGAGAGAGAAGATGATGGAGCCCCAGGGGAATGCTTTGTTTTGCTTTGTTACAGAATTGTAATGTCTTCTTAAATGCTTATTCCATGTTATTAAAGTGAAAATGCATGATATTTACTTAAAGCTAACTTTTAAATATTAGAAACTGATGTATCTCTTTACTCTGATAGGGATCATATAAAATAAAAAGTAAAAATGTGTATGTATATAATTTATTACAGAGCCTTTTGAAGAAACTGAAGAGAAATGGTTATCTTCACTGGAAAATACTCGATGGTTAGAATATGTAAGGTTTGTACTTCTTTACTTTCTTTTCCTTTAACTTTTTATTTTGAGATAACTACAGACTCACTGGAGGTACAAAAATAGCACAGAGGGCCATGTACTTACTCTTCATCCAACTTCCCCCAATAGTAACATCTCGTAACTAGAGTACAGCATCCAAACCAGGAAGCTGACACTGGGACACTGGATAGCTCTTACTCACCAGTTCATACATGCTGTCGTCTGTGTGCATGCCCTTAACACAGCTGTGTGATTTTATCACGTGTGTAGGTTCACGTAACCACCACCACAGGGAGATACAGACCTGTTCCATGACAAGGCTCCCCTGTGCTAGCCTTCTTATAGGTGCACCCTCATCGCCATCTGTGTCTGTTGACTACCACTAATCTCTTCTCAATCTCTATAGTTTTGTCATAAGTCAACCCCTTCCTTTTCATAAAGGGTTTATGAATTTCCCTGATGAAAAAGTACAAAATGAGGCCAGGCGTGGTGGCTCATGCCTGTAATCCCAGCACTTTGGGAGGCCAAGGCGGGTGGCTCACCTGAGGTCAGGAGTTCAAGACCAGCCTGGCCAACATGGTGAAACCTTGTCTCTACTAAAAATACAAAAATTAGCCAAGCATGGTGGCACGCACCTGTAGTCCCAGCTACTCAGGAGGCTGAGGCAGGAGAATCACTTGAACCTGGGAGGCAGAGGTTGCATTGAGTCAAGATCACGCCACTGCACTGCAGCCTGGGTGATAGAGCAAGTCTCCATCTCAAAAAAAAAAATTTACAAAGTGGGGCCGGTTGTGGTAGCTCATGCCAGTAATTCCAAAGCTCTGGGGAGGAAGATCACTTGAGGCCAGTAGTTCACAACCAGCCTGAGCAACACAGTGAGACCCCATCTCCACAAAAAAGTTGGAAACTAGCCAGGCATGGTGGCATGTGCCTGCTGTCCTAGGGAGCCTGAGGCAGGAGGATCACTTGAGGCCAGGAGTTCACAACCAGCCGAGGAACATAGTGAGATGCCCATCTCCACAAAAAAATTTTAAAACTAGGCAGGCATGGTGGCTCGTGCCTGTGGTCCTAGCTGCTCAGGAGGTGGAGGCAGGAGGATCACTTGAGGCCAGGAGTTCAGGGTTACAATGAGCTGTGATATGCCACTGCACTCTAGTGTGGGTGACAAAATGAGAGCCTGTCTCTTAAAAAGAAAACAAAAATTACAAAATATACTCCTTTGAGAAATCGTATAAGTAACTAAAGAAACTTTACGGTAATGCGAAAGCTATGTGCCTTCAGTAGAAAGCAGTCAATCCTCTCTTGTGATGCTGAGTAGCAGCAGGGAGCCACAGCTGCCAGTCAGCCACACAGTCTCAGTTTAGGGTATTTTCAGCTTACAGTGGGTTATCATGGGTCATGAGTTATGGGAATATCATGATCAGAGAGCATCTGTAAAGTGAGAAATTAGATTTGCTTGATTTCAAGTACTTTATGTATTTGTAGTGGAAATTTGATTTTTAACACTACTTTTCCTTTTCTCTCTTCAGGGCATTCCTTAAGCATTCAGCAGAACTTGTATACATGCTAGAAAGCAAACATCTCTCTGTAGTCCTACA
Organism: Homo sapiens; assembly: GCF_000001405.40. Lineage (NCBI taxonomy): Eukaryota > Metazoa > Chordata > Mammalia > Primates > Hominidae > Homo > Homo sapiens. Next base: position 3,125,248 of record NW_011332701.1, on the reverse strand, counting down.
AGGTAACTAAAGTAACTCCTGAAAGCACCATGACCACCATACCAGCCAGCCTTGGTTTACTGCTTGTCCCCATTCAAGTAAATCACATCAGTTTTAGCTATTTCTTATTTACTACAGTACCATCAAATACATTACAGATTTTGCACATCATTTGAGTAAAACAGTGGCACAGGCTGGGCGCAGTGGCTGAAGCCTGTAATCCCAGACTTTGGGAGGTCGAGGCGGGCGGATCACTTGAGGTCAGAAGTTTGAGATCAGCCTGGCCAACGTGGTGAAACCTTGTCTCTACTAAAAATACAAAAATTAGTCAGGAGTGGTGGTGTGCGCCTGTAGTCTCAGCTACTCGGGAGGCTGAGGCAGGAGTATCACTTGAACCTAGGCGGCGGAGGTTGCAGTGAGCAGAGATCGCACCACTGCACTCCAGCCTGGGCAACACAGCAAGACTCAAAAAAAAATAAATAAAAACCAGTGGCACAAGGACTGCAAATAGAAGAATAGAAAGTAGTCCAGTTTTTACCCTTTATTAAATTATCCTTCCTATTTTATGGGAAGGGTGGGTCCCATCCCCTAATGGATTAATACTTAGTGTTAATTTTGACAGGGCATTCTCTCTCTCTAATTTTGCTGTCTAATTTGTACAAATTTGTTTTAGTTTAAATACCTTCTGGCTCATGCTAGATTATGACTCTAAGGAAGCAGTTTGAGATGAAGAAATTTAGACTGAACTGCTGAATAGCTAGTAATGTAATATTTGGTAGGAATAAACGGTGATGTAAAAATCTTTCAGTTAAGCAAAGGATAATTACATATTAAATAACTTACAGCTAATAGAATTTGTAAGTTTGCAGATAAAGTTCAATAGACTAAAAACTACCTTCGTATAATACAGTAGTGGGCCCTTTGTACCCATGGCTTCCCCATCTGTGGTCAACCAACCCAGGACTGAAAATATTGGCGGGGGAAAGCTTTGGCCATAATGAACATGAACAGACTTTTTTGTTGTTGTCATTATTCTCTAAACAGTATAGTATAACAACTGTTTACATAGCATTTACATTGTATTAGGTGTTATAAGTAATCTAGAGGTAACTTAAAGTGTACAGGAGGATGTGCATAGGTTATATGCAAATATTAACATCATTTTATATCCAGGACTTAAGCATTTGTGGATCTTGGTATCCAAAGGAGGCCCTGGAATGAGTTCCCCATGGATACTGAGGGAAGACTATATACTCATGTTGCATAGTATATGAATACAAAATGTTGCTTAAGCTTGCAGAAGTACTTTTTTTTTTTTTGAGATGGAGTTTCGCTCCTGTCACCTAGGCTGGAGTGCAGTGGAACGATCTCAGCTCACTGCAACCTCCACCTCCTGGGTTCAAGCGATTCTCCTGCTTCAGCCTCCCAAGTAGCTGGGATTACAAGCATGCACCACCACGCCCGGCTAATTTTTGTATTTTTACTAGAGATGGGGTTTCACCTTGTTGGCCAGGCTGCTCTCGAACTCCTGCCCTCAGGTGGTCTGCCCACCTCAGCCTCCCAAAGTGCTAGGATTATAGGCGTGAGCCACCGTGCCTGGCCAGGCTTGCAGAAGTACATTTAACAACTGCCAAACTTGATTGACTTTAACAAGGCAAAAATCTTTAAGACTCTTAGAAAAAAATCAAATAGTAATGTGTCATATAAAGTAATCCTGAACTGATAGAGTGTGTGTTTAACTCACAAATGCATGCAGAGCCTAATAATCACAATTTCTCTCATCCAGTGGGTGTTCTCATCGTATTGGAGAACCCTACTCATCCTCCATTTCTCCATGCATTTGTAATAGAAAAGGCCTCAGAAGTAGCACTGAACCTTCATTTTACTAGCATTTTTATATACGTTTATTTTTAAACAGTTTGTTTAGTTAAAAATTTACATACTATGGAATTCACCCATTTTTAATTTGTAATTCAGTAAATTTTAGTAAATATACAGAGTCTAGTTTTGGAAATTTTTCATCACCCCAAAAGTCCCAGCTCCAGGCAGCCACTAATCTTTCTGTCTCTAGATTTTCCCTTTCTGGGCATTTCATATAAATGGAATCATACAATATGTGGCCTTTTGCCGCTGGCTTCTTTCATTCAACATACATGTTTTTGAGGTTCATTCATGTAGTGTGTATCAGCAATCTTTTCCTTTTTATTTCTGAATTGTATTCCACTGTTTGTAAATGCATTTTGCTTACCCATTTACCTGTTGATGGACATTTGGGTTGTTTCCACTTTGTGGCTGTTATGAATTATGCTGCTTCATTTATTTAGATCTTTCATTTTATCAGCAGTGTTTTATTATGTAAGTCTTATATTTATTTTGTTAAATCTCTTAAGTATTTTATTTTTATGTCACTGTGAATATAATTGTTAATTTCATTTTCAGGTTTACTATGTACTCAGATTGTTGTGTACAGAATTTCTGTAACCTTACTGACCTCATTTATTAATTCTAGTAGTTATTTTGTGGATTCCGTAGGAGTTTTTACATACAGGATCATATTGTCTTCAAAGACAGTTTTTACCTTTTTCTTTCTGATCTGAATGCCTTTTATTTTCTTTTTCTTGCCTAATTGCTCTGGCTAGATTCTCCAGTTCAATGAGATGGAGAAGTGTAGAGAACAGACATCCTTATCATCTTCCTGATCTTAGGGAGAGAGTATCCAGTCTTTCACCAGTGAAATGGGAATAACATTAATTGTAGGTTTTTGTGGATGTCTCTGATCAGTTTAAATATGTTTACTTTTATTCCTAATCAGGAATGAAGGTAGAATTGTATCAGATGCTTTTTCCGCATCTAATGAGATAATCGTGTTGGTTTTGTCCTTTATTACTGTGGTACGTTACTACAATTGACAGATGTTAAACCAACTTTGCATTCCTGGATAATTTGGTTTACTCATATTTTTATTGATTTTTACATCTGTAATCATAAGGGATATTGGTCAATAGTTGTCTTCTGATTTCCCTGGCTGACTTTGATAGCGTGGCAATTCTGGCCTTATTGGAAAGGACAACAACTATAAAAGACAGGAGGGAATCGTTTGCCACAGCTTCAGTTGGTAGTGAACAGTCCCACTCTCCCCATTCACTTCTCAGTATTGCCATGTGGCCTGTCAGTAGAAAGATTACCTTATACTTAATACCTTGACAAAAGAGCAGTAGAATGGAGTCTAGACGGGTTTTCTACCACAAACCATTCGAATGTAAAAAGTATGAGTGATGAGCTTCTATTATCTGGCAAATATCCATGTATAAAAGACCATCTCCTATTAAATGCTAATTTAGTTTATCTACAAGTCTGTAATATTTTAGAGTTGCTGGAATCCAGTAAAATTTCCTTATACAGATTTGGAAGGCAGCCTAGGTGTGCAGAATACTAAATTATCTAGTTTACCTTTCCTTCCCTTTCTCTCTCAGCATTTTTCTATGTTGTAATCATTTTCTTTCCATTTTATTAACAGAGGAGGAAGGAAGAGACTTGAGCTGTTGTGTAGCTTCTCTTGTTCAAGTGATGCTGGATCCCTATTTTAGGACAATTACTGGATTTCAGAGTCTGATACAGAAGGAGTGGGTCATGGCAGGATATCAGTTTCTAGACAGATGCAACCATCTAAAGAGATCAGAGAAAGAGGTAACAAAATCTTGATGCCTTTTTATCAGTCTTTAAGGATACACAAAATAAAATTTGTGTCATTAAAAGATGAAGGGGCTTTTAAAAAATACTGTATTTAGTACAACTTAATTTCCTTAGTCCAAAGCTAACTAATGGATTAGAGTTCAAATTGATGTACTTATTATAAAGATTATCGTAACTATGAAGGTGAAATTTTTAAAAGTTGTCTATTGAATTTGTCTAAGTGGAAAACTACTGAAAAAATTCTGAATAAAATACTGAAAAACAGATAACAAGCACATTGGCTATTTTGAAAAATCACTTTTGGAATATCATATTTTCTTAAAATGGGATACATAGGTTAAGATGAAAAGTTTGAGAGGGCCACCTTTGCAACAGCTGTGGAGTTAGTGGCTGCCTCGGATCTCTAGTTAGGCTGCGGAAGGCCTTACAAATATCTTACCGGCCAGGCAGGTCAGTCAGATCAGTTTTTAGAAGGTTGTTTCAGAGAGCGCCATTTGACTTGTGGTGTCTCATAAAAAATAGTGGTCACCCGCTACTGCACTTGGGGACACACCACGTGACCTAGGCTCATCCCAAAGTGTTTTCTGAAATATGGGGATGTTTTCTGGATGCTGAGCCTACAGGATCAACCAAACATTAGAGAAGTTTGGTTGATGGTTTTGTTTTGTTATATAATCTAAAGAATTGTTTCTAAGACATGCTTAAACACATATTTTGCTCTTCCCCCTTCATATAGTGGCAACCCGCTCAACTGTGTGCTTTGCTGTTTCAACTTGTTACATGTACTGGGCAAATAAGGGTTGTGATGTTTATCACGGTTGAATGTTACTTCTTGGGTTTGATAGATGTGTATAGCTCAGCTTAGAAGGCAAGTGTTTTAGGCTTCGATGTTTTCTCATTCATCTCTTCTTTAACATCAGCAGTACATTTTGAAGTAAATGTGAACGGCTGAAGGATAACATTGAATGATCCCATTGTCTCTTTGTATTTGCCAGTCTCCTTTATTTTTGCTATTCTTGGATGCCACCTGGCAGCTGTTAGAACAATATCCTGCAGCTTTTGAGTTCTCCGAAACCTACCTGGCAGTGTTGTATGACAGCACCCGGATCTCACTGTTTGGCACCTTCCTGTTCAACTCCCCTCACCAGCGAGTGAAGCAAAGCACGGTAAGCAACCCTGTGGCTGTGGCTACGTTTTCCCTGTTTTTACAACTTTATCGAGGCATAATTGAAGTATAATTCACTGCCTATTTAAAATCTTATGATTTAAAATTCTTACTGCCATTTTCAGCTGAAATTTCTGAATGGATTATTTTGAAGACACAAAAATCTAGGAAATTATTTTTATGAATGAACATTTTTTGTTTTACTCTAATGTAAATGTTTTGTAGTAAACCCCTTTAAAGATGTAAATTACTTTAACCACCTTAAATGTCATGCTTTTGTATTTATATTTCACATTTGGGCTATTGGGTAGTAAAAAACAAAAGCCCTGTTACACGACATTTATTTCCTAGGTCAGTAGGATAAAAAGTTGTACAAAACAAGATTATTTTCCTTCACGAGTTTGAAGTTTCTGGTCACAATTCATTGATGTAGAGGATTTATGACTAAGCAGGGTCTCAAGCCAAACTTGAAACCATTCTGAACCAAAGTGCCATTTCACCCACCTCGAACCAACAACAGAAGCTGACAAATGCCGTGGAGACCATTGAGGGAAACAGAAAGGGGCAGCTCTTGTGGACCTTCAGGAAGCCTTTCTAGGAAGAGGATTGCCCTCATAGTGAGCTCCGGGGTCTTCAGCCTCAGCCGTAAGGCCCTGGGCTAGGCAGTGTGACCTAGGGAGCGGGAAACCTGAGTTCTGGCCCTGGTCTGGGAAAAGTGCTAGGCCCATGTTCCACTCAGGCTTCAGCCTGAGAGTCCAGGTTGCTAACCTGTAAAATGGATCTGTCAAACTAACACTTATGCCTTTAGTCTCATTGTATGAGGTGAAACATTTTGTAAACTGTGAATCATTATGCAAATTTTCCTAAAGACATATGAATTATTCTGGATTTGTTGGTATAAAAGACAAAATACACTGGTCAGTTAAGGAGCTGATTTTATTTAGGCTATTGCAGGAGGGAGAACTTAATTAATGGGCATCCCAAAGAAAAGGACAAGGCCTGGGATTTTATAGTCAGAAGACAGGGGAATCAGGAGGGAGGGCAGTCTCAGTCCACAGGAGCGAGTTCTCAGGACACAAAAGGCAGGAGAGATTGTCCAGCATTGCCACTTTTGGGGAACCCAGGGCTCAAAGAAACTCAACACCGTCAGCCTGTCTCTACAAAAAATACAAAAATTAGCCAGACATGGTGGTGCGCACCTGTGGTCCCAGCTACTGGGGAGGCTGAGGTGGGAGGATGGCTTAAGCCCAGGAGGCAGAGATTGCAGTGAGCTGAGACTGTGCCACTGCACTCCAGCCTGGGTGATAGAGCCAGAGTCTGTCCCCTGCCCACCCCACCAGGAAAGTTTGACCTTTCCAGATACTGTGCTGAGAACCAGTGATACAGGCTTAGAGGCTCCTGAGGCATGGAACGCTCATTTGTTCCTAAAATACATGCTCTCCCAGTTGCTTGTTTTTATTTTTCGTCACCATAATCATTCTTGGGGCCCCTCTCTGCCTCGAGCTAGGCTTTCCCCCTGGCCTTGTTTGCCTCCTTCAGCTCTTCCCCATTGTCTCCTGTCACTACCCCGTGCGCACACAGACAGTGTGAGCCTGCAAAAGGTGCGTGAGGCGAGGACAAAGACTTTGGGGTCTGGGGACTGGGCAGTGCATGGGTGGGTATCTGCGTGGAGGACTCCCAGCCCCCAGACACCACTGCCTCTGCTGCTTGGCTGATGCTGTGTGTGCGGACAGACTTCTCACCAGGAATGAACATTACTGAATTGTATTGAGGGAGCTGTAAAAAATACTTTCTACAAGTATTTCCTCTGCTTTCCCTGTTCATGTTCTAGTGCTCTTTTTAATTTGGCTCTTTCAAAAGCCTTTTCTGACAAATACTAACATGAATCCCCCTCTCCCTTCCTCCCTAGCAGGAACTGGTCATTGTCTAAGGGTCGTGATTCTTAACCGTTCTCAGCCCCTTCCACACAGGCAAAAGCCCAAAGCATTTCTTCCTTTTTTTTCCATTCTGAGGCCACCTTAGGTGCTAGTGGCCAGGTAGTGTTTATAGAAAATCTGGTCTCTCTTGGGATAAATATTTTTAATTTTTACCTTTTAAAAAAGAGAACATCTTTTTTTTTTTTTTTAAGACAGTTTGGCTCTGTCACCCAGGCTGGAGTACAGTGGTACAATATCAGCTCACTGCAACCTCTGCCTCCTGGGTCCAAGCACTGCTCTCGCCTCAACCACCTGAGTAGCTAGGACTGCAGGCGCATGCCACCACGCCTAGCTAATTTTTGTATTTTTTTGTAGAGTCAGGGTTTCGCCATGTTGCCCAGTCTGGTCTTGAACTCCTGGACTCAAGCAATCCGCCCACCTCAGCTTCCCAAAGTACTGGGATTACAGGCGTGAGCCACCGTGCTTGGCCAAGAGGACATTTTCTATATACTTACTGAAGGGCCATTAAAACACGTTTGGGTTCATGTTTTACTAGATTTCAGCTCTTAACAGTGTTTGAAGCAAATGGATTGTTTTTAATCCATGTACATGATGAAATGTCAAGTAACTAAATTTTTTTTTTTTTTTTTTTTGAGACAGAGTCTTGCTCTATCACCCAGGCTGGAGCGCAGTGGCATGATCTCGGCTCACTGCAACCTCTGCCTTCCAGGTTCAGGTGATTCTCCTGCCACAGCCTCCCGAGTAGCTGGGACTACAGGTGCACGCCACCACGCCTGGCTAATTTTTGTATTTTTAGTAGAGACGGGGTTTCACCATATTGGCCAGGCTGGTCTTGAACTCCTGACCTCGTGATCCGCCTGCCTTCGGCCTCCCAAAGTGCTGGGATTACAGGCATGAGTCACCACTGCGCCTGGCCAAAACTGTTAAGAGTATGTGTATTTGGTGCTTAATGAATTTTTACTTATTTGAAATAGAAAATTTTGTAAAACTTTACAAAATGCCCTGTGCTGTTACACAGCTTAGCCATTTCTTGATGATTCAAGCCGCCACTGTGCCAGGGAATGCCACCTGGCTGTGATGTAGTCATGGCCTCCTGACTGCTATATTCTTGTCCTAATAACATTCATTGTTTGCCTTTTTAATAATTTCCAAATAAATTCTTGGGGGTTTTTTTTTGGTAGAAAATTTGGAGAGTACTGAAAGGTACAGAACAAAGAATCAGACATTTCCCATCATCCAGCGACTTTGTGTCTGGGGTTATTTCCTCCAGCGAACTGTTGTGTATACACTGCTGTGGTAGCCTGCTGCCATCAATCAGCTGAGATGAGAGTCCTTTCTCCACATTGCTAAATGTGACTGTGCTTCATAGAAATGGTCTGGGCTGCCTTCCAGAGGAGCTCCATGTCTTCCTCACAATGCGGTGGTTGGCTGTCACCCTGTAGCCTTGTGTTGCCTCAGTTTACTGTGGTGGGAAGCCAGATAACTAGGCTGCACCCGCCCAGAGTCCGGGCTAGAGGTGGACTCCTGTGAAGGAGGGGTCTCCTGTGTACATGGTCTCCATGGTTTTAGCCACATGCTAGGACCACAGGGAGTTGATCCCTTCCTTCCTACCCTGAGTCTGTGGTCTGTGATTTGAGATCACTGGCTCAGTGAAGTGTAGCTCCCCACTTACGAAGTAAGTTATAAAATTGGTGGCAGTGATTTCCATCCAAAGATTTTGTTAATCCACTTACCAACAGGTAACTACTTAAATGTACTGACCGTGTGCTCATAAAAGTAAAATACTGTAATTATAGAAATAAATTCAACATGTTTAAGACTTTCTCGTATCATGTTAGTGAAACTTCTCTTAATAACATTCTTATTGCCCAAAGGGCACGGCTTCCTTGGGGTCCTAAGGCAGAGGGCACCTGAAAAGCACACTCCTTGTTCATGGGGACTGTGGGGCTCTCTGAGCTCAAAGGCCAGGAGCGTCTCCTCTCTTGAAGTGAAAGTGCCACTCTGGTGGGTTTTGAGGGCTGCAGTACAGAACATTTAACCTGTATAATGATGAGTGGCTCATCTGAAAAAAGGCATTCATGAGAGAATCTTTAGTTTTGCAAATATTTATTTATTTATTTTGCAGGAATTTGCTATAAGCAAAAACATCCAATTGGGTGATGAGAAGGGCTTAAAATTCCCCTCTGTTTGGGACTGGTCTCTCCAGTTTACAGCAAAGGATCGCACCCTTTTCCATAACCCCTTCTACATTGGAAAGAGCACACCTTGTATACAGAATGGCTCCGTGAAGTCTTTTAAACGGACAAAGGTAAATCACAGCTAACAAAACGTGATGTTGGCTCACACGTAACCAAACACCTCTTTTTCAGAACAGAGAGCGTTAAAAGTAAAGGCAGTTCCAAGAGTAACACTGCTAATGTGGGTTTCTGAGGGGTCATTCCCTTTTTAACTCAAATGACTGTATCCCAACTTTCTTCCTGGTGTCTGAGGCCCACAAAGTCTCAGTACCTGAGAGTGGGCAGATTGCAGCTTTGAGCCTGCAAGCCTGATTTACTAAAGCCCCATTTATCCATTTCTTGATGATTCAAGCCGCCACTGTGGCAGGGAATGCCGCCTGGCTGTGATGTAGTCATGGCCTCCTGACTGCTATATTCTTGTCCTAATAACATTCATTGTTTGCCTTTTTAATAATTCCCAAATAAATTCTTGGGATTTTTTTTGGTAGAAAATTTGCAGACTACTGAAAGGTACAGAACAAAGAATCAGACATTTGGCCTCCTGACTGCCTCTGTTCAGTTTGCCATTGTTCTTGATAGAATCGACCAGGTCTAGTGTTTTTTCTAGCCCGTCTTAGAACTTATCCTTAAGCAAATTAGTGGATAGGAGGTACTCTCATCCCGCCCCCATTCAGGCTGATAGTAACAGCCTAGGTAGAGTCAACACATAAAAAAGTGTAATTCCAGGGGAGGAGGATTAGAATAAGGACACAAAGGAAGGGAGGAAAATGTTCTTTGAGGCTGAAATTCCATTAATTTTTCATAGTATTGAGTTTATATTTGCCATTGCATCCTTCAATCTTTCTAAAAAGGGAATCCCCGGAACATAATAAAATCTCTTCTGTATAGAAAAGCTACAGCTCCACACTAAGAGGAATGCCGTCTGCCTTAAAGAATGGAATCATCAGTGACCAAGAATTACTTCCAAGGAGAAATTCATTGATATTAAAACCAAAGCCAGATCCAGCTCAGCAAACCGACAGCCAGAACAGTGATACGGAGCAGTATTTTAGAGAATGGTTTTCCAAACCCGCCAACCTGCACGGTGTTATTCTGCCACGTGTCTCTGGAACACACATAAAACTGTGGAAACTGTGCTACTTCCGCTGGGTTCCCGAGGCCCAGATCAGCCTGGGTGGCTCCATCACAGCCTTTCACAAGCTCTCCCTCCTGGCTGATGAAGTCGACGTACTGAGCAGGATGCTGCGGCAACAGCGCAGTGGCCCCCTGGAGGCCTGCTATGGGGAGCTGGGCCAGAGCAGGATGTACTTCAACGCCAGCGGCCCTCACCACACCGACACCTCGGGGACACCGGAGTTTCTCTCCTCCTCATTTCCATTTTCTCCTGTAGGGAATCTGTGCAGACGAAGCATTTTAGGAACACCATTAAGCAAATTTTTAAGTGGGGCCAAAATATGGTTGTCTACTGAGACATTAGCAAATGAAGACTAAAATAGGGTGTTTTCTGAACATTTTGAGGGAAGCTGTCAACTTTTTTCCTCTGAATTAACATTGCTAACCTAGGCGTTTGAATCTCTAATAACTTTATATGTAAGAATAATAGTTGGAATTTGCACTAATATTTAAAAACATGTTGAATCATGCTTCTTTCACACTTATTTTAAGAGAGATGTAAATTTTGTTCCTGTCCTCTTTCTGTCATTACAGGTCTGGCTCTTGTAACCGTGATCAAACTGTTCATGTTGTCTGCTACATTTTTGTCTCCATCCATTTTTCCTACCACCTCCTGAAGGCTATCTGATAGTCACATTAGCAGCCCCAGGCAGCAGACAACAGGAAAGTTAGGAAATTTGTGTTTCGTGTCATTTTTAGGAGCATCTGATAAAACCTCCAGCAGGTTTTAGGAAGTATTCATGTATTTTTCTGGTTACTTTCTGTCATCTCTAATTGAACTCACCTGATGAAGGTTCAGTGTTCTGGGGCCAGAATTTATGATTTTAGATCACCTTCTTTGGAACCTTAGATCACTGTGTTTTGAAATCATGAGTTTGCTTTTAACTTCATAGGGTCAACTTTAAAATGATATGCACTGTTAATTTTAAAGCATTTGCTGCAGATAATTAAACTTAGAAGTGCCTTTGACTTTAGGATACAAATATTACAGAAGAAAATATAATTTCACTTTTTAAAATTGGGGTGGGAAAATCCCATTGCATATTTGAAATAGGCTTTTCATACTAAGCTTCATAGCCAGGAGTCCCCAGAGTCTTGTTCCTCTGAAAGCCACTGGGGAGTGGCCTCTGGGGTGCTGATTCCACAGAGGTGTATGCTGTAGACAGGAGAGTGCCATCTATGCCAAAACTCGCCCTCAAAAACAAACAAGGCTTGCTGGGAGGCGTGCTGGGCTTGGCCATCAGTATTTCCAGTGTGGTAAACTATTGCTGGCACTTCCCCCTGGAAATAACTAATGAGGTTACGAGTTGGGCACCTGCACAGATGTCCTTCTCTCATAGTTCCTAATGCTTAGGAATAGAGGAGAAATAAAAAAATGGATTCTCTCAAAACACTGCCATTTGAAGAGCGACAGAAGTGCTCCCCCAGCCCCCAACTTTGGACAGCAAAGTTGAGGAGAATGAGCAGACACAGTTGTTTGCTTGATCTGAATCTCTCTAAAGTATTTCCAAACTGTGTGACAAGAGCCTACCTACCACTGTAGCGGTCAAAGCTGAAGCTTCTTACAGCAGTGAAACGGGGCACCACCTCCCCCACACTCCTCATTCCCCGCTTAAAACATGGATACTTTCAAATTTGACTGTTTCTTAAACTGCCATCCTAAGATATGGAAAATTTTTATAGTAAAGTGTCTAGTTAGCTTATTTCCTTTTCTAAAACAAGTGTTTTCAAGATAACTGTATTTTACCTTTATATGTACTGAATAGCTGTTTCTTTTTGAATTATTTGCCTTTTAAAATTTGATAATGTCTCTGGATATAACAGGACAGGAGTTCTTAAAAAATATCTTAAGAAATTCACTTTATGGGTAAACCCAAGGTTTTTGCCAACTTGTTGCCTAGAAAATAAGGGCTAGTTTCAGTTTATACAAATAGAATTATTAAACATTTTACAGTCCTTGATTAGAAACCAGACCCAATCTCCTTATAACACCACAGCGTATCCTGCCATTGACAGTGTAATCACAATTCTCCCTTTTTCATTTAGCTGCTTTTTTATTATTACTAAATGTTTTGGATTGAGCATTTTTCCCTCTGTAATTTTCTTCCTTCACGTTTATTTTATTTTAACTCTTGTAGTATTTTATTGTTGTTAATTTACAAGTTTAAAAATATTAGGTACTATTAATAATGGTTAAAAATAGAAAAATGCATATTTTTGTATGATAATCAAATGTAAAATACTTTTATTTTTGCTGGACAGTTGTTATATCATGATTATTGTGCTACAGTTTATTGTGCATAATATGAAAAACAACTATGACAGCCTTCAGTCGGGCCAGGGTGAAGCTGCTTATACCACCTCTGCCGTCAGAGGGACATGTGGTGACAGCAGTGGTGTGGCTGCACAGGGCGCACTAGAGAGAGCTCAGCACCCCTGCTGCCCGCCAGCAGAGCCCGTGCTGAGGGAATGCCGCACAGATGCTGATGCACTGGGTGAAATTTCTAGTATTGAACGTAAAGGTGTACAGTGTCTTGCTGTTATTTTATGATGGAAACTGATTTTGAAACCAAAAATAGCTAACTAACTTTATTTAAGGAAAGGATATTAATTTGTACTAACAGAGGGTGAAAGCTGTTCACATTTGTCAACAAAATCTGCTTGCTGCAGTAGTAACCTCAAGTGGTTAAAACTTGATTTCCCGAGAAAACTAAAACCTTTGTGCCTAAAATTGATGACTTGAGTTCAAGTGGGATGAGCAAGAAGATGTGTTATCTTGTTGTTCAACAGTATTGAGTGTGAAGGAAATTTTGATGGCTTAATAAAATTCCACAGCGACTGTTTGTTGTTGTCAGTATGAAATCATCTACTGGAACACAGTGATTGATAGAAGAGGTGAAGGCATCTTCTCCTACCCATACTTCTGTGTCATCCATGGGATGTTTCTGCTTGCCCTCTAAAGCCAGGTAGTGATCAGTAACTTTTTTTAACAGCAATTCGGAAGTGGCTAAAGTTAAAGCCATGTGGATATTGATAGATCATGCCCTAACTGGTCCTTCCATTCAATAAATAAATATAAAAACTGGGGAGTAATATTCCCCCAAGAAGGCTTCAAAGAAGTCAAGAGACAGACTGGGGTTCCAGTCCCTGACTCCCGGGCCTGGCGCATGGATAAATCACCTTTCTACCACACCCCCTTGCCCAGCCTGAGACCCTCCCACAATGGTGATGAGCAGCCGATTTGACTGTACTGTCAACAGAGAAAATACCCCTATCTAGTTATTAGGGATGGTCCCAGGGAGATGGACAATGAAGGACAACTGCCTCTGATAAAGACTTCATTCCTTTCATGATCCGGGCCCAATCAGTAGAACAGGCATTTACATGTTATAAATCAACACAACTTCATGAGAATGTTTTGATTCCTAAAGAAATTGGAATTTCAACTGTTTCAGCCCTTCTTAGATAATCATAAAAGTTTAACAGCTAAATGTGTATAGGGCAGTAAAGAAAAACTTAATTCAAGAATCTCGGTTTCCCATATAATTAATTACTTGAAGGAAACACTGGTTATGCTAGTTTTTAAATTTTTTTTTTTTTGAGACAGAGTCTCGCTCTGTCTCCCAGGCTGGAGTGCAGTGGTGCAATCTCGGCTCACTGCAAGCTCCACCTCCCGGGTTCACGCCATCCTCCTGCCTCAGCCTCCTGAGTAGCTGGGACCACAGGCGTGTGCCACCAAGCCCACCCAATTTTTTGTATTTTTAGTAGAGATGGGTTTCACCATGTTGGCCAGGATGGTCTCGATCTCTTGACCTCATGATGCGCCTGCCTCGCTCAGCCTCCCAAAGTGCTGGGATTACAGGCATGAGCCACTGTGCCCAGCCACTACTTTTTTATAAAAAAAACCTAAAGATGAATCATCACTTGTTTTTGAGTTTTCCAGCTTTTTGCACATCTAATCATATAGATGCATCCAGCTCCAATAATGGTCAACAAAATTTTTCTCTTTTAAAAAAGTTCATTATGAGCTGGGTACAGTGGCTCAATGCCTGTAATCCCCAGCACTTTGGGAGGCCAAGGTGAGTAGGTCAGTTGAGGTCAGAAGTTCCAGACCAACCTGGCCAACCAACATGGTGAAACCCCGTCTCTACTAAAAATACAAAATTTAGCCAGGCGTGGTGGCGCACACCTGTAGTCCCAGCTACTGGGGACCCTGAGGCAGGAGAATCACTTGAACCTAGCAGGCGGAGGTTGCAGTGAGCCGAGATCACACCACTGCACTCCAGCCTGGGTGACAGAGCGAGACTCTGTCTCAAAAAAAAAAAAAAAAAAAAAGTTTATTACCCACTGTGTGGAATCAATGAGTGTATTCAAGCAAACACTGTTTTGTGATATGCAGACACTGTAAAATGACAAGTCAAACTATCAGGTTTATAATGCACGATAACAAAATTAAATAAAACATGTTTTATACTCTTGAAAATCTTACATTAATGTATGACCAAATATCCCCAATTCCATACCTTTTAGCTAAGGCTTTGGCTCTTAGCTCCAACTGCAACCACATGGCAGACTTCTACTTCAGCCCCCAGCTTCTGCAGTTCAGCCAGCCAGATCATCTGCTTATGTGAAAGACGATCATTGGGGCCTTTAACTTCCACCAGCTGGAAAAGAAATTTTTAAAAGTTGTTATTAGTATCTTACTGAATGAAAAGCCATTCAAGTAAGTTGTAGTTGTCACTGACAACTATTTAAATGGCTCTTCTGCTCTCTCACTGTATTTGTAAGTGTAACACAAATATACGGATGGTCCTTCACTTACAATGGTTCACCTTAGGATTTTTTGACTTAAAAATGGTGCAAAAGTGATATACATTCAACAGAAACCATACTCTGAGTGTTGATCTTTTCCCAGTATGATACTCCATGCTGGGCAGCAGCAGTGAGCCACAGCTCCCAGTCAGCCACATGATCATGAGGATAACCAGTACTCTACGGTTTGCAGTGAACTACATGATCTGCCCAACTGTAGGCTAATGCACACATTCTGAGCACATTTAAGGTAGGCTAAGCTAAGCTATGAGGTTTGGTGGGATAAATATGTTAAATGCATTTTCAACTTAACAATATTTTCAGTTGATGTGTAGGATTTATCAGGACATAAGGCCATCATAAGTTGAGAAGCGTCTGTATGTAGCTAAGAAATTTATTCAGAAATTCTTCTATTCTGTAGAAACTAGACAGTTCTTCACAGAGGATGAGTAAACTGATTCTTAGTATAGCAAATGAAAAATTGTTTTAAAGCATGCACTGGATTTTACTTCCTTGCTTAAAACCCTCCGATTACTCTGTTACATTTTCAATTAAATCTAACCTTCTTGCCATGACCAGTCTCTTCCCTACCCCAAGGCCCTCACTTCCACTTGCTACTTGCTGTTCCCGCTGCCTGGGACATTTCTCCCTGTTCTTGACATGCCTGACTTCTTACCTTTCAATGCTCAGCTTAAACTGATCTGGAGAGGTCACAGCTCTAAGTATATCCTCCCTATGCACTTCTTTCATGGCATTCATAAGATAAAAATATATACTACATGTCATCTTCATGAAGGCAAGAATTGTGTGTTTTGTTCACTACACATCACTAGACTTGAAGACACAGCAATAAAAACTATAGGTAAAATATAGAAAAAAATTGTTTAAATACAGCATTTAGCAGCCTAAGGGACATTTAATTAGAGTCCCCAAAGGAACGAGAAAAAAAAATACTTAAAGAAAAAATGGCCAAAAATTTTCCAAATTTGATGAAAACAGTAAACCCAAAGATTGAAGAAAATCAATGAATCCCAGGCACACAAATGTAACGGCACCCTAGGAAATATCACAACTGTATAATCAGGGGATATAGTCAAAGCAGCCAGAATTTTTAAAGCCAGAGGAAAAAAAAAGATTCTCTGATTGGAAACCATGCTAGTTAGAAGACAGTAGACTAATATTTTTAAAGTATTGAAAAATAACTGTCAACATAAAATTCATTGCACGGAGAAAATATCTTTCAAAAACAAAGGTGAAATAAAGGCTAAGACATACAAAACCTAAATACAGCCATCCCTCAGTATCCATGGGGGACTGATTCAAGGACCCCCTCTGTTACCAAAATCCATGGATGCTCAAAGTCCCTGATATAAAATGGCATCGCATCTGCATATTCTAGCACATCTTCTCATATACTTTAAATCATCTCTACTTATAATACCTAATATAAATGCTATGAAAATAGTTGTTATGCTGTATTTTTATTTGATTTGTTTATTGTTGTAGTTACTTTTTATTGTTTTTCTTTTTTCCAAATACTTTCAGTCCATGGTTGCATCTACAGAAGCAGAAACCATGGATACAGAGGGCTAACTACTGTAATTCATTACTAGCAGAACTTCTAGACATGGAAATTTTTTCTTTTTCTTTTTTTCTTTTTTTTTGAGACAAGGTCTCACTCTGTTGCCCAGGCTGGTATACAGTGGTATGATCTCAGCACACTGCAGCCTTGACCTCCCAGCCTCAAGCAGTTCTCTCACCTCAGCCTCCCAAGCAGCTGGGACTACAAGTGCACACCACCACACCCAGCTAATTTGTTTATCGTTTTGTAGAGATGAGGTCTCACTGTGTTTGCCCAAGCTGGTCTCCAACTCCTGAGCCCAAGCAATCCGCCCACCTCAGCCTCCCAAAGTGCTGGAATTACAGGCGTGAAAGGAAATTCTTCAAGCAGGAGAATGAGACTACACAGAAACCTGGATCTACACAAAAGAATAGCAAGCACTGGAAATGCTATGTACATGAGTAAATACAGACTCATTAATCAACTGTAGAAAGCAAAAATAATATGTTATAGAACATATAACACGTAGAAGTAAAATATATGAAAACACCACAAAGGCTGGAAGGGAAGATATATATTATTGAAAGGTTCTTTTTACTCTAAAGTGTGTATCACCTGAAGGTGGATAAGTTTAAGATATATAATATACTAACGCAACCACTTCAACACAATGAACAGTTACAGCTAACAAGCCAGCAAAGCTATCAAATGCAATCTTTAAAAATAAGACAGGGCCAGGCACTGTGGCTCATGCCTGCAATCCCAACACTAAGAGACCACGGCAGGTGAACTGCTTGAGCCTGGGGATTTGAGATCAGCCTGGGCAACATGGTGGAACCCCATCTCTAAAAAATACAAAAACCACAAAAATTAGCCAGGCATGGTGGCGTGCACCTGTGGTTCCAGCTACTCAGGAAAAAGACAAGGGACAAAAGAGTTCTGAGACAAAGAGAAAATAAGTATCAGGATTTAAAGCTAAGGATATCAATAATCAAATTAAATGTAAATGTTCCAAACACCCCATTAAAAGACAGAGGTTAAGTTGGATTCAAAAGTAAGACCCAACTATATGATGCCTACAGGAAATCCACATTAAAAATAAGATAAAACAGGTCAAAAGTAAAAGAATGGAAAAATGTATCATGTTAACATTAAAAAAAAGAAGGCTGAAGTGGCTACATGTTGACAATATCGGACAAAGTTGATTTCAGAGCAAAGATTACCAGGTGTAAAGGGGGGGTCACTGCATAATGATAAAAGGGTAGACTCATGAAGAGGACATGACAGTCCTAAAAGTCTATGCGTCTTATAACAGACCTTCAAAATACATGAAGCAAATAGTGATAGAAACGCAAGAAGAAATACACAAATTGGCTGGGCACGGTATACTCTCAGCATTTTGGGAGGCCAACGTGGAGCCCAGGAGTTTGAGACCAGCCTGGGCAACATGGTGGAACCCCATCTCTACAAAAAATAAAAAAAATCAGCTGGGCATGATGGTGCATGCCTATAGTTCGGGCTACTCAACAGGCTGAGGCAGAAGAATTGCTTGAGCCTGGGAGATCAAGGCTGCAGCGATCCAGGATCGCACTGCCACTACACTCCAGCCTAGGTGATAGTGAGAGTCTGTCTCAAAAAACAAAAACAAAAAAAAAAAGAAAAGAAATACCACAATTATAATCAGAGATATCAATATTCTCTCAATAATTTATAGAACAAGTAAATAAGAAATCAGTAAGGACACAGACAACTTAAACAACACTATCAACCAACTTGACCTAATTGACATTTAAAAATACTGCCCACAACAAATGCTAAACACACATTCTTTTCAAGTACAAACAGAATATTCACCAGGGAATACCATATTCTGGACCATAAAACAAGTCTCAACAAATTTAGTGGGATTCAAATCATACAAAATATGTCCTCTGAATACAATGGAGTTAAATTACAAATCAATAGCAGAAAGATACCTGAAAATCTCTCAAGTGTTTGGAAATGTAAATGACTCACTTCTAAATAAGCCAAGGATCAAAGAAGAGTCAAAAGGGAAATCAGAAAGTATTGTGAACTGAATGAAAATGAAAACAACTACTAAATTTGTGAGGTTCAGATAAAGCAGCACTGAGAAGGAAATTTGGAGCACTACCTAACTCTATTAGAAAAGAAGTTCTCAAAGCAATCACCATAGCTTCCACCTTGAGAAACTAGGAAATAAAAAAACAAATGAAACCAAAAGCTGATTCTTCGAGAAAATCAGTAAATTGATAAACCTCCTGCCAGACTCATTAGGGAAAAAAGAGAAAAGACACAAATTACCAATATCAAGAATAAGAGCATGACAGAGATAAAGATTCTACAGATATTAAAATACAGTAAGAAATACATGGCCGTGTGCGGTGGCTCACACCTGTAATCCCAGCACTTTGGGAGGCCAAGGTGGGCAGATCTGAAGCCAGGAGTTCAAGACCAGCCTGGCCAACATGGCAAAACCTCATCTCTACTAAAAATACAAAAAAAAAAAAAAATTATCCAGGCATGGTGGTGCACAGCTGTAATCCCAGCTACTAGGGAGGCTGAGGCACGAGAATCACTTGAACCCAGGAGGCGGAAGTTGCAGTGAGCTAACTCACGCTACTACACTCCAGTCTGGGCGACAGAGCGAGACTCCATCTCAAAAAAAAAAAAAAAGAAAAGAAACAAATATAAACAACTTTAAGACAATACTTAAATGAAATGGACAAATTCCTTGAAAGACACAAACTAGCAAAGCGCAATCAAGAAGAAACAGATAATATGAACAGCCTTATGTTGTTTAAAAATAAATTTAATTTATAGCTTTAAATTTTCCTCCCCCCAAAATCTCCAGGCCCATACTGCTTCACTGGGGGAATTCTATCAAATGTTTAGGGAATAATACTAATTCTACACCAACTATTCCATCCCACTCTGATGCTGGTATGACTCTGAAACCAAAACCCAACAAAGAGATAATAAGAAAAGAAAAGTACAGCTCAATATCCTTCATGAACATATATGCAAAAATTCTTAATATTTTACAAAATCAACTCCCATTTTTGCTGATCAAAATAATGCTGTTAAGATACCAATTCCTCTCAGATTGGTCTACAGATTCAAAGGAATTCCAATTAAAATCTCAGCTGGCTTTTTTTTTTTTTTTTTTTTTGAGATGGAGTCTCGCTCTGTTGCCCAGGCTGGAGTGCAGTGGCGCAATCTCGGCTCACTGCAAGCTCCACCTCCTGAGTTCAAGCGATTCTCCTGCCTCAGCCTCCCAAGTAGCTGGGACTACAGGCGCCCGCCACCACACCCGGCTAATTTTTTGTATTTTTAGTAGAGACGGGGTTTCACCATGTTAGCCAGGATGGTCTCAATCTCCTGACCTCGTGATCCGCCCACCTCTGTCTCCCAAAGTGCTGGGATTACAGGTGTGAGCCACCGTACCCGGCCTCAGCTGGCTTTTTTTTTTCTTGGAAACTTAAAATTTGATGTTATAATTCAAATAAAAATGCAAAAGAGCCAGAACAACTTTGAAAAACAAGTCATTATAGGACTTACACTACCTGACTCCAAGATGTATCTAAAGCTACAATAATCAAGAAATACAGACAAACAGATCAATGGAACCGAAGAGTATATAGAAACAGACCCACATATATATGGGTTACTGATTTTTGACAAAGATACAGAGGGAATTCAGTGGAGGAAGCATGGTCTTCTTGACACATGGAGCTGGAACAAGTGGATATCCACACACCACAAATGAATTCCAGTGCATGCCCCACACTGTATACAAATGGCGTCTCAAATGATCATAAAACTGAATGTAAAACCTAAAACTATAACACTTCTAGAAGAAAACAAAGGAGAAACTCTTTGTGACCTTGGATTAGGCAAGTATTTCTGACATGTGACACCAAAAGCATGATCCACTAGAGAACAAATAAGTTGGATTTTGTCAAACTTTGAAACCTCTGCTCTTCAAAAGACACTATTAAGAAAATGAAAAGACAAGCCATAGACTGGGATGAAATGTCACTGATAAAGGACTTGTATCCAGGATATATAATTTTTTAATCTCAAAACTCAATAATGAGAAAACAAATCACCAGTGATGGGCAGCAGGGCTGGGCTAGTGGACAGCGTTCAAGGAAGTGTTCACTCTCTGAGCTTTTTAAAAAATTTTTTGTGGGTACATAGTAGATGTATATATTTATGGGGTACATGAGATGTTTTGATACAGGCATGCAATGTGAACTAAGCACATCAAGGGGAATGGGGTATCTGTCCCCTCAAGCATTTATCCTTTGAGTTACAAACCATTATACTCTTTAAGTCATTTTAAAATGTACAATTATCGGTAAGCTTCTAAAATAGCTCCTGGTGTCCACACCCGTTGTGACCCCCTCCCTTTGAGTGTCAGCTGGACTAGAGACTCGTTCCTAACCACAGAATACAGCAGGAGTGATGGAACATCATGTCCACATCAAGTCATAAGAGATGGAGCTCTGTCTTGCTCACACTCTGGGGCTCCTCTCACCCGCCTGCTCTGATGAAGCCAGTCGCAGGGGACAGGCCCACAGGAACCCAGGCCCTCGGCCCAAAAGCTCTCAAGGAATTCAATCTTGCCAACAGCCACTCAAGAAATGCCTACTTGTGGCCTCTGATTCAGTTGCTAATAAGGTTACCAACAGGACTTTCCATTCTGCCTCAACTGACCTTAAAGTGACGGCTCTGGGAGTTCCACACCACCAGGTCGGGGAGGCCCCCTCGACAGTGTCGAAAGTCAGCAGCCAGGTGCCTGCACACACCACTGAGCACAGGGCCCCCCAGGCAGGAGACAAGATCCTGAACACAAAACACAGGACAGTTAGCCACTTCCCTCGTGACAGAGAATGGAAATAGGCTCCAGGGATCACGAGACGGAGAAAAGCTCAGTGTATATGTAATTCAGTGCACATGGACCCCAGGCCCACCATGCGCTGTTCTGCTGCTTGTACCAGAGCTGCAGAGCCATGGCTGGAATCCCACTGGCAAGTGGTGGGAGACTGGTCCTCCTGTGGTCAGTTTCCAGGCTTCTGCCAGCGTGGCCATGCTGGGGAGCGCTGAGGAAGAGGGATGTGGAGGATGCACTCAGGAACGCGACAGCATGGCCTCATAGAGGGCAGCAGTTGAAGGAACACAGAAGGTATCCTCCCTGCCTCAGCCACAGGGCAAGCAAAAGAAAGCTGTCAACTCAGGGGTGGCAAAGGCACAGCTGGGGCTTTTCTAACACCCTAGTATGTTTCCATCACTAACAGTGGCATTGGGGCCAGGGGGATAGGGTATTCTCATATATATAATTTATATAATATTAATATATATATTATTATATATTTTATACATTATATTATATATGATATCTTATATATTATATATTTTATATATTATATGATATATATTATATTATATATTTTATATATTATATATGATATATATTATATATTTTATATATTATATATGATATATATTATATATTTTATATATATTATATATGATATATATTTTATATATTATATTATATATGATATAATATATTATATATTTTATATATTATATTATATATGATATAATATATTATATATTTTATATATTATATTATATATGATATAATATATTATATATTTTATATATATTATATATGATATAATATATATTTTATATATATTATATGATATAATATATATTTCATATATTATATTATATATTGTATATTGTATAATATATAATATATATTATATATGTAATATGTAATATATAATATATAATATAATAAATATAATAAAGATATAATATATATTTTATATATGATATATACTATATATCATATATATGCACACACATACATGTATTTACATATACACACATGTGTATTTTGATAAAGTTGCTGAAAAGACAGCACTGGGGCGGTGTTAACTTTCTGAGCAAATCCTGCCATGCAGGTGAACCATTACCTGAGCTTGCTGAAGAGACGTGAAGCGATCCCAGCTGACAAGGGAAGCCACTCTGCCTTCCTGCTCATGCCACGTGGCTGCCACCCAGGCCCGCAGGCTCTCCTCGGGGGCATCATGAATCAGCTGCAGCCTGGCCTCAAGGGCTGGGCGTCTGCTTGTGAAGAAGCTGTCTGTGCACAAGTCCAGGGGGAATGCCTGTGTCACAGGGAAAGCAAGCTGTCATACTGTGCCTGCAGAGAGCCGTGTTCACCAGAGGACTAGTCAGTACATACAAAACTTGGAAACCGGCCAACCGATACATTCTTTCTCTCAAAAGATAAGTAAAAGTTAATTGATATAAAAGCAATTTATTAAACTTGTTTTTTAGAGTAATAATTTGCAAAAACAGCTTTTCGCTTAGCTGGGTGGACCTCTGAACAGGCAGATGTGCCCATGTCTGTGAGCTCCTTGGCACAGTGCCTGCGACACGGCAGGTGCTCGGGAGGGCTGATGCTGATGGTACTTTATACGAAAGGTCTAAATGTAAGGTGGAGGCTAAATTAAAGTTTAAAACTTCACATACTTACATCTTAAATTCTATTACTCAGATTTTTAAAATAAGTTATCATCTTGACCTGTGGATGACCCAAAGGACCGTAACAGAGATGGTTTCTGCTGGCTGTGGACACACGGTGCCCAGGTGGGCGTGAGCCACGGATGTGTGCAGAAGGACCTACTCGTGGGGCAGGGGCACTGGAGTACCTGACAGGCGTTTCTGAAGACATCCGGAATCCCATCCATGAAGATGATGTCCCACAGGAGGAGGCCATACAGGGTGCTGAAGGTGGACCCTTCGCCATGAATCCCTAAGACAAGGTCACACACACACACACACACACACACACACACACAAAATCTGTTTTATCTGTTTCTTCCAAAACACCACCATAACCTACTGCACACTCAATTTCAAGAAAATAATAGAAATATTTTAGATTCAGAAGCAAATGCTGTTTTCACGCCATTCCCAGTTTATTTTATACAGTATGTTGTTTATATACAGAGCCTTAAGGGCAAAAATCTTAGTAATCATAGAAAAATTCAAATGAACATTTCAAAGCCACAAAGCAGTGGTTCTCAAACTTTAGTGAATAACCTAAGAAACATGTTTAAAAGAAAAATAGGCAGATACCCTCCTCAGGTTCCCAAGGCTGGGACTTAGCAGGGCTGGGCTGGCACAGAATCCCCATGCAGGCCCTGATGCCGGAGGTCCCTGGGCCACCCCTGAAGAAATGCTTCCCTAAGGGGACCTCCCGGAGGCCGGCAGCAGCCACCTCCGTTCTTGGCCTCAGCAGGTGCTGCTCTGATGCACCTCATCCCCCTGGGTACTACACTGCCCTAGCCCAGTGCTTCCGATAGTCAAGGCTTTTACAGAGACATCTGGCCTTAAAGATCACCCACTTCAGTGCCCCTCCTCACGTCACACAAATGTTTTACTGACTGGGAGATGACCTGAGAGACAGAAGTCAGGTGCTGAGGTCACAGAGTCAGAGGCAGGGTCTGGTGTGGGATGAGGGGGTCAGCCTTGGCACAACACACAGACCTGTGTCCCTGAGCAAGCCCCAGCTCATCCAGCTGCCCTCCAAGTCCGTACTTCTCTGCACATCAGCCCTCCCGACAGAGGAGGAGGCCACATGGATGCCTCTCCCCACAAGACCACTGGCCAGAGGAGGTGCTGACCACCAGACCCCCATCCTGACATGCCAGTACTGGCAGCAAAGCTCCTCTGGCTGGTCCCACCTGACATTTACAGGCCCCAACCCATCTGCGTGGTACCACAGTGAGTGGGATCAGGGGTGCTGTGAGAGCAGAGGGCAGGAAGCCACAGCCCGTCATGCCTGCCTGGGTCACCTCTGTCCTGCACTTCTGAGGCTGTGCTGCTCTCTGTCCTGTCTTCCTGTCAGTTCTAGCCCCTCATCCCTGCAGCCCGTCTCAGGGATTCAAAAGGACAGCGGTTCACTCAGGACTCCTGGCTGTTGCCAAGTCTTCCAGGAGGACTTTTCTTCCTAGAACACTTCATGCTCTTTCCCAGCCAGGAGTGGAGCTAGGACCTGATTTCCAGTCAGTGTTCCGTCCTGGTGAATACACTGACGATCAGGCAGGAATATAAAGGCCAGATCATTTCTGAACTCCTTTGTTTGTTTTGTTTTGAGACAGGGTCTCACTCTGTCACCCAGACTGGAGTGCAGTGGCACAATCTTGGCTCACTGCAGCCTTGACCTCCTGGGGTCAAGAGATCCTCCCACCTCCGTCTTCAGAGTTCAAGTGATCCTCCTGTCTCAGCCTCCCCAAGTGCTGGGATTACAAGTGTAAGCTACCGTGCCTGGTTCGTTCCTTAACTCCTAAGTGGTCCATGCTGTGCATTTGTGTTATAAGTGAAATCATTTTTGGTGCAGTACTTCAGAAATCACCTCCCAGAAGAGGTTGAGATCGCTCTGACACAAAATTCCCTGTGGCATAAAGCCTGGCAGCCAGAGTTCAGCCCAGTTTCACGGCATCGATTTTAATCAGGGAAAAATAGTTTCTACTCTGGGAAAGGAATCGTGTGTTTTTCAGGCTCATGGCTCAACTGAAAGCATTTCAGCGCTCCCACGTCCCAGCCTGCTTCCTCCTCCAGCGAGTGTCCAGTTTCCACGTCTCTCGGGGCCTTGAATGTGCATTCTATTCTTCTATTTCTA
Organism: Homo sapiens; assembly: GCF_000001405.40. Taxonomy (NCBI): domain Eukaryota; kingdom Metazoa; phylum Chordata; class Mammalia; order Primates; family Hominidae; genus Homo; species Homo sapiens. The sequence goes on along the minus strand of NW_011332701.1, from coordinate 3,099,960 downwards.
ACCATTTCAGGCCTACTGTATCTCTCTGTCTTCACTGGCATTTGCACGTCTTCCCCAATAACATCACCCTTCCCTGTAAGTAATAAAGATATTATGTAGATGAATCTCAACACTCATCAGAAAGAACCTGGGCTTTGTAAACTCCTATCTTGTGGTTGTCTTTCTATAGTACTTGTTAATCTTCCGAACACTCGGGGAATACTGAAATCATGTCCTGATTTTCACACATCTGAAAATATCAGTGTTTTTAACACTGGTAACCCTGCAGCCCGGGCACAGGGAGAGTCCTGCCAGGCCCAAGGGCGGAAGGCTCAGTGGCTGTTCCCGAAAGCGACTAGCATGGGCCGCAGGGCCCCTGAGAGGATATCTGGGGCCAGCTTCTAAAATCCCAGGGAAGGGGCAGGAGAGAACAGAAGGAACACTGAATGGAAGTGGGTGTCCGTGGGGTTGAGCACACTGTCCCCCTGACTTCTGTACAAAGGCTTGTGCAGTACCTTCCATAACTTTTATAAGTTTTTATAAAAGAAAAAAGATCAGAGCCAGGCCCTGTGGGACAACTACCCCTGACCTACTCCTTATCATTGATAAGGGGAAGAATAGGAAGACATCCCCCAGCCCACAGCATCTTCCACTGTGAGCAGAGGACAGAGAGAGGACAGCAGCCCACTGCTGACAGCCCATCCAGTGCTGCTGCTCGTCCACCCGGGGCTGGGTGCCACAAGAGAAAGCCTGCTCAGTTACCCTGGTCAAAACCGCTGCGTCTGTAATGGGCCAGTGCCAGCTCCTCCACAGAGCACAGGACCGTGGTGGGGTCAGCGGCCTCCCCGGCCTCCATCACAAACACAGACTTGCACATCCCACGCTGTGGGCACAGCCTGCCTGTGATGGTCACCTGAAACAGCAGCAGAATAACATCTATTAGCCTCAGGTCAGCAAAAGTCCCTGAAAACCTGCCTGTAGCATCGTGAGGATTGACCTCCCTTACCACAAAGTCAGTCACTTAGTAGAGCACACAGCGTGGGGCTCACACACGCAGAACTGCGGGGATGTGACAGTTCGCTGGTCCGGCCCTGGGAGAGCCTCAACCACCAGAACTGCTCTACAGGTCCCCAGTGAGTAAATGAAACCGGGGCAGATGCTGAGAGGCCCCATTCAGGAGATCTGTCACTCAACCCAGGGTGTGACCACACCAAGCAACCCAGTCTCCTCAGGGAGGAGGGCGTTAGGGGGAGACTGGGAGCAATGGCCACACAGCCGTCCAAAACGAGTTTTAGATTATTCCGAGTCTAAAAGAAAACACACACTCAAAACAGCTCTTAGGATGCTTCTGATCCAAAAAAACCAGGTACACGCGCCTAAGTCCAAAGCACCCACAGGCTCTTTCCTCACGTGTTTCACATCTTGCACAGCCATTTCTGGGAGCTGCTGGAAGAGGTGCTTGAACTTTTTACAGCTCGGAGACTCTCGCAGGCGCACGGCTCGCTGATACAGTGAAAGGCGGTGTCCCGTTCTGACTTCCGGATCCGCCAGCCCCTCTGTGATGCACTTGATAGTCTGGCAGAGAGCATGGTCACACATCAGGCTCCTAAAAAAACCCATGGCGGCTTCCATGCATTTAGTTTGACAGAAAAGCCCACTGTTTATTATTGAATTTTGCTGATTAGCAAATGAGCAAACAGCACTTCTAGAGATTTAGGCTGTTTCCTTAGATCTTATTCTGAGGATTTCAATGCATCTGGCAACCAGAGCCTTCACAGTCAACGTGCTGGAGCGTGACCGGGCTGTAATCCAGGTGGACAGTGGATCCCAGCAGCTGCCCCTCACAAAGGGTGTGAACCTCAGGGGTACCTGACTTTACAGGAAAACTTAGCTCAGTGGTTCTCAGGACATCACCTAGGCAGCTTTGTAGGAAAACATGTGTCCCACCCCGGATCCACACAATGAGAACCTCCAGAGCAGGAGCCCACGCATGGGGGCCACATCAAAGCGCCAGGTCAATCTCATATGCAGTCAAGAACCATGGAGCTGCTTCAGATTCCTTATTTACAGGGACAGGAGCCAAAGGTTTGGAGGAATTACAAGTATTTCCCAAGGCGATTCAGAGTCAGACAAATAAACAAACACAGAAAGCCACAAGGAGATACCACTTCACACTAGGATGGCTATAATCAGAAACATGGAAAATAAGCATTGACAAGGAGGTAGAGAAACCAGAAACCTCACGCATTGCTGGTGGGAATGTGACACTGGTGTAAACACTGTGAAAAACAGTTCAGCCACTCCTCAAAAAGCTCAACACAGAATCACCACAGGACCCAGCAGTTCCACTCTCAGGTATTCCCAAAAGAATTGAAACCAGGGACTGAAACAGAGGTTCATGCAGCATTCTTCAAAATGGCCGAAAAGGTGGAAGGAACCCAGTGTCCATCAACCAATGAGTGGCTAGAAAAATGTGGTATCAGATGCTACAGTGGAAGTGTGTTCAGCCTGGAGAAGGAACGGAGTCCTGACATGTGCCACGATGCGGGTGAAGCTCAGAAACATGATGCTGAGCAAAATACACCAGACATAAAACCACAAATATCGTAGGATTCCACTTCAATGAAATGAATGAAATGAACAGGCACATTTACAGACACAAAAAGTAGATGAGACGTCGTCGCCAGGGCTTGGGGAAGGGAAAGCGGGGCGTAGTTGCCTAATGGCTGCAGTGTTTCTGTTTGGAGTGGTAAGTGGAGAGGCAATGGTCACACAACACTATGAGTACCATGAATGCCACTGAACTGTACACCTAAAAATGGCTAAAATGCTGTATTTTAGGGATGTTAAATTTATTTTACCACAATAGAAACATAAAAAGTGAAAGAAAAAATAAAAACCAAGAAATTGAAAATCAGTGAAGGCTCAGGCCATCCAGAGTTGAGTGGCTGAAGGAAATGAAGATGGGAGAATGAGACTCTGAAGGGCACCCTGTTCGCTGGCAGAAGACGGTGCCGGGCAGCGGCAGCCTGGCCTCGGAGAGGGAGGGCCCAGCTGGCTCCACCTCTGCCCTGGCCAGGCCGGGGCTGGCTGCAGAGCACTTTGCAGGAATTAGCACTCAGCTAGGCGATCCCTTCCCTGGAGACTGAGGTAAAGATCAAAGAACACTAATGAAATAACAAGAGCTATGGCCAGTAAGACCTCTGGAAACAGAGGTTAGGAGGAACTAGGCTTAGCTCAAATCTCAAAAATAAGCTCAGTGGCTTGTCTACCCCCTAGCAGAACTGTGAACAGAGGGGAAATCTGTACTCTCTTGAACTTTTATTTCATTGAAAGAAAGGCGACAGAAACACAAGCTTTCTCCTTCTGTATTTGGTTCTAGGCTACCAGATGCTTTCTCTTGCTATTTCAGCCTCAGTAAACACCGAGTGGTAAGGAAGCCCCACACCCTCCTCCATGAGAGGAAATAGCTTTACTGGCTCTTTCCCTGATACGTGAGGTAACAAGGCACTTTTTCAGTTTACGGCAATAAAAACAAGATGTCATATTTCCTAACCAGTGGTCGTTTTTTTCCACCCCTACATCACCCTGATTCACTTAATGGGCCACTGAAAAAATCAAAAGCTCCCAGAGGCACAGTCCCCTCCATTCAACTCAAATGCAGGGCTGGAATAGAGACAGGGAGGGGCCTGCTGGCGGCCACACAAAGAACCACTGTTGCTGCCTAGCCCACAGGCACAGGCTCTGCGGCCTCACCCGCCTGGCTGTGGTGGCCACAGAATCCCTGTGCTTCCAAGTGCCCCTAGATCGCCACCACAGGGAGCACTGGTGCCTGCTCAAGGTCAAACAACGCTTCCAAATGGCAGAGCAAAACACCTCACAGAAGTACAGAGTCACGCATAAAGGACCTGCAATAAGATAGGGAAAGGAACGCTTTCTCGCCAATCTTTCTACCTAGAGACCCTGTGCTACAAATCAACAAAGTCACCATTTCCAAAACAAACACCTTCCTTGAAGGCACTTGCTGACTTGCTGACGGCTGAGTCATCTGACTCTCCCTTTCCCTTAATTCCTAGATCCTGATTCCTAAATGCCAGCACAGAGTCCACAGTAAGCCCATCTCGCCAATCAGCAAAGAGAAGACAAAAGCTTCCAGTCTCTATGCTCATGCTGTGCTGGCATCCCTGGTATTCTTTTGGGGTTGGAAGAACACAGACAAAAGAAGAATGTTAACAAAAGAAATACATGTTCTAATTACATGTAAATTTTAAGGCATTAAGTTTGCCATATTTTAAAAGTTGATTCTAAAATGAAAAGGTGTTTCAGATATGTTTTGTTACTGAGTACCGGTTCCAGGCGCTTCAAGTGCTGGTGTAAATTAAGGGCCAGTCGATCCCACCATCGGCCTCTGCTGTCAGGACAATAAATTCTCTGAGACAAAAGGCTTTCAAGTTCTCTGACGGCTTCCTATTGCAACAATAACAAAGAAACCTCATTAGATTCACAAAAAATCCAGCTGCAATGATATTTACAAGCCCATAGGATTGGTAAAGCCTATTTATAATGCGTATCTTTCCATTCTACAATGAGGCCAAGGACCCCGAACTGACAGGACAGGGACTTTGAGGTGCCTTCTGGAGTGGGCATGAGTTCCCTAAGGCATCCTCACTCTTCACCCGGTCCCTGCCAGCTGGCACTGGGGTACAGACATCTGTGAGTGCTGCAGAGTGTTATCTGCAAACCAGTCAACCAGTGCAGAGTCGCACAGGGTCAAGTTCCAGGCAGCTGAGCACTGGTCACAGTTGGCAAACCCACATACTTCTGGGAACACAGCAGGTCACAGGACCAACTGCAAGAGGGATTTGGGGTGGGCAGGAAAGTAATGAGGGGTGTCCTCATACAAACACCCTACCTCAACAGGAACATTCTCTGGTCTAGATTATGTACAGACTGTTCGGTCATTCTGTTTGTTAATCTTCTGTGGCTCATGGATGTCTTTGTAATATGGAATGATTTACCCCAGAAAAATGCATAAATCCCCATACACATGCAAGTTTGAGATTCACAGATTTCCCCAAAGCCCACCCATCACTCCCCTGGGATTCACAGACCCCAGGCCAAGAAACCAGCTTAGCACATCCTCTTTGTAAGATCCCATTTTCTTTTCTTCTTGTTTTGTATATATATATTTTTGACCATGCCTGGTCTGGAGATAACATTTTCAATATAGAAATATCAAACACAACAAAAGTGAAATCTAGCAATTTCACAAAGTTTAGGATACGACAAATTTCTGATTTGTGATTATAAATTGTCTCCAGACAATCCATGACAGCTGACAGGGAAGCAAAAGGAAGCAAAAGGTCCCTCAGAGATTTCTGGGGACCTGCCAAGTCTCACAAGGAGTTCTGAAAGAGACTCAGGCTCAGGCTGCAGACCTGTGGGGCACCCTCCAGGATGGTGGCCGCCACCCCCAGGCCATCCTGGGACACAGATTCATCAACACACAGGCAAACAGAACAGCTGTCCATCTTCACCTATCTTCTCTCTACTAATCCAAGAGACAGCGGGCTGCCTACATTAACTATGCCCTCGTTGGCCAGGCACAGTGGCTCACACCTGTAATCCCAACACTTTAGGCCCCCACTGTCAAAGCATCAGAGGCCAAGGTGGGCAAATCACTTGAGCCCAGGAGTTCGAGATCAGCCTGAGCAACATGGTGAAATCTCACCTCTACTAAAAATACAAAAATTAGCTAGGCATGGTGGCGCACGCCTGTAGTCCCAGCTACTCAGGAGGCTGAGGTGAGAGGATGACTTGAGCCCGGGAGGCAGAGGCTGCAGTAAGCTGAACCCTGCCACTGCACCCCAGCCTAGGTGATGGAGTGAGACCCTGTCTCAAAAAGACAAAACAAAACAAATATGCCTCCATTATATTACTGTGTGCTAACCAAATAAGCAGGAAATGCTGAGAGCCCGACAGCTGTCCCTTCACATGTTTAACGCCATCACATCAGTAATGGTGGGGGGCAGGGACCTGTGCTCTAACCTCATACATGTGAAGTCTCTGCAGTATTTCCACAAACCGAGACAAAATCCTTGTATAAATCCACCCAACAGTGAAACACCGCAGGAAGAGTGGTAAATCTTCGTGGCATCTAAAATGAAGACATATACCAGTAGTTTAATAATTTGGTTAATTTATTATAAGACAATAATAACAAGTGACAAAGCAGACTGAATTCCTATCTTTTAAAAAGGTATATTCTAAATACTTTCAGTTGTGTACAATTTTCTACACCACAAACCTACATTCTCACAGCCAGCTACCACGTCCTAGGTCACTCAGACAGTGGAGTAAGATGAGAACTCATCATTCTAAACCAAGGTCAGCAAACTCCGGCCCACAGCCAAACCCAGGGTCTGCCACCTGATTTTCTATGTCCTGCAAACTAAGAATGGTTTTTATGTTTTTAAATTGTTAATAAATAAAGAGAATAATACACTTTGGTATGCGAAAATTGTATGAAACTGAAATTTCAATGTCCACAAATGAAGTTAACTGGAACACAGCCAGGCTCATTCATTTGCATACGTACTTCTTGTGGCTGCTTTTGCACTAAAACAGCAGAGTAAAGTTGGTGCCACAGAAACCATATGGCCTGCAAAGCCTAAAATATTCACTATGTGACCTTTTACAGAAGTTTATCAACCTCTGTTTATAGTAATCTAACTTCTTGTGATTTTTAAGTCAATATTATTTCTCTATAAATATACAGCTGACCCCTGGACAACATGGGTTTAAACTGCACACGTCCACTTATATGTGGATTTTCTTCTGCTTCTGCCACCCCTGAGACAGCAAGACCAAGCCCTCCTCTCTCTCCTCGTCCTCAGCCTATTTGCTGTAAAGACAACAAGGATGAAGACCTTCATGATGATCCACTTCCACTTAACGAACAGTAAATATGTTTTCTCTTCCTTATGATTTTCTTTTTTTTTTTTTTTTTCCCCGAGACAGAGTCTCGCTCTGTCACCCAGGCTGGAGTACAGTGGTGCGATCTCAGCTCATTACAACCTCTGTCTCCCAGGTTCATGTGATTCTCCTGCCTCAGCCTTCCGAGGCTGGGATTACAGACACTCGTCACAACACCCACCTAATTTTTGTATTTTTAGTAGAGACGAGGTTTCACCATGTTGGCCAGGCTAGTCTCGAACTCCTGACCTCAAGTGATCCACTCACCTCTGCCTCCCAAAGTGCTGGGATTACAGGCATGAGCCACCACGCCCAGCCCCTTATGATTTTTTTTTTTTTTTTTTTTTTGAGACGGAGTTTTGCTCGTGGCCCAGGCTGGAGTGCAATGGCGTGATCTCAGCTCACCACAACCTCCACCTCCTGGGTTCAAGTGATTCTCCTGCCTCAGCCTCCCGAGTAGCTGGGATTACAGGCAGGCACCACCAGGCCTGGCTAATTTTGTATTTTTAGTAGAGACGAGGTTTCTCCATGTTGGTCAGGCTGGTCTCAGACTCCCGACCTCAGGTGATCTGCCAGCCTCGGCCTCCCAAAGTGCCGGGATTACAGGCGTGAGCCACCGTACCAGCCCCCTTATGATTTTCCTTAATAACATATTCTTTTCCCTAGCTTACTTTATTGTAAGAATACAGCATATAATGCATATAACATATCCAATGTGTGTTAATTGACTATGTAATCGGTAGGGCTTCCAGTCAACAGTAAGCTATTAATTAAGTAGTGGGGAAGTCAGATGTTACACACAGATTCTTGACTGTCTGAGGGGTCGGTACCCCAACCCCTGCATCATTCAAGGGTCAACTGTATATCCTAAATGATTTTTTCAAAGTGGCATCTGAAAATACTAATTTTTCTCATCACTATGTAACAACAAAGGAAAAAATGTCTTAATAAATATTGAAGATGTTTACCATTTTCAACAAAATAAAAGATCATGTGCTGTGTACCTGGAAAGTTCGCTTGAGCTGTCTTTTGCAGAGTTTTTAACACCTACTTGAATTTCCCTCAGAGGAACCCACCTACCATGCTTCCCACATCCGTCCTGCTGCTGGCTTCCCTCACGTTTCAGTTCAGCTCACCAGTACTCAGGGAGGCCAACACTCCTACAGTTGGCATGCGACAAGTCAAGTATGGGGTTGGCATGTGTGTTGCCCAGGGATCTGAGTTATATCAAATTCACTTTAAACCTTCAGACATTTCCTTCTATTTCACACAGCACTTTCATTCTAGGCAAAGCACGCACAAAATTCAATTCCACAGCTGGTTTAACCACAGAGAAAAAGGAGTATATTCTTCATGAAGAAAATTACTGTAAGTGTTGGGAACAACTTGGTCAATGTATAAATTTTGGCAGGTACCTAGAAAAACTCTCACCTCAGAGAAGGGTGGTTTTTCAGTCTGTTCCAATCCCTTTTTGCACACTGAGCGAGCTCCTTAGCTTCTTCCCAGTTCCCATTGGCCATTGCGGAAGAAATGTCACTCAGCATGTGCGTGGCTGCTGCATATCTGGAGGAAAATGCCATCCAAGTTCCAAATAAGAATGAGCATTCCCATAGAATGACCACATCCTAGCCACTAGATCTCACTCTGAAAGGTAAAAGTGTGTTTTTTAAAATATGAGGGCCACTTAAATTTTATTCTAATAATAATTTATCTTAACCAAATCACTGGAGTGGCCCAGAACTGATAAGAAAGCCCAACTAGAAAGATAAAAACATTTATGCTGTATTATCACATAACATGTTCCATTCTATAAATGTGATATGGATCAGCTCATCATTCCTGATTTTGGCACTCATCCATTCATTCATCCATTCACTCATTCAACAATATGACAGCAAACATGTAAGTGACATCAGAATTATAGTCAGATGTAGATCTGATAATTTAATCATTTACAATCAGAGCTAGCCAGAGGGATGCTGCCCAAGCTAAGAAGATTACCTGGAATATTTCAAAATAACTAAGGGATGCTCTTTGGGAGATGGCAACGCTGAAATGTTACAACACAACTTAGCTTAAGAAAGACAATTTTTCATCGCTCCTTTAGCTACCAAAAAACAAAGACATTTGACCAACAAATTCTGTTAACACTTTGAGTACATGTTCATTGTATTTTGGTCTCACATCTAAAAGAAAAGCATGAAGTACATAATATCATTATGTACAAACACTGTAAAGTAAGAGTAAAGAAATTGCCTCCAAATGTAAAAGTTTGCTCACAAATTCTTAGATCTCATTCTTTTATAATATGCTGCTCATTCAGTTCCATGGCTTCAAACATTGTCCATATGCCAGTGACTCTCAAAATGTTGACTTTTTCCAGGCCAGACCCATTCCCTGAGCTCCTGACCGCAAGTCCAATGCCACACACAACAGCTTCAACCAAACGGCTGAAGAGCACCCCACACACTGACGCCTCCAGCACCAACACCTCTCCCAATCCCCTTCACTGGATGGCGCCCCACCCCAAGGCAAAACACCAGAGCCATCCTTGATCCACTCCTCACCTTCTCGCCCACATCAGAATCAAGTCTTGTCTTTACTGCTTCCAAACTGCCTCATACACATTCACTTCTCTCCACTGCCGCTACCAACAACCCAGTCCTGTCCACCCCCACATCTTAGCCAGGGGTCTCCTGAGTTCCTCCAACTCAGCAAGCTCTTTCCTGCCTCAGGGCCTGTGCACATGCTATCTCGCGGCCGGGACGCAGGCACCCAGACCCTGACACAGCTACCTCATTCTCATCCTCAAGTCCCACTTCAAATGTCACCTCTCCAGGGCCACTCTGTCTATAAAGAACTTATCCAGCCTGTCCCTCAATTATCACAGCACTTCTCACACACTTTAAATAGTGGTTAATTTCTATCTCCCCAGGAAACATAGCCCCATGATGGCTGAGGCCCTCTCTTGTTCACTGCTACAACCCCTAACCAAGTCACATAAAAGGTACTCAACACTCATTTGTACTGAATGAATAAGAAACATTTTAAAAGGATAAATTATCTCAAGTACAGAGGTAGACAACAAGGGTTTCCTGGCCAGGTATCACATTACCAGATATTGAATACTATTACCTTTCCAGAAGTCAATTAAATCCAGTTTCATTTACATCTTAAGGCTCTCTGCTTAACCAAGGGAGTTCTCATTATTTTTATTATTTACAGCACACTTACTTTCTAGAAAGAATATGAGATGCCTTTTGAACTTGTCAACCATGGTTTTGTCATAGAACTTGGGTATAACAGTAAGAATGACAATTAAAATAATAATGAACATGTAGTAGGCATTCCCCATAGCCCAGGCTTTAAGCACTTCCCATGCACCCCACACATGTCTGTAAGAATATACTATTATTCTCCCCATTTGACAGATGAGGAAACTGAGGCACAGGGTGGGTTCACAGTTCATTGGTATAGAAACTGGAACTTGGCTTCAGAGTATACATTCTCACAAGCCAGAAAAGCGTAAAGCCAGTAAAAACAAAAAAGGTAAAAAAGATATGAGACAACTGAAAACAGGGTAAGAATAAACAGTCTTATTAGAGATTTTAACTAAAAAAGTTATTCCCATTGAATACAAATAAGATACTGAGCTTCCTGACAGCTAAGGTAAAATGGGCCAAAATCAGATTATACTGACACTGCTGTGATTCAAAAATTTCAATAACTTACTTCTTAAAGCACCTGGCTTTCCTAGAAACACAGGACTTTCCTAAAAGCAAATATCACAATCAATTTTGGTTAAATTTGAGTCAGAAATCCAAATCAAGAATCAAAAGTGACATTTTAGGAAATCCAAATTAATTTTTCTTACCAAAGGTGTTTTTTTTAAGGAAATCCAAATTTTTTTTCCTAAGACCTACACTATTCTTTCTTATCAAAACCTGCTTTTTAATACTGTAATCCCATTATTTGTTTGGCATCTATTATTATTTTTAATTAACATAAAATTGCACATATTTATGTGGCACAGTGTGATATTTCAATGCATGTATACAATGTATAATGATCAAATTAGGGTAATTAGCATATCCAGCACCTCAAACTTTTTTGAAAATGTTTTAGAGATGGGGTCTCATTATGTTGCCCAGGCTAGTCCCGAATTTCTGGACTCAAGTGACCCTCCTGCCCCAGCCTCCCGAGTAGTTAGAAATATAGGCATGTGTTGCCATACCAGGCATCACCTCAAACATTTATCATTTCTTTGTGTGGGGAATATTCTAAATCCATTCTTCTATTTAAAAATATATAATAAACTGTTGTTAATTATAGTCATCCTACACTGCTACAGAACAACAGAACTTATTCCTTCTACCTAGCTGCACTTTTGTATCTGTTAACCAACCTTTCCCTATCCCCCTTCCCCTCCCAGCCTCTGGTAACCACTATTCTACTCTCTACTTCTGTGAGATCCACTTTTTTACCTCCCACATATGAGTGAGAACATGCAGTATTTGTCTTTCTGTGCCTGGCTTATTTCACATAACATAATGTCCTCTGAGCTCAGCCATGTTGCCACCATGGAGAATTTCATTCTTTTTTATGGCTGAACAGTACTCCATTGTGTATATGTACCACATTTTCTTTATCCATTCATCCACTGATGGACACTTAGGTTGACTCCCTATCTTGGCTATTGTGAATAGACTGCAATAGACATGGGAGTACAAATATCTCTTCAATATACCTATTTCTTTTCCTTTGGATATTACCCAGTAGTGGGATTGCTGGATCACATGGTAGTTCTACTTTTAGTTCAAAATCTACTTTTATTGGACAAACCAAATTTTCACTAAATCCGTGTGCCAATATAAATTAGTGAAAATTTCTAATTTATCATCTGTATATCTAATTATCATATGTATGATATACAATATACAAGTTATTAATAGCTTTACCTAAAGTGTTACTAATAAGAAAATATTCACATTCAGTCTTGTTCATGCCAACAACATATTCCTAAGTCAAGTTTGTTAATATGTCTGTGTCAAAAAAAATACAGGCCGAGGGCGGTGGTTCACGCCTATAATCCCAGCACTTTGGGAGGCCAAGGTGGGCGGATTGCTTGAGTCCGGGAGTTGAGACCAGCCTGGGCAACATGGTGAAACCCCATCTCTACCAAAAAAATACAAAAATTAGCTGAGTGTGGTGGCATGTGCCTGTGGTCCCAGCTACTTGGGAGGCTGAGGTGGGAGGATCACTTGGGCCCAGGAGGTTGAGGCTACAGTGAGCGGTGATCATGCCACCGCACTCCAGCCTGGGCGAAATCCTGTCTCAAATTAAGACAAACAAACAAACAAAAAATACTCCCTTCCAAAGGTACTTGGAAACATAAACCAGAGAAGTTTTTGTAGTTCTAACTCAAAATTCCTTGGATTTTGGCAACCATAATCTCAGCACACTTCTACATTTTCCCTATAGTCATAGAAATGTATACAAGTGGGGCAAAAAAAGATTAAAAACTGTTTTGGCTGTGGACTTAATGTTTCTACTTTGGCTGGAAAAAAATAACAAAACCTTTTACTAAATTGTGAAATACACATATAGACATTATAGTGAGCTAACATCATCTTACCTGATAAGATCATCTCTGTCTTGGAAGATGTGGGTTTTCCGATTGATGGTGTAACTAGGAAACTCCATTCGGCCGAGGTTGACCAACAGGACTGTTGAAAGCTGTCCCTGACCTCCACAAGCGGCGTCTTCATCTTCCATTGAGTCGGTCAACGAAAACAGTAGCAAGATGCGGGAAAACACAGCCCTGGGGCCTTTACAGATTCGTACTGACTGTCCAGCCAAGGCTTTGGCTCTGAAAAATGTACAATGTAGAAATAACTTTTAGCTTTTTAAGCATTTGGATGTCAGATTTTACAAATTATTTTCATCTAAAATAAAGAGAAATGACATTCACTATTTTAAACACTGGAGCATTACTTAACTGCTCTGGGGCTGAGAGCTCACCCAGGGATACACAGGAGTAAATGAATGTACATCTCCAAATGGTTCCACACATGGTTTGGCTCCATACAAGTGCTTCCTTCCTCGGCTGCACAGTAGGTTGGGGTTTACCCTGGTCATGAGTGCTTCAAATACCAGGAAAACTTTCAGAAAAGTATTGCCTAGTCAACATGAAGCAATTCTCAATTTTTTATTCTAGTGATGATTTAGATTAAATAATGGTATTTCTTTAAAATGTCATTATCAAAGGCTCCAGGTAAAACATCAGATTTTGTGTACCAAGACGTGGTGCAAATGTATATGCCAAAGTTTGGTGCTGTTCTCTAGCGCAGCAGTCAACGCTTTTGGCACCAAGGAGTGGTTTCATGGAAGAGAATTTTTCCATGGACTGGGGTTGAGGGAGGTGTTTCGGGATGAAACTGTTCCACTTCATATCATCAGGCAATAGATTCTCATAAGGAATACGCAACCTAGATCCCTCGCATGCGCAGTTCACAATAGGGTTCACACTCCTATGAGAATCTAATGCCACTGCTGATCTGACAGGAGGCAAAGCTCAGGCGGTCATGCTCTCTGGCACACTGCTCACCTTCTGCTGTGTGGCCCAGTTCCTAACAGGCAATGGACAGTTATCGGTCTATGGCCTGGGGGTTGCAGACCCCTTCTCTAGTGTACAGAATGGTCCAGCAGCATCTCTATTCTAGGATAACATTGGAGTGAATTCAGTTCAACTCTGGATGTCTGCAAGGTGGGCTTGGAGGTCTAAATTAAATCCAGGACCATGTGGGCCCTCTGACTCTAGCAGCTTAGACACCATCAATAGCAGGGTTTTTCAGCTTCAGCACTATTGACATTTAGGCTAGGTAATTCTTTGTTGTCAGGGGCTGTCCTGTAAATTATAGGATGCTCAGCAGTGCCCTGTCCCTGGCCTCTAGTCACTAGATGCCATTAGCTTCACCACCTCCAGTACTGACAACCAAAAATGTCTCCAGATGATGCCAGATGCCCCCAGTTGAGAACCACTTGGCTAGTGAAAGATGTCACACCCTTCTGGTGCAGAAGCTATTAAACCAAAAGCAGCACTGCATCCCAGAGGGTGTGGGAGAGATGAGTGCCACCATCATGGAGTTGAAGGGGAAGGGGTGGGATTCCTATCACACCACCACTGAACTGAGAGCCACTCATCTACAGACTGCCCCAAAGTACCCATTTCATCCACCTCCACGCAGAGTCCCGGGGATGCCCCAGTGGACACAGCCTCCAGTCTGCAAAAGGAAGCATTAAACACAGAAAACTAAGCAGTGACTCCTGCAAGGATTAAGAAAGCATAAATAATGTGCCTTTTTCTGTAATAATGTGGCTGTTTCTGTTTCTTTATCATAACAGCAGAGTAAAAGCACCAGGCGCTGCCCTAGCGTGGGGCTGGCAGGGACTCTGAAATTCCACTGCTGGGCTTTACCATCAGAATGAAGAAATAAAGGACAACCTTAAAGGACAGTGGTTTTCACTAGAACTAAAACAGCCTTGAGGATTCTATTTTCCTACAAGTCCAAAGTTAGAGATAAAATATGTTCATCTTATTTACTTTATCTGTTCTATGCTAAGTGCATATACCAAGAAAGGGCTGCTATTTTTTTTTTTTTTTTTGAGATGGAGTCTCACTCTGTCACCCAGGCTGGTGTGCAGTGGCGCGATCTCAGCTCACTGCAACCTCTACCTCCCAGGTTCAGGCAATTCTCCTGACTCAGCCTCCCAAGTAGCTGGGATTACAGGCACCTGCCACCACACCAGGCTAATTTTTGTATTTTTAGTAGAGACAGGGTTTTACCATATTGGCCAGGCTGGTCTCGAACTCCTGATCTTGTGATCCACCTGCCTCAGCCTCCCAAAGTGCTGGGATTACAGGTGTGAGCCACTGTGCCCAGCCAGAGGGTGGCTAAATTTAATGTTTACTTGCTTATAAAATGTTACATATAAGGTTAACATCAAATACTTAAGAAATACAATTAGATAAAGAAAGGACTTAGAAGACATTTAACATACCACACAGATGAGGATTCTATACTTCTCAAGTCAATTAATTACAAGTATGTAATTTATTGAAGTACTTTTTAAAAATCTATAACACGAGCTTTTTTCAAGTGTTGGTATTTATATTTTTCTTAATGTCTGCCTTATTACACCTATGTTTCATTAAAGATTAGTATTTATAGCACCTCCCCAACAAGGATGGGCTCATAACAACTGAAATATACAAAACAAATATATAAAATAAATAACAACATCATGTTAAAGTGTTTTCAAAAGCATCCTCTCATTTCATCCTCGACTCCACAGTAGTGAATTCCCAGGCTAGAGTTGATATAGTTTGATTATATAAATAACATGGGCAAAAGAAATCAATTCTAAAAGTTTTTGTAATTTTCAACTGAAACAGGTCAAGGGCTTCTCAAGGACAAAAGAAGCCACTCACAGTTTTTGGTAAATTGTTACGTTTAAACTCAGGAAAACTTGCACATTAAGACTGCCTGATTATACTTTGTTTAGTAAACAAAAACTAAAATAAAAATTTGACTAAATAGTTTACCTTAAAATCCCATAAGAATCACTTAAAACTGTATTTTTCTCGGAAAATAAAATACTACAATTTACCAAAGGCCTATTGCCTTCCGATTTTTCTTGGTCCTGGAAATTAGTACGGTATTACGACAAAAATTTTGAATAATAACCCAAGAAAGAATCCAGGCTATTGCAATTAAGGCTTTTCCAGCCTTCTCAATCTAACTACAACTGAAATAAACAATTACAGTTCAATCAAGTATACAATCTACTGTAAGTTAATATGTGCTATCAACATTTTAAATGTTTTTACTGTAACAATAGCCAACAAAACCTTTTTAAAATCACTGCACCAATTCCAGGCTTATTCTTGCCCCAAGTGCAGACTGAACGCTGTTTGGCCAATTTGAGAAAGGCGTCCACCAGCTGCTGTTTCTGTCCATTGGGATTCACCAAGTGGAAGGTCTTGGCTAGGGATTTTAGTTCAGGAGCAGAAAGGAGTTCAAGCACTTCAGAGAGTTCTTGCAACTCAGATTCTGAAATGGTTAAAAAAAAAAGTTTTTTTAAATTTTACTATTTTCTAGCTTTATTTACCTTAGTTAGATGAAAATAAAATGAAATGCTACTAAGAAAATTTTAATTAGTTGGCCAAACCAATCATTAAATGTGGAATTATTAACATGGTATTATTAACGTATTAATAACACTATTATTATATCTCTTAAAAGTTATCAAATAATAGAATTTCTCACTAAAATCTAAAGGAAAACATAACTAAAATAAAGACACACATGGATAGCCATTATGGTTTGGGCATCTCAACACCTGCTTGGAATATATACTCCCTGCCTTTCTCGTCACAAAACCCCTACAAAATGGGACCTCTCAAACCAGGTCAGAGAGAACTGATCATCAGCCCTCTTCTTCCCACAAGCCTCTCCTGCTCACTCGGCATTCGTGAGCCTGTTCGGCTACTGTGGGCCCCGACACCAACCTTGGCCTAGGAATTCGGCTCAGTCAGACCTCGCTGGTCTTTGCCTTCAAGGCTTCACAAGTTTAGGGCAGTGCCTTCTTCCTCCATTCAGCAAATATTTATTGGGTGTACACTGTCGGCCTGGTAATGTTCTAAGGCCCCGGGCATGCTACAGTGAAAGAAATCCCATCCATAGGAGCTAGCCTCCCAGCGTAACAATTAAATGAATAGGCAAATTTATCAGGTGGTAATAACCGCTCTAAAGAAAAACACAACTCAGGAGGCAAACTGAAGCTGGCAGGAGGCTGGCTGTATTTCACACAGTAGTCAGGCAAACCTTTGACAAGGTAACACCACGCAGCGGGGAAGGAAAGGAGAACTATGCCGTGTGGCCACGTGGTGGAAACTGACCTGGGTGGAGGGGAAAGTCAGTCCAAGGCTCTGAGACAGGAATGCACTCATCCTGGTGAAGAACACTGAGGGCTGGGTGGCCGTGGCAGAAAGCGAGAGGGACAGCCAGAGCCAGGCCCCATGGGGCTGGAGCATGGATGGGACTTGCACTTGACTGAGTGCCACGGTGAGCCACTAGGATCCTGGTTTTGTTGCTCATTTGAAGGTAAGTCAAGGCTCACCTGCAGCAGTCACCTGGCATGCCTGTCAGACATATGAATTTACGGAAGCTGCACCACATTTTCCAAGTCAGGTGGGGACTGAGTATCAAGTTCCCAGGTGACCCTGCTGGCACTGATGTGTGGGAAGCGCTGCTCTGCAGAGGGTCCTGTGTCCCACCACTAACCATTCACAACCAAGCGCCTTCACTGAGCTTTTATGCCTCTCCCGCAACTTTCCCCATCCCACGCCATCCAGCCCCACCCTAACACACTTCCTGCTCACTTCGCTTCATCCCCACTTACTGCTCCCCACAATAAACTCTGCCCCAAAGAAACCAGCTGGCTGATTCGCTTATTTTGGTCTAAAATGTCAGCAACTTGAACCCAAGGCTCACATTTCCCTTTCCTAATACAGTACAATTTTGTACCCAATACATAGGTAGGTACTTAACGAATGCTACTGACAAGACAACGAAGGGTATCACTGCAGAAGATAGACTCTCCTTAGTGTTCACATAGGCTTAAAGCAATTCAACAATGCTTAAGGCAATCAACATAATCGAAGAACTGTATGTGTGTGCAAGGGGGGCAGATGAAGTTTTTAGAGGCAATATGGGTTTCAAACAACCAGCTTTATTCTATCATAAAGAAGAGGACTCTGAGTAAGATGAGTCAAGCTCTTGCTGGAAGGAGAGCGCCAAGAAGGGATGTATCCATTTTTTTTGAGACAGAGTTTCACTCTGGTTGCCCAGGCTGAAATGCAATGGTGCAATCTCAGCTCACCGCAACCTCAGCCTCCCGGGTTCAAGTGATTCTCCTGCCTCAGCCTCCCAAATAGCTGGGATTACAGGCATGCGCCACCACACCTAATTTTGTATTTTTAGTAGAGATGGGGTTTCTCCATGTTGGTCAGGCTGGTCTCGAACCCCCAACCTCAGGTGATCCACCTGCCTCGGCCTCCCAAAGTGCTGGGATTACAGGCATGAGCCACCGTGCCCGGCCGGGATGTATTTCTTCTGTGGCACACACCCATGTCTATGCCCAGGTGACTTTCATTCTAAACCTGCCACAGTCAAGAAAACAGCAGCAGACCATCTCTCATTATTCTAGTATTCTTAACTCAGGCTAAGAATGGCTTTAGCATCACATGAGTAATTTGTTGTCCTAAGATTAAAAATTCAATTAAAAAACAGTAAGTTACCAGGCACCACCCCGGGGAGGGCACCATAATAATACTGCCATCATTCTGCAGAAGCTCAGTTCTTCAGATCATATTTTCATTTCACATCTCCTTCTACTAGTCATACCTGTCTGTAGAAAGCCTGCATTCGTCAATTCTTCAATCACAGGTGTTAAGTCTAAGGCAATCTCTTCATACTCTAATTTGGTCATCTTAATCCAGCTTAATTTACGTTGAAAGAGCCTTACATATAACTTCTGACCAGTAGCTGCAATAAAGTTAAGAAAAATGTTGAAAATCACTGCATTTACCTTTTAAACCTAAGGTGAATAAATGTACGATTTAGAAATACACATATGCTTACTGTATGTATAAGGCCTTCATTTTATGGAATAAACCATTTTGAAAGTACATTTAAAAATTTGGTAACAATTATTGGTCATTTTAAAACTTCTAAGATCAAGTTCCCCATTTTCTAGACATCAACATTTCTACTCCCTCAGAAAAGCCCTACCCAGAATTCTTATTTTGTTCTCTGCTCTTAGCTTAATATGCATTATTCTGATTTGATCGAAAATAATCTGAAATAATTTTCCAAAAAAAATGTCTAGCTTCAGTAGGGCAGTCATCTCTAACCCAGCAATCTTGACCAAGCTTCTTAATTAACCTGTTTGGTCTCAATCTCCCTATTACCCAGATTATCTTTAAATTTCGGCCAACTCTAAAATGGCTTAATTGTATTTTGAAAATTTCCAACATTTATTTTCCTTTCTTCTTTAAAAAGGCAAAATTGACCTGTCATGATGGTTCATGCTGGTGTTGTTTTTTTTGGTTGTTTTTTTGTTTTGTTTTTGTTTTGTTTTTTTTGAGATGGAGTTTTGCTCTTGTTGCCCAGGCTGGAGTGCAATGGTGCAGTCTCGGCTCACTGAAAGCTCTGCCTCCTGGGTTCATGCCATTCTCCTGCCTCAGCCTCCAGAGCAGCTGGGATTACAGGCGCCCACCACCATGCCCGGCTAATTTTTGTATTTTTAGTAGAGACGGGGTTTCACCATGTTGGTCAGGCTAGTCTCGAACTCCTGACCTCAGGCCATCTGCCCACCTCGGCCTCCCAAAGTGCTGGGATTACAGGCCTGAGCCACCATGCCCAGCCTATGGCTTATGCTTGTAATCCCAGTGCTTTGGGAGGCTGAGGCAGGAGGATCGCTTGGGACCAAGAGTTCAAGGTCACAGTGAGCTATGATTACACCACTGCACTCCAGCCTGGGCAACAGACAGAAACCTTGTCTCTAAAAGAACTTAAAATTAAAAAAAAAAAAAGGCAAAAACAATTAGCAGTAATTATTTCTACACACCAACAGATTGTACATGATTCTCCATGGAGTGCAAGACACATGCATATGCAGAACTTGCACTAGGAAAACTGTTCCTATTTCTCAATTACATGGAATTACAGAGCCACCAATCTCTGAAATACTCCAGGAATGCAATCAGCACCCAACCAAAGATCTGTGACTAGTTTGGATAGAAAAGCCAATGTGCTATTATGTCCATCTTCTGGTGAGAACAGCAAAAGTAGAGATGGAAGTGGATACTACACACAGCTGTGCCCAGAGAAGTATCGCTCACATGTTAAAAAGTAACCCAAGGAATACCATAATTTCACTGTGCGAATTTAAAATAGAAATCCTTCCCTTGAACATCAATAGTAATGTTCAGGATTTTTCTCTTTTTTATCTACTGAGGAGTCACACATGGCCGCATTTTACTAAACGACAGTGTGACTACCATGTTTTTTCCTGCCCTCAGGGACATGGTTCCACAGAGTCATCATGGCCCTCTGAATAACACCGTAAAGACACAAGGGTGGCTTTTACTACAAACCTGCACTGCTGGCTTGGAGCCACCCCTGGCTGCCAAGGACTTCAGGCATAGACTAGTATTTTTAATGTACCAATTTCAGCTTGAAAGTTTCCATTTCCTCCACACCCTGTCTTTAAAAGGCACAGTCCATAAATCTAAAATGTTGTTGGGAGAAAGAAAATATGCCTCAGGTTGGTTTGTTTTCTTCCTGTATTGTATTTTATTCTACTTTCATCTTTGAGGAACAACAAAACAACCTAATGGAAAGCCTGATTACACGCTCAAAATGCAAAGTATGCTTTTCTAAGTCACATTATATTGTTTTTTAATCTGGAAAAGGTTGTTTCATAACTATCAAATGTACCTATAAAAGAAAAACAGCTGCTTCCAATGTAACCAAAGTTCAGCAGGAGTAAACATCACCCGGGACAAAATCTTGTCTCTTTTCCATGCATCCCTCTCAATAAAACCTTCGACTATGCTCCAACTCCCATGAACACTCCCACAGGGTGCTCACAACACCACAGTGACTCCTTGCGGTCACTAGATTACTGCCCATCACATCATGCCCCAATCAGAGCAGCAAAAGGGGAATGAAAACTTGAAAACAAACACGTGCGTAAGATACCTGATAACTGATAAAATTTAGTTACAATTCCCTTCTCCTGCTCATCAAAGAGCAACATATCATCTTCATTCTCAAGTACGGTTTTCAGCACCACAAGGAAACTCCGAAGGTAGTAAGGATGACCGGTTGTTTGACCAGGACCATTGCAGCTTGACCCCTGCTCCAAAGGAATGCTGTGAGGGATATCATTGTTTAAGCAACTGTCATCCTGCAGAGGAGCCTCTTGGATGTTACTCCATGCAGAAGCATCATCTGCAGAACTATGAGATTTTGCCTCTGAATCTGACAGCTGTATTTTAGCTTCTGAAGCAACAGTCATTTTTACTTCTTCACAATGACATGCCTCACGTTTTTCAACCACTTCTTTGATACACTCTTGCTTTACAAGACTGTCTTCTGAAGTAGACTTTAATGTATTCCTAAGAGTGAAATCTGGTGAGAATAACATGATCGCATTATCTGAGAATCCAGGGGTGAGGGCTGATTTCTCACATTCCCGGGTAGCCTTTTGGCTTTCGGCTTCCATTATTTTACTTCCTCTTACCATATGTTCAGGAATGCACTCTTCCTTTAGAGAATCACATTTAAACACGTTTTCTTTTTGAGAACTGTTCTCCAAAATTTGATCCTCGTCCTCAATTTCTGAAGAGTTATCAATCAGGCTCTTAACAACTGTGGATTTGGAACTCTGTGGACTAGAACCGGCAAATTCTTCATCCTTATCTATTGATTTTTTAGCCTTTACGTATTTTCTGGACAATTTAGATGCTAGGCTTCCCAAACAAATGACTTTCACACTACGATTTCTCAGCTCATCTTGATTTTTGCACACCACATCATTACTTTTAAAGTAGGGACTGATCTTCTGCTTTACTTCCCTTTTTGCTGAATCACTTTGGCCAGGGGTTAAATTTGTCTTTGGTGGTGGTGACTTCTTAGGTGTTACATCTTCTAAGGTAACACTGGTTAAATCTACCATAGACACATTTGAATTTATTAAGCCAACCTGCCCTGGATCCACTTGAACGAAGTCATTGTTAGCACACATTTCATCAAGGTGCCGGTTTAAGTCATATCTAGGCACCATTTTACTGCAAACGGGGCAGGCAAGTTTAGCAGGTGGTGCATTGTTAAAACACGAAATAATAGAATTAGATGCTTTTTTCTTATTCTTGCTGATTGATAAGCTTCTACGAGGCCTTTTTTTGTCAGGAGGTTTCCCTTCTGACATCATGAGTATTAGAAAAACTGGATGTTCTGAGCAATAAAACACAGGATATTTAAGGTGAAAGATAGCAATGGTTTACTTTTACTTTCTTGACTTGAAATCACCAAAAGTGGGATTCTATATGACCTCATGTTATTCGTCTCGACAATTTCTTCTTCCTACAAGAAGAAACACATATAAATTAAAAACATTTTTATGAATTCAGCAAGGGGAAAAGCGAACTCTGAAACGTTTAAGAGCAAGGTCTCCTGTAACGAGGAGACAACCCTGAGCGTGAGACAGAAGACCAAGCCCCTCCGACAAGCTCTGTACGCGATCTTAGTGTCCCTTACTATAAAATGACAGAGCTGGGCTTGTAAGGGTAATTTCTAGGACATCTTTAAGACCTAAAACTATCCGTTTCTAAAAAGGGACAATTTGACCACTTCAGACCCTTTACAAGACCACTGTATGAGTAACTTTTTCTGAGTGAGATGGAGACGATCAGCGCGTGGCCCAGGGCGATGCCCGCACCATAGGCCGGCGCAGATGAAACGCCCCAGCCGCGGGCAGCTGCGCCCGCGCCGGCTGCCACCACCGCGGCTTCTGCTGCGGAGCCGAGGCCCCGGCCAGCACGGCGGACGCTGCTGGGTCAAGGCCGCGCACCTGGGACGCGCACCTGGGGCCACGCGACTGAGCCCGAGCCACTCTCCCTGCTCCCTAGGGCCTGGCTGCCCTCGCGTCCTCCTTCCCTCGGTGCCCTGTCACCCAAGATCCCCGCGCGGCCACCTCGCACCTCCCACCTGGCTCCGCGCGCCGGCGCTTCCAGGCATTCCCAGCCGATCCCCGCGTCTCGCTTCCACAGGCTTGGCAAGTGGAGGCTCGAGTGATCGATCTCCTTTCCTTTCCACGTTAAAGGCTCCCATACCGTAGGTGCCCAAGGCAGGCTGAGCCCTGGGAGCGGAAACCCGGGCACCTCCTTCCTTTCCCACCCGCAGAGGCAGGCGCCTGTGCGCCCCTGCACGCCCCCGCACGCCTTCTCTGCGACTGTGCACTCTGAGACTCCTCTCCGCAGTCGGTGAGAAGGGCAAGCAAGCTAAACGTGTTTGTTGGGGGAGCATTCAGTGTCAAAGCGAGCAAACAGCCTCCTGCGGGGAAGACAGGCGACTTCTGCAACCAACACGCGGAGCTCTACTTAAGCTGACTCCTGCGAATAAGCGAGAGGGAGTTTCAGTTGGAAAACCACTGAGCTGGGTTTTCCAAAAGATAGTACTAATCACCGGTTATCTGATACCCTTGAAATAATAACATCAAGAACCAAGAAATAAAATGTGGCGACTAGGAAGTGATGCGTCTTGAGTATTTATGACTTCTGTTTTTAATGTAATTTATTTGTAAAGCTATATGATTTATTTAACTTTCAATAATGGCTGTGTTTAACAGCTGAATTTTTTTTTTTTTTTTTTTTTTTTTTTGAGATGGAGTCTCGCTCTGTCACCCAGGCTGGAGTGCAGGGGCGCGATCTCAGCTTACTCCAAGCTCCACCTCCAGGGTTCACTCCATTCTCCTGCCTCAGCCTCCTGAGTAGCTGGGACTACAGGCACCCGCCACCACACCCAGCTAATTTTTTGTATTTTTCGTAGAGATGGGTTTTCGCCGTGTTAGCCAGGATGATCTCGATCTCCTGACCTCGTGATCCGCCCGCCTCAGCCTCCCAAAGTGCTGGGATTATAGGCGTGAGCCACCATGCCCAGCCTAACACCTGAAAGTTTAACAATCAGCCCTGAAGCACTGACACCAGCGTGTTCCAGCCCACCATGAATGACCTAGAATGCAAGCTTCTTAACATCAGGCGGTTGTGCTTGTTGCCTTTACTATAAAATCGCTGCTGCCTGCAGCAGTGGCTAGCGTTGTGTAATTATTGATAAATATACACTGAATGAGTGCATAAATGAGCAAACTAAAGAGAATAAGGACATAAATAGGGAGTTCATTAACAAGAATGTATTGACTGCCTACCTCATTCCAGGTAACATTTTAGATGCTGAAAATATGTGGCAGTGAACAATGAGGAATGGGAGGAAATTCTTCATGGGAGGGAGGGGAACTCCTCATGAAGGATACATTCTGGTGGAAGGAGATAGAGAAATATAAAAAGTAAACTATGTGGTGAAATTGAAGACAAGTAAAGCCAGAAACATCTTAGGGTTGAGGTTACAATTTGAAAGAGTGGTAAGGGAAGTCCTCACTGAAAAGATGACATTTGAAGATTGACATTGGCCTGAAGGAGGTAACAGTGTGGACTGAGAGAAGGCCATGGTAGGCCAGGAAACAGCAACAGCACATGTAAAAGCCGTCAGGCAGAAGATTATCTAGCAGGCTCTAAGAACCCCAAGGAGGCAGAAGAAAACAAAGCCAGGGAGGCAGCAGAGAGCCAGACCATGGAGGGCAAGTGTTAGCAAATTTGTTCCGTAAAGGGCCAGGGAGTAAATGTTTGAGGCTTTTGGGACCATGTGGCCTCCATCATAACTAGGCAACACAGCTATTTTAGTGTGAAAGCAGCTATAGACAATATGTAACATATGAGTGTGGTTTTGTTCCAATAAAACTTTATTTACAAAAATAGCTGGCTAACTTGCCATCCAGCTACTGTTTGCCAGCACCTGATGTATGACCCTGCAGGTCATTGTATGGATTTGAGCATTGACTTTGAGTGAGATGGGAGGAGGGGAGACAAAGATTTTGAGCATAAGCTCTAAAAGGACCCCTTTCCCTGTTGCATTCAGAATAGAGCTTGGGGCTGGTCGTGGTGGCTCACGCCTGTAATACCAGCACTCTGGGAGGCCGAGGCGGGTGGATCACAAGTTCAAGAGATCAAAACCATTCTGGCCAACATGGTGAAACCCCGTCTCTACTAAAAGTATAAAAATTAGCCAGGCGTGGTGGCGGGTGCCTGTAGTCCCAGCTTCTCGGGAGGCTGAGGCAGGAGAATGGTGTGAACCCAGGAGGCGGAGGTTGCAGTGAGCCGAGATCGCACCACTGCACTCTAGCCTGGGTGACAGAGCGAGACTCCGTCTCAAAAAAAAAAAAAGCTACACAGAGAATTACCATCTGACCCAGCAACCACTCCGAGGTGTAAAACCAAGAGAATTAAAAGCAGGTACTCAAACAAATACATGTGCACAGCACGATTAACAGTCAAAAGGTGGAAACAGCCTGAATGGCCATCAATGGATGAACAGATAAAGCATGGTACATTCCCGCAATGGAATACCATACAACCATAAGAAAGAAATGAAGCACAAGCAAATGCTACAGTCTTGAAAACATGATGCTAAATGCAAGAAGTCAGAAATGAAAGGCTGCGTATTGTAAGGCTCCATTTATATCAAATATGCAAAATAGGCAAATCCACAAAGATAGGACACAGACTGGGGATTGTTGGGGCTGGGGCTAGTGAGTAAAGGGTAGCAACTGCTTCATGGATATGGGACTTTATTGTGGGCTGATAGAACTAAAGTGTTAATATAGACTTCGTAAAATTATCCAAATATCCATTTGGATTGTAGGGACTTTTTTTTCTTTTATTTACATGTAATACGTTAAAGATTTATTCTGACAAATCACATTGAAAAAATGGACAGCAATTTTTATTCTACTGAAGAGAAAAAGTAAACTTCATACTTCTCTCTGCTCCCCTTGGCCCCAAATGCTTATTCTAAATGGCTAAGAGGGCTTTTTGTTTGTTTGTTTATTAAGACATGGAAAAAAAAAAAAACACCAGAACTAGGAAGCGACAGGCTCACTGCCTCCTGACCCTGATGCCAGAGATGTATCCAGGTCTGTTCCAATGCCCATCATCAGCACCCACCTTCCAGCCATGGCCAGGTATTACGCTACTACTGTTTCTTACTATTTTAACTTACCTTACACTTAAAAAAAAATCCTAACCGTGTCCTTTCACCTCATTCTAGGTAATGATACCTGTAAAATCGCCGGGCGCGGTGGCTCACGCCCGTAATCGCAGCACTTTGGGAGGCTGAGGTAGGAGGATCACCTGAGGTCAGGAGTTCGAGACCAGCCTGGCCAACACGGTGAAACCCCATGTCTTCTAAAAGTACAAAAATTAGTCAGGCATGGTGGCATGCACCTCTAATCTCAGCTACTCAGGAGGCTGAGGCAGAATCATTTGAACCCAGGAGGTGGAGGCTGCAGTGAGCTGAGATCACACCATTGCACTCCAGCCTGGGTGACAGAGTAAGACTCCTTCTCAAAAAAAAAAGAAAGATAGGGAAGATTTGTTAGTAGTCTGTGAGTTCCACAGTTATGTCAAGCACATTAAAAATTCCTTAAATTCCTAATTACCTTTTCCTGTCTTTTTTCAAGAGGATTTAACTTCATCAGAATTTTTCTTTACATTTAAAACACCTGCATCTTCAGTTGCCTCATCATCCAGCAAAGTGAAGGTCACTCTTTTCAAGCTTTCTTTACATTGTTTACTGTCTTCACTTTCTTCCAGGTCATCATCTTCCTCCCTACACTACCAAAACTCTTATAAAAAGAAATATACTGCTTTCCATTAGAAAAACAAAAGGAAACATATTTTCCCTTAATAAAGTTCTTCTTTTATATGCCTAATGCAACCAAATACTCAGAAGTTCCAAAATCATTCAGGTATTACGGAAGAGAAGGTATCATTTAAGTGACATGCTATGTAAGAAACAGAACAAAAGTGTCCAATATATAGAAAATAAATTATTCATCAATTGATAATACAAACCATCAATCTCACAAAAATAACAGGATTTTTGGGGTACAAAACCAAATCAAGGTTCCTGGCAAGAAATGTTTGATTGCTACTGCCAGTAATATTTTTCTTCATTAAATGATCTCTAATGTCCTTTTAAATCCACAGACTTTCCTCTGGCTATCTTGAGAATATCTGATAGGAGAGAATCTAACTTCTTAAAACAAACATATGTGAAAACCACAAGTACCAATACATGATTGGACAATTCCAGCTCACAATGTAAAGGATGGTTCAAATACTCACATTTCAGAAATGCTTAGTTCTTCTGCTGCTTCTTCAGCAATTTCATCCACTTGTTTGAACCCAGATCATCATCATGATCACTTGCTATGTCTTCATCACTTTCAACTGGATCAAAAAAATCTTTGTACTTCACATTTCTGGAACTTTTACCCGACTGAAATAAAAAGATTTTTTAAACTATTAATTAGGAATAGAAAAATACATCATTACCATTCTGAAATGGCAAGTCATAGACTGAGAATATATTTTCAAATCACAAAAGACTTGTGTTCAAAATATACAAATGACTCTTAAAATTCAACAATAAGAAATTAAGCAACGCAATTATAAAATGAGCAAAAACCAGTTGATCTTTGACAAAGTTGCAAAAGCAGCTCAATAGAGGAAGGATAGCCTTTTCAGTAAATGGTGATGGTGCAACTGGACATCCATAGGCCAAAAAATTGAACCTCAGCCTGAACCTCACATTTTTACAAAAATTAACTAAAAAATGGATTATATACTTAAATGCAAAACTGAAACTACCAAACTTCAGAAAACATAGGAGAAAATCTTTGCATCTAGGGTTAATAGCTCTCTTATTTTAGACCAAAAGCATTAACCACTGAAGGGAAAATGGCAAGTTGGACTCTATCAAAATTAAAAGTGTTTGCTCTGTGCAAGACCATGAACAGGAATAAACATAATTACAGACCACTAAAAATATTTGCAAGCCAATATTCACAAAAGAACTCATGTATAGAACATATAACAAACTCTAAAACCTCAGCAGATAAACAAATAATCCAATCAGAAAATGGGAAAAAGACATAAAGAGATATTTCACTGAAGAGGATATTCAGATGGCAGGTAACCATGTGAAAAGATGCTCCACATCATTAGCCTTTAGGTAAATGCATTAAAGTGACAATGAAGTATCATTACCTATCACAATAAAAAATAGTAACAATAAAATGCTGGCAAGGATGTGGAGAAACTGGATCACCCATACATTATTGATGAGTTTGGCAATTCCCTACAAAGATAAAATGTTCTGTACCTTGACTGCATCAAATTAAATATCAAGTTGTGATATTGTACCATAGTTTTACAAGTGTTACCACTGGGGGAAACCCAATAAAGGCTACAGAGGATCTCACTGTACCATTTCCTACAACTTCATGTGAATCTACAAAATTTTATCTCAAAAATAAAAATTTGATTTTTAAAGTGGGCAAAATATCTGAAGAGACACTTCATCAAAAAAGATATACAGGCTGGGCGCGGTGGCTAACGCCTGTAATCCCAGCACTTTGGGAGGCTGAGGCGGGCGGATCACGAGGTCAGGAGATAGAGACCATCCTGGCTAAGACGGTGAAACCCCGTCTCTACCAAAAATACAAAAAAAATTTAGCCGGGCGTGGCGGCAGGCGCCTGTAGTCCCAGCTACTCCAGAGGCTGAGGCAGGAGAATGGTGTGAACCCGGGAGGTGGAGCTTGGAGTGAGCCGAGACCGCCCCACTGCACTCCAGCCTGGGCCACAGAGCGAGACTCCGTCTCACCAAAAAAAAAAAAAAAAAAAAAAAGATATACAGACGACAAATCAGTATATAAAAATTTGCTAAATATCTTTTTTTTGGGAAATTCAAATTAAATCAACAATGAGATACCACCACACACCTATCAAAATTGCTAAAATCCAAAATCAAGGAAATTACAATTGCTATTAATAGTTAAATCCGTGGGGTGCTGGAAACTCTCATGTATTGCTTATGGGAAAGCAAAATAGTACAACCACTTAGGACAGCAGTTTGGCAGCTTCTTACAAGGTAAGACATAGTCTCATCACATGATCCAACAATAGGGTGTTCCTAGGCATTTGCATACTGATTTGAAAACTTACGTGCTCACAAAACCTGTACACAAATGTTTATAGCAGCCATCCATATTCATATTCACCCAAAACGAAGCAAATAAGATGTTTTTCAATAAGTGAATGCGTAAACAAACTGCAGTACATTTCTACAATGGAATACTAGTCATTAACAAAAAGCATCATGCAAAACATGGATGAATCTCAAATGCATATTTCTAGGTGAAAATAAGGAAGTTTGAAAAACCTGCATACATAAATTGGAATGATTGATTCCATTTATATGATAATCTGGAAAAGGCAAACTGTAAAGATCATTGTTTGCCAGGGATTTGGAGGAGAAAAGAAAGATAAAGGCTGGGTGTGGTGGCTCACGCCTGTAATCCCAGCACTTTGGGAGGCTGAGGCGGGTGAGTTGTCTGAGGTCGGGAATTCAAGACCAGCCCTGCCAATGTGGCGAAACCCCATCTCCACTAGAAAAAAAAAATTAGCCGAGCATGGTGGCACACAGCTGTAGTCCCAGATACTTGGGAGGCTGAGGCAGGAGAATCGCTTGAACCCAGGGGGCAGAGGTTGTCAAGAGCCGAGATGGCACCACTGCCCTCCAGCCTGGGCGACAGAGCAAGACTCCATCCGCCCTGGGTAACATGGTGAAACCTGGTCTCTCTCTCTTTTGTGTGTTCGGATGTGGGTGTGTGTGTGGGGGGGGGGGGCAGAGTTTTGCTCTTGTTGCCCAGGCTGGAGTGCAGTGGCGTGGTCTTGGCTCGCCGCAGCCTCCGCCTCCCGGGTTTGGGTGGTTCTCCTGCCTCAGCCTCCCGAGTGGCTGGGATTGCAGGCACGAGCCATCATGCCCGGCTAATTTTTTTTTTTTTTTGGTAGAGATGGGTTTTCCCCATGTTGGTCAGGCTGGTTTCAAACTCCCGACCTCAAGTGATCTGCTCACCTCGGCCTCCCGGGGTGCTGGGAATGCAGGCGTGAGCCACCGCGCCCGGCGTAATTTATTAATCAGAAAGGAATAGATCGGCCTGGCATGGAGGCTCAGGCTTGTGATCCCAGGACTTTGGACGACAGAGCGCGGTGATCACTGGAGCCTAGGAGCTCCAGACCGGCCTGGGCAACATGGTGAAACCTTTCTTTCTTTTTTTTTTTTTTTCCTTTTTTGAGGCGGAGTTTTGCTCTTGTTGCCCAGGCAGGGTGCAGTGGCGTGGCCTGGGCTCCCCGTGGCCTCCGCCTCCCAGATTTGGGTCGTTCTCCTGCCTCAGCCTCCCAAGCGGCTGGGATTGCAGGCATAAGCCACCATGCCCAGCTAATTTTCTTTTTTCTTTTGTAGAGACGGGGTTTCTCCATGTTGGTCAGGCTAGTCCCAAACTCCTGACCTTAGGTGATCCGCCCGCCTCAGCCTCTAGGGGTGCTGGGATTGCAGGCTTGAGCCACCATGCCCAGCTAATTTTGTACTTTTTTTTTTTTTTTTTTGGTAGAGATGGGTTTTCTCCATGTTGGTCAGGCTGGTCTCAGACTCCCAACCTCATGTGATGTGCCCGCCTCCGCCTCCCCGGGTGCTGGAATTGCAGGCGTGAGCCACCACTCCAGGCCCAATTTATTAGTCAGAAAGGAATAGATCGGCCTGGCGTGGTGGCTCACGCTTGTGATCCCAGGACTTTGGACGGCCCAGCGCGGCGGATCACTGGAGTCTAGGAGTTCCAGACGGGCCTAGGCAACATGGTGAAACCCGGTCGCTTTTGTTGTTGTTGAGGTGGAGTTTTGCTCTTGTTGCCCAGACTCGAATGCAGTGGCGCGGTCTTGGCTCACCACGGCATCCACCTCCCGGGTTTAGGTGGTTCTCCTTCCTCAGCCTCCTGAGTGGCTGGGATTGCAGGCGTGAGCCACCATGCCCAGCTATTTTGTATTTGTTTTTGTTGTTGTTTTTGTTTTTGGTACAGACGGGGTTTTTCCATGTTGGTCAGGAGGGTTTCTAACCCCCGACCTCAGGTGATCCGCCAGCCTCGGCCTCCCCGGGTGTTGGGATTGCAGGCCTGAGCCACCATGCCCGGCTAATTCTGTAATTTTTTTTTTAGTAGAGATGGGGTTTCTCCATGTTGGTCGGGCTGGTCTCCAGCTCCTCACCTCAGGTGATCCGCCCGCCTGGGCGTCCCAAGTGCTGGGACTGCAGGCCTGAGCCACTGCGCCTGGCCCCAAACAGGGTCTCTTAAGGGAAAAACAAAACAAAAACCACAAAGATTAGCCGGGTGTGGTGGGCCCCGCGGGTAGTCCCAGCTACTCTGAAGGCTGATGTAGAAGGATTGCTTGAGCCCGGGGTCGAGGTGGCAGTAAGCTATAATGGAGCTGCTGCACTCCAGACTGGGCGACAGAGCGGGACTCTGTGGCAGGAAAAGGGAAAGGAAAAAAAGAAACTAAATAAGAGGCTGCTACTTTTCCAAAAGAAATTTATTATTGACTACCAATAAAAAAAATACACTGTAGCTTTGTTACAATATACAAATAGCTAAACTTTATATAGCCATGACCCTCTTCTGGCACTGCTCTAAGCCTTTTCCTGCTCTGAAATAGCTACTGTTGTTACCTCCATTGCAGAGAAAATGGATGCCAGAGGTTGTTGTGGAAGGACCCACGGAAACTGACTATGAAATTGACTTGTTGTAAGTTTCAGACTTAAAGGTTCTTCCTGCTCTGCTCCTTACATTGCCACATTTTAGTTAAGGTACCTCTTACAATACTTGTCCTCTCTGTATTTGGAGGAACTTCTCTTGCAATTTGAAGGGGTTTTTTTGTTGTTGTTGTTGTTTTTGCACTAAGCATTTGGTCATAAGATCATCTGCGTTTTATGTCAGTTTAAGTACCTCTTTAGACATTATTCATTTAGGAATCTAAATAGGAGCTAGCATTGTGTGTAAAAGGAAAGAACAGCTGTTTACAACCATTTTTGTTTCATAATACAAATATAAATCAATATGTTAATGGTGATGCAGGCTGGGAGGGGAGGGAAAATATGCAGAGAGAAAAGCCCCATCTCTGCTTGGAGTTCAGCACTGGGTCTCTATTCCTCTCCATCTTCCTTGTCAAGGCTGTCACAGTGACAGAAGCACACAGGGCTGCCTTTTAGTGACACCTGCTGGGACAGACCTGGCAGAATGGATTGCAGATTTGCATATTTCCTGGCTGCCTCTGCTAGCCTGAGTCAGCAGCCCACTCCAATTCATGCTGAGCTTGGACGGCTCAGGTTTGAAAAATTCCCCCGTCCCTTGGAGCAACCGCTTGCCAGCCTCCTCATCATTCCTAAAGGAGAATGACATACATGCCAGCATGACAGAGGTCCAGAAATTTATAGAAGCTTCATTGTGAGCCTATATCCTTAACAGGGGCTCAAAATGCCAACACCGAATGAAGAGAGAGGTTTTGCAGTAAAGCAGGAAGTCATTAAAATAATGAATCACCAGGCTGGGTTTTGAGCTCCTTTCCCACTAATTTAATGGAAAGATTTATTGTCTTTACAATGTACAATGCCCATCATCAGTTGAAAATAGAAGCCAAAAATGCATTTAACGCCGGGTGCAGTGGCTCACGCCTGTAATCTCAGCTCTCTGGGAGGCTGAGGTGGGTGGATCACCTGAGGTCGGGAGTTCGAGACCAGCCTGGCCAGTATGGTGAAACCACATCTCTACTAAAAATACAAAAATTAGCTGGGCATGGTGGCACGCACCTGTAATCCCAGCTACTGGGGAGGCTGAAATAAGTTCATAAATTGAGCAGCTGTGAGGTAATTGGCCCAATTGCTACGTTACTTTCACCGCTTGAGGCTGAACAGTGCACAGGAGAGTGCAGGTTTACAGGTCTCTGAATAGTGCCGTCCAAAAATGGTGAACAACCACCCTGAAAAACAGCTTGGTGTTTTTTTGTTGTTGTTGTTGTTGTTGTTTTCACAAATTAGAAACGTGCTTAGCTGTTTACCCACTAACTGCACTCATGGCCACTTCCCCTAGAGAAATAAAAGCTGATATTCATGCAAAAACTTGTGCATGAGTTTTCACAGAAGCTTTATTTTTAACAACCAAACTGTAAACAACCCAAATGTCCTTCAGCAGGTGGATGGCTAAACAAACCATGGTACAGCCATACAATGGACTAGTACTTAGTAATAAAAAAGCAATGAACTGTTGAATGATTTGCAATGACCTCAAAGGAATTAAACTTTAAAAATTCAATCTTAGGACGGGTGCGGTGGCTCATGCCTGTAATCCCAGCACTTTGGGAGGCTGAGGTGGGCAGATCATGAGGTCTGGAGTTCGAGACCATCCTGGCCAACACGGTGAAACCCTGTCTCTACTAAAAATACAAAAAATGAGCCGGGCATGGTGGCACGCGCCTGTAGTTCCAGCTACTTGGGAGGCTGAGGCAGGAGAATTGCTTGAACCTGGGAGGTGGAGGTTGCAGTGAGCCAAGATCGCGCCACTGCACTCCTTCCAGGCGACAGAGTGAGACTCCGTCTCAAAAATAAATAAATAAATAAATAAATAAATAAATAAATAATGCAATGTCAAAAGGTTGTACAATATATAATTTCATTATAAAAGGTTTTCAACATGACAAAATTCTAGAAATAGGGAACAGATCAGCAGTAGCCAGGGACTTAGAGAAGTGGGGTGAGTGTGATTATAAAGGGATATCATGAGGTCCTTTCTTCGGATGACAGCATAATGCTATATCTTGATTATGTTATTGGTTATATGTATCTACACCAGTGATAAATTTCTTAGAAGTATACACATATACACAAAGAATAAAAAAGAGTGCAGAAAAACACTTCTGAATCCAAGTGAGGTCTGTAGTAAAGTTAATTGTAATGTGGTTTTGATAATGTAGAGTTGGTCCTTTATAGCTGCAGTTCTGCATCTGCAGAGTCAACCAGCTGATTGAAAATACTCAAAAACAAAACCAATAAAGATAACAATACAACAATAAAAATACAAATTGCAAAAAACAGTGCGGAATAGCAACTATTTCTGTAGCACTTACATTGTATTATGTATTATAAGTAATCTAAGAATGATTTAAAGCAGTGGTCCCCAACATCTTTGGCACCAGGGAATGGTTTCCTGGGAAACGATTTTTCCACAGATGGGGTAAGGGCTGCGGGGGTGGTTTTGGTATGAAACTGTCCCACTTCAGATCATCACGCATTAGACTCTCATAAGGAGCATGCAACTAGATCCCTTACATGCACAGTTCACAGTAGAGTTTGCACTCCTACAAGAATCTAATGCTGCTGCTGATCTGACAGGAGGTGGAGCTCAGGTGGTCATGCAAGCAATAGGGAGGGGCTTTACATACAGATTTATTACATGTATTATAAATACAGATTACATTTATTATAAATACAAATATATTTACAGAGCACACTACTCATCTCTTGCTGTGCAGCCTGATTCCCAAAAGGCCACAGACCAATAGTGGTCAACAGCCCCAGGAGCTGGGGGCTCCCGATTTAAAGGATGTGCATAGGTTATATGCAAATACTAAACCATTTTATGTCAGGGACTTGAACATCCATGGATTTTGGTGTCTATGGGGGTGCTTGTACAAAACCCCAGTGGCTACTGAGGGATGACTATGCTATGATTACATAAGAGGTTTTCATTATAGGAAGTGAGTTGAAGGGTACACAGGGACTCTTATCTACTATTTTGTAACTATTAATATTTTTAAATCTATAATTACTTCTAAAAAAGAAAAAAGCCGGGCGCAGTGGCTCAGCCTGTAATCCCAGCACTTTGGGAGGCTGAGGCGGGTGGATCACAAGGTCAGGAGATCGAGACCATCCTGGCTAACACAGTAAAACCGCGTCTCTACTAAAAACACAAAAAATTAGCCGGGCGTGGTCGTGGGCGCCTGTAGTCCCAGCTACTCAGGAGGCTGAGGCAGGAGAATGGCGTGAACCCGGGAGGCAGAGCTTGCAGTGGGCCGAGATCGCACCACTGCACTCCAGCCTGGGCGACAGAGCGAGACTCTGTCTCAAAAAAAAAAAAAAAATAAAATAAAAAGAAAAAACCCTGATGGACAACCTATCTGCTAGGTTGGTTAATTGTAAAGGGGAACATCACATTAATAAATTGGTTAATTGTCACTGGAGTATCAATGGTATATGACATCCTGGGTAGCCTGCAGATGAAATCCTAATAACCACATCCCATAGGCCTTTACAGCATGTAGTGCAGTAAGCCTTGTCAAAGGCAGTGACAATGCAGGACTGAGTTCCTAAGGTTTGGATGCCAGCAAGTTCTTTCTCAGATTAAGTAGTTTTGATGTATAAGCTTGTATTTGTCCTTCAAAACATTCTTATCTTGAGAAGTCTGCTGTACCAGTTCTCATCACAACTTGGAAAACATGTGCTTGGTGTGGGTAAGAGAAGTTTTCCTTTCATGTTTATTGGAGTTGCTCTGCACAAAAACTATTAATTGTGTAGGTTTTTGGCATTTAGAAAGGAGCAGGAGATTGCCCACTTCACTGGGCTTCACTGGTTGATATTTCTTCCTTTTGCCTCACTCTAACTTCCTTCAGAGACTTGATATACACTTTTGTAGTAATGGTAATGCATTAGTGAAAATAATTTGGAAATCATTGACAGCCATTTGTCCTAACTACATTGTTTTTGGATCTATTCAAAAGATAACATAAAACCGCCCAAATCTTTCCACATAGTCCTTTGAAGGTTTTACTCTTAGAAACCTATCTTAATAAAGTATCTATACTTGTCTGTGTAACAACATGAAGAGTATTGTCCACCTGGACATGGGTCCCCAGAGTGCTCATGCAGCAGACCCTCTCAGAACTCCATCCATTTCTCCCACTGCCTTTGGAATACCCTTTGACATAATGCTGATTTCTGATCCAGCAAACAGCCCCAGTGAGTTTCCTGAAACACTGAATTATTGCCAGGTGGCTTGAGCAAATAATTCTGCAAGGCAGGGTTATCCCCTTCTAAAAGAGGTTACCTACACAATGACTTAAGCTGTTTGACAGTCAGAGATGACTTTGAGGAAACAAATCTGGAATGCTGTTGATATATTAATAGTCTGGATATTTCTCCCCACCCAAATCTCACGTTGAATTGTAATCCCCAGTGCTGGCGGGAGGTGTTTGGATCCTGGGTGACTTGGTGCGGTCTTCATGATAATGAGTTCTCAGAAGACCTGGTTATTTAATAGTGGCACCTCCCCACAACCATATCTTTCTTGATCCTGCTTTCAGCCTGTGAGATGCACCTTTCACCATGATTGTAAGCTTCCTGAGGCCTCTCTAGAAGCCAAGCAGATGCAAGCACCATGCCTCCTGTAAAGCTTGCAGAACCATAAGCCAATTAAACCTCTTTTCTTTATAAATTACCCAGTCTCAGGTATTGCTTTATAGCAATGCAGGAATGGCCTAACACAACACAACACAAACTGGAAGAGGTGGTTTACAAAGCATGAGGGGAAACAAAGTTGTATTTCCCATAGTTACTCCAGGCTGAGGTGGTTGGAGCTTTCTTTCTCTAGATGGCAGGCCTAGTAGGGCTGGAAGGCAAATAAAAAATTCAATACATAGACATATATATATAGAAACATACTGGAAGGTAAAAATTAACTGCCATGCCATCATCTACTTTGCTTCTGTGAAAAATAGGCCTGGGACAATAGCATCATAACAAGATACCTCTGAGAGAAAGAAAATGGTCCCCAACTGGTTTGGTTTATTTTGATATTTTCCCTGAGGTTAAAGCCATGTATATGCTTTCTAAAATCAGTGGAAGAGGGGGTTTTGGAAAAATGGTAGCTTAAAACCCAAGCACTGGCTGGGCGCGGTGGCTCAAGTCTGTAATCCCAGCACTTTGAGAGGCCAAGGCAGGTGGATCACAAGGTCAGGAGATCGAGACCATCCTGGCTAACACGGTGAAACCCCATCTCTACTAAAAATACAAAAAATTAGCCGGGCATGGTGGCGGGCGCCTGTAGTCCCAGCTACTCGGGAGGCTGAGGCAGGAGAATGGCGTGAACCCAGGAGGCGGAGCTTGCAGTGAGCCGAGATCATGCTACTGCACTCCAGCCTGGGTGACAGAGCGAAACTCTGTCTCAAAAACAAAACAAAACAAAACAAAACAAAACAAAACGCCAAGCACTGACTCCAATCTACCTGCCTTTCCAGAGACAAATGGCTCCTGGGCCTTACAGATAGTTGGATGTCGGGTTCCAGGAAGGCTTTGGATTCTGTGAGCATCCAGGACAGAGAAAAAGCACCAGATACCAGCGTGAGAGCTCTTGAGTGAAAAGCTGAAAGCTTGGCCCCATAGATCTCGTGGCCTCTGCCAGAGTAATCAGCTTTCACAAGGGCCTTTTATCTCCCTGGCTCCCATGAGTACAAGGAGAAAATGAATGGCTGAGCTTGATCTTCACTGTGTTTGAGCCTGAAAAGACTAGTAGGGACTGAGAACCGAAAATCTTCCTTCAACTGCCTCATCTCCATTCCATTAGCCTGGCTGCTTTTATACCATATTCCCATTGTGTTGGTGGGACAGGGGAGAGAAAAAATGCCTTCACTTCAACATGACTGCTGACACCTAGGGAAATCAAACAACTCACTCTGGACTTCAGTGAAATTATATTTAACAAAAACACATAAAGAAGCCCAGAAGCTGCTAAAAGATTAACAGTCAGGATTAATGGAATTCATGCAAACTGATACAGAATTACTAGAGGCAATGGATACCAATTTGATTTAGAAGTAAAAGCATTAAGAATCAGTCACCATCAAAATCTATTATAATCTTAACTCATTTTATGATATTTTTGCTTTAACTAAAACCTTGCCCTGCTTTGAAGTAATTGTTTCCTTTACAGCCTTTCTCAAGTGATGGCTGCATTCTTTTCCACTCCTCACACTATCTGCTGGTGTATTTCTTGTTTTTCATTGCCATTTACAGAACATTATCTGTCCTAGACCAGATTTTCTTCTGCTTCTTCAGAAGTCCCCAGTCTTGAATCATAGCATTATACTATACCATCCCAGACCCTTATTATTGCTAGTATCTACCAGCCCCTATTATCAATGTTCTCCACACCCTTATTCTCTAAACATTTTATCTCTGTGAGAACTGCTATTTTCTTCAAGTTTTTCTTTTACAAAATTTGGTTACTTTAGGATCCACAAAGATGACCCTTGAACATGCACTTCCTAGACTCCTCTCCTCTAATAATTGTGTTTTCCACCTTATCTCAGCCACTCATATTCAAGGTATTTATTCATTACCAATAGCAACAAAC
The DNA here is from genome assembly GCF_000001405.40 of Homo sapiens. Lineage (NCBI taxonomy): Eukaryota > Metazoa > Chordata > Mammalia > Primates > Hominidae > Homo > Homo sapiens. The sequence goes on along the minus strand of NW_011332701.1, from coordinate 3,061,755 downwards.
TGTTCCCTACTTTCAACTTTAAGCATTCCACTTCTTTTTATAATTTGCCCTAAGTCCATCATTTTTTGACCTCTTCAGACAATAATCCATTAATCCTACTGCTTTTTCATTATCCCTCGACATCCTCATAGCCTCAATTTCTTCCTTATTCAACTTAAATTCCATAGCCAATATTATCTCTCACCTTGAATCTCACTTCTCTCTGACTTTATAGTATTCCTCTGGCAATTCACTATTTAAAATTTATGCCCAAACTCAAATGCCTTTAAATATTATAAATATACAATTATTATTCTTAAGTGAGCCCTAAATGCTGACCAGCCTTCAAATTATTTTTCTATCCAGCCAATCCTTCATTCTCCTGAATGACTATTTCATAACGCCATCCAACATGCACACTCTCAGCTGAGAACACCTTGCTAGGTATTTCATTAAGATACTAGAAGCAATCAGAAAAGAACTTTCACATATTCCCACCACCATGTTTACTGACTACCCACACCTGAGGTTGTGTACTCTGACTTCTCCTCAACTTTGGGAGAACTGCCTAAGATTCTAGCAAAGGTCATCTGTTTTACTTGTGCACTCATCCCATCTTGCCTAGTTACTTGGATCCAACACTTCCCCCTTCTTCCTCTCCTCTATCTCTTATTTTGCCTTTGTTGGAATTATCCAGTTGGTATACAAACAATTACTGTTAATTCTACCTTAAAATAAAACAATCAATGAAAACAAAACCTCTAAATGCGATTTTATTCTCCAGTTAAGAGCTCATTTCTATGGTTACATTTTATAGAAAAAATATCTTGGGTATAGTTGCCATCTCCAATAATTTTCTACTTTCTTTATGAACTCACTGTATTAAAACTGCTGTTTTCAAGGTCATGTAATCATCAAATAGCTCAATCTTACAATAGATACTACTTTTTACTTCTTGCTGTAGACTGAATATTTGTATTCCCCTGACATTTACATATTGAAACTTAATCCTCAATATTATGGCATTTAGAGATGGGGCCTTTGAGAGTTGAATAGGTCATAAGGATGAAGCTCTCACTAATAATATTAGTTCCCTTATAAAAGAGTTCCCAGCGAGCGCCATTCCCTGCTTTCATCAAGTGAGGACACAACCAAAAGATGGCCATTGGTGAACCAGGAAATAGGCTCTCACCAGACACTGAATCTGTTGATACCTTAATCTTAGTCTTCTCAGCCTCCAAAACTGTGAGAAATAAATTTCTGTTGTTTATAAGACATTTCATGTATGGTGTTTATTGTAGCAGTACCAAGACAGAAATTGGTACCAATAAGTGGAGGTGTTCCTGTAACAAATACTTAAAACTGTGGAAGGGGCTTTGGAACTGGGTCATGGGTAGAGATTGGGAGAGTTTTAAGGTGCATGCTAGAAGAAGCCTACATTGCTGTGAATGGATTTTTAAAGGCTATTCCAGTGAAGACTAAGAAAAAAACTAGAAGAGTCATAGAGAAAGCTTGCATCTTCTTAGAGAGTATCTAGGTACTCATGAACAGAATATTGGTAGAAATACAGACAATAAAGGCCATTCTGATGAGGCCTCAGTCCGAAATTAGGAACATGCTGTTGGGGACTGGAGGAAAAGCTACCCTTGTTATAAAGTGGCAAAGACCTTAGCTAAACTGTGCTTGTGTTCTAGTGTGTTTTGAGAAAGACAGAACTGTGAGTGATAAAATTGTATACTGAGCTGAAACGATTTCTAAGGGAAGTGTTAGTGGAGTGGCTTAATTCTTCCTGACTGCTTATAGTAGAATGCAAGAAGAAAATGCAATTAGTTCCTTTATAAAATGGGCTTAGGCTGGACGCAGTGGCTCACACCTGTAATCCCAACATTTCCGGAGGCCAAGGTGGGTGGATCACCTGAGGTCAGAAGTTTGAGACCAGCCTGGCCAACATGGTGAAACCCTGTCTCTACTAAAAATACAAAATTGGCCGGGCGTGGTGGTGCATGACTGTAATCCCAGCTGCCCTGAAGGCTGAGGCAGGAGAATCACTTAGAACCTGGGAGGCAGAGTTTGCAGTGAGCCAAGATAGTGCCACTGCACTCCAGCCTGAGCGACAGAGGGAGACTGTCTAAAAAAAAAAAAAAAAAAAAAAAGAGGCTGTGAACCTATGAAATCAAAACAAGTTTAAGTGTTTCCAAAATACCATGGTGAGTCAGTCATAGGACAGACAGTTCCCTTCCAAAAGGGAGAAATGGGAAAGAAGAAATGATGACAGGTTCTGAGCATGTCCAAAATCCAATAGGGAAAATTCCAATAAACCTTTTTGCCTAGCTGCTGTCCTCCAGGCCCACTGGGGTGGGAGTCCCGCATTTTGGACCTACTGAGGTGGTGATCCTGCCTCTGCAGCCTTGCTGGGTAGGAGTTGAGCTCAGAAGGCTCTTGGAGGGTTTGTCCTAAGGGCTCTGGGCAGCCCTGCCACCACAGTGGCTCTCTGCCTGGGCCCATAGCTCTCCAAGGTCCTGAAGGTGCTGGTGGCCTCTCTGAAATAGTGATTTCCTTGGAGCCCTTACACTCTGGGCCTGTGGTGGGAGTGGCAGCCCTGATGACCTCTGAATTATGTGAGAGGGAAGAATCATTTTTCTCTTGTCTTGAAGTACCTTGCTTCTGTGGAGATGGCTGATTAGGTCTGTGGTATGTATTCATACTAATGGTCTTATCGAATGGCTACTTGGCTACACATTTAATGTTCTCTTCCAAACAAACTTTCTCATTTTGGGGAAGATAATTGGCTGAGAATTTTCTAAACCTTAAAGTTATGGTTTCTTTTTGCTTAACAATTTTATCTTCAGATAATTTCTTTATGATAAAAACCCACAAAAACTGGATGTAGACAGAAAACTGGATATAAATAGAATATGCCTCAAAATAATAAAAGCCATATATGACAGAGGTCCACAGCTAGTATTTTACTGAATGGCAAAAAACTGAAAGCCTCTCCTCTAAGATCTGGAACATGACTAGGATGCCCACTCTCACCACCGTTATACAACATACTACTGCAAGTCCTAGCTAGAGCAATCAGACAAGAGATGGAAATTAAGGACATCTAAATTGGAAAGAAAGAAGTCACATTATGCTTGTTTGTGGATGATATGCTCTTATATATGGAAAAACGTAGACTCACCAAAAACCTATTAGAACTGGTAAACAAATTCAGTAATATTTCATGGTACAAAATCAGCATACAAAAATCAGTAGCATTTCTATATACCAACAGTGAACAATCTGAGAAAGAAATTTAAAAGAATAATTCCACTTACAACAGCCATAAAAATGTTAAACACCTAGGAATTAACCAAATAAGTCAAAGATATCTACAGTGAAAATGTGTCTGGAATTGGTGGGTTCTTGGTCTCACTGACTTCAAGAATGAAGCCGTGGACCCTCGCAGTGAGTGTTACAGCTCTTAAGGTGGCGTGTCTGGAGTCTGTCCCTTCTGATGTTCAGATGTGTTCGGAGTTTCTTCCTTCTGGTGGGTTCGTGGTCTCGCTGGCTCAGGAGTGAAGCTGCAGACCTTTGCGGTGAGTGTTACAGCTCTTAAGGTAGCGCGTCTGGAGTTGTTCGTTCCTCCCCGTGGGCTCGTGGTCTCGCTGGGCTCAGGAATGAAGCTGCAGATCTTCATGGTGAGTGTTACAGCTCATAAAAGCAGCGTGGACGCAAACAGTGAGCAGTAGCAAGATTTATTGCGAAGAGCGAAAGAACAAAGCTTCCACAGTGTGGAAGGGGACCCGAGAGGGTTGCCAATGCTGGCTCGGGCAGCCTGCTTTTATTCTCTTATCTGGCCCCACCCGCATCCTGCTGATTGGTAGAGCGAGTGGCCTGTTTTGTCAGGGCGCTGATTGGTGCGTTTACAATCCCTGAGCTAGATACAAAGGTTCTCCACGTCCCCATCAGATTAGATACAGAGTTTCCACACACGGGTTCTCCAAGGCCCCACCAGAGCAGCTAGATACAGAGTGTCGATTGGTGCACTCACAAACCTTGAGCTAAACATAGGGTGCTGATTGGTGTGTTTACAAACCTTGAGCTAGATACAGAGTGCCGATTAGTGTATTTACAATCCTTGAGCTAGACATAAAGGTTCTCCACGTCCTCACCAGAGCAGCTAGATACAGTGTCGATTGGTGCACTCACAAACCTTGAGCTAAACACAGGGTGCTGATTGGTGTATTTACAATCCCTGAGCTAGATATAAAGACTCTCCACGTGCCCACCAGACTCAGGAGCCCAGCTGGCTTCACCTAGTGGATCCCGCACCGGGGCTGCAGGTGGAGCTGCCTGCCAGTCCTGCGCCGTGCGCTCGCATTCCTCAGCCCTTGGGTGGTCGATGGGACTGGGCGCCGTGGAGCAGGGGGTGGTGCTCGTCGGGGAGGCTCGGGCCGCACAGGAGCCCATGGAGTGGGTGGGAGGCTCAGGCATGGGGGGCTGCAGGTCCCGAGCCCTGCCCCGTGGGAAGGCAGCCAAGGCCTGAAGAGAAATCGAGCGCAGCGCCAGTGGGCCAGCACTGCTGGGGGACCCAGTACACCCTCCGCAGCCACTGGCCAGGGTGCTAAGTCCCCCACTGCCCGGGGCCAGCAGGGCTGGCTGGCTGCTCCGAGTGCGGGGCCCACCAAGCCCATGCCCACCCGGAACTCCAGCTGGCCCACAAGTGCCGCACACAGCCCCGGTTCCCGCTCGTGCCTCTCCCTCCACACCTCCCTGCAAGCTGAGGGAGTGGGCTCCGGCCTTGGCCACCCCAGAAAGGGGCTCCCACAGTGCAGTGGGGGACTGAAGGGCTCCTCAAATGCCACCAAAGTGGGAGCCTAGGCAGGGGAGGTGCCGAGAGCAAGCAAGGGCTCTGAGGACTGCCAGCACGCTGTCACCTCTCAAAAACTATAAAATACTGATGAAAGAAATTGAAGAGGACAACAAAAAATGGAAATATATTCCTTGTTAATAGACTGGCAGAATCCATATTGTTAAAATATCAGTACTACCCAAAGCAATCTAGAAATTCAGTGCAATTCCTATCAAAGTACCAATGACATCCTTCACATAAATGGGAAAAAAGTCTTAAAATTTATATGGAACCACAAAAGACTCAAAACAGCCAGTTATTTCAGCAAAAAGAACAACAGTGGGCGAGAGTTAGCGGCCTCCGGTGCGGGATGCCCGCGGAGCCTGGTGGAGCTGGCCTGCGGCTCCTGGGACCCGCTCTCCAGGCCACAGACGTGGCCCAGGGGCCCAGCCCACTAGGCAGGCCTCGCCCAGACACGATTGCCCTGCCCAAGAGGGGAAAGCGACTCAAGTCGCTCCTCTGCTCCAGCCGAGTGACTGTGGAGGATTACGCCAACTCGGATCTGGCGGTCGTGAGGTCTGGATGAGTCAAGAAAGCCGCAGCCAATGCTGTTCAGCAGGAAGTAAAATCTCTTTGAAGCTTGGAAGCCTCTCAGGTTCCTGCAGAGGAAGCTCATTCTGGGGCTCGTGAGCCCTGTGACATCATCGACAGCAGTGATGAGACTGATGCCCAGGAGGAAAGCATCCATGAGAGAACTGTCTCCAGAAAAATGAAAAGCAAGAGGCACAAAGAAGAACTGGACGGGGCTGGAGGAAAAGAGTATCCCATGGATATTTGGCTATTGCTGACCTCCTATATCCGTTGTGAGGACATTGTGGTCTGATCTCTGTACCATATGTATGAGCCATTTGCTGCTGGAATCTCCAAGAATCCAGCCATTCCAGAAAGCACCCCCAGCACATTAAAGAATTCCAAATGCTTACTTTTCTGGTGCAGAAAGATTATTGGGAACAGACAGGAACCAATGCGGGAATTCAACTTCAAGTTCAAAAAACAGTCCGCTAGGTTAAAGAGCAAGTGTACAGGAGGATTGCAGCTTCCCATCCAGTACGAAGATGTTCATACCAATGGAGACCAGGACTGCTGCCTACTGCAGGTCACCACCCTCAATTTCATCTTTATTCCGATTGTCATGGGAATGATATTTACTCTGTTTACTGTCAATGCGAGCACGGACACGCGGCATCATCGAGTGAGACTGGTGTTCCAAGATTCCCCTGTTCATGGTGGTCAGAAACTGTGCAGTGAACAGGGTGTGCAAGTCATGCTGGACCCAGTGCACAGCGTTCGGCTTTTTGACTGGTGGCTTCCTCAGTACCCATTCTCCCTGACAGCATAGTTACTGCTTCCCATCCCTTGGGGCCAGCCCCAAGTCTAAGTCCATTAGTAATCAGATTCCAGTTTGGACAGGGTGGGTGGATTGTGTATCTGGTTAGTAATGTACATGCTCTTCAGGTTCTAGGGCTCCTGTTAGGGGAGGAAGAAATGTTGAATCAAGAGGAAAAAGAACTACTATGATTTATAAACATATTTTAATGTAAAAATTTGCATTTAAAAGGAGTGGCCCTGTTTTCTGTGTTAAAACCCCATTTGGTGCTATTGAGTTTGTTCTTTATTCTTTTATCCCAGTGAAAATTGTTGATCTTGCTCTAGGGAAAAATTAAACTCTTTGAATCTCCAAACAAGAGAGAAAAAAAAAAAAAAAAACAACAACAGTGGAGGAATCACATTACCTGACTTCAAAGAGCTACAGTAACCAAAACAGCACGGTACCGGCATAAGAACAGACACAGACCAATGGAACAGAATAGAGAACCCAGAAACAAATGTAAACACCTACAGTGAACTCATTTTTGACAAAAGTGCCAAGATCACACACTGGGGAAAAGACAATTTCTTCAATAAATGGTGCTAGGAAAAGTGGCTATCTGTATGTAGAAGAATAAAACTAGACCCCTATCTCCTGCCATATATAAAAATCAAATTAAAATCAATTAAAGACCTTAATACATCAAACTATGCAACTCCTACTAGAAAACATTAGGGGAACTATCCAGGACATTGGTCTGGGCAAATATTTCTTGAGTAATACCCCACAAGTACAGATAACCAAAATAAAATGGAAAAAATGGGATCACATCAAGTTAAAAAGCTTCTGTACAACAAAGGAAACAAATGACAAAGTGAAGAGACAACACATAGAATGGGAGAAAATATTTGCAAACTACATATATGACAAGGGATTAATGACCAGAACATGTAACGAGCTCTAATAACTCTATAGGAAAAAATCTAATAAACTGATTAAAAATGGGCAAAATTTTTATTTGAATAAGCATTTTTCAAAAAAAGACATACAAATCACCAACAGGCATGTGAAAAGGTGCTCAACATTACTGATCATCAGAGAAATGTAAATGAAAACTACAATGAGATATTATCTCACCCCAGTTAAAATGGCTTTTACTCAAAAGACAAGCATTAACAAATGCTGGAGAGGATGTGGAGAAAAAGGAACCCCCATACACTATTGGTGGGAATGTAAATTATACAACCACTATGGAGAACAGTTTGGAGGTTCCTCAGAAAAATTAACAATAGCGCTATCATATGATCCAGCAATTCTACTTTTAGGTATATACCTAAAAGAAATCAGTATATCTAAGAGATATATTTGCTCCCATGTTTGTTACAGCACTGTTCATAATAGCTAAGATTTGGAAGCAACCTAAGGGTCCATCAATAGAAAAATGAATAAAGAAAATGTGGTACTTATCACAATGGAGTACTATTCAGCCATAAAAAAGAATGAGATCCTGTTATTTGCAAAAACGTGGATGGAACTGGAGGTCATTATGTTAAATGAAATAAGCCAGGTGATATGGTTTGGCTCTGTATCCCCACCCAAATCTTATGTCAAATTGTAATCCTCATGTGTTGAGAGATGGACCTGGTGGGAGGTGACTGGATCATGGCAGCAGATTTCCTCCATGCTGTTCTTGTGATAGTGAGTGAGTTCTCATGAAATTTGATAGTTTAAAAGAGTAGGACTTTCCCCCTCATTCTCTTTCTCTCCTGCCGCCATGTAAGACGTTCCTTTCTTCCCCTTCATTTTCCACCATGATTGTAAGTTTCCAGTCACCTGCCCAGCCATGTGGAACTGTGAGTCAATTAAACCTCTTTTCTTTATAAACTACCCAGTCTCAGGTAGTTCTTTACAGTAGTGTGAAAATGGACTAATATCCCAGACACAGTAAGACAAACTTCACATTCTCACTTATTTGTAAGATCTACAAATCAAAACAGTGAACTAATAGAGACAGAGAGCAGAAAGATGGTTATCAGAGGCTGGCAAGTGTAGTGAGAGGGTGAAGGGTATGTAGGGATGGCTAATGAGTAACAAAACAAATAGAAAGAATGTAGAAGACTGGTCATTTACTTTTACTTGGTTACTGAAGACATTGGTCTGTTTTCCAGAACTCCTCTCAAGTTATTTTAGCCAGTTTCAGTTTTTTTTTTTTTTTTTTTAATACATCTGTGGGTGGTGTGGACTGGGAGCATCCTGGTCTTCCATGTTGCTGATGTCACTTTTCTCAAGTCAACAGTTTTAAATACAATCCATAAACTGATGACTCTCAACTTCTAATCTCCAAGGAAGTCTTATCCCTGAATCTCATAGTTGTATCCAATTGCCCTTCTGTCATCTCATTTTAAACTTAACTCATAATCTGCTTCATTGTCTCAAATTTATTCCTGCCACCTTCTTTCCCATCTTACTAAATGGTAACTTCATTGTTTTATTTGCTCAAACAAAAACTTTGGAATCCTCATGAGTTTTCATGCAAAGCCTCAGCAAGTCCATTAGCTGTTTATTAGAAATATATCCTTTACCTGACTTTTTTTTTTTAAATCATGTTCATTGCCACAACTCAGATGCAAAATTATTATCATCTCCAATTTGGATCATCACAATAGTCTCTTGTCTTTTATTATCTTTCTCCGTTCCTTGCCACTCTCAGAAGAGTCAGAGTAATACTTGTAAAATGTAAATCATATCAAGTTACTTTAGCGTTATTGAGAATCTAGAGCAGTACAGTCCAACCAAACTTTCTGTGCTGATGTACACTGTGACAGTTTGAAATGTGGAAAGTGTGACTGAGGAACAAAATGTTATTGTATTTAAGTTTAAATAATTTTATTTTAATGTTACATAGTCATATGTAGCTACTTGCTATCTTATTGAATAGCACCACTACAGATGGACAAATATCAAATCCCAGGGACTGGTAAATATGGAAAATGTTGAAATGGTACACAGAGCTGAACTGGAGCCATCAATGCATATACTTCACTGAACAGACAAACCAGAAGTGTTTTAAACATGCCTCTCTACAAACTTTTATCAGACACTCAATCTTCTAGCACCTTGATCTTGGACTTCCCAGCCTTCATAACTGTGAGAAATAAATTTCTGCTGTTTATAAGTTTTCTGGTTTATGATGTTTTGTTATAACAGTCAGAATGTAATAAAACAAGGGGTAAATTCTGCCCGCATTATTCCACCTTGGCCAGAAGCAGGCATCCTCAGTTTCTTTAAATTGATGCTTTGTAAATTTCTATCTAGTTTTTAAGATGTTTATAGAAAAGAGGATTAGTAAAAATCACTTTAGGCTTCCGCAACTACTTGTATTCTATTCCTGATATTGTATTTTCTTTTCTGACTAGCTATCATTATGTGCTATTAATTGTAACTGGCAAATTATTTTTATTAATAACTTTAAGTCTAAAATGTTGGTATATTCCTCTAGAATGACATATTATTTTCTGATAAACTCTTATTGATACCATCATGTTTCTTACCAGTTTAATCTGGGTGAGTGATGAGGGCCAGCTTTCTGGTCCACAGGTGCCATCTAGCTGTGTCCACACATGGTGGAAGGGGCAAGGCAGCTCTCTGGGGCCTCTTTTTAAAAAGCATTAGTCCTGAGGGCTCTTTTCTCATAACCTAATCACCTCTCAAAGGCCCCACCTCCCAATGCCATCACATTCATATGTTAATTATGTTTCAACGTATAAATTTTGGGAGACACAAACGTTCGGACAATAGGACCCTCTCACCTTAAACAAGAAAATAAGCAGACAAAAATATAAAATAATGGTTTCAGACACTGGATCTCAGGCACTGTATTAGTTTGCTGGGGCTGCCATAACAAGGTAACACAAACTGGGTGCCTTAAACATCATAAATATATTATCTCACAGGTGCAGATATTAGAAGTCTGAAATCTAGATCTTGGCAGTGTTGATGTCACATGTGAGGGAAGTATTTGTTCTAAATCTCTCTCCTTGGCTTTTAGATGGTTGTCTTCTTCTCCTATGTCTATTCAAATACCCTTTCTTCTATGTGTGTCTGTATATCCAAATTTTTCTTTTTTATAAGGACATCAGTCATAATGCATTAGAGCCTGCCCTCATTGTATCTTGATTAACTTTGTAAAGATTGATCTCTAAATAAGATAACATTCTGGGGTACTGGGAGTTAGAACAACAAACTTTTTTGAGCAGACAAAATCTATCCTGTAACAGGCACTGAATAACTATGATTCCCTGAGAGACAAGAAACAAATGCAATAATCCCTATCATTTTCCTCTTTTACTGCTTGAGTTCCCAAGCTACGGTGCAGGCAAGGGGAACCCAAGTGTAGGATGGCAGACTACCAGATTTGAGGATATGGAATTTAGTCTCAGGAGACTAAGGGGACTATAACTCATGTGGGAGAGTGTCAGAAAGGAGACAGCTGCACAGAAAGATAAAGCCAGAGATTCCAGAGGGTTCCCATCAAGTATTCATCTGAGGATATATGTACAAGAAAACTACCTGTATTCGAGGGTTGCCAAGACCACCCTCAGGTTTAATCATTGCTACAAGAACTCACAGAACTCAGAAAAGCTGTTATGCTCATAGTTAAAATTTGTCACAGTGAAAGGATATAGAGTAAAATCAACCATGGGAAAAAGCACCTAGGAGAGCGTCCAGAAGAAACCGGGTACACATTTGTCTTCCCTCATTGGAGTCATGTGGACAGCACTTCATTTTACCACCAACGGTGTGTGCAACACACATAAAGTATTGCCAGACAGTGAAGCTCACTGAGCCTTGATGTCTTGTTTTTTTTTATCCAAGGCTGGTCATATAAGCTTATCTGGTCTTTGTTTCCAGCTCCTCAAGAGGCCAAGCTGATACCAGTTGGCCCAATGCCCCACCATAAGTCACATCATCAGCATAAACTTTCTGGTGCAGTCCTATATCCTCAGGTAATAAACATGTACCAGGCAAAGAAATACAACAGGAAGCTATCTCAAGGATTTAGAGGTTACCTTCCAGGAGCCAGGCAAGGGACAATTCTTTCTTTGGAATGTGCAGTGTGTGTACAGCCCAGCCCTGCTGAATTAATCCTTTATTGCATAGTACTCAACATTAGTAAAAGAACAATACAAAAGGATTAGAAAAAACAGCACCTGGGACACACACAGGGCTGGTAGTAAAGACTGGTACCACAAATAAGACTTGTAAATGTTATAATTCATTGGGGCATTGATTAGGGTATTAATTAGCCTCACACCAAATATTGCTTTGGTCTTCCCTGACAGATTTTGAGAGCAAGAACCAAAATAATCAAATTGGTTTCAAGAAACCTAACTATATTCCAGAACAACCATCAGGAATATTTTAATATTATAAAAATATCCAGCACTCTGGTACTGGTACAAAAACAGACACATAGGCCAATGGAACAGAATAGAGAACGCAGAAATAAAGTTACACACCTACAACCAACTGATCTTTGACAAAGTCAGCAAAAATAAGCAATGGGAAAAGGACTCTGTATTCAATAAATGATGCTAGGACAACTAACTAGCCATACGCAGAGGAATGAAACTGGACCCCTACCTATCACCATATACAAAAGTTAACTCAAGATGGATTAAAGATGTAAATGTGAGACCTCAAACTATACAAATATTAGAAGAAAATCTAGGAAATACCTTTCTTAATATTGGCCTTGGCAAACAATTTATGGCTAAGTTCTAAAAAGCAATAGCAACAAAAACAAAAATTGACAAATGGAAACTAATTACACTAAATAAGTTCTTCACAGCAAGAGAAACTATCAAGGGTATAAACAGATAATTTACAGAATGGGAGAAAATATTCATAAACTGTGCATTTGGCGAAGGCCTTATATCTAGAATCTATAAGGAACTGAAATCAACAAGCAAAAAAACAACCTCATTAAAAAGTGGGCAAAGGATATGAACAATCACTTCTCAAAAGGAGACATACAAGTGGCCAAGAAACATGAAAAAATGCCCATCATCACCAATCACCAGAAAAATGCAAATCAAAACCATCTCACACCAAGTCAGAATGGCTTTTGTTAGAAAGCTTAAAGACAGCAGTGGCTAACAAGGCTGTTTAGAAAGGGGAATACTTATTCACCACTGGTGGAATGTAAATTACTCCAGCCACTGTGGAGAACAGTTTGGAGATTTCTCAGAGAACTAAGAGTGGAACTACTGTTTGATCTAGCAACTATATTATGGGTTTATACCCTAAGGAAAGTAAGTCATTCTACTAAAAGGACACATGAACCTGTATGTTCATCGCAGTGCTATTTGCAATAGCAAAGACATGGAATCACCCCAGGTGCACATCAACTCTGGATTGGATAAAGAAAATGTGGTACCTCTATGCCAGGGAATACTATACAGCCATAAAAAGAATAAAATCTGCAGCAACATGGATGCAGCTGGAGGCCATTATCCTAAACTAATTCAGAAACTTGAAGCCTAATATTGCATGTTCTTACTTATAAGTGTGAGGTAAATACTGAGTACCCATGGACGTAAAGATAAGAATAATAGACACTATGAAATACAAGTGGGGGAAAGAAAGGAGGGAGCAAGGGCTGTAAAACTACCTATTGGGCACTCTGTGAACTACCAGGGAGATGGATTCATTCGTATTTCCAACCTCAGCATCATGCAATATACCTCTGTAATAAACCTCTACATGTACCCACTAAACCTGTAATAAAAGTTGAAAATATATATCTAGCAATGCTATGGTCTGAATGTTTGTATCTCCCCTCAAATTCATGCATCTATACCTAATCTCCAATGTGATAAAATTAGGAGGCATGGACATTGGGAGGTGACTAGGTCAGGAGGGTGGAGCCCTCATGAATGGAATTAGTGCTCTTATAAGGGGATAAAGAGACCACTGCACAACAACAATGCAATGGCTATCTGTGAATCAGGAAGCAGGCCCTCACCAGACTTGAAGTCTGCTTTTCCCTTGATCTTGGAGCTCTCAGCCTCTACAACTATTAAATTTCTCTTCTTCAAGCTACTCAATTTTGGCATTTTGTTACAGCAGCCAGAATGAACTAAGACAAGCACCAAACAAGGTTAAAATCACAGTATCTGGTATCCAAAAAAGTTTACCAGGAGTGCAAAGAAGCAGGCAAATGAAACCCATAATAAGAGGAAGAGTCAACCAATCAAATGTTACCCATAACTGAAACAGATGTTAAAATTAGAAGGGCATAAAACAGTTACTATAAGTATAGTTCATATGTTTAAGAAGTCATGTAAGGACATAGGACATATAAAAATGGCCTAGATTTTTTTCTAGATAAAAATAAAAATGTCTGAGATGAAAACTGCACTGGGTGTCATTAATGGCAGATTGGACATGGCAGAAGTAAAGATTAGTGAGTCACAAGATAGAGGAATACAGACTGTTCAAAATGAATCACAAAGAAAAAACTTTTTAAATTAAACGCATGATTAAGATGTGGGTTAACTTCGGCTAGGCGCTGTGGCTCATACCTGTAATCCCAGCACTTTGGGAGGCTGAGGTGGACGGATCACGAGGTCAGGAGATTGAGACTATCCTGGCTAACACGGTGAAACCCGGTCTCTAATAAAAAATACGAAAAATTAGCCGGGCATGGTGGCGGGCCCCTGCAGTCCCAACTACTCCAGAGGCTGAGGCAGGAGAATGGTGTGAACCCAGGAGGCGGAGCTTGCAGTGAGCCGAAATCGCGCCACTGGACTCCGGCCTGGGCTACGGAGCAAGACCCCGTCTCAAAAAAAAAAAAAAAAAAAAAAAAAAAAAAAAAGATGTGGGTTAATTTCAAGTAGTATAATATATGTGTGATTAGACCCCACAATGAAGATAACAGGAGAGTCAGAAACAGAATTGAAGAAATAATGGTTATTTTTTTCCTAAATTTTCTGAAAAATAAAATATCGACATACAAGAAAATTAATGAACTGCAAGCACAAGAAACGTTAAGAAACTATACCAGGAACATCATAATCAATTTTCTACAAACTAGTGAACATAAAATATCTTCAAAAAAGTCAGAGAAGAAAACACATGGAGAACAAAAATTTTTATAAACAGGGAACAAAAATAATGATGGCAGCAAATCTGTTGTGAGAAACAAGTGAAAGACTGTGGAAGAATATCGTTAAAGATTGGAAAGGGGAGGGGCGCAGTGGTTCACCCCTGTAATGCCAGTACTTTGGGAGGCCGAGGCGGGCGGATCACAAGGTCAGGAGATCGAGACCATCCTGGCTAACAAGGTGAAACCCCGTCTCTACTAAAAGTACAAAAAAATTAGCCGGAGGTGGTGGCAGGCCCATGTAGTCCCAGCTACTCGGGAGGCTGAGGCAGAAGAATGGCCTGAACCCGGGAGACAGAGCTTGCAGTGAGCCGAGATGGCACCACTGCACTCCAGCCTGGGCGACAGAGCGAGACTCCATCTCAAAAAATAAATAAATAACTAATAAAAGATTAGGAAGGGAAAATATGACCTGTGAACCCAGCATTCTTTTTGTTTTGTTTTGTTTTGTTTTGAGACGGAGTCTCGCTCTGTCGCCCAGGCTGGAGTGCAGTGGCACCATCTCGGCTCACTGCAACCTCTGCCTCCGGGGTTCACGCCATTCTTCTGCCTCAGCCTCCCGAGTAGGTGGGACTACAGGCGCCCACCACCACGCCCAGCTAATTTTTTTGTATTTTCAGTAGAGACTCAGTTTCACCGTGTTAGCCAGGATGGTCTCGATCTCCTGACCTCGGTATCCGCCCGCCTGGGCCTCCCAAAGTGCTCAGATTACAGGCATGAGCCACCGCGCCCGGCCTGAACCCAGTATTCTTAATCATACTTATGGGTTGAATTGCATCCCCCAAAACACATATGCTTGAGCCCTAACCCCCGGTATCTGTAAATGTGACCTCATTTGCCTACAGGATTATTGTATATGTAAGTAGCTAAGAAGAGAACATGCTGGGGTAGGATGGGTCCTACTCCAGGGTTTCTGGTGTTCTAATAGGAAAGGAAGATGCCATGTGAAGACATGCACAGAGGGTGGACAACAGAGAGACACAGGGAGAATGCCAGGTACAACAAAAGCAAAGGTTGGCATTGTGCAAGCAAAGGAATGCCAAAAAATGGCCAGCCTACCAGCACAAGCTATAGAGAGGTAAGGAAAGGTTATCCTTCAGGTTTCAGAGGAAGCATGTCTCTGCCAACACCTTAATTCCACCCTCTAGCCTTCGGAATTGTGAGATAATAAATTTCTGGTAGAATTTCTTAATTCTCAGGGAACCTCAATGTTTTCTCTTAAGGCCTTCAATTGATTGGATAAAGCTCACCCACTGTATTAATCTGTTTTGTGTTGCTATAAAGGTATACCTGAGGCTGGGCAACTTATAAGGAAAGAAAGTTTATTTGGCTCATGGTTCTGCAGGTCGTACAAGAAGCATGGTGCCAGCATCTGCTTCTGGTGAGGCCTTAGGAAACTTTTACTCATGGTGGTGGAAAGCTAAGGGGGAGCAGGTGTGTCATGGTGAGAGAGGGAGCAAGAGGGAGAGGAGGAGGTGCTGGGCTCTTTTTAACACTCAGATCTCATGGTAACTGATGGGGAGGGCACCAAGCCATTCACAAGGGATCTGTCCCCATGACTCAAACACCTCCCACCAGGCCCTACTTCCAACACTGGGCATCAAATTTCAGCATGAGATTTGGAGGGGACAAATATACAAATGATGTCACCCATATTATGGAGAGTAATAGGCTTTACTAAAAGCCTACTGATTTCAATGTTTATCATTGCTAAACAGTGCCTTCACAACATCAGTACTGCTGGCTGACTAAACTGGGTATCATCGCTTACCCAGAATGACACATAAAATTAACCATTTCAATTCACCCCTTGCAAATATGTATTCATACAAATTTCCTTAAGCCATACTTAATCTCCAAATAAAGACAATAACAAGGTCATAGTTCTGCCTAACATGACACAACTATGCTGTGTGTAAACAAAAACTAACCCTTTCCCCAGAAGAGGATGATAGGTGCTTAATGACATTCACTCTTCTTGATATCCTATAAATTAAATGCTATGATGTAAAGTTAACAATATTAAATACTGTGATGTGAAATGGATACATATTATGTTAGATGATAAGATGATAAAAGAGGGAAGAAAGAAAGATATATATATGGAGAGAGAGAGAGAAGAGAGGGAGGGAGACATATAGATATATGTGATATATATCACAAACATATATATAACATTACTATATACAATACACATAATATATATCACAAACATATATAATACAATAAAAAATACTCAGTCATTATTCACATTTCTGTAAGTGGTCATATGATTATACCTGGTATTTATAGCCACCTTCTTCCACTACTCAATCTTTATTTCTGGTGCCCTCAGCCAGACCATTGGTTGATTAGAGTTCTTTGCCTAGTGGAATAACCCAGACATTTATTCCAGAAGGTAGTGGGCCTAGTCCTGTCTGAATTAGGTTGTCATAGTTATCCATTGAATTTATCACAGTGCGTGTTAGTAGTAGAAGTCACCCAAAGGGATCTCCTGTTTTGCAGAATACTCTTTCTTACCTCATTTGTGGAGTAACAGTCTAATTTCCCCTTGGTAATTAGTGTCAATCATCACAGTCAGTATGTTAATTGCCTTCCTTACCCATTGATTCTGAAACATGAGGATCTCAAACTATCTGGGTGGCAGTCTAAATGTTCACACTAATAGAGTCATTGTTGTGTTTCCCGGCAGAAACACTGCGTAAAGGGAATGTAAATCCACATCCACAGTAAGTGTGTGTTCCAGTTAGAACAAAAAACTGACGCTGCCATGATGGGAGTGGGGCCATGTAATCAAACTTCCTCTAGGAAGCTAGATGTTTAACCAAGATATGGTGCCATATCAGGGACTCAGTGTTGGTTCCTACTGCTGGCCGATTTGGCAGTTAGTTGTTGCTGCAGTCATGCTGGCCTTGGTGAGTGAAAGTCCATGTTTCTGAGCCCATGCATAGTCTTCATTCCTGCCACTGTGGTTATTTGGTTCATGAGACCAGTGGGCAATGACAGGAATGGCTGGGGAAAGGGGCCAGCTAGAATCATAGAACAGATCACACTGTCCACTTAATTGTTGTAATTCTCCTCTTCTAAGGTCACTGTTTGATGAGCATTCACATGAGACACAAATATATTCGTGCTCTTTACCCACTCAGAAATGTCTATCCACATATCTCTTCCACAGACCTTGTAACCAGTTTTCAAATTGTATTTCTTTCAAAGTACCTGACCAACCAGCCAAACCACTTGCCATAGCCTGTGACTCAGTCTGGCCATTTCTCCTTCCAAGTACAATGAATAGCCAGGTTTACTTCTTGACCATGGCTACTGGGAGGATTTGTGTTCACCACTGTCCTTTAGGAATGTTCCAGAATGGGACTGTAGTGCTATGACTGCCTATTACAAAGAACCCCCTAGGGCCAGGTAGATGTTTTCTCCTTCTCTGCCAACCAATCACAGACAAGTCTCCATGAGGCTGTAGAGGCAGGATGAGAGAGAGAAGATAATATAGCCAAAATGGAGCCCATGGGCATTTGGGCCACTTACTCATATAAATTACTTGCATTTTCAGAGTCTGCTCAGACCCAGTTTTGTACAAAACATTTCCATTTGATGACGGAGTTCTGCTGTGCACACCCAACTCTGTGGCCTGGTGGGTCAGACAACACTGAGTTTATAATGGACACCTTAGATTGCACGGTAAGTTGATACCCCATGGTTAAATGTTTAGTCTCTACTAAGACCCAGTAGCAAGCCAAAAGCTGCTTCTTTAAGGACAGTAATTATCCACAGAGGATGGTAGGACTTGACTCCAGAATCCTACGGGTCTGTGTTATAATTTACTTTCAGTAGCCTGCCAAAGGCTGAAAAAGCATCCTTATCTGCCACAGCCACTTCAATACCACTGACTCGGTTGGATCACCTGGCTCGAGTAGCAGAGCAGCTTGCACAGCAGCCTGGAACTGTTGCTGAACCTTTTCTTCTTCTGGGCCCCACTCAAAACTAGCAGCTTTTAAGTTCACCTCATTAAATGTGCCAGAGTGGCACAATCAAATGAAGAATACGTTGCTTCCAAATTACAAAGAGGCCAATTAGACATTGTGCCTTTCCCTTTGATTGTAGGAGGGGCCAGATGCAATAAGTTATTATTCATCTTAGAAGAATTATCTTGACATGCCCCCAATACAACTGGAACCCAAGTTTACTGAGGCCAAAAGCCCCTGAGTTTTTTTTTTAATTTGTTTCCAACCGTTTGGCACACAAATGTGTTACCAATAAGTATAGATTAGTTGCTACTTTTTGCGAACTAGGACCAATCAGCATAATGTTATCAATGATTAACAGACCAACATAAAATCTTGTAGAACATCAAGGTCCCTATAAATTATTTATGACATAAAGCTGGAGAGTTGTTGTACCTTGAGGTAGGACAGAGAAAGTGTATTGCAAACATTTTCTGGTAGTCTTTAATCTTAGATATGAAGGAGAAAAAGGCATTTTCCAGACAAATGGCTGCATGTCATAAACCAGGGTATATTTTAATCTATTCAAACAATGAAACCACAACCGGTATAGCAGCTGCAAGCGGAGTTACCAGCTTGTTAATGTTAAGATAACCCACTGTTATTCTCAAAGATACATGTTTCCAGCACAGGCCAAGTAAGTAAGTTGAATGGGGATGTGGTGGGTCTCACCATTTCTACACCTTTTTTTTTTTTTTTTTTTTTTTTTTTTGAGACGGAGTCTTGCTCTGTCGCAGTGCAGTGGCGCGATCTCGGCTCACTGCAAGCTCCACCTCCTGGGTTCAGGCCATTCTCCTGCCTCAGCCTTCCGAGTAGCTGGGACTACAGGCACCTGCCACTACACCCGGCTACTTTTTTTAATTTTTTTAACTTTCAGTAGAGACGGGGTTTCACTGTGTTAGCCAGGATGGTCTCGATCTCCTGACCTTGTGATCCGCCTGCCTCGGCCTCTCAAAGTGCTGGGATTACAGGCGTGAGCCACCGCACCCAGCCCCATGAAAGACTGTTTTTAAAATCTGTTTTAGGTTTACAGAAAAATTAAGAGAAAGGTACAAAGATTTTCCACATATCTCCTACCCACCTATACATGATTAGCCTCCTTCATTATCAACCTTTGCTACAAGAGTGGTGCATTTGTTACAATTGATAAGCCTACATCGATACATCATTATTACCCAAAGTCCATAGTTTACACTAAGGTTCAATCTTGTATTATACATTCTATGGGTTTGGACAAATGTATGATAACATGTATCCATCACTACACAGTATTTTCAATGTCCTAAAAATCTTCTGTGCTCTGCCTATTCATCCAATTACTGGTATTTTCACTGTCCTCATAGTTTTACCTTTTAGAGACTGTCGTATAGTTAGACTCATAGAGTATGTAGCTTATCAATTATTTCTTTCATGGATCATGCCTTTGGTGTTGCATCTAGAAAGCCATCAGCATACTCAAGGTCATCTATGTTTTCTCTTGTATTATACTCTATGAGTTTTATAGTTTTGTGGTTTACAGTTAGGTCTATGGTCCATTTTGGGTTAATTTCCATGCAGGGTTAAGGTCTGTGCCCAGATTCAATTTTTTTTTTTTTTTCAAAAGGATGCTTGTTTGTTGAAAAGACTACCGTTTCTCCATTGTGTTGTCTTTGCCCGTTTGTCAATGATCAGTTGCCTGTATTTATGCGTGTCTGTTTTGGGGCTCTCTATTCTGTTTCATTGATCTATTCCTCTATTCTGTCACCAATACCACACTAATCACTGTAGCTTTATGGTAAGTCTTGAAGTAGGGTAGTGTCAATCCTGCAACACCGACCGCACTTTTCAGGTTTTTGACGGCAGCAGTGATCTTTGCAATCCCTCCAGGTATATGGTACGGTTTTGTTTTACTATGTTCCTAGGTAGAGGCAGTTACAGTGGTTTCTACTTGGCCTTTCCTATGATAATAGCCCTCGCTCCAGAGGTTAGGGAACCAATTTGTAGATTTGACCTGCTGCTATTTCTACTCCAATTATGCTTCTTGGAACTGGGAAAATAACCACAAGATGGATTTAGGCACACCCTGGGCCCACTGTGAGATAGACTTCAGCTAAAACTCTATTGATCATTGACCCTCATAGGCCCTTCCTGTAACTGATAGACCACAGTGATGTTTTGAGCCTTTTGACATTAATGTCAGTTGAGAGTCAGTGTTTAATTGTCTCCAAACATCTGATTATCTCTTTTTTCCCAAGTGCAGTTACTCTAGTTAAAGGCTGTTGGGGCTGGGCGCAGTGGCTCATGCCTGTAATCCCAGCACTTTGAGAGGCCGAGGCAGGTGGATCATGAGATCAGGAGTTCGAGACCAGCCTGACTAACATGATGAAACCCTGTCTCTACTAAAAACACAAAAGTTAGCTGGGTGTGGTGGCACACATCTGTAATCACAGCTATCCAGGAGGCTGAGGCAGGAGAATCGCTTGAACCTGGGAGGCGGAGGTTGCTATGAGCCAAGATCGCGCCACTGAATTCCAGCCTGGGCAACACAGTAAGAGTATGGCTCAAAAAATAAATAAATAAAATTAAAAAATAAAGGCTGTTGGTTCCTTTAAGGGAGGACTGCAAGAAAGATTAACAATATATATATTTTTCAATGTACCAGGATCCCTCCCCCAGGAAACGAGACTCCCCTTCATTCAAGGGAGTATAGGTCTGTAAACTGGCTCTGATCTAAGATTTGACTGACAGCCACATATATAAGTAAAAAAACTTATGCCTGGTTTACAGATGGTTCTGCACAATATGGAAAAACCACCAAAAGTGAACATCTGCAGCACTGTCGAGCTTTTCTAAGATATATCTCTGACAAACTCTGTGGAAGGGAAATCTACTCAGTGGGCAGAACGTTAGACAAGGCACTTGGCTGTGCACTTTTCTTGGAGGGAGAAAAGGCCAGCTGTGAAATTATATGCAATTCCTGGGTTGTGACCAATAGTTCAGCTGGAGGACCAGGGACTTGGAAGGAATATGATGGAAGACTGGTGACAAAGACATTTGGGAATGACATGTGGGGACAGATCTCTCTGAGTGGGAAAAAAATAATGTGAAGATACGTGTATCTTATGTGAATGCTCACCAAAGGATAAACAATTGAGGAGAATTTTAATAATCAAGAGGACAGGATGACCCATTCTGTGGATACCACTCAGCTCCTTTCCCCAGCCACCCCTGTCATTGTCCACTGGCTTCATTTAAAAAGTGGCCATGGTGGCAGGGATGGAGGTTATGCATGGGCTCAGTAACATGAACGTAATCACCAAGGCTGACCTGCCTGTGGCCAGCACTGAGTGTCCAATCTACCCACAGCAAAGACCAACACTGAGTCCTTAATATGGCACCATTTCCCAAGGTGATCAGCCAGCTACCTAGTGGTAGATTACATTGAACGACTTCCATAATGGAAGGGGCAGCATTTTGTTCTTAGTGGAACAGATAGTTACTATGGACATGGATTCAACTTCCCTACATGCAATACTTCTGCTGCCAACTAGCATCTGTGGACTTACAGAATGCATTATTCACCATCATAGTATTCCACACAGTATTGCTTCTGATCAAGTAGCTCATTCAATGGTCAAAGAAGTGTGGTAATGGGCTCATGCTCATGAAATTCAATGGTCTTACCATGTCTCCCACCATCCCGAAGCCTGGTCTGGTAGAATGGTGGAATGGACATTCAGAGACTCAGTTATAGTGGCAGCTATGTGGCAACAGCTTGGAGGGCTAGGAAAAACATTTCCAGAAGACTATATATGCTCTGAATTTGTGACCAATATATAGTGCTGTTTCTCCAATATTCAGAATTTACAATTTCAGAAATCAAGGGGTGGGAAAGGGAAAGGTATCCTTCAGTATTACACCTAGTGTTCCACTAGCAAAAATTTTTCTCACTATTCCAGTGAATTTATGTCCTGCTGGCCTAGAGGTCTTAGTTGGATATGAAGAAATGCTTCCAACAGGAGACACAATAATGATTTGAAGTAAAATTTAAGACTGCCACCCCATCACCTTGGGTTTCTCATACCTCTCCATTAATAGGCAAAAAGAGAGTTATGTTATTGGCTGGGGCAGTTGGTCCCAACTTCCAAGTGGAAACTGGACTGCTACCCCACAGTGGAGGTATGGAAGCATTATGTTCATAATACAGAGGATCCCTTAGGGCATTTCTTGGTAGTGCCATCCCTGTGATTAAGATAAATGGAAAACTGCAGCAAGCTAATCCAGGCAGTAATACTAACAGCTCAGATGATACAGGAATGAAAGTTTGGGTCGGTCTACTAGGTAAGGATCTAATAAAAAGCTGAGGTGCTCACTGAAGGCAAAGGGAATATAGAATGGGTGTAGAAGACGGGAGTTATAAGCACCTGCTAGGACCACATGGTGAGTACAGAGACCAAGGCTGTAACTGTCATGAGTATGTCCTTCTTATATTTTCTAAATATGTTGTGTTCATATATGTCTATATTAAGCAAATATCTTTGTTTTTCCCCTCTCTTAGTCCCTTATTATGTATAATAACATGTGTTGACTTTACTTAATAGTCTTTAAGTATTATTGATTTTACATAGTAGTATTTATGTTATACAATGTCAGGAGAAGAGTAAACATTACTCATGGACTTCACCTCTTCCTGGGAAGGGATTAGTGCATTTATGGCTGTAAACAGGGTAGTTATATGATGTTGGGCAGAAATATGACCTTGTCATTGTCTTTGTTTGGAGATTAAGTATGGTTTAATGAGAAACACATGGGTACAAAGTTGACAAAGGGTAGACTTGTGATGGTTAATTTTATTTGTCCACTTGGCTGGGCTAAGAGACCCTTAGCTGGTAAAACATTATTTCTGAGTGTTTCTGTGAGGCTGTATCTGAAAGACATTAGCATCTAAATCAGTGGACTGAGTAAAGATGATGGCCCTCACCAGTAAAGGTTGGCATCCTCCAATCTGCACCTGGGACTACAGGCGCCCGCCACCACACCCGGCTAATTAGAAAAAATCATGGAGGAAAGGCAGGGTTTTTTTTTTGTTTGTTTGTCTCTGCCAGATCTGGGATCTCTATTTTCTCCTGTTCTCAGGCATCAGTGTTTTAGATTCTGGGACCTTCAGACATGGACCTAGACTTACACTGTCAGTCACCCAGTTCTCAGATCTTTGGATTCATACTGGGGCTTACACCATTAGCACCCCTAGTTCTCAGAACTTTGGGTTTGGACTGGAATTGCACTACATGCTTTCCTAAGTCTTCAGCTTGAAAACAGTAGACTGTGGGACTTCTCAGTGTCCATCACCACCTGAGCTAATTCCTCATAATAACTTTGTTCTAGATATCTACATATATCCTGTTGGTTCTGTTTCTCCAGACGACATTGACTAATATATGGCTTATGATAGCTCTATGAGCTTTGGTGTCAGTTGAGCCTAAGTAGAAAACCCACTTCACATAAGCACTGTAGGCTGATTGGCTAAAAGTATTACTTGTTAGCCCAGTAACACCTTAGTGGAATTGCAGAAAAGGTAACAAGATTTTCACATACACAAAAATAGGCATACTATACATAACTAAATATAGCTTCAGTTATACCCCCAAGAGACTTCAAAAAATTTAAAATTTATATGCCTCTTCCAATTATTGTAAGCTAACAAATAATTATAGTTTGATTAAGCTGATAAATACATCAAATACTTGCTAAATCTGAATTTAGGAAAAAACAAGGTTTACCTATGAATTAATATAATGGCCTGATTTACTTGGTTAAAAATATAAAAGGCAAAAGAATGCTAACAGAATGTTGACATTTTAAAAAGCAATTTTTAAAGTTTTAATATTTGGCTTATAAACATGGGAAAATAGTTTGGGTACTTTTAATAATCAAGGTAAGGTAAAGGTAAGACTTGTAGAGTGGGTGAATCTCGAACTTGGCAAACCTTCTCTCCAGAAAGCAATGGTAACGTTTGGTTAAAATGTAGAAACAACCTTTTTTTTTTTTTTTTTTTTTTTTGAGACAGAGTCTCGCTCTGTCGCCCAGGCTGGAGTGCAGTGGCACAATCTCGGCTCACTGCAAGCTCCGCCTCCCGGGTTCACGACATTCTCCTGCTTCAGCCTCCTGAGTAGCTGGGACTACAGGCACCCGCCACCACGCCTGGCTAATTTTTTGTATTTTTAGTAGAGATGGAGTTTCACCGTGTTAGCCAGGATGGTGTCAATCTCCCGACCTCGTGATCCACCCACCTCGGCCTCCCAAAGTGCTGGGATTACAAGTGTGAGCCACCAGGCCTGGCCCCAAACAACCATTTAAGCACTTCGGAGATTAACCAAAACAACAAGTTGAGACACATTTTCTTAAGAAATTCTAAAATCTCAGTTAGGGCACTTGGATTTGTTGGCATTCTAGCCTGGAGCTATTCCCAGTACCCTCCTCCTTGCCCCCGTGTGGCAGGCATTAAGGAATGGCAGCTCCACTGCCATAAGGATCTGACTTTATTTAAAGCAGAACACAGAAAGTTTCATGCCAGGGGCATTGCCAAAAACAGGAGTGACCTTAGTGGCAAAAAGTCAGGGAAAGCCAACACCATAGCCAGCCTGAGATAACAATACTGGTTGGGGAAGTAACAGACTGGCATCTCAGTCAGAAATTTAGAAGGCCAATCCAGGAAATGAGACAGCCAGAGTTAGATTTAATAAGATACTACTTATCTGTGATGGTCTGGAGGGCTGTGCCCATATACAATGTTGCACACATGCCCAGGAGACACCACAGAGGGCTCTAGCAAAGGGACTCATTCCTGGCTGGATCTGAGGCCTTACTAACATAGAAAGTAAAAGCTAGGACAGATGTGTAAACTGCCTAAATATTGAATGTGTTTTTGTTTTTTTGTTTGTTTGAGACAGAGTCTCGCTCTGTCGCCCAGGCTGGAGTGCAGTGGTGCCATCTCGGCTCACTGCAAGCTCCGCCTCCCAGGTTCACGCCATTCTCCTGCCTCAGCCTCCCGAGTAGCTGGGACTACAGGTGCCCACCACCACGCCCGGCTAATTTTTTATATTTTTAGTAGAGATGGGGTTTCACCGTGTTAGCCAGGATGATCTCGATCACCTGACCTCGTGATCCGCCCGCCTTGGACTCCCAAAGTGCTGGGATTACAGGCATGAGCCACTGCGCATGGCCCAATATTGAATGTGTTTTCTATGCCACACACGGATCCGTTGGCAGATGGTGGAAGCCTTACTAGCTCACAGAATTTCAGTACTGCCTCTAACCAGTCATTGACCATTAAGGTATGCTGACCTGGGGCAACTCCTAATAAGCCAGGCATGAAAATGAAAATATGATGAGGGAGAAAAAAATAGCAAAGGCACAAGCAGCCACACACTCTGGAGGAATTAGAATTAGCTCAGGCAAGTCATTGAACAAACAATAACTACTTCTGAGAGAAATAGAATTCAGGGTTGATATAATATCTTACAGAAAATGTCCAGTTTTCAACAACAAAAACATGAGACATGCAAAGAAACTACAAAGTGTGATCTAGACACACACATACACAATAATAGCAGTCCACAGAAAATTGTAAAGGGGACCCAGATGTTGGATTTGACATACACAAACTTCAAAGCAACTAGTATAATTATGTTCAAAGAAGTGGCAGAAGACATTTTTGAAGAAGTAAAGAGTGATGAAACAACTCATCAAATAGAGAATATAAATACAGAAATAAAAATTTTTGAAAGGACCAAGTAGAAATTCTAGCATGGAAAATTACAGTAACAGAAATAAAAATTCACTGGAAAGGGTTCAAACACATTTTATTTTGCAGAAAGAAGAATCAGGAAACTTGAAAAGAAATGAATAGAAATTATTCATCCTAAAGATCTGAAAGAAAAAAGTAGAAGAAATAGGGACTATCTTAGAGACTTGTGGGAAGACAAGAATGTGTATATATCTTTTTCTTTTTTTACTCCCTGAATATGAGCATTTACATGAATAGATTTCCCAATGTTTAAATTTGCTTTTATGCCCAGAATGAATACTTCTTGGTTGATATATTTTTATCACATATATGTTGCATATGTTTTATTCATAATTAGACTATAGTTGTTAATGTTTTAATTACAGTATTTGAATCTAAGTTTATGAGTGACATTAGCCTTTTTATTCCAGTCTTGTAATGTCCTTAGCAGGTTAAGCTGTTATTCTACAATGAATTTGGAAATGTTTACTCATTTCTTCTCTGTGCAAGTATTTGCATAAAACTGACATTATTTTTTATCTTAAAATAATTTTTAGAATTCATCATACAGCCATCTGAGACTGGAGATTTTAGAGAAGGAGAAGCAAAACTTTTATTGATACAATCACTTTCTTTAGGAACTAGAGTAAAATTTATTTTTCTTATTTCTTTTCACGTCATTTCCAGTAGTTTATATTTTTCTAGGAATGTAACAAATTTATTTACTTTTGAAATTTAACAGTATAAAATTCTTCACAATATAATCTTATCTTTTTGGTGTTTGCATCAACTGTAATGATACCAGCCATTTCATATATGATACTATTTGGGTATTTTCTACTTTTTTTGGGAAAAGAATTATCAGTGGTTTGCGGCCAGGCGCAGTGGCTCACACCTGTAATCCCAGCACTTTGGGAGGCAGAGGTGGGCAGATCACCTTAGGTTGAGAGTTTGAGACCAGCCTGACCAACATGGAGAAACCCCGTCTCTACTAAAAATACAAAATTAGCCGGGCATGGTGGCGCATGCCTGTAATCCCAGCTACTCTGGAGGCTGAGGCAAGAGAATGGCTTGAACCCGGGAGGCAGAGCTTGCAATGAGCCGAGACCGTGCCACTGCAGTCCAGCCTGGGTAACAGAGCAAGACTCCATCTCAAAAAAAAAAAAAAAAAAAAAAACTAAAAAGGAAGCACCAGCCGGGTGCGGTGGCTGACACCTGTAATCCCAGCACTTTGGGAGGCCAAGGTGGGTGGATCACAAGGTCAGGAGATCGAGACCATCTTGGCTAACACAGTGAAACCCCGTCTCTACTAAACATACAAAAAATTAGCCAGGTGTGGTGGTGGGCACCTGTAGTCCCAGTTACTTGGGAGGCTGAGGCAGGAGAATGGCGTGAACCCGGGGTGCAGAGCTTGCAGTGAGCCAAGATCGCGCCACTGCACTCCAGCCTGTGCAACAGAGCGAGAGTCTGTCTCAAAAAAAAAAAAAAAAAAAAAAAAAGATGTTACCTTAGTTTCCATAGGAGATTTTAACTTCTTTGGACATTGTTTAAAGCTATAATTACTGTCTAGCTTATCAAGTCACTTACATATGTCTCAGGGCTACCTTGAAAGAACTGAAGATTTTCCTTATTTTCGTGCTCGAGGCAACCCACAGGCCCCTAAGAGGAGTCCAAGCTCCATCTTATATACTAGGATCATTGTGTAGCAAAAAGTGAGCTCAGAAAACATACTAGAATTCCTAATATCAAAGAAATAATATCAAAGGAAGAAACACAATAAATATCCCATTTCATATTTGTTAGTGCCTTAGGAGGGGCAGCCCATTGGCATTGTTGGGGAAGCTAAGCGTACAAGGTAAAGTAATCTCCAGTGCAGGAGGTGAAGTCATCTCCAATGGTGAAGTATTGGTCTGGGGCAATGTTCTCTGAAGTTAAGTCATCTCCAGCAGTGAATTCCTGGACTAGGCAGACCACTGTCATCTGGGATGTGAGACTGGGATATCCTTCCCAAGTGGATAGCCACTAGGGTTGGTATGAATCATGTTTTTGTTCCTCTATTGTATTATAACAAGGCTGAGCCACTTGAGGAATTTGAAGGCAATGTTGTGCCTGGGAATTTGACTTGCAAATATTCTTAAGGTCAAGGGGCTTTGTGGGTGCACAGCTAGCTAAGGTAATGTCTGCATCTAACATGCTGCTGTAACTGTACCAAAGTGCTGGAACTTGACTGGCACAATTAACACTATAATTAATAGCGTCTAAATCTGAATCTCCCAATAGTCCAAGGTTTTTCTCAGATGGGTGATAAGAAACATTTTACTACAAATAGGTTTTAAATCACACAGCCTGATTTGCGTGTATGTTGTTAATAAGGTGTCAGGTTTTTTTGCCAATTAAAATCTTGAGGCTGAGGTTGGATATCCATCATTAGATTGTAGGTGGGTCCTCCAATTTAGCCACTTAGTATGAACTCTTTTCTCCAGTTTTTGGTTTGTTGGTGATAGGCAAGTGGATGAGGTTTGGGGCTGTATTAACAATACTTGATGGCTTGTGGACCACAGGATTTGCTATGTCTATTTGAAACAATGGCTTACTTGGAGGGTTTGGACTACCAGATTGCAATGAAAACACCCAAATCAATAGTAATAAAACCAATTGTCAACATAATAGTGTGTAGCAACACTTGATGCTTTTGTTATCTAATGATGATTATTTTTCTAGTGTATATTATTACCAGGGCAGGTATATGCAAACCTACCCTCAAAGGCTGAGGGAGCTGAAAGGCCAAAGAGGCTGACAAATCCGTATTCTTAGAAAGAAACGTTTAATATGAACAGAAGCTATGTTTCAGGCGGCCACTAGAGGGTGAATCCTTGCACTCGCCCTCTAGAAAGTATTCTTTATATAGCAAGCCTTCTTTGGGTAAAACATTTGCAGCTGGTTATGTCTGAGACCCCTTAGTGAAACTGGTGACTACTGGGGAAGTTAGATAAGCATCTTTATGAAGGGTTAGCTATGCTGCAGGGATTGTTTCTTTATGAGGGGTTAGCTATGTTGCAGGCATTGTTTTTATATGACGAGTTATCTATGTTGAAGGCATTGTTGCTACATGATGAGTTAGCTATGTTGCAGGCATTGTTTCTATTCGAGGAGTTAGCTATGTCGCAGGCATTGTTTTTGAGGGGTTAGCTATGCTGCAGGCATTGTTTCTATATGAGGAATTAGCTATGCTGCAGGCACTGTTTCTTTATGAGGGGTTAGCTATGCTGCAGGCATTGTTTCTATATGTGGAGTTAGCTATGCTGCAGGCATTGTTTCTTGACCTTGCTGCTGGAATGCCTTGGTATGCTGGAGTGAAACATCAGTCCTTATGGCAGTTTTGCTTCAAGATGGCATTACTCTTGCCATGCAACAGGCTGTTTTCCTACAATAATTTTGGAATATAGTGTTTATTCTCTCAATATCTGAATGTGAGTTTAAGTTACAAACTGTAGTTTTCTATCTTTCATTCTGCCATTTTTCGGGCTGGCTTTTGGGCAATAATTTTAATTTCTGAGTGTAATCAGAGGACGAGCTCAGATAAATTATCCATCCCTTATAAAATGAAAATTGAGGAAAATTTGGGGGGTAAGTTTAGGTTGAAGTGAGTTCCATATCAGATGAACAGGTGCCTGTCTTGTGAAACAATCTGATTAGCAAAAGTACCTAAGAGAGTTGTATCCTCAATCTGGGATCCGTTTGAATCTCCCTTTAAATATAGATAATGGTGATGAGAAGATTTTTTAAAGTTGCTATAAGCCAGTTCTGCATCTTTAACTTAAGAGAGATTAAGGTCTGGGACAAGATAGAGGCCACTTAGGAATTCATTTATTATTTTGTAACTTAAGTAGGAGTCATTTGAAGAGCCCACAAGACTTCCCAATTAATCCAGCTTCCTGGGGGCCTATTGGGAAAATATAATTTCATTGAATGTTGTTTCTAAGAGACCACCATTGTATTTGAGAGTAAAATGTATACCTTGGAGCTATAAACTGTTTCTGTCCTTCCAAAATTCATGTGTTGCAATCCTAACCCCAAATGTGATGGTACTGGGAGGCAGGATCTTTAATAGATGATTAGGCCATGAGAGCAGAGCCATCACAAATGGAATTAATGTGCTTATAAAAGAGTCCCCAGAGAGCAAGCTTGACCCTTGTGCCATATGAGGACTCAAAAATATAGTACCACCTATGGATGGGAAAATTAACCCTCACTGGACACAAACTTGGTGGCACCTTGATTTTGGACTTCCCAGCCTTCAGAAGGTGAAAAATACATTTCTTTTGTTCATAAACTATTCAGGCTATTGTATTTTGTTAGAGAATCCCCCAAAGACTAAGACAAAATATTGGTTCCAAGAAGTTAGGGTGTTGCTGTAATAAATAATGGAAATGTGGTAGCAGCTTTGAAACTAGGTAATGACTAGGAGCTGGAATAGTTTTCAGGTGCACGCTAACAAGCACTTATGTTTCCACAAGTGGCTTTAAATGATTAATTCCAGTGAGGGCTCAGAAGGAGAGGAGGAGAGCTGCAGAGAAAGGGTAAATCTTCTTTGAGAATGCCAAGATGGCCATAAACCCAATGTTCATAGAAATATGGATGATAAAAGCCATTCTGATGAGGTTTCAGACAGAAATGAGAAACATGTCATTGTAATTGGAAACTGGAAGAAAGACAATTCTCATTATAAAGTGACAAAAAATTGGATGAACTGTGTTCATATTCTAGTGTTTGATGGAAGGTAGAATTTTTGAGAAAATGAATGGATATTTTACAAAGGAAATTTCTAAGTCAAGTGTTGAAGGTGGAGCTTGGCTTTTCTTGAAGGCTTATAGTAAAATTCAAGAAGAGAGAAATGGCCTAAATGTTATTGTTAATCAAAAGGGAAGCAGATCTTAAAATTTTTGATTCTCAGCCTATCCACATTGAAAAAAAATAAGAAAGCTGTCCAGGTGTTGTGGTTCACACCTGTAATTCCAGCATTTTTGGAGGCCAAAGTGGGAGGATCATTTGAGGCCAGGAGTTCAAGATCGGCCTGGTCACCAGAGTAAGACTCTGTCTCTACAAAAAATTTTAAAATAATTTAAAAATTTAGTCAAGTGTGGCAGCACACATCTGTAGTCCCAGATATTTGGGAGGCTAAGGCAGGAGGAATAGTTGAGCCCAGGGGTTTAAGACTGCAGTGAGCTATGATTGCACCATTGCACCCTAGCCTGGGCAACAGAGCAAGACCCTGCCTAGAAGAAGAAGGAGAAGGAGAAGGATTCATCCTCCTTTTAGGGAGAGAACAAGGGCATGGTCAAGTGACCATTTGATAAGGAGACTGGTATGGATTGGGAATCTAACACAAGCCAAGTGCTATTTCTCAAAACAATGACAGAATGACCAGGAAGGAATTTTGGAGATTATGGAATCTGTCTCTCTCATTACAGGCTTATGCAAGGACCTGGAGGGAAGAATGATTTCAAAGCTCTGCTCCCTGAATTTGAGCAAAATTGTCCTTGGCCACACCGGCTGTGGCTCCAGTGTGCCCAGGTGCAGCACAGGACATGGTGGTCTGCCCTCCACACAGCACAGATGATAAACCTTGGCAGGGTACATGTGGTGCCATCTCCAAAGAAGTACAAAATGCATAAACCATGGGGGTATGGCTACCCCCACATAGATTTTGAAGAATGAAGCCAGGCAGAGCCTCAGGCTCAAGACTCAAGCAGTGGGCTATCGTAAGGTTGGAGCCAACACAGAGAGTTGCCACTAGGGTTATGCCTAGCAAAACCATGGGGCCCCTCCTCCAAAATTCATATGTTGAAATACTAATTCCCAATGTTATAGTATTAGGAGGTAGAGTCTCTGGGAGGTGATTAGGCAGAACTCTCATGAATGGTATTAATGCCCTAATAAAACAGACTCCAGAGAGCCAGCTCACCCTTCTGTCATATAAGGACTCATCAGAAAGGCACCATCTATGCATCAATAAATGGGCCCTCAGCAGGTATCAAATCTACTGGCACCTAAATCTTGGACTCTCCAGTCCCTGGAACTGTGAGAAGTAAACATCTATTCTTTATAAAGTACTCAGTCTTTACTTTTTGTTATGGCAGCCTGAATGGAGTAAGATACCTCTCTTTCCAGAGAAAGCTGGATTTAGTTAAGATCTTTCCTGCAAAGATTGTGTGTGATGAGGAAGCTTTTTTCCACACAGTAGTCTGGAAGGGCCTATTGTATCCCTTTGGAGGTGAAGTCAAACTGAGGCTGAGAAATTTTTGAAATAGATACTGAACAATACATATTAGCCACTTCCATAATAGGAAAATCTTTATTGGTTGCCGATTGAATAGAATCAGAAATTTAAATGCATAGGGTGATGGGCCCCCCACCAGGTTACTTAAGGGTGTAGGTCTTCTGCTTGGCCCCTGAGGGCCAACTGGTGAGCCAAGGCAATGGTTTCCAGCTGAGGAACAGGTGTTCCTGGGAACCCAAACATCCTGGAGTGTACAGGTAACCTACCAAGAAAAAATAATCTCATTGCATGCAGTAGGCAATGACCCAAAAAATTAGCTTAAAAGCAGCTTAGAAATGTGTGGCAGGGAAGGTCTCTGGAGTTTTCCTGTTGCTGCCCAGGAATGTCCTGTATGTAAGTCCTAAAAGCCTCATGTACTCATCAAGCTGGACTTGTCCAAGTTATTATTTGGTCACTTAGCCCCTTCCCAGGGTGTGGGGACATTCTTCTAAATAGTCCTGTTTTTTTTCTCATAACAAAATAATATTGGGTATTGAATATGGGAGCCTTAACAAATGGGACCATAGCATTTTAGCTGTAGTAGTCTACTATGAGGCAATCTTCATTCTTCCCAGGTCTAAGAATTGGCAAAATTGGGCTGTTAAATGGAGAAGCAATGGGAATGATCATTCCTTTACTAATTTTCTTTTATATAAGATATTTTAATCCTTGAAAAGGTTGTTTTTAGTTATATTAAACTTTATAAACTATTTTAACCTGGGGCACATGGGGTCCTGTTTTATCAATCCAATTCGTAAATGCCAAATAATTAAATTTAATTTGTTATTCATTGTGTTGGAACATAATTTAGAACAATGGGTATTATGATTGGGAAATTTAGGAAAAGATATAAAGTGAAACATACCTATTTTTCTCTACTTTATATTTAGCTACTCTCATAAAATGATTAGGGCATCTTGTTTAAATCTAGTGGGATCCCCAGGTGTAACTCTAATTTGAGCTCCAGTATTAAAGCCATGAAGTTCTGTCAATTGCTATATTTAAGCCAATACTAACGTTAATCCAGGAACTATGTTGTAGAGGTATGAAAGCCAATCAGTGCACTTTTATCTCTGTTATATAAATTATTTTAGTAAATTTTGGATTTCCAATTGGGTTAAATTACAAAACTTTGTTTCTTCATCATCATCATCAATGCATTTTTCTAGGAGTATTAGTAGCATTTCTTCTCCTTATATAAATACTTTTTCTTTCTCTCTTTTTTTTTTTTTTGTTATGGGCTTCTAGCCACCTAAAGACATGGTTTTGGGGTGGAGCCAAGATGGCCCAATAGGAACAGCTCCAGTCTACAGCTCCCAGCATGAGCAACACAGAAGATGGGTGATTTCTGCATTTCCAACTGAGGTACCAGGTTCATCTCACTGGGGAGTGTTGGAAAGTGGGCACAGGACAGTGGGTACAGCGCACCGAGCATGAGCCGAAGCCGGGTGAGGCATCGTCTCACCCGGGAAGCGCAAGGGGTCAGGGAATTCCCTTTCCTAGTCAAAGAAAGGGGTGACAGATGGCACCTGGGAAATCGGGTCACTCCCACCCTAATACTGCGCTTTTCCAACAGTCTTAGCAAACAGCACACCAGGAGATTATATCCCGTGCCTGGCTTGGAGGGTCCTATGCCCACAGAGCCTCGCTCATTGCTAGCACAGCAGTCTGAGATCAAACTGCAAGGCAGCAGTGAGGCTGGGGGAGGGACGCCTGCCATTGCTGAGGCTTGAGTAGGTAAACAAAGCGGCCAGAAAGCTTGAACTGGGTAGAGCCCACTGCAGCTCAAGGAGGCCTGCCTTCCTCTGTAGACTCCACCTCTGGGGGCAGGGCATAGCCAAACAAAACGCAGCAGAAACCTCTGCAGACTTAAATGCCCCTGTCTGACAGCTTTGAAGAGAGTAGTGGTTCTCCCAGCATGCAGCTGGAGATCTGAGAACGGACAGACTGCCTCCTCAAGTGGGTCCCTGACCCCCGAGTGGCCTAACTGGGAGGCATACCCCAGTAAGGGCAAACTGACATCTCACACAGCCGGGTACTCCTCTGAGACAAAACTTCCAGAGGAATGATCAGGCAGCAACATTTGCTGTTCATCAATATCTGCTGTTCTGCAGCCTCCGCGACTGATACCCAGGCAAACAGGGTCTGGAGTAGACCTCCAGCAAACTCCTACAGACCTGCAGCTGAGGGTTCTGACTGTTAGAAGGAAAACTAACAAACAGAAAGGACATCCACACCAAAACCCCAACTGTACATCACCATCATCAAAGACCAAAGGTAGATAAAACCACAAAGATGGGAAAAAAACAGAGCAGAAAAACTGGAAACTCTAAAAATCAGAGTGCCTCTCCTCCTCCAAAGGAACGTAGCTCCTCACCAGCAACAGAACAAAGCTGGATGGAGAATGACTTTGACGAGCTGAGAGAAGAAGGTTTCAGATGATCAAACTACTCCGAGCTAAAGGAGGAAGTTCGAACCAACGGCAAAGAAGTTAAAAACCTTGAAAAAAAATTAGACAAATGCCTAACTAGAATAACCAATGCAAAGAAGTCCTTAAGGGACCTGATGGAGGTGAAAACCACAGCATGAGAACTACGTGACGAATGCACAAGCCTCAGGAGCCGATTCGATCAACTGGAAGTAAGGGTATCAGTGATGGAAGATCAAATGAATGAAATGAAGTGAGAAGAGAAGTTTAGAGAAAAAACAAGGAAAAGAAATGAACAAAGCCTCCAAGAAATATGGGACTATTTAAAAAGACCAAATCTATGTCTGATTACTGTACCTGAAAGTGATGGGGAGAATGGAACTAAGTTGGAAAACACTCTACAGGATATTATCCAGGAGAACTTCCCCAATCTAGCAAGGCAGGCCAACATTCAGATTCAGGAAATACACATAACGCCACAAAGATAATCCTCTAGAAGAGCAACTCCAAGACACATAATTGTCAGATTCACCAAAGTTGAAATGAAGGAAAAAATATTAAGGGCAGCCAGAGAGAAAGGTTGGGTTACCCACAGAGGGAAGCCCATCAGACTAACAGCTGATCTGTCGGCAGAAACCTTACAAGCCAGAAGACAGTGGGGGCCAATATTCAACATTCTTGAAGAAAAGAATTTTTAACCCAGAATTTCATATCCAGCTAAACTAAGCTTCATAAGTGAAGCAGGAATAAAATACTTTACAGACAAGCAAATGCTGAGAGATTTTGTCACCACCAGGCCTGCCCTAAAAGAGCTCCCGAAGGAAGCACTAAACATGGAAAGGAACAACCAGTACCAGCCATTGCAAAAACATGCCAGACTGTAAAGACCATTGAGGCTAGGAAGAAACTGCATCAACTAATGAGCAAAATAACCAGCTAACATCATAATGACAGGATCAAATTCACACATAACAATATTAACCTTAAATGTAAATGGGCTAAATGCTCCAATTAAAAGACACAGACTGGCAAATTGGATAAAGAGCCAAGACCTATCAGTGTGCTGTATTCAGGAAACCCATCTCACGTGCAGAGACACACATAGGCTCAAAATAAAGGGATGGAGGAAGATCTACCAAGCAAATGGAAAACAAAAAAAGGCAGGGGTTGCAATCCTAGTCTCAGATAAAACAGACTTTAAGCCAACAAAGATCAAAAGAGACAAAGAAGGCCATTACATAATGGTAAAGGGATCAATTCAACAAGAAGAGCTAACTATCCTAAATATATATGCACCCAATACAGGAGCACCCAGATTCATAAAGCAAGTCCTCAGAGACCTACAAAGAGACTTAGACTCCCACACAATAATAATGGGAGACTTTAACACCCCACTGTCAACATTAGACAGATCAATGAGACAGAAAGTTAACAAGGATATCCAGGAATTGAACTCAGCTCTGCACCAAGCAGACCTAATAGACATCTACAGAACTCTCCACCCCAAATCAACAGAATATACATTCTTTTCAGCACCACACCACACCTATTCCAAAATTGACCACATAGTTGGAAGTAAAGCACTCCTCAGCAAATGTAAAAGAACAGAAATTATAGCAAACTGTCTCTCAGACCACAGTGCAATCAAACTAGAACACAGGATTAAGAAACTCAATCAAAACTGCTCAACTATATGCAAACTGAACAACCTGCTCCTGAATGACTACTGGGTACATAACGAAATGAAGGCAGAAATAAAGATGTTCTTTGAAACCAATGAGAACAAAGACACAAAAACCAGAATCTCTGGGACACATTCAAAGCAGTGTGTAGAGGGAAATTGATGGCACTAAATGCCCACAAGAGAAAGCAGGAAAGATCTAAAATTGACACCCTAACATCACAATTAAAAGAACTAGAGAAGCAAGAGCAAACACATTCAAAAGCTAGCAGAAGGCAAGAAATAACTAACATCAGAGCAGAACTGAAGGAAATAGAGACACAAAAAACCCTTCAAAAAATCAGTGAATCCAGGAGCTGGTTTTTTGAAAAGATCAACAAAATTGATAGACTGCTAGCAAGACTAATAAAGAAGAAAAGAGAGAAGAATCAAATAGACGCAATAAAAAATGATAAAGGGGATATCACCAACAATCCCACAGAAATACAAACTACCATCAGAGAATACTATAAACACCTCTATGCAAATAAACTAGAAAATCTAGAAGAAATGGATAAATTCCTTGACACATACACCCTCCCAAGACTAAACCAGGAAGAAGTTGAACCTCTGAATAGACCAATAACAGGCTCTGAAATTGAGGCAATAATTAATAGCTTACCAACCAAAAAAAGTCCAGGACCAGATGGATTCACAGCCTAATTCTACCAGAGGTACAAAGAGGAGCTGGTACCATTCCTTCTGAAACTATTCCAATCACCAGAAAAAGAGGGAATCCTCCCTAACTCATTTTATGAGGCCAGCATCATCCTGATACCAGAGCCTGGCAGAGACACAACAAAAAAAGAGAATTTTAGACCAATATCCCTGATGAACATTGATGCAAAAATCCTCAATAAAATACTGGCAACCCGAATCCAGCAGCACATCAAAAAGCTTATCCACCATGATCAAGTGGGCTTCATCCCTGGCATGCAAGGCTGGTTCAACATACACAAATCAATAAATGTAATCCAGCATATAAACAGAATCAACGACAAAAACAATATGATTATCTCAATAGATGCAGAAAAGGCCTTTGACAAAATTTAACAACACTTCATGCTAAAAACTCTCAATAAATTAGGTATTGATGGGACGTATCTAAAAATAATAAGAGCTATCTATGACAAACCCACAGCCAATATCATACTGAATGGGCAAAAACTGGAAGCATTCCCTTTGAAAACTGGCACAAGACAGGGATGCCCTCTCTCACCATGCCTATTCAACATAGTGTTGGAAGTTCTGGCCAGGGAAATCAGGCAGGAGAAGGAAATAAAGGGCATTCAATTAGGAAAAGAGGAAGTCAAATTGTTCCTGTTTGCAGATGACATGATTGTATATCCAGAAAACCCCATCATCTCAGGCCAGAATCTCTTAAGCTGACAGGCAACTTCAGCAAAGTCTCAGGATACAAAATCAATGTGCAAAAATCACAAGCATTCTTATACACCAATAACAGACAAACACAGAGCCAAATCATGAGTGAACTCCCATTCAGAATTGCTTCAAAGAGAATAAAATACCTAGGAATCCAACTTACAAGGGATGTGAAGGACCTCTTCAAGGAGAACTACAAACCACTGCTCAAGGAAATAAAAGAGGATACAAACAATTGGAAGAACATTCCATGCTCATGGGTAGGAAGAATCAATATCGTGAAAATGGCCATACTGCCCAAGGTAATTTACAGATTCAATGCCATCCCCATCAAGCTACCAATGACTTTCTTCACAGAATTGGAAAAAAACTACTTTAAAATTCATATGGAATCAAAAAAGAGCCCTCATTGCCAAGTCAATCCTAAGCCAAAAGAACAAAGCTGGAGGCATCACGCTACCTGACTTCAAACTATACTACAAGGCTACAGTAACCAAAACAGCATGGTACTGGTACCAAAACAGAGATATAGACCAATGGAACAGAACAGAGCCCTCAGAAATAATGCCACATATCTACTACTATCTGATATTTCACAAACCTGATGAAAACAAGAAATGGGGAAAGGATTCCCTATTTAAGAAATGGTGCTGGGAAAACTGGCTAGCCATATGTAGAAAGCTGAAACTGGATCCCTTCCTTACACCTTATACAAAAATTAATTCAAGATGGACTGAAGACTTAAATGTTAGACCTAACACCATAAAAACCCTAGAAGAAAATCTAGGCAATACCATTCAGGACATAGGCATGGGCAAGGACTTCATGTCTAAAACACCAAAAGCAATGGCAACAAAAGCCAAAATTGACAAATGGGATCTAATTAAACTAAACAGCTTCTGCACAGCAAAAGAAACTACCATCAGAGTGAACAGGTAACCTACAGAATGGGAGAAAATTTTTGCAATCTACTCATCTGACAAAGGTCTAATATCCAGAATCTACAATGAACTCCAACAAATTTATAAGAAAAAAAAAACCCCATCAAAAAGTGGGCAAAGGATATGAACAGACACTTCTCAAAAGAAGACATTTATGCAGCCAAAAGACACATGAAAAAATGCTCATCATCACTGGCCATCAGAGAAATGCAAATCAAAACCACAATGAGACACCATCTCACACCAGTTAGAATGGCGATCATTAAAAGGTCAGGAAACAACAGGTGCTGGAGAGGATGTGGAGAAATAGGAACACTTTTACACTGTGGGTGGGACTGTAAACTAGTTCAACCATTGTGGAAGACAGTGTGGCGATTCCTCAGGGATCTAGAACTAGAAATACCATTTGATCCAGCCATCCCATTACTGGGTATATACTCAAAGGATTATAAAACATGCTGCTATAAAGACACATGCAGCACTATTCACAACAGCAAAGACTTGGAACCAACCCAAATGTCCAACAATGATAGACTGGATTAAGAAAATGTGGCACATACACACCATGGAATACTATGCAGCCATAAAAAATGATGAGTTCATGTCCTTTGTAGGGACGTGGATGAAGCTGGAAACCATCATTCTCAGCAAACTATTGCAAGGACCAAAAAACAACCACTGCATGTTCTCACTCACAGGTGGGAATTGAACAATGAGAACACATGGACACAGGAAGGGGAACATCACACACCCGGGCCTGTTGTGGGGTGGGGGAGGGGTGAGGGATAGCATTAGGAGATATGCCTAACATTAAATGATGAATTAATGGGTGTAGCACACCAACATGGCACACGTATACACATATGTAACAAACCTGCACATTGTGCACATGTACCCTAAAACTTAAAGTATAATAAAAAAATAAAAATACAAAAATTAAAAAATATATATATATTCTTGAGCTTTGATCTCTGTGATAAGTTACTTATAAGTAGTTTAATCCTTTCGGGTCTTGCTTTTAAGCTTTGTTGGTGGGATGATAGCAACAATTCGTCTGTCGCTAATTTTTCACCAATACTGGGTAACATCATTCTTAGTACTTTAATCGTTGCCCTGTAAATTGTGAGGTTTTGGGAGCAGGCTCCAACTCCCTGCTGTGTGAGCTCTGGGGACTATTCCTTCTCATCCCTTTGGGCGGTCTGTTCCTCAACCTCACAGCTGTGAATGCCATATTAGGCTCTGCAGGTCTCCGCAGTCCTCTCTGTGCAGCTCTCTCCGCTCTGGTACTCTGTATACAGACTCTGTATGTCTTGGCCTCCCTGGATTTCCAGTTCTGTCTCCTCTCTACTAAGGGGGTGTGCCAGGATCTGCCTGGCATTCTCCTTCCTGTGTCACAGTCTGGAAACTTTCTACAGGAAATCCATTGGGAAATTTTTAGAACTTGCCTTTTTCTTTTTAATTTTTCATTTAAAAATTTTTTAATTTTTGTGGGTACATAGTAGAGTATATGAAATATTTTGATTCAGGCATACAATGTGTAGTAATCATATCAGGGTAAATGGGTTATCCATCACCTCAAGCATTTATCCTTTCCTGTGTTACAAACAATCCAATTATAATTTAGTTACTTTAAAATGTACAATAAGTTATTGTTGCCTATACTCACCTGTTGTGGTATCATACTTGATATTATTCCTTCTATCTAACTATATTTTTGTACCATTACACATCATCCCTTAGAACTGTCTTTGTTTCCCATGACTCACGGAACACTGTATTTTGTTGCCTGATATTCAATGGCTTTGGGACCATTTCATTTCATTATTTCATTTCATTTCTTTCGTTTCTTTCATTTCATTTATTTCATTTCAGACAGGATCTCACTCTGTCACCCAGGCTGGAGTGCAGTGGCACAATCTCAGCTCACATTTCATTTCTTCATTTTGTTTCATTTCTTTCATTTCATTTCTTCATTTCATTTCATTTCATTTCATTTATTTCATTTCATTTCATATGACAGGATCTCACTCTGTCACCCAGGCTGCAGTGCAGTGGCACAATCTCAGCTCACATTTCATTTCATTTTATTTCATTTCATTATTTCATTTCATTTCATTTCATTTCATTTCATTTCATATGACAGGATCTCACTCTGTCACCCAGGCTGGAGTGCAGTGGCACAATCTCAGCTCACATTTTATTTCATCATTTCATTCATTTCATTTCATTTCATTTCATTTCTTTCGACAGGATCTCACTCTGTCACCCAGCCTGGAGTGCAGTGGCACAATCTCAGTTCAGATTTCATCATTTCATTTCATTTCATGTCATTTATTTCATTTCATATGACAGGATCTCACTCAGGATCTCACTGTGTCACCCAGGCTGGAGTGCAGTGGCACAATCTCAGCTCACATTTCATCATTTCATTTCTTCATTTCATTTCATTTCATTTATTTTATTTCATATGACAGGATCTCTCTCTGTCATCCAGGCTGGAGTGCAGTGGCACAATCTCAGCTCACATTTCATTTCATCATTTCATTCATTTCATTTCATTTCACTTATTTCATCATTTCATTTCATTTTTCATTTCAATTCATTTCTTTCGACAGGATCTCACTCTGTCACCCAGCCTGGAGTGCAGTGGGACAATCTCAGCTCACATTTCATTTCATCATTTCATTTCTTCATTTCATTTCATTTCATTTCATATGACAGGATCTCTCTCTGTCATCCAGGCTGGAGTGCAGTGGCACAATCTCAGCTCACATTTCATCATTTCATTCATTTCATTTCATTTCATTTCACTTATTTCATCATTTCATTTCATTTTTCATTTCATTTCATTTCTTTCGACAGGATCTCACTCTGTCACCCAGCCTGGAGTGCAGTGGGACAATCTCAGTTCACATTTCATTTCTTCATTTCATTCATTTCATTTCTTTCGACAGGATCTCACTCTGTCACCCAGCCTGGAGTGCAGTGGCACAATCTCAGTTCACATTTCATTTCTTCATTTCATTTATTTCATTTCATTATTTCATTTCATTTCATATGACAGGATCTCACTCAGGATCTCACTCTGTCACTCAGGCTGGAGTGCAGTGGCACAATCTCAGCTCACATTTTATTTCATTTCATCATTTCATTTATTTCATTTCATTTCATTATTTCATATGACAGGATCTCTGTCACCCAGGCTGGAGTGCAGTGGCACAATCTCAGCTCATATTTCATTTCATCATTTCATTTCATTTCATATGACAGGATCTCACTCTGTCACCCAGGCTGGAGTGCAGTGGCACAATCTCAGCTCATATTTCATTTCATCATTTCATTTCTTCATTTCATGTCATTTCATTTATTTCATTTCATTTCATTTCATATTTCATTTCATTTCACAGACAGGATCTCACTCTGTCACCTAGGCTGGAGTGCAGTGGCACAATCTCAGCTCACATTTTATTTCATCATTTCATTCATTTCATTTCGTTTTACTTATTTCATTTCTTTCGACAGGATCTCACTCTGTCACCTAGGCTGGAGTGCAGTGGCACAATCTCAGCTCACATTTTATTTCATCATTTCATTCATTTCATTTCATTTCATTTCATTTCACTTATTTCATTTCTTTCGACAGGATCTCACTCTGTCACCCAGCCTGGAGTGCAGTGGCACAATCTCAGTTCAGATTTCATTTCACCATTTCATTTCATTTCATTTATTTCATTTCATTTCATATGACAAGATCTCACTCAGGATCTCACTCTGTCACCCAGGCTGGAGTGCAGTGGCACAATCTCAAGCTCACATTTCATCATTTCATGTCATTTCATTTATTTCATTTCATATGACAGGATCTCACTGTGTCACCCAGGCTGCAGTGCAGTGGCACAATCTCAGCTCACATTTCATTTCATCATTTCATTTCTTCATTTATTTCATTTCATTTCATATGACAGGATCTCTCTCTGTCACCCAGGCTGGAGTGCAGTGGCACAATCTCAGCTCACATTTCATCATTTCATTCATTTCATTTCACTTATTTCACCATTTCATTTCATTTTTCATTTCATTTCATTTCTTTTGACAGGATCTCACTCTGTCACCCAGCCTGGAGTGCAGTGGGACAATCTCAGTTCACATTTCATTTCATCATTTCATTTCTTCATTTCATTTCATTTCTTTCAACAGGATCTCACTCTGTCACCCAGCCTGGAGTGCAGTGGCACAATCTCAGTTCACATTTCATTTCTTCATTTCATTTCATCATTTCATATGACAGGATCTCAC
Source organism: Homo sapiens (assembly GCF_000001405.40). Taxonomy (NCBI): domain Eukaryota; kingdom Metazoa; phylum Chordata; class Mammalia; order Primates; family Hominidae; genus Homo; species Homo sapiens. The sequence goes on along the minus strand of NW_011332701.1, from coordinate 3,018,535 downwards.
TCAGGATCTCACTCTGTCACCCAGGCTGGAGTGCAGTGGCACAATCTCAGCTCACATTTTATTTCATTTCATCATTTCATTTATTTCATTTATTTCATTTCATTTCATTTCATTTCATTTCATTATTTCGTATGACAGGATCTCTCTCTGTCACCCAGGCTGGAGTGCAGTGGCACAATCTCAGCTCATATTTCATTTCATCATTTCTTCATTTCATTTCATTTCATATGACAGGATCTCACTCTGTCACCCAGGCTGGAGTGCAGTGGCACAATCTCAGCTCACATTTCATTTCATCATTTCATTTCATTATTTCATTTCACTTCATTTCATTTCATTTCATTTTTTATGACAGGATCTCACTCTGTCACCCAGGCTGGAGTGCAGTGGCACAATCTCAGCTCACTGCAACCTCCACCTCCCAAGTAGCTGGGACTTCAGGTGTGCACCACCACATCTGGCTAATTGTTTTTCTATTTTTCATAGAGATAGGGTTTCGTCATGTTGCCCAGGCTGGTTTTGAACTCCTGAGTTCAAGCAATCTGCCCACCTCAGCTTCTCAAAGTGCTGGGATAACAGGCGTGAGCCACCATGCCGGACCTGTTTAATGTATTTTATATGGTGTTTTAGTTATTCCTAGGATAGGAAGGCCCCTGTTACTCCAATCTGGCTGGTAGTTCTCATTCATTTTTTAAAACTTGTGAGTTTGGTTCATTTGTTTAAAAAATGGTGTCGATTGTGTGTTCTTTCTTCCTCACCCCTGCTATTTCCTCTGTATTTGCAGTTTTAGTATCACGCACGTTACACAAAATGCCAAACGTGATTCAGTGGATGATTTAAGGGAGAAGGACAAAAAAACACTTACTTAGTACTTGTCATCAAAAACTCAGAATTGACTTTTTTTTCTTCTCAACAGAGGAGTCATATGGGTAAGGCTTCATATTGGAACATAAAACTATTGCTGCCAAATGAGTCATTAACATTATTTAGTTTGAGCAGATTATTGCAAATGTTGCCTTGAAAAACGAAGTGCCAATAAATTGTAGCAGCATTAAAACAAACAAAGACAAATAGAATGTTGAAATAATTTTTTCACATCACACCTTCTGTTGCCATTCCCCAACTTCCTTTCTGCCTCACCCCAAGAGTAAACTCCTTCTGAAGACAGGGCAAGGCAGTGCTTTCCTCCCGAGTTCATAGCTACTTTCTAAATAAAACACATGCTGAATGGGTTCAAGCAATGTTGGGGTAGACACCGACTCTGTCCCTTCAATGCCTAGTCTGCCACCTGCACCATACCCAGTGGCATACAGCTAATAAAAGAAAAAGCAACAGTAACATCAGTTTTTAATCTCAATATCCCCTAAATTTAGTAATTCATAAACAATCCATGTTTTAGACATTTTTACCACATAGAAATAAAATTTAAAGTTAAAAATCACAGGAATGTTTATGCCTTTATACATGCTCTATCAAAGTTCTAGAAATGAAATAAAAACACGACTATTAGAAATTCCAAATTCAGAAAACATACTGTGAAAATAAAGTCTTCTCCCTGGAAGCTCTTCGATTTTTGTCTGGAATACCAACTACAATTAACACCAAGAAAAGCAAAAAACAATTTAATTATCTACTATATGCAAATCTCTGACAATAACAGCCACAAAACATACCCGTAAAAGAACACAAATACATTTTAATATTTCAGCAGGGCAGCGTATAAACCACATGGGAAAAAACGCTTTTTTTTTCCATCTAAGTGGGAATGTTTTAGGACACAAAACATCTATGATTAATTTTTTAAAAAACATGATTAATTTAAAAAGACACACACACACAATCAGACTGCCATTTTCCAAATGAAGGCAAACATGCCTCCTGATAAAAACTTAAATGCTGTTCCATGCTGTTTTAGACATCTTTCAAACGTGCTGCTACGCTGACATAATAGTAAGGAAGCCACAAGGCCCAACGCAGGAAGTGAAACCCAAACTCAGGTGGATAAATGAGCCCCACCCCCAAAGCCAGCTTCTGGCGGGGAGGGTGTGAGGCTCTCTGGTGCACACGGTGCAGGGTAATGCAGCATGCCTCCAAGGACTTCCTATAGAAAGTGGGGCTCCAAAGGGTTGCCCCTCAGTGACTGTGAATAAGAAGAACACCACAGAAAGCTGCCCTTCCCAGCCTCAGCACTGACAGGGAGACAGAGGCTTGCTCCTGAGAATTCATAACTACAACAGGAGTTGGCAAATTATGGCCCATGGGCTGAATCAGGCCCATCATTTGTTTCTGTAAATGAAGTTTTATGGGAACACAGCCACACCCACTCATTTATAATATGTCCAGGGCTACTTTTGCAGTTGCAACAGAGACTATATGGCCCAAAGCTGAAAATACCATTGTGTCCTTTACAGAAAGTGTTTACCAACCCCCACCCTAGAAAAAGGACAAAATGAAGATATTTTGAAACAATCAGAATTAACCAATGAAAGAATTTCACTAAAGTAAATTGAAAAAGATATGATAAAGGAGAAGGAAATGATTTTATAAGATCTGAGACATAGCAAACGATGGTAAGAAACGATAGTAAGCAAAGATGTGCAATATTTGGCTAACTCCAGAAAAAAACCACAGTCCATATAAAACAACCAAAACAACAACAATAATGTCTATGGCAGAGGGGAATAGGTTAGAACCCAAACACTGGGTAACAAGGGGTCACTGATTGGGAGGAGGGGAAAATACTAATTAACTTTAGGTTTTTAAGTACCTATGTTAAAATAACCAGAGAAACAACGAAAAGAAACAAAATTCTCCTGAGAATTGACAAAGAGGGGCTATATTTCAAACCTTTTTATGAGGCTAGACCACTTCGACACCTGTGCTAGCAATCTGCCCCTGACACGGTTCACAGTGATCCCTGCTTCCAAATATGCATGCTCCTGTACACAGGCACACTCCATTTGACTGTGCCTCGCTTTACTGTACCTCGCAGATACTGTTTTTTACAAACCGAAGGTCTGCGGCAACCCTGCACTGACCAACTCTAACGGCGCCACTTTTCCACCAGCATGTGCTGACTTACTGTCTCTATGTCACATTTTGATAATTCTTGCAATATTTTAAACTTTTTCATTATTTTATCTGTTATGATGATCTGTGATCAGTAATGTTTGATGTTACTGTTGTACTTGTTTTGAGGCACCACAAACCACACCCATAGAAGATGGTGAACTTAAATGATAAATGTGGTGTATGTTCTGATTGTTCCGCCAACCAGCTGTTCTCCCATCTCTCTCCCTCTCCTCAGACCTCCCTATTGTGTACCTGAGACATAACTTATTGAAATTAGGCCACTTAATAACCCTGCAGTAGCCTCTAAGAGTTCAAGTGAAAGGAAGAGTTGCATATTTCTCACTTTAAGTCAAAAGCTAGAAATGATTAAGATTAGTGACGAAGGCACACTGAAAGCCAAGACAGGCTGAAAGCTAGGCCTCTTGCACCAGTTACCCAAGAAAAAGTTCTTGAAGCACAATTAAGTGCAACTCTAGTAAACACACAAATGATAAGAATGCAAAACAGTCTTATGGCTGATATACAGAATGTTTGACTGGCATAGACAGAAGATCAAAACTGATACAACATTCCCTTAAGCCAAAGCCTAATCCAGAGCAAGGCTCTAACTCTCTTCAATTCCACGAAGGCTAAGAGAGGTGAGACAGCTGCAGAAGGAAAGTCTGAAGGTAGCAAAGATTGGTTCCTGAGGTGTAAATAAAGACGCCGTCTTCATAACATAAAAGTGTGAGGGAAAGTAGCAAGTGCTGATGTAGAAGCTGCAGCAAGTTACCCAGAAGATCTAGCCAAGATCAGTGATGAAGGTGGCTACGCTAAACAACAGGCTTTCAACGTAGATGGAACAACCGTCTATTGGAAGAAGATGCCAGCTAGGACTTTCATAGCTAGAGAGAAGTCAATGTTTGCCTTCAAAGCTTCAAATATTTTGTTAGGGGCTAATGCAGCTGATGACTATATTAGTTGAATTCGTTGAAGTCAATGCTCATTGACCATTCTGAAAATCTTAGGGCCCTTAAGAATTATGCTAACTCCACTCTGACTGTGCTCCAGAAATAGAACAAAACCTGGAAGTCAGCACATTTGTTTACAGCATGGTTCACTGAATATTTTAAGCCCACTATTGAGGCCTACTGCTCAGAAAAAAAGATTTCTTACAAAATATTACTGCTCATTGACAATGTACCTGGTCACCCAAAAGCTCTGATGAACATGTACAAAGAAATTAAAGTTGTTTTCATGCCTGCTAACACATCATCTTTTCTGCAGCCACATGGATCAAGGAGTAATTTCAACTTCAAATCTTGTTATTTAAGAAATACACTTCAGTCTCTACTAAAAAATACAAAAAATTAGCCAGGCATGGTGGCGGACACCTGTAGTCCCAGCTACTTGGGAGGCTGAGGCAGGAGAATGGCGTGAACCCAGGAGGTGGAGCTTGCAGTGAGCAGAGATCACGCCACTGCACTCCAGCCTGGGCTACAGAGCAAGACTGTCTCAAAAAAAGAAAAAAAAAAAAACAAAGAAATACATTTCATAAGGCTACAGCTGCCATAGATAGTGATTCTTCTAATGGATGTGGACAAGCTAAATTGAAAACCTTCTGGAAAGCCAGCACCATTATAAATGCCATTAAGAACATTTGTGATTCATGGGAGGAGGTGAAAATATCAACATTAACAGGGATGTGGAAGTGGATTCCAACCCTCATGGATGACCTTGAGAGGTTCAAGACGAGAGGAAGAAGTGACCTCAGATGTGGTGGAAACAGCAAAAGAACTAGAATTAGAAGTGGAGCCTGAAGATGTGACTTAATAGACTATAGTATACACATACTTTTATATCCACTGGGAAACCAAGAAATTTGTGTGACTTACTTGTGAAGACACTTGCTTTATTGTGTTGGTTTAGAACCAAGCCTGCATACCTCCAAGTATGCCTACAGCTCCCTCTCCCTGAGTGTGGGCTGGACTTAATGACCTGCTTCTGATGAGCAGAATAGGGCAAGAACGATGGAGTGTGGTCACTTCTGTGATTCAGTTACACAGGACCGGGGCTCTGTTTCCTCCACTCTCTCTTGCTGGTGCTCCCTCCTGCGCCTCCCTTGCTCTCGCTGACAGTCAGTTGCCACGCTGTGAGACGCTCTATGGACACGTGGCAAAGGGCTGAGTGAGGGGAGGCTCTGCCAACAGCTCATAAGGGACTGAGGCCTCAGCCCAAAGGTCCACAAGGGACTGAATCCTTGCTCGGACAGCCTCAAGACAACTGCAGCCTGCTGAGATTCTGAGCTGGAGGATGGAGCTATGCTGCATCCAGAGTCCTGACCCAGAGAAACTATGAAATGATACATGTGTGTGAGACAGAACATTACACGAGACTATCTCACTCATGAATAGGATCTCCCAAAAATCTAAACAAAACAATCACAAACACAAGCCAGATACATATCCTGACCAAACTGGATTTATCCAAACAATGCAAGTTTGTTTAATATGAGAAAACCAATTAATCCAACTGACTATACCAATCCATTAGAAAACATTGGCCAGGTGTGGTGGCTCATGCCTGTAATCCCAGCACTTTGGGAGGCCGAGGCGGGCGGATCACAAGGTCAGGAGTTCAAGACCAGCCTGACCAATATGGTGAAACCCCATCTCTACTAAAAATACAAAAAAAAAAAAAAAAAAATTAGCCGGGCATGGTGGCAGTCGCCTGTTGTCCCAGCTACTCGGGAGGCTGAGGTAGAAGAATCTCTTGAACCCGGGAAGCAGAGGTTGCAGTGAGCCGAGACTGTGCCACTGCACTCCCGCCTGGGCGACAGAGTGAGACTCTGTCTCAAAAAAAAAAAAAAAAAAAAAAAAAACAGAAAACATCTATGAAAGAACATTTCAAAAATACATAGAAAGAGTGTTGAACACTCCACTGATGAACAGAAACAGAAGGAAACATGCCTAATCTAATCAAGGGCTTCTACTCAAACCCCACTGGAAGCCTGGAAACGCTCCTTCTGTGCCTGCTCCAGTCTGGATCAAGGCAGGAGCCTCTGCCCACTCCTACCCAGAATCACATCACAACCCCAGCCCGCACCATGAGCTCCCATTCTCCCACACAAATGGGAAAAATAAAAGAGAGGTATGCTAGACAGAAAGGAACAGAATTCATTTAGAGACTATGGCACTCTATAAAGAAGATATAAGAAATCTTCAGATACACTAGAATGAAGAGACTCAAGTAGGTCACCAAACATAAAGTCAGTATATAAACATCCAATATTTCTATATATCAGTGGCAATCTTTTTTTTTTTCTTTTTTTTTTCTTTGTGACAGAGTATTGCTCTGTCGCCCAGGCTGGAGTGCGGTGGTGTGATCTCGGCTCACTGCAACCTCCGCCTCCCAAGTTTGAGTGATTCTCCTGCCTCAGCCTCCCGAGTAGCTGGGATTACAGGCACGTATCACCACGCCTGGCTTATTTTTAGTAGAGACGGGGTTCCCCATGTTGGCCAGGCTGGTCTCAAACTCGTGACATCAGGTGATCCACCCATCTTGGGCTCCCAAAGTGCTGGGATTACAGGTGTGAGCCACTGCACCGGGCCAGCAGCAATAAATTTTTTAAAAGTATTTACAATAGCAAGGAAGAAACACATCTAACGAGTGATACACAAACAAAAATTGTAATACTTTCGTATACATGATGTATTTTCAAAATTAAAAAAAAAAAATTGGCCAGGCATGGTGGCTCACACCTATAATCCCAGCACTTTGGGAGGCCAAGGTGGGCGGATCACCTGAGGTCAGGATTTCGAGACCAGCCTGGTCAACATGGTGAAACCCTGTCTCTACTAAAAATACAAAAAAGTTAGCCAGGTGTGGTGGCGGGCGCCTATAATCCCAGCTACTCGGGAGGCTGAAGCAGGAGAATGACTTGAACCCAGGAGGTGGAGGTTGCAGTGAGCTGAGATTGCGCCATTGCACTCCAGCCTGGGCAACAAGAGCAAAACTCCATCTTAAATTTTTTAAAAAAAAATTTAAAGATTATGCAAAAATATCTTAGAAGTCTAACTGCTTCCTGCATACCACAGTACTATTAATCCTGAGAAACGTTTTAGTGCAGATCCTTGCCTGTGCTAAGAACCACACAGCACCGTTAGCCACAACTGCCTCAGGCTCAGTGACCCTGTGACACAGAAAAAGCACCCTTACCTTCCCATCAGCTGTCACAGCAGAGGGTCTGTTCCCCTCCGATTAACTGCATGGGTCTGAGAGTTGTGAGGGCTTCACAGGGAGAGGGAATTTTGACTTTTGCACCTTCAATGCCCCCGAGCTGGCCCCTATGATCATGTCCCCAACCATAAATTGTTCCACTGCCACCAGCAGACAGATTCCAATCATCTGGTCGCCTACAACACACATCAAGTGAGCATTTGCCATGGGAAAGAACAATGCACACAGCCTCTCGCGTTCAAGATCGACATTACTGCTTGTTTCTAATATAATAACCTGTTCATTCACTGCACAACTTGTTCATCTTGCTCTCTTTTAAAAATGTCTTGGCTCTCAGGCAGAACATCCCATGTTTTCGCTGTCTGCCATTAATTCACGAATTTTCTTAGCCACTTAAACAAAATTATTATGATGTTACAAATCAAACACTCATCTCAAACAAAATAAATAAATACTAAGGAAAGACAGAAGGAATCCCTGCCTGAAAATATGAGGGAAGAGCAACATTGCAATGTTATGGTTCCTGGGCAAAACCAATAATGACTGCATCAAGTCTAACATATTAAAAATGTCTAGACAGTCTCATTCTATCTGTAGTTCACTAAAAATAAACTTTAACTGAAATTCACAGTGTCAGTTCACTCATTTTCACCTATGTGTTATTTTCTTTCTTTTTCTCTATGGTGCGATCTCGGCTCACTGCAAGCTCCGCCTCCCGGGTTCAAGCAATTCTCCTGCCTCAGCCTCCTGAGTGGCTGGGATTACAAGCGCCCGCCACTACGCCAAGCTAATTTTTGTATTTTTAGTAGAGACGGGGTTTCACCATGTTGGTCAGGCTGGTCTCAAACCCCTGACCTCGTGATCCACCCGCCTCGGCCTCCCAAAGTGCTGGGATTACAGGCGTGAGCCACCGCGCCTGGCCCTACCTATGTGTTATTTTCTTTGATATTCCTTGGCAAGGAAAATTTTTCTGTGTCTCATAATATTGGCATCTTGTTACACTATAGCTAAACAATGTTTTTGCATCCCAAAAGTGATTCCAAAATATCATGCAATACCTCATCAAGAAACAGACGGGGCAATGGTGTTCTTTTGTCAAGGGCCACAGCAATGCGGGAGGCCATGCAGTACCTCCGGAACCAGGCCCACTTGTGCGTCTCGGCACAGCAAGGCAGAGTGTCCAGCTCCAGGTCACAAGCAAGAGCTACCAGTACCTGCAGGCACCAAAAATGACAAACTCAGGGACACTCAGAAATGCAGTGAACAGGCCAAGGTTTCTGTGGCTCCTTCCGCAGGACCTCCTATTCCAGGATGACGGCCATGGGCACAGCAAGGATACGGCCACCATCAGTGATGTGGCGATCTCTGACAGTTCCTAGCCACGTGCCACACAACTGCTGCAACACTTGTTGCCTGCATCAAGTGACAAGAACACCTGTGCATCTCAAGGCATGCTAACGGTTACAGGCTTATGGTTTAAGGGTTTAGATTACACGATCATTTCTTGAGATTTTTTCATATTTGACTTCAGCAACCTACAGCTGCCCTCAGAGGCCTAAAACACACAAACAGACTGCACATGACAACTCTCAGTGGCTCTTTCAGTCAAATAGCTCTATTGTCACTTTAAAAAAGAAGTGAAACATTACCTTAAAGAATGGGCTGTGGAGCAGCTGTTTGCCACCCCTCACAATAGGATCTTCATATTCAAACTGCCTTTGCAAAGCTTCTGGAAGACCTTTCACCAAAGCAGCAAGAGCACTACCTGTAAAACTCTAAGAAACAACAGAACAGTATTCTATCGTGGGAATCCAGAGTACAGGAGAGGCTGACCATTTGTCTCTAAGGTCAAATGTTTTATTATGTTGGTACCATTTCTTCTAAAAAAAAAAAAAAAGCTTATCAAAATTCTCAAGTAGGAAAAAAGCTAAAAGAACATAAACACTAAAATAAAAAAGAGGAGTTTAAAGACTCATCTCAGAATGTTTGGTCTTGATTTCAGTACATCCGCTTCCAGAGAAATAGCCCCTCTCTGGCCCACAAACGCTGCCTGTCTCCTCCCATGTGTAGGATCAAAAGGGACTACTTTAGTCAGCAAAATAAAGGGGAGGCCAATCAGTTAGCCTCATTGTCCAAGTCCAATCAACACAATCCTATGTTCATGGCAGTCGAGACAGATTTTCACAAAATCAAAGTCCAACTTGAACTCAGTATGCACTGCAACATACAAAAAGTCTGGATGTGACAAAGCCTTCCTTATTCTTTTTCTTTTGAGACGGAGTCTCGCTCTGTCACCAGGCTGGAGTGTAGTGGTGCCATCTCGGCTCACTCCGAACTCCACCTCCCAGGTTCAAGCAATTCTCCTGCCTCAATTTCCCGAGTACCTGGGACTACAGGCGCCTGCCACCACGCCCATCTAATTTTTTGTATTTTTAGTAGAGTTGGGGTTTCACTGTGTTAGTGAGGATGGTCTTGATCTCCTAACCTCGTGATCCGCCCGCCTCGGCCTCCCAAAGTGCTGGGATTACAGGCGTGAGCCACCACACCCGGTCCGAGGCCTCCTTTTTCTTATGTGAAATTCCCCAACTCTTCTCAATGATTTAGAGGTTTAGACTACGAAAGCAACATTTTATTCCCCAAAGGTCACAAATCTAGAAATTGTACTAGAATGCTCCATACCAAAGCTCTTGCTTCCCCATCATTTTCTCCAAGCAGCCTATTTATGTTAATTGATTGCCCAAATTCAGTTGTAAGCAGCTTCCTCAATTTCTGAAGGGCCCACATTCTGTGACTGGTGGCTGAAATGAGCAGAAAGAAGTATCAGAAGTCTGATGGTTTCTTCCAAGTAGGAAGACAGATGTAACTGTAATGGTGGCATTTACCTAGGCCACTCAGCTGTGCACAAGCTGCCAGCAAGGCCACAAGGCAAGGGACGACACTTCTGTTAGAGGCAAGGTTGAGTCGGAAGTCTAACAGACACGTCACCAAGTCCGTGGATGGACAAGAGAGGACGCAGCAGTCAGAGAGGAGTTCTTTAGGGCCTGTGAATGAGCACTGTAAACACCCCTGTGTTTCACAAGCTAGGGACCAACCCATAAGAAGCCAACAAACAAGGGTGGCTCCACCCAGCCCCACCCACCAGAAGGCAACAGCTGGTGTGCCCACGCATGCCACTGCGAGTCGGTGAGCCTTGCTCTTCACACTCACACTTCCACTGTAAACCAAAAGCCTAAGAATGACACCAGCAACAACTCCTTCCACACCAGGTGAGGAGGAGTGTGAGCCTGATAGTTGGACGGCTGGGACAGTTCTCTGTGTTCTGTTCCACGCCTCAACGGGGCCTGTGGGAGCATTCACCGCAACACAGCAGAAGGCAGGCCGTCAGGCACTACATGGAAATGTGCACATGTCCATGTTACTCCAGAAACAATCCACAGCCAGTCATCTAACTTTGATTGCCATAAGCCCCTCCCTTACCAGCAGCTGGCATGATGGGATAGATGGTGAAGCACCAGCCCCAGCCGTTCACAGGCCCGTCGCTGATGAACTTCCATTTTAACTCATCCCCCGGGATACGTAGCTAGCTGGACCAGTCGGACCACCCTCGGTCTGGGGGAGGAAAGTGAATCTCGGGGTTAGCTTCACTCCATCATCCAATCAACACAAACTTCCTTAGACACAAAGCAGAATGATTTCCATCATGCATGAAGAGCAAGTTCCTCCAATCCAAGCTCTCCCAAGCTGAAGTGCACAGTGACACATCACTCTTGGGATTCACATTTTAATACATACCATTCTTCAGCAAACACGCATTCAGCCCCTGTACCAGGTACCTAGGAAACTGGGGCAGGCGGGCAGACACTGCCCTGGCAGAAGCCATCGCCCAGTGGGGAAATGACCCCACCAGCCAGGATACAGTGAGTGGGCCTCCAGGTCTCCAGCACACACCAGGCCAGGGGCCATGGGGATGTTTCCCGGGAATGCTCTGATACAACCAGGTGGCCAGGCAGCAGAAGGAAGAACCCTAGCTCTCCCATCAAAAGGCCCATGTGTGTGGTTCAGCACAGCCCAGAGGAGGCCGCCCTCGAGGGAGCAGAGGGCCTGGCTGCTGTGGACAGGAGCGGTGGTGTACTACAGCATCTCAGAAGGCCAAGAGAACCCCTCCAGATTTCTGCTTCAGAATGACCATCTGGCAGCAGCCCAGGGATGGCCCATAAGCACTTTCTGCTGGATGCAGAAATACGGTCACATCCAACAACACTACTGAAAACTACACTGGCAAACATCTGTCAAAGCACCAGAAAAACCCACGCCCACTGGGACCACACCACTTCATGCAAAGCTTTACTTAACTAAGTAACGCTGTGTGAATAAAGTTTTCCTGGGACACAGCCACGCCCATTCACTGGCATCCTGTCTGCATGTTATGACAGAGGCTGCATTACCTGGCCCTTTACAGGAAACACTCGAGATGAAGGATAAAGAGGTCTTAAAAGGTGCATACACACACCCCTGCACTGCCAATTCTAAAATACTTGGTAAAAGAGCATTTCACAAGCCCCCAAAGACGTCCTGATGTGTCCCCGCTGGCCTCATGGAGCCCAGCAGCAGAGACAAGCCGGACACGTGGCTGCCTCCACCTACACACAGAAATCACTCCACACATGGCCATGCCCTCACTGCAGCCAGTAAGAAACAAACCCCTTGAAGAAGCTCTGTATTATGCCAACCATGACCTCGCACGAGCCCTGGCACCCCACACGTCACCAGCACCTTCTGCAACTGTCTGGTGAGGCAGGGCCCATCCGACAGGGATGTGGTACATACATCACAGATAACTACTGTATTTAAAAGTATGGGAAAGAGGCAAGCAAACCTACTGTGTTTCACAGCTACATAGCATACTGTCCCTTCCTCAAGACTTCGATGAGAATATGGTAGCAGCATTCTGTCCTATAAATGTGAAGGGTTGTGTCTATGGAGACACAGGTGGGCAGATCATGCCCTGCTCAACCTCCTGTTCTTACCTGACCGCATGGAGACAATCCTGGCTCAACCTCCTGTCCTTACCTGACCACACGGAGACGATCCTGTTGACGCCATCCATGATTGTGAGAGGGTCGTGGTGCCACTCTGAGGAGCACTGCCGGTCAAATTCCACCCTGAGTCCTTCTGCACCTGGAGGACAGGCGAGCACAAAACATAGCAACCACTCCAGATCAGCACCCAAAGTAGAAACAGTGCACCAAGGAGTTAACAGTGAGATTAAAACCACATTTAACAGCTAATGAATAGCAGAAAGTCAGAAAGAACTGGCCTCAAAGGCAAGCATCTCAAGACTGACCACCCTTTCCCCAGCTCATCCCCACTGAAGATTATGTCTGTGGACTGGAAGGCCAGAAAACACTTCCACTTGGCCAATTTGTTTTGTGCAGTCACTCCCGGGCAGACTTTCCTACTGCAACTCCACTCCCCTGATCAAGCTTTACAGCGAACATCACACTGACCAGGGGCTGTGGGAATGCCCAGTGTGCAGCCAAGTCAGATGGCAGCTGTGGGTCACCTGGGGAGTGAGCGGCATTGGAGGTGAGGAGCACCTCAACTTCTGGCGTGTCCAGAGAACTGGAGAACCGCTTGGTGTGGAGAACCCGCACATCTGGTGTGAGAGGTGTGCGAGCAGAGGCACAAGAGTTTTCCTTCAGGCTGGAAGATCTAGCAGAGGATGGCACTGAGAGGCCGGGAAAGAGGCAGGGGAGGAAGGAGGGAAGAAGGAGGGACGTGGGGCAGGGGCTCAGGTCCTCTCTTACGGTTACAGGGTTGACAGGCTTGGACTGGTTTTAAGATACTATCTCTGCATGCTCTGTTGGGAGCTGATTCTGGGGGGGCCGCAGGAGGTGGGGAGTGGAAGCAGGAACACAGGGAGGCAGCTAGTATGTGGTTGCTAGGATGATAAACTGGGTGAGACCCCGCGGTGCTCTAGCCCAGAATGTCTAGAGTGAGGGAAAAATGGTTGAATTTGGAATATATTTTAAAAGCAGAGAAAACAGGATTTGCTGGTGGACTGGATATAAAGCGAGAGAGAAACAGAAGAGAAAAAGGGTCACAAGATTTTCATCTAGGCAAATGCTGACTAGAAATACCTTTTGTTCTTTAAATTTCTATCATGAAGTAATAGCTTAAAGTTTAAAAATGCTTTTCTGAGCCAGATGTAGTGGTACACGCCTGTAATCCCAGCACTTTGGGAGGCCTAGGCAGGAGCTCGCTTGAGCTCAGGAGTTCAAGACAGGCCCGGACAACATGGTGAAATCCTTTCTCTATATAAAATTTTAAAAATTAGCTGGGCACGGCCTATAGTCCCAGTTACTCAGGAGGCTAAGGAAGGGGAATCGCTTGAGCCCAGAGGTTGGGGCTGTACTGAGCCAAGATCGTGCCACTGTACTCCAACCTAGGTGACAAAGTGACAAAGCTTTTCTGAATCTCACCTCATTCTAAAAGTTCAAGAAAAATGATTTCACATAAAAATGAGCAAGATACAAGTATAAGACCAAATACAATAAAAAGTTATTGTTAGAAAAAGGGAATAGGCTGGGCACGGTGGCTCACACCTGTAATTCTCAACACTTTGGGAGGCCCAGCTGGGAGGATCGCTTGAGCCCAGGAGTTTGAGACAAGACTGGGCAACATAGAGAGACTCGTCTCCACAAAAAATAAAAATAAGTTAGCCAAGCGTGGTGGCACAAGCCTGTAGTCCCAGCTTCTCAGAAGGCTGATGGGGAAGGATGGCTTGAGCCTGGGAGGTCGAGGCTGCAGTGAGTCAGAATCATGCCACTGCACTGCAGCCTGGGTGACAGAGCAAGACTGTGTCTCCAAAACAAAGTGAGAATAAGGAACAAAATAACATCCCTATAGGCAATAAAAGCAGGCCAGAAAGATATGCCCCCAAAACATGTCAACCCTATAATCTATCATCTCAAAAGAAATTGAGTGAAATTAGAAAAATGATACAAGACGTGAAAGAACCACATAAATCAGACTTAGGAAAATGAAGAAACTAAATAAAGCTGAAGACAGAATTACAATGAAAACAAAACTACATTCCAATGGAGACTAAAACAGAGTGTAAAATCAAATAAACACAGTAGATGCTACCTTAAGACAAATAGGAAAAAAAGAGGAAGTTTTTAAAAAATAAACAGAGGTAAAAAGTACTTGAAAGAGAAAGTAACCAACACTAACTCTAAAAGGCATGAGGTATGCAACGCATGGAGAGTTACCAAGCGTCCCTAGAAAAGACTGCTAAGCAATGCTACAGAACAAACACTGCAGACTGCAATTCAAGAGAACATCCTGCAAAACAGACTTGGGATGACAGACTAAAAGAGCACCCCTTACCCGAGAACATCACAGAGAACAGGCACACGAACGCACATTCTAGTGAAATCACCGAAAAAACACACGCAGCTTCTAACCGAGAACATCACCGAGAACGGCCACATGAACATACATTCTAGTGAAAGCAACAAAACAACACATGCAGCTCCTAACTGAGAGCATCACCAAGAACGGCCACACGAACGTATATTCTAGTAAAACTACCGAAAAAACACACGTGGCTCCTAACCAAGAACACCACCGAGAACGGCCACACGAATGCACATTCTAGTAAAACTACCGAAAAAACACACGTGGCTTCCAACCCAGAACATTACCGAGAACGGCCACACGAACATACATTCTAGTGAAATTACTGAAAAAACACACTCGGCTTCTAACTGAGAACATCACCGAGAATGGTCACACCAATGTATATTCTAGTAAAATTACCGAAAAAACACACCTGACTTCTAACCGAGAACATCACCGAGAACGGCTACACAATCGTATATTCTAGTAAAATTACCAAAAAAACACACGCGGCTTCTAACCGAGAACATCACTGAGAATGGCCACACCAATGTATATTCTAGTAAAATTACAAAAAAAACACACATGGCTTCTAACCAAGAACATCACCGAGAATGGCCACACCGACGTATATTCTAGTAAAATTACAAAAAAAAAAAAACACACACGGCTTCTAACCGAGAACATCACCGAGAACGGCCACACCAACGTATATTCTAGTAAAATTACTCAAAAAACACACATTACTTCTAACCGAGAACATCACTGAGAATGGCCACACCAACGTATATTCTAGCAAAATTACTGAAAAAACACACGTGACTTCTAAGGGGGAAAGATGCTAACATTATCACACTTTCACAGAGGAAAAAGACATGATCCAAGGCTTTAATACCCAGAAAAACTACCTTTCAAATTCAAAGGACAAAAACTCTCATGGACAAGTCTGATCTCAGGGGCTAATGAGGAATTCACTAGAGTGCACTTCAGACCCCATGAGGACCAGTCAGTAAAACTAAGACTCGAAGACTGAAAGAAAGTATAGTATGTAACAGCTATTGTGCTCTTGTAGATGCAGTATAATTATTTTAATAAATTTGAAAAAATTAGGGCATATTCTAAGATTTTTAAGAATTTCAGTAATTATACTGATGTTGGCAGTATTGAAATTATATCCTAAGTCTGTCATGTATGCAATGTGGTTATGTTAAAGCAAATGAAAAATCATGAGATATTTTATCAAACACTCTTGGAACCAGGATTTGATATGGAAGAAAGGAGAGGCAGATGTAACAGAAGCACAGACCTTGTACTTTTGAATTTGAGTAGAAGGAATCAGCATATTAGCCAGGTGAGGTGGCATGTGCCTGTACTCCTAGCTACTCAGGAGGCTGAGGCAGGAGGATCACTTGAGCCCAGGAATTCGAGGCCACAGTGAGCTATAATTGCACTACTGCACTCCAGCCTGGGTGACAGAGCAAGATCCTGTCTCTAAACGAGTAAATACATAAATAAAATATAAAACAAAAGGAAAAAAATTTTAAGTATCAGTATGAACTCAAAAGAATCCAGGGTAGACCCCAGGTGAAGAGTGGCAACCTACAAAAAACTGAGGACACCTTCTGTAGACTGCCTGGATGCTACCGAAGAACACCGGAATCACTTTGGGAGCCACACTGAAGAGGCTGCCACTGTCTAGAAACGGATAATCTTAGCTTCAACAAAGATAATCACAATACAGTAAAACAATCACATATGTTTCAATCCATGAGCTCATAGTAATATTAAAAATAAACAGGTCACCTTCAAGAAATGATAGAAAACCAATTCATTCTCTGGTAAACAGAAGAAAGACTCAAGCTTTTATCTTGTCTTTCTCAGTGCTGTTTGCCTGGGCAACCAACTGTAGGATGAGGGGAAATGTCTCTTTACAAGAAAGTATTCCAGCTAATAAATAAGCAAGAAATGATTCCACTAGAATAGCACCATTTGTAGCCCCTCATGGGCCAACGGCCTCGGGTGCTAATAAGCCTCAGGGACTGCTGATGTCACAAAGGAAAGACAGGCAGGCAGGAGGTGCCTGCTGAGGCTGAGTCACAACCACTAAGGAGCTGGCAAAAGGGGCGGAACTTATGGGCCTCCGAATCGGGCAGCACCTTGCAGAAGGACGGGCCTGAGGAACACACTGAACAGCAGCACACGTGTCCAGTCAGCAGATCCAGGCTGCAGTGAAGCCTGCCAGATCAAAGGCCGGGGCCTCAACAATTTTCTTCTTAATAATTTTTCTTGAGTTGTTAAAAAGAAAAGGAAAAGAAAAAGAAAAGAAAGATACACACATGGGTAAAAGAAGCTGCCCAGAAATGCAAGTCAGTGATGGCTCAACATCAGGAGAGCATCACTCAGAGGGACGTCAGGGGACACGCTGAGGGCTTCCAGAATCTGCCACAGGTTATGTCTAGACCTGGGTCATGATGACTAGGGCATCTGTCTGATTATCATGAAGCTAAACATTTACTTTGTGTGACTTTCTGTGTCATGATTTATTGTGCAAAAGAAGTTTGTTGGAAAAGGGGAGAAAAATGATTCTAAAGCAAGTCTGTAACTTTTTTTTATAAAATGGAGACGGTTGTTTCTACTGAAGCAATTACAGAATCACATCATTCTGAAGGTGGGAAAGGCTGCAGCTCCCCCCTGGGGCCAGCCCCCGTACCTGGTATCTTCACTGTGCCACTGGTGGAGGTGTCGTCGGTGTAAGGGTGGCTACTCTCCACCACCACAGGCTGAGAAGAGAGGCGGCCGCTCTGCAAGTCTTGTGGCCACATCCTCCAACTCGGTGACACAGAGCTCCAACAGCATATCTGCCACCTGGGGAGGAAGCAATGACATGAATGAGGGGGCCAACAGCCCCACACCTGGTCACCTGCATGCCACCTCTGCCCGTCCTGCTCAGGAGCTCCACAAGGACAGCGTGGCAGAGTGGAGGGCTTGGAGTTTGAGAAACTGAGTTCAAATCAGGGCTTGGCTTCCTTGCACATAAAACAGAGACAGCACAGAGCTTGTAAGATGCTGTGAAGCTTAGAGATGATCTATATTAAAAAGTCGTTGGGGCCAGACGCTGTGGCTCACGCCTGTAATCCCAGCACTGTGGGAGGCCGAGGCAGGCGGATCACCTGAGGTCAGGAGTTCAAGATCAGCCTGACCAGCATGGAGAAACCCCATCTCTACTAAAAATACAAAATTAGCCGGGCATGGTGGCGCATGCCTGTAATCCCAGCTACTTAGGAGACTGAGGCAGGAGAATCGCTTGAACCTGGGAGGCAGAGATTGTGGTGAGCCTGAGATTGCACTATTGCACCCCAGCCTGGGTGACCCAAGCGAAACTGCGTCTCAAAAAAAAAAAAAAAAAAAAGTCATTGGGTGGAGCACAGTGGCTCACACCTGTAATACAAGCACTTTGGGAGGCTGAGGCAGGCAGATCACTTAAGGTCAGGAGTTCAAGACCAGCCTGGCCAATATGGGGAAACCCTGTCTCTACTAAAAATACAAATGATTAGCTGGGCTTGGTGGCCTGCACCTGTAGTCCCAGCTACTCAGGAGGCTGAGGCAGGAGAACTGCTTGAACTCAGGAGGTGAAGGTTGCAGTGAGCTGAGATCGTGCCACTGCGCTCCAGCCTGAGCGACAGAGAGATATTCTGTCTCAAAAAGAAAAGAAAAAAAAGTAGTTGGAAGGCTCCCAACACACACAACACTTAATATGTGCCAGGTGATAAAATGAAACACCGTGGTGACAATAGCTTCATTTTACACCAAGACAAAATTACTTCCTAGTGAGTAAAGTTGGCCTCGGAAACAAAAACATCAAGGGAAGGAGCACCCAGTACGTGAAAATGACCACAATCTTAGAAGGCAAGGGAGCCCAGTGGGAG
Organism: Homo sapiens; assembly: GCF_000001405.40. Lineage (NCBI taxonomy): Eukaryota > Metazoa > Chordata > Mammalia > Primates > Hominidae > Homo > Homo sapiens. The sequence continues at coordinate 2,999,915 of NW_011332701.1, read as the reverse complement.
GGGCGGGAATCAGGAACCATCAAGCTGCCCAGGCCAGACAGAGACAGGGAGAGTCTGTGACAGGAGGGACCACCAACCCCAACACAGCTGCCCCTCTTGACCCAGTACACTAGTGGTCAGACCCATACCACATTCTCAACAATCCACAGTGTTCTTATTTTATTTTAAAAATTATTGGTGATTCACATCTTTTACAATTCAAGTTAAGAGTGATTATAAGCTGTTATTTTTAAAAATAAATGAGAGAATACATCATAATAGCAATAATCTATTAACTCCAAAATTTTCAATCCAGAAAAAATAAAATTCTTCTAATGCCCATTCTATACTTTTTAGAAATAGATTATTCTTTTTTCAATTTTTCCTCACATTTAGGTAAGAAATAGCTTTGCTTAGTAAATATATTATATATTAATAACTAATATCATTGTCATATAGGCATGATTTTAAATCTAAATTTGTCTCTCTTTTTGAGTCGCAAATATCAGGTCAGGGCAAGACACAGAAATAGCCATCTTGCCAATCTGGCAAGGGCAGTATGAAAACGGCCATATCCTTATTCCTGTCTCTCCTGGAACCTGGTTGAGTTACTGAAAGCAGATGTTGGCATCATCAAGCGCCCATATGCAGAGTCGACCAGGGGCTCTGGCCTTCAGAAGGTTGCTCTGCCAAGCGCATCATCTGCAGAAGGGTCATGACGGAGCTGGGGCTCAGAGCACTCAGGGTTCCAACCCATCTCTTCCACCTACCAGAAAAGTGAGTGTCCTCAAGCCAGTAATAACCTCTCAGCCTCAGTGTCCTCATCCATATATAAAGGTAACCCCTCCTATCTGTACTGAGAATGCAGGGATGTGCATGGCAAATGCTCAGCATTATTATAAATCGAAGTTCTGATTCATACCCTTCCCTCTCACAAATGCAATAAACTTATGAAAAATAATAATAGTGCTTAAGGCAATTCACCTCGATTTCATCTCTCAGAATTACACCAAGTAACTCGTCTCAAAAAAGTAGAAAAAAGGAAGCCTACAGCTTTTTAGTTCTTCATGAATAGCAGATGAAGAAATAACAAGCCCCTAAAATATCCACCAAATAAATCTTTGCTGTGCTTTCAAGACTGCTCAACTCTACTTAAGTACTTTATCGTTTTGGTGATCATGTAAGTTACTAAAATTTCTGACTATCAGAGCTTTAACGTTTCAGAATTGCAGATAAAGGACTATGAACTTGCATTTAATGATTTTTTTTAAAAAATCTAATTCTACTTATAAACTTTAGAAGTTCTTTTAAAGACAATATTCTTCTAACTAAAGCCAAAAATCCTAACAGGCACAGAAACTGCCTAAACTGAGTGACAGAGTAAGACTTTCCTCCACACCAAGTAGCCACCCAGAGAAATGGATGAAGTGTCTGCAGCCAGGAAGGACATCTCATGCCCAGCCACTTTGTCTTTAACTTTGTAGTCTGAGGGCACTGTGCCTGTGAGGATATATAGGTCTTCCCCACTGCCACACTGTGGGGTCAAAGCCTGGTCCATTAGGCTGTTGAGATTCACGTACCACCATTCCTGGAAGGACTGAGTCATCGGGCTGAATTTGTGAGAATAAACGCGGCCACCTGGAGATCACTGCCAAGGGAGAAAGGGTACAGCTGTCCTCTTTGGTAATCAGAATCAAGGTAATCTGTATTCAAGGCTTGCTTACATCCCAGGCTGTTCTCAGAGGTGATGGCCTCTGCCTCATTAATCACCTCCTCAAGGTTGCTGTTGGGGTCATCGATCTGCGGCTCCACCTGCCATTTGGTAATTTCACAATACAAAGCGAAAAAAGAATGCCTCTTTACCTCTTCAGTTTTGGTCATGGTTTCTGCAAAGATGCTTGCAGCTCCCGGGTCATCCGTCACTGTGATAAATGGCCCAGCGGAGGCTGAGAGGGCCGATGGAGTCACTGCAGAGGGGGTCACCACGTCCTCAGAGGAAACAATCTAGTCGAACAGTGCACAGTAGGGGAAGTTTAAGTGGAAAAACTCAAAAACATAACACGTTTCCTACTCAAGTCCCAAATGCTTTATTTAAAACTACTTGGGCTGTTTGGAATGTTCCAGATTTTACAGAGGTAACATGGTGCCTACCCGACATAGCCACTACCACCCCCAGTCGGGCCTAGGACAATTGTGCAAAGTCGAGTACATTCATATTTTCAAGAAAAACTATTAATATTCACAGCAGGTCACATGAACCAGACTAAAATGAGTTCACGTATCTTCAAGTTGGTTCTTTCCCCCAAAGTAAGTTACTAAAGTTCAGAACTTTAAGGTTTCAGAATTGCAGATAAAGGACTGTGAACTTATATATATATATATATATTTTTTTTTTTTTTTTTTTTTTGACAGAGTCTTGCTCTGTCACCCAGGCTGAAGCGCAGTGGCGCGATCTCGGCTCACTGCCAGCTCTGCTTTCCCGGGTTCATGCTATTCTCCTGCCTCAGCCTCCCGAGTAGCTGGGACCACAGACGCCCACCACCAGCCTGGCTAATTTTTTGTATTTTTAGTAGAGACGGGGTTTCACCATGTTAGCCAGGATGGTCTGGATCTCCTGACCTCGTGATCCGCCCGCCTCGGCCTCCCAAAGTGCTGGGATTAAAGGCGTGAGCCACCGCGCTCGGCCATGATTTTTTTAAAAAAGAAATCTAATTGCACGTAAGCACTTTAAAAGCTCCTTCACCGAGAATATTCTTCTAAGTAAATCCAAAAATCAAAGCGGGAGGCACAGAAACAGCCTAAACTAAATGACAGGATGAGACTTTCCTAGGCACAAAGTAGCCACCTTTTCCTTTCTGATGTAACACTGCTTTACGATTCGCTTTTACCTCTCTCTTTTCTTGCCACGGATTTGGACTCAGTCTGTCTTCGATATCAACAGCCAGCATGCATTCTTCTCCATTCATGGGACTAGCCATCGCAAATGCGTCCGAAGCAGCCGCAGAGGGGCACTCCACCGGGGCGATCATGGCGGCCGGCATCAGGGCCCCCACTACGGCATCTCTGTCAGGACACAAAGCCAGGCCTGTGGTGAGCTGCCCCTTCTCCACTGCACCACAGGAAGTGGTGAGGCAGGACTAGCACGCACTGAGGCGTTTCCTCATTTTTACTGAATACATGTAGAAGAGTTTTGGAAAACTACCAAACATTATTACCATGTATCCTTTGGCTAATAGCTAAAATGTTTACTCTGGATCCTATTTATTTGAAAAACCAGAGTAATGACAGGTGAAAAACTGCCAAACATAAAAACCAGACCAGAATGAGACTCTGGCTCTCCCTGAGAAAGAAATCCTCTTGGGCTGCTGTGAGAGCCTGAGGGCTGGATAATTGACCAGCAGGCAATTTTGTGTTTACTGAAAGCCACATACTGAGCAGCAAGGACTCAATAGCCTCTACTGAATGTTTTTGTTCTGAAACTAATTTTCCTATGTAAGGACACCTGTCAGGTCCACATGTGTGATACATTAGCAGATGGGCAACTTATCTAGGCTGTGGGAAAGCAGCAGAAAAATACTGCAAAATGCTGCATTGGCAAAACAGCCTTCTCAAAGTGAGTGAAGGGGACGCTAAGTCGTCTTAGACATCACTATAAATTAGTATCACCTAATTCTTTTCTTCCCCCAAATATTAATGGTTAGAGTCTACTGGTCAAAAAGAATAGTGAAAATGTTCAAGTTAGTTTTCTAATTCATATTTCAATGCCTATTAAAACATGCACAAAGATATCAATCACCATCAAAGAACACGTGACTTACAACACACAGCATTTAAAGACAACAATACAACATTCTTGGAGACATCTGATCAATGAAAAAAAAATCACAAAAACCTGAAGCTCACATAATTGCAGAATTTCAAAAATTAGCACAGAAACCTACCTGGCATACATGATTTGCAATGCTGTAAGAATATGCGATAAGGCCTGCTGTTTGGCCAGGTTTCCATCCAATGACAAGAGAATCTTGGCAAGAGAAGGGTGATATGGCTTAGAATTACTTGCACCACTTATTTTATTACTGGCAGCAGAAGAATTGACATCTGAAGGCACGCCTATAACAGGAAAATAAAATTTGCATTTTGTTTTTAAGATCACAGTTTGCTCTATTTCTATAATATCTGACCTTATAGGTTAGTTCCAAAACACACTGCAATCTGCATTTTGCTATTTCACAGGGCACATATTAGGCTCATTAACAGGCCTTCAGAATAAGAAAACCACTTATCCATACTTCGATAAAGAAGCTATTTTCAGCAAAGTTTAACTGTAACTGCAAAAAGATGTAGGTGCTTTTATAAAATGCACTTACAACCGTTTATGTTATATACATATAAGCTATGAAAATGCTGCAATAACTACCTGTATTTTCTTACCCTGGTAAGGCAAGATGAAAAAAGAATACAAAACAACAAAGAGAGAAGATGTTCACCAATAAAGTCCCATCAGGCTCACTTCCCTGCGAACTCCCAGGTCTCAGTAGAGGGAGGGAGCCAGGTGGAGCTGGGACATGTGTCTATGTCAACTCATCCAAACTGATACACAGATTTAATGCAATTCCTACCAGAATTCCAGCAAGAGTTTTTGTCAAGAGACAAGATTATTCTAAAATGTATATGGAAAGGCAAAGGAGCAAGAATAGAAATAGAAAAATAAGAAGGAGGAACGAGTCTACCCAATTTCAAAAGTTGTTGTAATACCATAATCAAAACTGTGTGGTACTGGCATAAGAATCAAAGGAATAAACAGAGAACGCAGAAATAGAACCACACAAATATGCCTCACTGACTGTTGACAAATGGGCAAAAGCAACTCAGTGGAGGCAGGACAGCCTTTCAGCACGTGGTGGTGGAGCAACTGGACGTCTGTGGGCAAAAAACCCAAACTTCAGCCTAAGTCTACACCTTATGCAAAATTAAATCCAAATGGATCATGACTTAAGTAGAAAATACAAAACTATAAATCTTTTAGAAAAGAATAGGAGACAGTCTTTAGGATCTAGCACTAGGCAAAAGTATAGACTTGACACCAAAAGTATGATCTATAAAAGAAAAAACTGATGAATTAGACTTCATCAAAATTAAGCATTTTTTTAATGAAAGGAAATGAAAAGACAAGCTACAGACCAGGAGAAAACATTTGCATAACACATGTCTGCCAAAGGACTAGAAACATCTAGAATATATAATGAACTCTCTAAACTCAACAGAAAAAAAAAGCCAATTAGAAAAGGGCATGAAGACATATTTTACCAAAGAGGAGATATGGACAGTAAATAAGCACATGAAAAGATGGTTAACATAATTAGCCATAAGGAAAATATTAAAACCACAATGAGATACAATGACCTATCTATCAGTATGGCTACATTTTAAAAAGATAGTGAGGATATGGGAAAAACTGGATCATCCTCCACTGCTAATGAGAATATAAAATGGCACAGCGATTCTGGAAAACAGTTGAGCAGTTTCTTGTCAAACTAAACATAATTACCACGTGACCAGCAATCACACTCTTGGGCATTTATGTCAAGGAAATAAGAATTTATTTTCACAAAAAGTGAATTTTCACATTCACCTGTGTATGAATGACATGGCAGTTTTATTTGTAACAGCCAAAACCTAGAAATAATCCAGATGTCCTTCGATGATTGAGTATTCGATGGAATACTGAACATACTACGTAATATGTAACAACTTGGATGAATTGCCAGAGGATTAGGCTGAGTGGAAAAAGCCAAACTCAAAAGTTATACCATAATGTGACATGAAAAGAGCTATATGTTAAGAAGATACTGAGTAATTTGAACCAGAAAGGAGAAGAGGAGAGTCAAGCCTTATCTTCATCTACCCCAGAAAAGACAGCACAGGAAGGCGAAGCTACTCGCCCCAGTTCTTACAGCCAGTAACTAACACAGCCAGAAAGTCACATTCCAGTTTTTCATAAAAGCAGATGCTGCTGGAGCCTAAATGTCCCCTCCTGAGAGATAAGGGGAAAAAACAAAATATTTGTATGACAAGATGAGGTTCACTTTAAAAAAAAATTGTATTTATTTCTACATGCTAGCAAGGAGCAATGTGAATATTCCCATACAGTAGAAGAAATGATATTTTTAGAGACCATTTAATAATCTGAAATTCTTAGAGATAATCTAACAGAAGATATACAAGACCTATACAACACTGGGACTAGAAAACATTGCTGAGAGAAACTAAACACCTAACAAATAAAGAGAAACACTATGTTCATGGGTTAGAAGACTGAATACTGTGAATCCATCCTTTCACATTGACTTACAGAGTTAATGCAATCCATATCAAATTCCCAAGCAAGCGGTTTTATAAAAACTGACAAGCTCATTTTAAGTCATATGGAAATGCAAAGGGCCTGCAACAGCCAAAATATATTTGAAAAAGAACAAAGCTAAAAAACTGTTGCAACCTGAGTTCAAGCCTTTTATAAAGCTGTAGTAATCAAGACAATGTGGCATTGCCAACAAAATACACGAATAAATCAATGAAACATACTGGGAGTCCAGAAATAGATCCGTACATCTACAGACAACTGATTTCTGACAAAGGCAAAAGGCAATTCATTAGGAAAAGCATAGTTTTTCAACAAATACAACTGAAACAACTGGACAATCATGCCCAAAAAAGCCTTTCAATCTGAACCTCCCACCATATATAAAATTTAATCAACTGGTCATAGATACACATATCTAAAACTATAAAACTTCTATAACAGAACATAGAAGGAGAATCTTTATAATCTTGAGGCAAAGGTTTTGTAGACACAACATCAAAAGTACACTCTACAAAAGAATAAAATGAATAAACTAGGCTTCATCAAAATTAAAAACTTCTAATCTTTAAGATTCACCTGTGAAGAGAATAAAATGACAAGCCACATTGCCAGAAAATATTAGCAAATTCTATATTAGGCAAAGGACTTGTAACCCAGAATATATAAGGAATTCTCAAACTCAGTAAGAAAACAATCAACCTATTTAAATATAGGAAAAGACTTGAACAGACATTCACCAAAAAAGGTATCTGATTTGTAAATAAGCAAGATGCTTGAGATCATTAGTTATTAGGGAAATGCAGATTAAAACCACAACGAGATACCACTATACATCTGTCAATATAACTAAAATTAAAGACTGAACGTATCAAGGGTTGACAAAAATGTGGAGGATCTGGACCTCTGGAACATCCACTTTGCAAAACAGTATGTAGTGATCTTAAGAAGCTAGACATACACCTACCATATGATCCAACCACTCCTCTCTTAGAAGTTTACCCAAGAGAATTTCAAGTGGATGTCCATACACAAACTTGTACGGAAATGTCCATTAGCAATTTCACTTGTATAGTCAAAAACTGGAAACAGCCCAAACATTCATCAACAGAAAAATGGATAAACAAATTGCATTTGTTTATCTTAAGATACTATTCAACAATTTAAAAGAATAAACTATTGATACATGCAACATAAGTGAATCCCAAAATTATTATGCTGAGTGGAAAAAGTAAGATTTTTAAAAAGAGTATATGCTGTATGAGTCCATTTATAGTAAGCTGTAAAACATGCAAACTGGCCTGCCACAGTGGCTCCTGCCTATGATCCCAGCACTTTGGGAGGCCGAGGTGGGAGGATCACTTGAGCTCAGGAGTTCCAGACCAACCTGAGCAACATGGCAAAACCATGTCTCCACCAAACAAACAAAAATTAGCCAGGCATGGTGACATGTGCCTGTAGTCCCAGCTATTTGGGAGGCTAAGGTGGGAGGATCACTTGAGCCCAGGAGGTGGAAGCTGCAGTGAGCCGAGATCATGCCACTGCACTCCAGCCTGGGCGACAGAGTGAGACCCGGTCTACAAAAAAAAAGAAAACAAACAAATAAACAAAACACCCAACAAAACAACAACAACAACAAAAAAGAAAACATGCAAACTGATCTCTAGTGACAGAATTGGTGCATACGGCAGGAAGGAGGGAGTTAAAAGCAAAAGGGAGGGGTACAGAGGGCCAGAGAGGAACGCTGGGGTAGTGTATGAGTTCATTATCTTTGATTGTGCTGATGCTTTCATGGATCATACATATTCCAAAGTCAATCAAAATGCATACTTTAAATAGGTGCAGTTTATTATATGTCAATTATAACTGAATAAAGCTGTTAAAAAATACAAAAGAGCCCAGTACAGTGCCTGTATCTCTCAGGCAGTTATTAGGAGTCCTGTTTACACAGAAGGACAGCGCTGTGAGTTTACCTGATCATAAATACAAGAATCAGCAACATACTTTCTTCTAAAATTTTCATTCCAGCAGCATAAATCGCATGAGCGCACACCATAATTCTTCTGTGTCTTTAGATTCATAATGTAGTTAACACGGCACTACAACCTCTAATGTGTTGGCACAATTAAATAAATATAAGGTTGCTGTAACCTACTGGAAAATCTCAGAGAAGATGCAAATCTGTGTTACCTAAATAGGAAGCACCTAAAGGGTCCCTTGCAGTCTGGAAGAGGACGGGCTCGTGGACAGAGGGCGTGGCCACATCCATAGTTGTCCACGCCACACTGTGGGACGACCCACAAGCCACGCGTGTGATCTTCTGGCCTTCTAAGCCTTGCACGAGCGTGGGCTTCCTGTTAACCGTGGTCGTGCCATTGCCCTGCTGGCCGTGGTCATTGTCACCCCAAGCATACACCTGTTTATGAGGGGAAAAATGCTTATAATTTTTCAACATTTCAGGACATTTTCTTTAATGTAATTTTTACTTCAAAATGCTTAACGTGTATGCCATGGTAGTTGAAAGAATTGAGTTCTGAAAAGTAAAAACAAACCATTTCACAATCTTACAAAATGGCATCAGTGTACTACAATTCTGAAGAAAATCTAACCATGAAAATGCTTGCCAATAACCATAAAAAGAGTATTTTCTTAATATTAATCCAATTAATTCTGTTTTGTTGCAAGACACACAGAAGGTCTTCTCTTCAAAAAAGTGCAATAATTTTTTCCCTTTTACTTTGCAAAGAAAAATGACCAAAAATAATATGCTCATTTTTCAAGTAAGTTGCTCCTTGGCCTTATAGAATTATAAAGTATAATTCATTTTGACTAAAAAAACAGTAATGGTAATTTTGTTTTCATAAATAAAATTTTAAATTGAATATCCACAGGCCGGTCATAGCGTATGCTTCTCCAAGCAGAAGAGAGTGTAACACTTGTCAGGCACCAGCTCTGTCTCTAAAATGAGGCATGGATCCCTCCTGCCAGTTAGCAATTCTCTAAAGCAAAGTCTTGCTAATACCTTGCAGTAGGAGCATCTTCAAGAATAACAATCTTTTGGCCGGGCACGGTGGCTCACTCCTGTAATCCCAGCACTTTGGGAGGCCGAGGCGGGTGGATCACGAGGTCAGGAGATCGAGACCACGGTGAAACCCTGTCTCTACTAAAAATACAAAAAATTAGCTGGTAGCGATGGCAGGCACCTGTAGTCCCAGCTACTCGGGAGGCTGAAGCAGGAGAATGGCGTGAACCCAGGAGGCGGAGCTTGCAGTGAGCCGAGATCGCGCCACTGCACTCCAGCCTGGGCGACAAAGCGAGACTCTGTCTCAAAAAAAAAATAATAATAAAAAGAATAACAATCTTTCCACACACTTTTCACGTGGACTTCAGAGTGGGAACGCCTCTTTTCTGAGGACCCCGCCCCCAACCCCTGCTGCTAAGCAGGCAGATGCACCAGCGGGCAAAAGGGACGGGTCCCGCCCCCATGGTTCTTCAAGCAGTAAGACTCGGCTGAGTTCATCAACAGCTGCGATTTCAACAGGACGAGGGCCGTGTCGTGACCCCCAAGTCCCCCAAGTCAGGATGGCACGCCACCCCCAGGCCACCTGCAGCCTTACCTGCCCTGAGTCCATGACCGCCAGGCAATGCTGGGCCCCGACAGCCACATGCACGATCTTCTTCCCTCTCAGCCCTTCCACCACCTGCGGCTTCCGAACGTGCACGTCAGAGCGGTGGCCCAACCTGAAGTAATCCCCCTTTCCCCTGAGAGGAGGCCCGTGGTGGAGTGTTACAATACGGTTATGGTCTTACCATGCGATACAAGAAGACACTCATTGTCTCACATCTTTCACAGCCAGCTCAATGACATCACACACAGCACCCAAGGTCTTCGAACTTGTATTCAAAATCATACACCATTAATTCAAATTAACTTATTAAGTCAGCTGGGAAAAACCTTAATACCTTAATACATGTTCTACAATATTTAAGTTACTGTTGTAGGTTTTCATATAGACTGAAAATAAGACACACTACTGCAAACACCTATCCAAAGTCCTATCTGGTATACATCTTTCTTAAAGTGCCAATGTTGGCCAGTCGCGGTGGTTCACGCCTGTAATCCCAGCACTTTGGGAGGCTGAGGTGGGTGGATCACGAGGTCAGGAGATTGAGACCATCCTGGCTAACACGGTGAAACCCCATCTCTACTAAAAATACAAAAAAATTAGCCGGGCATGGTGGCAGACACCTGTAGTCCCAGCTACTCGGGAGGCTGAGGCAGGAGAATGGTGTGAACCCCGGAGGCGGAGCTTGCAATGAGCTGAGATTGTGCCACTGCATTCCAGCCTGGGCGATAGAGCGAGACTCCATCTCAAATAAATAAATAAATAAATAAATAAATAAATAAATAAATAAATAAATAGTGCCAATGTTATGACCAGAGGCAGCAAGGCCTGACACAGCATCCAAGGCCAGTCTGGGCACCTGCTCTTTTGCACATTAATATAATAAGCTTTAACAAGAAATACATGTTAACTTTCTCAGGATCAAAGGATTCAGAAGGCTATTTTGCTCTCATTTTATCCTTAGGCTTCAGCAGAAGAAACACTTCCTATAAATCTCGCCCAAACAGGAAAGGTAAGTGGCCTAAAATTTTTCTAGTATTTTCAAAATGACCCAGTTACAATAGGAAATTTCTTCTTGTACTATTGTCACTAATCCCGACTCAATATCCTTTAAAGGACAAAGATGCATGCATAAGTAAAAATATGACAGGTCACAATCATGCCGGGGTGGTCCTGGGGCGAGGCCCAAGTTCCCTGCACGCACCGGCACAAGCACGCACACTGTGATGGGGAGGACGTTTACGTACCATGTCCACACCACTCCAGACTTGGTGAGCGCCAGTAGGAACTGAGCTCCACACTCAATCTGGCACACCCCCTGTCCATTTAGTCTCTCAATGTTCTGGGGAATGTTGCAGCCTTCACTTCCGCCCCGGCCCAATTTTCCAAAGTCACCATCACCCCAGGAAAATACCAAACCTAGGTTTAAAAATAGGGAAGGGAAGGGAAGGGAGAGAAGAAAGGAAAGATAAAGAAAGCCCAACCTCCTTCCAAAATGTCATGAGAATCTTGAGCACATATGGTCCTTGGCATGACCACATGACCTGCAGAGCCCCTGTTATAGAACTCATTTTTATATTTTCCTTAGTATAACAGTTAATGTAATATGTCATTTTTGTTAATAGTGTCTTTTTGTCATTTTACTTTTTAAAAGATTGTATTGAAATATACATACAGGAAAGTGCATCTATCATAAGTGTGCAAATTGATGAATTCTAAAATCTTTATTGTACCTGTTTAGCACCTAGATTGACACTGAACATAACTAACAACCAGAAATCTCCGTGTACTCCCTTCCTGTAACTACCCCTGCGCCCGACCAAATCACTCTCTTCTAACAGCATAACTTTGTGTGACTAGCTTTTTTAATGTAAAAGAATGAAATCTACAGCATGTATTCATTTGCATCTGGCTTCTGCCACCCAACATTATATTTGTGGGATTCATTTGTACAGTTGCATATTAGTTTGCAGATCCCTCACTCTCGTTTCTATATGGTATTATATTGCATAAACGTACCACACTTTATCTAACTACTGTTAAATATTTGTGCATCTTCTACTTGGGGGCGATTTCAAATAGTGCTGCTATGAACATTCTTGTAAATGTCTTTTGGTGAACATATGCAACACATATATGCGTTGTTGTTGGTTCCCAGGAGGGGCATTCCTGGGTCATAAACAATGCATGTGTTCAGGTTTAGTACAGTATAATGCCAAACAGGTTTCCAAAGTGTTTGTGCCACTTTACATACCCGCCATTATTGAAAAAGAGTTCTGTTTGCTCCACATTTTCACCAATACTTGATATTTTGTTTTTTTTTCTTTTAAACCGTACTAGTGGGTGTGCAGTGATATTGCAATGTGGTTTTAATTTGCATCTTCCTTGTGACAAATTAACCTTGATTACTGTAAGCCACTTGGAAATGTGATTTAAATTCATATAAAGATATAGTAGCAAAACACATAGTAAGTTACTTTCATATCCAGAAAGTTTAGATAGAATGATTTCTATGTAAGCTTTTACTGTGTAGTCTGAGTCCATGAATATTGATTACAAAAAACACATCTGTAGGTGAGTTACAATACCTCACTTATAATTCAAAATTCATGTTGTGTTAGCTCAATATTTTTCAAATAATTTTTGCATGCAATTTTCACCTTCTTTCTGAGTAGTTTCAGGTATTTTGTATGGTTCCAGCAGTCAGTTAGGTTGCCATTGTTTGGAAGCACACATCCACGTATCTGCACCATGATGATATGACACGCCCATACCCCCCATTTCACATTTTGTCAGAAGTGCATAGTTATCACTAACTTTGCCAGTAGAAATGTACTCCCAATTTCCCACGGACTTATCTTGAATAATCTCTCCACTGAAGCATAACAGGTTTTGAATTCTGTTAGAATAGTTGTTTTTACTATCTTTTAATTTTATACAAATTTCAAAGTTACGTAATACTTTTATTTAAAAAGTCAAACAAAGCTTTTCCTCTCCCTTACCCACATGTTAGCCCAGCAGAGGGGGAAAGCATTGGCCCCAGGCCAAAATCATAAACGCTTTCAATTAACTAATAATAATTGCTGGCATGTTGCCATTAAATATCCTTGTCTCATTATCCCTGGTTGCTTCATCAGACCCATAGGTCACTGAAGCCCACTTTTGAGACAAAGACTATTTCTCCCCCAAAAGTCAAGGGAAATATAAAAAGTGAAATTAGTGATTAAGCATAGAAGTCAATTAATACAATCATTTTGTCTTAATTATTTAAAGTCCAGTTTTTTTCCTCCAGCAAACCTGAAAATACACTATCCTCCAGCTATCAGAATTATATTGAGATCTACTCACATTTATGATGATGTTCAGAGATTCATCATTGGGAAGGAAAATGCACACGCTGCGGCGGTCTTGCATGACTCTGTTGTGGAAATTCAATTTGTTCATTGTGTTTTGGGCTCTCTGGGTGGTCAGGGCTGGGCTCTGGGTCCTTGGCAATTCCTCAGGTTCCCAGCACTCCAAAGCCAAGCTCACCTCCTCATCACACGCCCTGCAGGAGAAGCATCAGGGTGTCCGACTACGTGGGTTTCATAGCTGTGGAAAAGCCAAAGGGGAGACTCCTGAAGAAAGGCGGTGAAGACTGTGAAGAGCGGGTCAGGAAGATGAGCACAGCACTGCTACTCCTGTGGGCACAGGGACAGCATGTCTCCAGCCAGCGCCACCTTGTTTAATACATGGGAACTCACTGAAATTCATTCTGTATTTTGCCCGCAAAGTTTTAAAGCTTTCATCCACAGTCAGGAATTAAACTTATACCAATGAGAGCCTCACACATTCAAGGATGTACTAAGCACTACAGGCCTCACAGAAACAGAGATCCCATCTTGGAGTTTTCAGTCCCACATGGGAGATAAAGGGTTTTGAACATGAAATGACAAAAACAACAGCAAGAAGAAAATTCTCGTCCTTTTTCATTACTATCAAACTCAAATAAATGTCTTGGCTCTTACATTACATTCATTCTTCAACCATTGTGGTCTGGCTTCCACTTCCTTCACTTCACCAACATGGCTCTGCCAAAGGAAGCCTGTGATCTCTAGGCCATCACTTTAATTGATCTCTCTACAACATTTATCCTGGTCGTTAAGCCCTCCTTACAACATTCTTCTCTCTTTGTTTTTATGGCTCTGTCTCTCCTGCTTCTTTAACCTGATAATGCATACTTGATTTTTCCATTTATTATTTCATCAACCAATTAATACACAGATAAAACAAGACTGTGTATATCAAACCATGTTTGTATAGAAAAAATGGATTTTGGATGCCTCTCATATGTAATTAGTTCTATTAAACATATTAATTGTATTGTTTAATTTATCAGGTTTTTGACACAGAGAATTTTGTTTGCAAGTAATAAAAATTTTATCTCCAATTTTCAATAATTACACCCATTATTTCTGTTTTATGTCTCATTGCATTGGTGAGATCTTGCAGAATAATTTTAGAACAGTAGTGGGTATTTTCTACTTTTAATGGGTGTGTCTAGTATTTCATATATTGTTGCTTATAGAACACTATTCAACCAAGACATGTCAAGACTAGTTGTCTCTCAAACCATTAGTATTTATATTATTCCTTTCCAGCTACATTTGTGGGATGTAAAAGACCATTTCCAGGAATATGGAACTGTTTTACTAGGTGGAGGGTATATATAACCATACAATAGTCACAGAAACTACATTAATACTCACATAAATCAAAGCATAAATGACATAGAATCTTGGCAGATTTGCTTAAGGTTAAATGTATAACTCTTATCAGCAGGAGGTGAAAGAATATATTCTTAGATACTTGGCACATTTAGAAAATATAATCTAATATTCTTTTTAAAGAACAGGCCGGGCACGGTGGCTCACGCCTGTAATCCCAGCACTTTGGGAGGCCAAGGCGGGCGGATCACGAGGTCAGGAGATCCAGACCATCCTGGCTAACACAGTGAAACCCCGTCTCTACCAAAAATACAAAAAATTATCTGGGCATGGTGGCGGGCGCCTGTAGTCCCAGCTACTCGGGAGGCTGAGGCAGGAGAATGGCGTGAACCCAGGAGGTGGAGCTTGCAGTGAGCCGAGATCACGCCACTGCACTCCGGCCTGGGCAAAAGAGCGAGACTCCGTCTCAAACAAACAAACACACAAATAAATAAATAAATAAAACCTCATCTACAAGGGAATTACTTGAAATTAAAACAAATGGTAATCATATATATGGTACTTCATTATTAGGAAGGTGGCTAAAAGCCCATTTAGACATATTCTGCTTTTCTTAAAGAATAATAATAGTTTCATGTTAGGTTATAGCCAGCACAGCACCTCGTGGGGTCATCAGAGGCCTGTGCTATCATTCTCACTAGGATGGATGGTTAACCCATGTGTTCTAGGACCACAAACTATGCCCCAATCTACTCATCCATCTAGAAAAAAAGGCATGCTTTTAGTTCAACAATTCCAAAGCATCAGTTGGAGGACCAGTGTTGGCTGCATCAGAATCACCTGGGTGTTTGTAATAAATACAGAATCCTGAGCAGGTATTCTGGCATTTCTATTCTTACAGAATCTCCAGGGTCAGGGCCAGGTATTTCTGATGTGTAGCAACAGATGGAAACCACCACTTCAGTTAGCAGAAGGAAGGCACTGAGCAGAGGGTTGAATATAATACATTGGAAAAATATCTTAAAGATAAAGAATTGGGAAAAAGTAATATATGTGAATATCACATCATCATTATAATAGGAAAAAACAAGGTCCTCAACATTGTCAAAGGTATAAATTCCTAAAACAGGTCCAATTCGTGTTCTCAAAACATTTTCCTGAAAAATGTTACTAGGTGGTATAGGGATAAATAGGTTTGCAAAGTACTGTACCCTCTATATATCTTGTCTCAGAAATTCAGAAAGTGTTAAAGACTCTGAGAAGTCCTGAAGGCAACTTCTTATATTTAATGCAGTATATCTCAAACTCACTTGAGCACACAATACTTTTTTCCCCCGAGGCATATCTATTAAGGTCCTATAGAACAATATTCTTAGGCATACCATTTAGAGATACAATTCTAAAATGATTTTATCAAATATTATATTTCATGGCAAAGTTTTTCCCTGTATATTGATATATTCCAACACTTAGTCTTCCTTTTTGCAATATAAATCTTTTCAAGAGGAAATTATAAGCATTGATTAAATGCATCTTAAATTCAAAACCTTAAATAATATTCATCCCAGTATAATTCTTCTTATTGAAATCTATACTTCAAATTGAGTTAGTCCTATAATTTTTCACTTCTAATTAAACCAATTAAAGCAGGGTATGTCTACTGACCTACTTTCCAGAATTTAAAAAATAAACTAGGAAAAAATATCTTCTGAGCTGTGGGATGTTTCCAGAGCTTCATTAAAATAACTTGAAATTTTCATTTGGGTACAATTTTTGTTTATTTTATGGTTCAAATATGCAGCACAAAAGATGACTGGAAGAGGATTATTGAATCAAATTTAATAAAAGCAGAGTCTATATGAGGCAGTGCTGCTTCATTGCTGCTTTTTCTGCTTTGAGGATGGCAAACTAGAAAAGCCCTTAGATTAAGTTTTTACTTTACCTAAGACAGCATTAAAGCTGATTAAAAGGTTCCACTGAAATGGCAAAATGGCCATATCTCTAATAAGCGCCAGTTTAAAACTTAATCTTAAATTGGGCAGTCCTGGGGAAAAGAATTAGATTAAATTTATACCAATTTGAATTCTAGAAGTCAGTCTCATAGCAGCCATTGGCTACTTATACTGTGTGCTAAACTAAATCTCAACTCAGTCCCAGGAGGACACATTTCCTACTACAGGGCAACCCTTTTCCACCCAGTGATCTTAGGATTGATTATCTATGAAGGGTAGACCATGTGGTAGTAACATATTTTCCAGGGAACAAAATAAATCAGAATTAATAGTGATCAAACCCCACCCAGCCTCTTTATTAATACCCAACTTACAAAAACATATTTTAAGCTGTACAATTCCTCCACTGGAAATTTAAGCGCACATTATTATGAGTTCCTTATTTCCTGATAAGTCCCAATGGTTACAAAATTACTCAGTTTCTTTGAAGAATCAGGAAGCCACCACCCATGGGCATTCAATGCTGATTGTCATTTTTAACAAATTGTGGGAAATAAGCTTTAAAACTGGGTCACTACCCCTAAAAGTATGCAGTTTAGTTATAATATATCAATATTGATTTGTTAGTTGTGACAAATATACCATAATCATGTAAGATGTTAGCAACAGGGGAAACTGGGTGCCTGTGTGGTACACAGAAACTCTCTATACCACCTTTGCAACTATTTTCTAAATCTAAAACTATGCTAAAATTTTTTTAAATTTAAAAATTAAAAGTAGGTCACCAGAAATTTCCTACCCACGTAATATAGTCTATTTTGAATGTAGGCAAAAGAGGATTCTCAATTCTAGGACTGTCTCTCTAAAAAAGTAAAAAGCTGGCAATTTGATAAGATTACTGCAAGAGAAGCATGACTAAGTAGGCATATATCAACAGTCAATATGGTACCTTTATTACCTAAGAAAAACAAGGCAAAAATTTATCTTGGAAAACTGGATTGCAGAGAACCCTATCTTCTAATTTAATCATCACACACTTATATAGCTCATGTTACACACACAGTACGGTAATATTTATTTGCTGAAAAGCAGAATACGAAAGCATTAGATACTCCCCCTCCACCTATGAGTTCACCATCTAGTTAAGTACACGTCACTGCCAAGAAGCTTAAAATGAATAGTATTGTCCCCGATTTCTAAGAGCACACATACGCTGACGGGCAACTCTCATGCCAACCTCAAAGGAAGGTAGAATGGATAACAGCGTTAAGTATACAAATACTGTGCTGTGAACACTGTAGCTAAGACCATTCTGGAATAAACACTGTATCATCTTTAATGTATAGTATCCTATCCCAAAAGTGATATCAAAATGTCTTTAGTAAAATGAGTTCTGTTCTTCTTCATTCTTTCATTCAGCACCTACTGTCTGCCAAGTGCTGCTGTATATGCTGAGCACACTAACAGCACTAACAAAAATACCCTGCTCTAATAGAAACAGACAATAAGCATATGACGTAGATGGTGTTATGTACTATGAAGAGAAATAAGCCCAGAGTAGATGAGAGTTGATGGAGTTGTGTCTTAATTTGCCTTATTTTACATATATTTAATGTATTAATAAAATCGTGCTGACATCCTATGTGGAAAGGTTTACTGAAAATTTGAGAGACAGAGAGAGAATGGCTGATCTGTAGAACATGGGTACTGTCTAAAAGAACCTTCACTGATTCTTTCAAACTTTTCCAGAGATAAACTTAGACTCATTTTGAAAGTTGCTTTATTACCAAAAAATTGCCACTCCATGAAAAGTTCAGCACTTGATGCCAATAGGTGTGACAACAAAAAAGCAACTTCGGCATCACATATATGGTCAGGAAAACCATCAGAAACTAAGAGATTTTTTTTTTTTTTTTTTGGTGACAGAGTCTTGCTCTGTCACCCAGGCTGGAGTACAGTGTTGCAATCTGGGCTCACTGCAACCTCCGCCTCCCCGGTTCAAGTGATTATCCTGCCTCAGCCTACCGAGTAGATGGGATTACAGGCGTGCACCACCACACCCCAAAATGAGGTTTCACCATGTTGGCCAGGCTGGTCTCAAACTCCTGACCTCAGGTGATCCACCTACCTCTGTTGCAGGAAGTCAGGGACCCCGAACGGAGGGACCGGCTGAAGCCATGGCAGAAGAACATAAATTGTGAAGATTTCATGGAGATTTATTAGTTCCCCAAATTAATACTTTTATAATTTCTTACGCCTGTCTTTACTGCAGTCTCTGAACATAAATTGTGAAGATTTCATGGACACTTATCACTTCCTCAATCAATACCCTTGTGATTTCCTATGCCTGTCTTTACTTTAATCTCTTAATCCCGTCATCTTCGTAAGCTGAGGAGGATGTATGTCACCTCAGGACCCTGTGATGATTGTGTTAACTGCACAAATTGTTTGTAGAGCATGTGTGTTTGAACAATATGAAATCTGGGCACCTTGAAAAAACAACAGGATAACAGCAATGTTCAGGGAACAAGAGAGATAACCTTAAACTCTGACTACCAGTGAGCCAGGCAGAACAGAGCCATATTTCTCTTCTTTCAAAAGCAAATGGGAGACATATCATTGAGTTCTTTTTCTCAGCAAGGAACATCCCTGAGAAAGAGAATGCGTCCCTGAGGGGAGGCCTCTGAAATGGCCACTTTGGGGACGGCTGTCTTTTACAGTCACAGCAGAGGGAAGAAATAAGCCCCGGTCTCCCATAGCGCTCCCAGTCTTATTAGGATGAGGAAATTCCTGCCTAATAAATTTTGGTCAGACCAGTTGTCTGCTCTCAAACCCTGTTTCCTGATAAGATGTTATCAATGACAACGCGTGTCTGAAACTTCATTAGCAATTTTAATTTCGCCCCAGTCCTGTGGTCCTGTGATCTCGCCCTGCCTCCACTTGCCTTGTGATATTTTATTACCTTGTGAAGCATGTGATCTCTGTGACCCACACCCTATTCGTACACTCCCTCCCCTTTTGAAAATTGCTAATAAAAACTTGCCGGTTTTACGGATCAGGGGGCATCACGGAACCTGCCCACATGTGATGTCTCCTCCGGACACCCAGCTTTAAAATTTCTCTTTTGTACTCTTTCCCTTTATTTCTCAGACTGGCCGACACTTGGGGAAAATAGAAAAGAACCCATGTGAAATATCGGGGGTGAATTTTGCCCGATACACCTCAGCCTCCCAAAGTGCTAGGATTACAGGCGTGAGCCTTCGCGCCCGGCCAATAACTCTTTTTTTTTTTAAACATTGAAACAACATAAATATGGAAATGAACTACTCACATATGTTATTATATTGCCCATATCCTTCTGCAGCTTGCCTTTTTTACCCAAAGTTTTCTTCATGAGATTTACCCATGTTAATTCTTTTTAATCTAGTATGTTCATGTTTAATTGCTGTATAATATTCCACCACATGGATATGAGTTTAATTATCCAATCTCTTGTTGGTTAACTTACATTCTGCATCATCTTGTATTACTGCAAACACTACTGTGATAAACAGTTATTCCAAATTTCTTTGTACACATGTATTTTTTTGCTCAGGTATGTGCATCTTCAACTTCATTAGAGATTATAAAATTGCGCTCCACTTTACCTAGCTGAGTTTCCACTGGCCCATATCTCTGCCAGCAATTCTGTCAGACTTATATTTTTGCCACTCTGAAGATGACAGAATAGTCATTTTAACTTTCAATTTATCCATGAGTTTCTGGTTCAAGTATCTTTTCCCACGTTTACTGACCATTCCAATTTCTTCCTCTGTAAAGTAACTCTTCACATCCTATGCCCATTTTGTCTTAAGTTTTCCTTTTCATTATTAGGCTATTTTTCATATCCTGGATACTAATCATTACAAAAAGTTTCCCTACAACAAGATCACAAAGACAGTTAGGTAAATTTTCTTTGAAATTTTTTCCAGTTTTCCTTTTCATATTTTAGTCTTACAATGTCAGAAAAAAAGACCTAACACTCAAATGTCAAAAAAAACCTAACTGAATAAAAAAGTGGTACATCCACACTACAAAGTACTAATTTAAAAAAAGATGAAGAACATTTCTATAAACAGATATGAAGTCATCTCTGAGAGAAGTTTAAAAAGGTGCAAAATGGGCCGGTGCAGTGGCTCACACCTGTAATTCCCAGCACTTTGAAAACATTCTGAGAGGCTGAGGCAGGTGGATCGCCTGAACCCAAGAGCTCGATATCAGCCTGGGCAGCATGGCAAAACTCAGTCACTACCAAAAATACAAAAAAAATAGCTGGGTGTGGTGGCACACACCTGTGGTTCCAGCTACCCTGGAGGCTGAGGTGGGAAGACAGCTTGAGTCTAGGAGGCAGAGGTTTCAGTGAGCCAAGATCACCCCACTGTACTCCAGCCTCAGTGACAGAGTGAGACCCCACCCCAGGTCAAAAAACAAATAAAGTGCACAATGGTATATGCTATCTTTTATCTAAGGGAGGGAGAAAATATTCCTGTCTCAGTCTCCTGAGTGGCTGGGACTGCAGGCTGAGCCACCATGCCCGGCTAATTTTGTATTTTGTATTTTTTTTTTTTTTTTTTTTTGGTGGAGATGGGGCTTCTCCATGTTCATGGGGCTGGTCTCAAACTCCCGACCTCAGGTTATCTGCCTGCCTCGGCCTCTCATGGTGCTGGGATGGGAACAGGAATTAAAAGAAATTAAAAAATGTGTAAACAAAAACTCAGTTGTATGTAAAAAAACCCAATTCCCCCTGAGAAAGAGAGGAGCTGGAGTCCTTCAATAAAAACTACTACCTCCTGTTTTTCTATGGCAGTGAGCCTTATCTCTCCTCCCTTCCCGGGCATTATAAAAACCCTAATTCCCTAACTGTACAACTGCAAGGTCACTAAACTAACTCAAGTTACAAAATATATTTTTCCTAAAAAAGGAAAAAATAATATAATGCATGATTCAACTGAACAATTATCTTTGTTTCTCACTTCTATCATATGCTTCATCCTGCACAGATCTACCCCCACCCCATAAAATGCTTAAAATGTAAGTCTTGTTCAGAACTCAGTGCTTTAAATGTTAATCCGACTGGGCCAATGCACGTAAATAATTAATTAATAACCTCCTAAACCCCATCAGTCTCTCTAATTCCTTAAAAATCCTGCTACAGGATTGTAAGCATGAGCCACCGGGGTGCTGGGATTGCAGGTGTGAGCCACCGCACCCAGCCCAATTTATTAATCAGAAAAGAATAGATTGGCCTGGTGTGGTGGCTCACGCTTGTGATCCCAAGAATTTGGACAGCCGAGCGTGTTGGATCCCTTGAGCCTAGGAGTTCCAGACCAGCCTGGGCAACATGGTGAAACCGGGTCACTTTTTTTGTTTGTTTTTTGTTTTTGTTTTTGTTTTTTGAGGCGGAGTTCTGCTCTTGTTGCCCAGGCTGGAGTGCAGTGGTGTGGACTCAGCTCGCCGGGCCTCTGCCTCCCGGGTTTGGGTGGTTCTCCTGCCACAGCCTCCCTAGTGGCTGGGATTGCAGGCGTGAGCCATCATGCTCGGCTCTTTTTTTATTTTTTTGGTGGAGATGGGGTTTCTCCATGTTGGTCAGGCTAGTCTCAAACTCCTAATCTCAGCTTATCTGCCCGCCTCGGCCTCCAGGGGTGCTGGGATTTCAGGCATGAGTCACCACGCAAGGCCCAATTTATTAATCATAAAGCAACTGATCGGCCTGGCATGGTGGCTTATGATTCTGATCCCAGGATTTGTATGGCTGAGCGTGGGGGATCGCTTGAGCCTAGGAGTTCCAGGCTGGCCTGGGCAACATGATGAAACTTGGTTTCTCTTTTTTTTTTTTTTTTGAGACAGAATTTCGCTCTTGCTGACTGGCTGGAGTGCAGTGGCGTGGTCTCGGCTGCCTGTGGCCTCCGCCTCCAGGTTTGGTTGGTTCTCCTGCCTCAGCTTCCCAAGTGGCTGGGATTGCAGGTGTGAGCCACTATGCTCGGCTTTTTTTTTTTTTTTTTTTTTTTTTTTTTTTTGGTAGAGACGGGGTTTCTTCATGTTTGTCAGGCTGATCTCAAACTCCCGACCGCAGGCGATCCGCCCGCCTCGGCCTCCCTGGGTGCTGGGATTGCAGGCTTGAGTCACCATTCCTGGCCCAATTTATTAATTAGAAAGGAATAGATTGGCCTGGAGTGGTGGCTCATGCTTGTGACCCCAGGAATTTGGACGGCCGAGCGCGGCAGATCGCTTGAGCCTAGGAGTTCCAGACCAGCCTGGGCAACACGGTGAAACCTGGTCACTTTTTTTTTTTGTATTTTTTTTTTGAGGTGGAGTTACGCTCTTGTTGCCCAGGCTGGAGTGCAGTGGCGTGGACTCAGCTCACTGGGCCTCCGCCTCCCCGGTTTGGGTGGTTCTCCTGCCTCAGCCTCCCGAGTGGCTGGAATTGCAGGTGTGAACCACCATGCCTGCTAACTTTGTATTTTTTTTTTTTTTTTTTTTTAGTATAGACGAGTATTCGCCACATTGGTCAGGCTGGTCTCAAACTCCCGACTGCAGGTTATCCACCCGCCTCAGCCTCTCGGGGTGGTGCGATTCCAGGCATGAGCCACTGTGACCGGCCCAATTTATTAATCAGAAAGGAATAGATTGGCCTGGCGTGGTGGCTCACGCTGGTGATCCCAGCTGGGACTTTGGACGGCCGAGCACTGAGGATCGCTTGAGCCTAGGAGTTCCAGACCGGCCTGGGCAACGTGGTGAAACCGGTCTTTTTTTTTTTTTTTTTTTTGAGGCAGAGTTTCGCTCTTGTTGCCCAGGCTGGAGTGCAGTGGCCCGGTCTCGGCTCCCCGCGGCCTCTACCTCCCGGGTTTGGGTGGTTCTCCTGCCTTAGCCTCCAGAGTGGCTGGGATTGCAGGCGTGAGCCACCATGCCAAGTTAGTTTTTTATTTTTTTATTTTTTTGGTAGAGACTGGGTTTCTCCATGTTACTCGGGCTGGTCTCCCGCTCCTCACCTCAGGTGATCTGCCGGACTCCACCTTCTGGGGTGCTGGGATTGCAGGCGTGAGTTACTGCGCCTGACCCCGACACCAGGTCTCTTAACAAAAAAACAAAACAAAAACCATAAAGATTAGCCTGACCTGGTGGGCCCGGCGGGCAGTCCCAGCTACTCTGAAGGCTAATGTAGGAGGATTGCTTGAGCCAGGGGGTGAAGGTGGCAGTGAGCCATGTTGGCGCTGCTGCAGTCCAGACTGGGCGACAGAGCGGGACAGTGTCTCAGGAAAAGGGAAAGGAAAAAAAAATAAAGAAAAAGAAAGTGTATAAAATTGCTAAATCAGGGAACAGCTTAAGAGTATATTATTGAGAGAAATAGAGGCAAAGGTGAGCAGACACCAATGTTCACTTAGTGGAACTGCAGGTATCTCTAGACAGGAGGCGGCTACTTTTCCAAAAGAAATCTACTACTGACTTAAAAAAAAAAAAAAGGTGGTTTGTTACAATATACAAATAGCTAAACTTTATATAGCCACCACCCTCTTCTAGCACTGCTCTAAGCCTTTTCCTGCTCTGAAAGAGCTACTGTTACCTCCATTGTAGAAAAAACAGATGCCAGAGGTTGTTGTGGAAGGACCACGGAAACTATGAAATTTACTTGTAAGTTTCGGACTTAAAGGTTCTTCCTGCTCTGCTCCATACACTGCAACATTTTAGTTAACACACCTCTTAAAATACTGGTCCTTTCTGTATTTGGAGAGACTCATATTGCAGTTTGAAGTTTTTTCTGGCACTAAGCATTTGGTCATAAGCTCATTTGTGTTTTATGACAGGTTTAAGTACCTCTTCAGACATTGTTCAGTTAGGAATGTAAATATGAGCAAACAGGTATCTGAAATAGATAACCTAGAAAAAAATCACTTATGAGAAAGTCAAGAAAATGTAAACTCTGAATTTGTGGCTATTTTCAGAATGTATTTTTTGGTATTTAATGGCATTATGAGTATATTCATTTTTTAAAATTCCTTGTCTTCTACAGATACATATAAGGTAATTTAAAAAATGATATGATATATAGGTTTTACTTCAAAATAATTCAGAGGAAGAAGGAATGTATATAAATGAAGTGGGAATACAAATGGAACAAAACAGGATGTGGCCAGGTGGCCTCTCCTTGGGCAGAGGAGGTGAGGCTCACCTCACAAAGATCTTTGGAGAGAGGGAGGCGGGGATCTGAGCACAGTGGGAGCCCCCCTCTTCCAGCCTGCCCACCCCGCCTGAGGGCTCCACTCACCACCATGCTTGCCTGCAGCCCCAAGCTCCTGGGGGGCTGGGGCTCCTGGACCGGGCTCATCAGCAGGGTTCTGGGCAGTGGCCAGGAATTTTCTGTGCCCATTGTTGTAGTTGCTATAAGCCGCAACACCATCTGCTGCAGCTCCAGCAGCTTCACCTGGAGGGAGGGGTGCTCAGCTGCCATGCCGCTGCCTGCGCCCACCCTCACACCCACCCCCACCCCCACAGAGATGTTGCACACCCTACCTTCATCTCCTCCCTGAGCTCCAGCCTGATGGTGTCCTCCTACCAGTGCCGCATCTTTGGCACGGCCCCCTGGTTCTGATAAAAGGTGATGGATTTTCCTGCGGGAGGACAGGGCTCAGACGCTGGGGCCCCTCCGACGGTCCTGCAGCTCCCCCTGCCGTGCCCTGGCCTCCCACTCACTGATGGCATCTATCTCGCCAGTGGTGGATGAAGCAAAGTTCTTTTTTCTTCACCAGCTCACTCAGGTCTGCCTTCTCCTCCAGGTGGTCCATAAAGCTGCTCTGGAGCCAAAATATTGCAGTCACATCTCGGCAGCGACCTGCCCTCAGGTGGCATTTTCAAGTCATGGAGAAGGCGGAGGTGAGTCCTGGCATGGGCCAGCTTCTCCGTGACTTCCTGCAGGGCCCGGTGGGTCTCCCCACTCACAGACTCGCCCCCAGGCCCTGGGGCTCCAGGGCCTCTGGCTGCCTCTGGCTCCTTCTGGGCCGAGGCCACCGGGTGAGCCAGGCGCTGGCAGCACACCCTCTGCTCTTTCACCTGCTCTTGTAACTGTGCCTGCTTCTCCTGGGCACTAGCTCCAGCGGACTTGAAAAATGCCACCTGAGGGCAAGACGCGAGCATTCTTGTAGGGGCATACACGGAGCAAACGGGGCAGAGAGGTGGAGTGCAGGCCCTTCCCTTGGGGCCTCAGAGAGTACACGTTTGTCACAGGTGAAATGGTGTCTGACCACTGGCTCCCAGAAGGGGTGAGGGTCCAGAGAAATCAGAAGGCAGGGAAACGAAGAGCATAAAGGGGTCTTGGAGGGACCACAGAGAAAGGTGGCAAAATGGGTGCAGGGGGAGTCAGGCTCACCATGGCCTCCCTGCTCTCCAGGTCCTCTGGGACACTCGGCATGGGCCGAGGTGCCTCCTCCCCCTCACTGTCCAGATGTTCTCCTCCGTGTCCTGTGGGGGGTGGCCAGAGGGGTCTTCAGACAACCCAACAAGGGAGGTACTGTGGGCCCACCTCTACCTCCACCCTCACTGTGTAACCCTGAGCCAGCCCCTCCCCAGAGAGGAATGAGCTGTTGTTCTTTATTTTTACTTTTAAGAATCAAGATCTTGCTATTCCGCCCAGGCACACTCCCACTACTGGTCGATGTGGGAGTTCTGACCTGCTCCCTTTCTGACCTTGGCCAGTTCAGCCACCCTTAGGCAACTTGGTGACCCCCCGCTCACAGGAGGTCACCACACTGATGCCGAACTTAGTGCAGGCACCCGGTCGGCATAATGACCAGCTGTTCTAAAGGTCTCTTCCAACTCCTCAATCCTATGCTGCTAGCAGTCCCCCCTTCCTCCTGGGGCTCTCTCCTCTTCCTCTGAGCAGTCTCCCGTACCTTCCCCAGGGAGAGCCATGAGGCTCAGCTGGGCCGTTAGCTGCTGGTTCTGCTGGCTGGCCGCTTCCAGGTGCTCCTAAGGGGCCAGGACAGAGTGAGAAGGGATGGAGTTTGCCAGGTCGTCCCCCTCACAGCCCCATCCTTGGCAGCTCCCTCCCCTGGGTCTCCTGCAACTTTTGGCAGGCCATCTCGGCCACTGCTTTGCCCCAAACTTCCTGCTGCTGCAGCTGTTTCATTAGCTGGGTCTGTTGCAGGCACTGCCTGTACAGCGCCTCCTTCTCACAGGTCAGCTGCTGATAGGCGGCCACCTGCTGCTGATAGGTGGCCACGTACTGCTGCAGGTGACCCAGGTAATGGTCTGGCTGCTGCTGCAGACTCTGAGCCTCTTGGCTCTTCAGCTCCACCTGCAGGAAGACCCTGGGTGTGAGGGCATGTGGTGGCTGGCTTCCAGATTCTGGGCCCATTAACAGGGTAGCAACAGCACTGTGGGGCTCTGTCGCCTGCCCAGGCCCCTGTCCCCTTACTCCAGGCCTAAGTGACTGCCTCCCTTTCCTAGAACCCCATGCCTCCTTCCCCAGCCTCAAATCTCATACCCTCTTCTCATTTAATCCTCAGCACCTCTGTAAGGAAAATGCTAACTTCCCTTTGAAGTTAAAGAAACAGAGACTTAGAGATGCAAAGTACTTGAATGGTGACCAGTGGAACCGAGGCTGGAATCCAGTTTTAATCTAAGGAGACTTTTTGTTTTGTTTTCCGACAAGAGTGTCACTCTGTGGCCCAGGCTGGAGTGCAGTGGTGCAATCTCAGCTCACTGCAACCTCCACCTCCTGGGCTCAAGCGATTCTCCTGCCTCAGCCTCCAGAGTAGGTGGAATTACAGGCATGCGCCACAATGCCCTGCTAATTTTTATTTTTTATTTTTGTAATTTTAGTAGACATGAGGTTTTACCATGTTGGCCAGGCTGATCTCAAACTCACGACCTCAAGTGATTCTCCTGCCTCAGCCTCCCAAAGTGCTGGGATTACAGGTGTGAGCCACTGCAGCTGGCATAAGGAGCCTGTTATAGCACTGTCTCTTCCCCTGTGATTGGGGGCTCCATGCCTCTAGCTGGGATGATGATGTCCAGACCTGAGAGGAGCCCAGGGCTACCCACCTCTAAAAGTCAGAGGGCAGGAAGCAAGAAACAGTCACAGTACTGCCCTGGATGGTGCTGGGGTCACCAGCCCCCAGGCTGGAGCTGCCTCTGGCTTGGTACCTCCCCTCCCCAGAGGCTGCTGCCTGCCTCCCAGCCCTTTTTGGATGGGGTGGAGGTTTCCGTGTCCTTCACCTCACCAAGCTTCTCCTGTAGCTCCTTTACTTGCTGCTCCAACTGCAGTGCGCTCTTGTTCTCATTGTTCTGGACAGAGAGAAGCAATCAGCAGCCACCCACTGCAGCTGGAGACCCCAGAACTTGGTGTCTGCCTCCCATGGCACTGGGAAGGCTGGAGGCCGGTTAGAAAAATCATCCCCTCTCTCCCACAGCCACCTGGCTCACAGGTGCCTTTAGAAGTAACCTTTCACATGAGGGCTACACTGCCCCATTTTAGAGGTGGGGAAACAAAGGCCCAGAGGGCTTGGGAGGGCAGGCTCCCCAGGAGGGGCAACGCACCAGCTCCTTGAAGATGCTCTGTGGCTCGGCCAGCTGCTGAAGCCTCTTATGCTGCTCCTAAAGCCTCTCCTCCTGCTTCCGAAGCCTCTCTTCCTGCTCTCGAATCCTCTCGTCTTGTCCCCAGTTCAGGAGACTTATGCGCTGATTGTTTTTGACCTGGACCTGGAGCTCTCCTGCCACTCTATCTAGTTCCTTCCTCAGGTGCTGCGGCTCCACCTCAGAGGGCACTGCTGGGGGCTCTGGAGGCAGGGGTTCAGCTGAGAAAGGAAGCAGATAATAAGGGCTTCTGGATTCTCAAACAAAACAAAACAAAACAAAAACCGTCCTCTTGGTACACAGCTCCTCTCAGGCTCCCCAAACTTGGCCTCACTGCTAATGATTCCTCACAGCCGGATGGTAGCCAGTCTTCAAAGCCACTTTCAGATAGAGAGAACTGTGGGTGGCTGACAATGGGCCCCCTTTGCTGATAAGGACCCTGAGGCTCATGGAGATGACAAGACTTGCCGTCTCCTAGCACAGACCTCTTTCCCTCTGCCTCCCTCTCCCTTCCATCCACCCACCTCCCTGGGGCATTCGAAGCCACCCTCACAGCCCTCTGATGCCAGTCCTGCTCCCAGGTCACGCCAGCCCCATCTTACCCATCTGGTTTTTGAGTTTGGACAAGCTCCTCTCCAGCCCCTCTACCCGATGTGTATAATGCTCCTTCTCTGTCTTCAGTGTGTAAACCTGCCCAAAGCACAGGGGGAAAGGGCCCTGGAGAGAGGGGCTGGAGGCTGGACAGGCTGCCCTCTCCCTCTCTGCCCCCACCTCCACAAAGCCCAGACCCATGACCACCTCTGGCTCTACTATTCCCATTTTACAGATGCCCAGAAAGATCCAGTGACCTATCTAATGTGGGGGGGCTGAAGGGTCAGATCTCACCTCCTGCGACATTTTTCTCATCCTCTGCTGCCACCGGGCCCTCTCTCCTTTTATTTGTTGAGCATAGTTATCTCTCTGTAATTGGACTTGTTGAAACGACTCCTTCAACTGCAAGAATGGGCACAGAAGTTAGGAAGGGCTGTCACTGGTCCTCACCTGCTCCTGGCCACCTGGGGTCATCTTCCTTCCACATCCCTCCCTCTGCAAAACCTCACCCGTGTTAGCTATGCCTTCAGCCGTGCCTTCTCCTGTAGGGACTGCTCTAACTCCCACTCCGTATGTGCTCTGCTGCGGCTCGAGAACTGGATGGCGAAGAGTGAGAAGTTCCAATCTGGGGAGGCCGGGACATTCCACACAGTACCCCTTAAAAGGGCCAGGGCTAGGCTCAATATACAACTCGGTCAGTAAAGATCAAGGCATTTCCAAGCCCATGGTCTGGTTTTTAAAAGAACTCAGAAAAGTTGGAAGGGACAGGGAAAGAGATCGAATTTACAGCTGGCTAACAGAGGCCCAGAGAGATCAGATAATATTGCTATGGTTATTACTGTTATTATTACCACTGTTTGAACCTTTATGGAGTGCTTCAACGAGTTCCATGCTAGCAATCCCATTTAATCCTCGCCACCATAGGAGACAGTTACTATGATGACCTCTATTGTGTAGATGAAAAAACATGGAGTATTTGAGGTTAAGTGCTTGCCTAAGATCACTTAGGCAGAGCTGGGATTTGAACACCCAGGTCTATCTGATTCTCTAAACCCATTTTTCTTGCTAGGGGTGGGGGCACAGATAGGAAGGGGAAAATTAATCTTTTGTTCACTTTTTGAAATGATGATACATTCGCATAGTCCCAAACTCAGAAAGTACAGAAGGGAAGTATCTCCCAGCCACCCTGTTGCTCTCTCCTGAATTTTTTATGAACACTTGCAGACATGTTTTATGTATATTATCATAGTATGTACACAAACATGCACACACACACACATTTCCTCTCTCTACAGAAATGGTAACATACTAAAGGTACTCTTCTGTACCTTCACAGTACAAGTACCCAATACCCCACCTAGGACTTGGCCGAGACCACAGCCAGGTAAGGGCAGGGCAGGCACTTGGCCTCCAATCTCTGTG
This sequence comes from Homo sapiens, assembly GCF_000001405.40. Taxonomy (NCBI): domain Eukaryota; kingdom Metazoa; phylum Chordata; class Mammalia; order Primates; family Hominidae; genus Homo; species Homo sapiens. The sequence continues at coordinate 2,969,671 of NW_011332701.1, read as the reverse complement.
TCCAGTGCTCACTCCCCAAAGTGCCCCCCAACTCACCCACAGCAGCTGACTCAGCCCCACGCTGCCTCTAACAACCATACAAAAAAGCAGCGAGAAATGGCCATGCTGCCTTCTGGGCAGGACACTCCAACCTGCAGAAGGGACCTTTAGGCTCGCTCCTCCATCTGTGAAGCTGGGCACCCAGGGGACAGGGCAAGTGGTTGAACTCACACTGATCTCCTTCTCCTCTGTGGTGGTGACAGCAGAGAGAGCCCGCTCTAACTCTCCTATACACTGCAATGAATATTGCAGGCAGCCCGCCAGATCCTTGGACTCTTCAGTAATGAGAGAGTTGAGATGGGGCCCAAACGACTCCCCGTGAAGACCCGTCAAAGTGCCAGGTTGAAGGATGACAGGGTGCCCAGATTCCTACCTTCAAAGTATCTGAGAGAACATTTCGTGTCATATAGGTCCGTATTTAGTTACTTTTTCTGTATGTTCAACCTCTGGATTTGAACCTTTGGGAGAAAAACCAAGCAAGTGCTGAAAGAGAAGGAAAGAAACACTCTCCCCGGAGGACAGGAGGAAGCTTCACGCCCTCCACTCACCTCTAGCTCCCTTTTGGCTTTTTGTTTCTCGTTTGCTTTTCCTATAGGAAGAGGAAGACAGAGCTCTTACCAGGGAGACGCAGAGACGGCACAGCAAGAGACATGCCCCCAGAATGCCACCAATGCCCCAGGACAGGCCCACCCATGGGACCAGGTTATCAGGGACCCTGTGGGGATGGGGTGGAATCTGAGGGGTGAGCCTCCTTCCCCAGGCTGGGAGTGGGCGAGATGAGACTGAGGCCTCTATGTCTGAGTGCCCCCCAAACCCAGCAGTCGTGTCGCGAGCAAATAAAGAAATCACGTTACTTCTTCCAGCTGATGTTCCACTTGTTTCTTCTGTTGTTTCTGTGGGAAGAGTCAAATTAAGGTGATGGAGGGTGGCCCCCTCAACTCTATTCCCCAGACAGGAAGCGGTAGGCAGGGGTCAGGAATGGATTTTAAAGGCAAAGTTCTCAGACCCAATGGGAACATGAACTGGTAAACTCTCTTCAAGCTCCCAAGGACAGAGGATTTGGGTCTTTGTTGGTTTTTGCCCACAGCCACAGAACTCAAAGTCTGAATCAGGACTCTCTTGAGAGGACAGTAACATAAACCCCTAGAGATGGAGTTTCAGAAAGGCCCCTCCTTCTGGCAGCTTGTGATTTAGAAAAGTGGGTTCACTCAATAAACGTGTACTGAGCATGTATGGGCCAGGTATGATTCTTCACAGCAGATATAGGATGGAAAAGGACAGACAGGAGCCCTTGGCCCTGGGTTTCTATTCTAGGGGGCCTTTAAATCTCGGACTCTCAGAGCTAACAGAGACCTTTGATACTCACTACCTCCTCTGGAAACACAAGACCAAAAAGGAGAGGTGGCTTGTCCAGAATCAAAGAGCAAATTAGGAACTGAGTCACAGCAGAAATACAGGGCCCCTGACAACCAGTCAGGCTAGTAATTCCCCGAGAGGCAACAACCCCAGGGCGTGTGTAGCAAGGACTCGAGCAGGGGTGTCTGGAGAGGAGAGAGTCGGCAAAGAGGGCAGCAAAAGCAGAGCCATGCTGCATGCTCTGGGGTCCCTCCAGGTGAGGCCTGGGCACCCCAGCTCCCTATTTGTCCTTGGCACCAGGGGCCCCCAGCACTTTCTTCAGGGCCCTAAGGGGAAACTGGAGCCCAGGATTGGCAGCGTGGACTCAGGGGACCCCACTGGACTCTTACCAAAGATTTGATGGTGTTCTTCAGTTGACTGATTTTTACGGACCTTGGGTTCAGGACTACTGCTGGCTCTTGGCACGGGCTCTGAGGCGCATGCAGAGAGGAGGAGGTGGAGGAGGAGTCGGGGGAGAGGTAGAGAAAACGATCATCAGGGCTGGGGTGTGTGGGCTGTCTCAGCTGGCAGAGGGGCACCCAGTCCCCACTGTGTGAGGAGGATGGAGGGCTGGCCTGCAGGGTCACTGCACCTCCGCCCAGAGCCTCCTACCTCCAGATCCTTCAGGGTAGCAGATGATGTAGGGCCCTCCCCGTGGATACCTGTTGCTGACTACAAGAGATGAGAGTGCACATGGAGATGTTCTGTCCCCCTCGGTGTCTGAGCCCTCTGACTTCCTTTCTTCCCCATCAACTGGCAACATTTTCTTTTCTGCCTATCTTGGACCCTTTGTCCCATAACTCTGTGCCAACTTCTCTCATGGTTCTTTTCTCCACATCATCCCACCCTGGGGCCCTTTCAGTGACTCCTGATGGCAAGTGACTGTTCTCATTGTCCTGGCTTTCCCTTGAGACTGGGGATGAGGAAAATCAAACAGCAATGCTGGGTGTCCTGGGTGTTTACGGCAGGCCATGTACTAGGGATTAACATAAAAACAACAAAAACAAATCTCATTTAAACTTCACAAATGGAAGTCAAACAATACCATCTCTGTTATACAGATGTAAAAAGAGAGGCCCAAAGAGCTCAAGCAACTTGCCGTAAATCATATCCCTACCAGGCGGAGAGGCAGGATGCAAACCCAGAATTCCATTTTTTTTTTTTTTTTTTTTTTTTTTTGAGACGGAGTCTCGCTCTTTCCCAGGCTAGAGTGCAGTGGCACAATCTTGGCTTACTGCAAGCTCCACCTCCTGGGTTCACGCCATTCTCCTGCCTCAGCCTCCTGAGTAGCTGGGACTACAGGCGCCCACCACCATGCCTGGCAAATTTCTTTGTATTTTTTAGTAGAGACGGGGTTTCACCATGTTAGCCAGGATGGTCTCAATCTCCTGACCTTGTGATCCACCTGCCTTGGTCTCCCAAAGTGCTAGGATTACAGGCGTGAGCCAGCACACCTGGCCAAACCCAGAATTCTTAACCATCACCCAACAGTCCATCCGTGATCTCAACAATTACCTTCTATTGCCCCTTGGGCCCCCTGTCCCCAGAAGCCTGGCCAGCCAAGACTCACATCCCCAGGTGACTGGCAACCACCAGAAGTGGCTGTCTCAGGGATACTGCCATTTGTTTTCCTGTTCCTCTTGGCTCCTTCTGGAACTCTAGGGCTGTTTTTCTGCCAATATTCTTTTAACTGTGGGAAAGAAGAGCAGTAATACTCATAAGAACTGTCAGCCCCTACAGCCACATCCTCCTTTACAGTTTTTACAAAATACTCTTATACACCATCTGATTTAACGACACCAACAACTGTACAAGGTGTTGTCACAATCATTTAGTGACTGAGAGGGATTGATATCATGGCTAGAAAAAAGAAAAAAAAAGAAAAAGGCGATACTGGGACTTTGAAACTCAGTCTTCTGACTCCAAGCTCTGGGGTTTTGCCAAGAATCAGCAGCTGCCAGGGACCAAAACCAGAGGCAGAGGTAGAAAAGTAAACATTAAGTAGGCAGGAACTGTATGCCATGTGGTTTAGAGTCATACATCCTCACACGTCTGTTAGTGTGAAGAAGTGCACCAGTACCTCTCAAACTTTTATATCAATGTGTCCTCATGGCAGAAGGCAGGCTTTTTGTTAAATCTGGGAATTTATCAGAAAGATGACAAACCAAGCCTCATTTCAGAGAGAAGTCTGGTATACTCTTAGAAGCCTATGTGACTGTCATCCCTAAGTACATTCATGTTTTTTCTCTTGATCTCAAGAGAATCAAGGGAAACTGATGCTTCAGAAAGATGTCCCACATTTATTCTGTGGCACTCAAAGTACCCAAGGTTGAGATAATATGAGGAAGATTCAAGCTGTCAAGTTCAGTTTCCCAAGATCTATTCCACAGAAGATGAGCAAATCTCACTTCAGAGACCACTGACTGAAGGGCAGTCTGGTCCCAGAACCATGGAGAATTAGAATATGAGGTGGAGAACTGAGAAAAAAGTTAAAATCTCTCTGGAAAGTAGAAGCCTGGGAGAAAACCAAACCAAACCAATTCTCCCATTGCCACCCAGAGACACTGTTAACGTTTTGAGCTCATGGGGGAAGTGTAGGCTTTTCCCACTGTCAGTGTCTATGTTAAGGGAGTAAGGCAGCCTGAAACCTCTTGCTCCTAGGTCCCATAATCTCCATTCCCTTTGCAGCTGGAAATTTGTGCTGTGACCAGAGGAATCAGAAATGGGGTGACAACGCTTAGGGGACTGGGTCATAAGATCAAAGGCTGGTCTTGCAGTAATGACAGTTCCCAGGTGGATTGTGACATCACTACATTCCACCCTCCTGGTCGTGGGGAGGGACATCAGCACGATGTCTGAGTTGCTGCTCCATGATGGGGGAGGGAAACACAGGGTTGGGACCCAGCTCCTTGGAGACGCCAGCGCAAAGAGCCCAGGGAGGTCGACCTTGAGGCAGCAGGAGGGGAGGGCAGAGTCTGCAGCAGGGAGCCTCAGGAGTCACCAGCCCAAAGTCACCCAGGGATGACTGGCGAGGGCGGGGCCTGGGGCTGGGGGACCAAGGTCCTTGGAGATGTGAGCCCAAAGAGCCCAGGGAGGTTGAGTTTGGGGCGGTAGGAGGTGAGGGCCCAGTAATGGAGTGGGAATCCCCAAGAGTCACCCACCCAAAGTCACCATGGGGTGATTGGAGAGGGCAGGGACTGGGCTGCTTGCTGAAGGGGCAGGGCTGACTGACAAGACTTTGGTGGGTGGAGCCCAGAGGCAGTCCGGTGTGCCTCAGGAGTGGTATGGACTCTGGCAGCGGTCTTGTCATCAGAGGGGATCTGTGGCTGGGTTGGGGGGTGATGACCTGGAATTTTTACCTTTGTATTGGCTACAGCCAATTTGCTCTGTCGAGTTTCTTCTGCTATTGTGGGGTGGGTAGGGAGGCAGGGTTGGGGCCACGTCAGCGAAATCCCAGTGAGCACTATCAATGCATCCAGTCACCTACCAGGCAGCCGTGTGACTGAGCCAGAGGAGGCGTAACCAGGGCTCCAGTAGAATGCAGAATAGGGGCGTGGCCTTAATGCTCCAAGCCCATTGGTCAATGACAAAGATGAAAGGGAAAGGGGGCGTGGCCGGGCCCCAGTGTGTCCAGAGGGACCTGTGGCTCACAAGGAAAGCTGCCCAGGCAACCGCTGTCCCCGCCCACTCTGTGAGAGGGGAGGGGCCAGCTTTTGCTTTAAAATTTAAAAAAAAGTGTGTATACTTTATACATACATATATATATATATACATATACATATACATATATGTGTGTTTCTGTGTATGTGTATCTATGTGTTCCTCCAGAGCTGTCTTCATTACCCAGCTTCTATGCAAGGTCTATGATTTTGGCCTATATTTTTCATCTTCAAATCCATTAAAAAAATTACCAGTATTACCTTAACTGAGATACAGATCCTATAAAAATGGAAAATCCATAGCATGCTTGATGATTAATGAAGAAGACTATATTATCCAACATTCCAGTAAGATAAAATAATCACAGTGATTCTCTTTTTTGGAAAAATGTTTATCTTATTCTCCTACGTTACTGTTAAGATTTTTTTTCTTAAACAAGAAACATGTCTAATATCTGTAAAAACACAAAGCTTTTGGGGCGGATGCAGTGGCTCACGCCTGTAATCGCAGCACTTTGGGAGCCCAAGGCGGGTGGATCACCTGAGGTCAGGAGTTTGAGACCAGCCTGGCCAACATGGTGAAACCCCATCTCTACTAAAAGTACAAAAACTAGCCAGGCGTGGTGGTGGGTGCCTGTAATCCCAGCTATTCGGGAGGCTGAGGCAGGAGAATCACTTGAACCCAGGAGATGGAGGTTGCAGTGAGCCAAACTCATGCCACTGCACTCCAGCCTGGGTGACAGAGTGAGACTCCATCTCAAAAGAAATAAAATAAAATACAAAGTAAATTTTAAAAGCTTTCAATTTAATAAGCACTCAAAGCTCTTTACCAATTTAAAACAAATACAAGGTCCATTTTTCTAGAATCACTTGGCTTCTCTAAGCCTTGCAAATGAAACTGAATTTCTCACTTGATACTTGGCTATGACTTACAATCATGAAAACCAAGAATTGTGTTATGTCACTGTGTACTGCTTGTTACCTGAATTTCACACGAGGCTGGGATCAAGGGTTGAATCTTTCATGATTTGCTCCATAACCTGTGTGCTTCTTATGCCAGACCAAACTAAGCTTTTGTTTAGAGTGCTACAGTTTACAGTTAGTAGACAAGAGTGGTTCTCAGTAATGTAGTCTCTGGACTAGCAGCAGCAGCAGCAGCAGCAGCAGCACCTGAGAACTTTCTGTAAGTGCAAATTCTCAGGCCCTACCCTGGACGTGGTGAATCAGAATCTCTGGAGTAGGACTCAGCAATCTGTGCCGCAGTAATCCCTCCAGGTGCTCAGGAACCTCTGCCATACAGCAGGTAGAAAAATGTGTTTCTTCTGTAGGTCCAAAGCCAGGGATACTATATATTCTATCTCGATATGAAACAATGACATGCAATTAAAACACTTAACTCTCCTTCCTACTCCCACCCTCCATCCAATGTGTTTTATTTTTATGAGTTCAATAAGAAAACAAGTGGCAGTCAGAAGTTTAGTCTAAAAAACATATTTACAAGTATTAGTTCTCATCCAGCCTGACTTCATACAAAACCATTTACATCCTCTTACAGCTAAAATTTTAAAAAAGTATCTTCACAATATAAGTCTCAGGCACAGTAGGAGTTCTATAATAAAACACCAAGTAGATTGGAATGTCCAAACTTACTAGAGAAGAAAAGTGGAATCATTGGCTATATTTTCAAATTGCATTCCAAGGAAATTTAAGTTCTGAATTTTTTTCACCTTCATACTTCCAAGTTAATAGAATTCAACCAGAACACTCCATTCCTTCAAAGCCTCTAGCCAGGCAAAGTTTTACTGTATTACTTCTTGCTTTCAATGGATATAAAGCAGCGTCCTGGTAGGCACATTTTGTGTGCCTGCAAAGATGCAGAACTAAACAGTTCTGTCTGTTCCATATTAACACAAAAGTCCTATAAACCTTGGATGGTGAGTGTAATACTTCAGCACTAGCACCAAAGCCTCAAATATGAAAAGATACCAAGAACATCACTAGCAAAGAAAATTAAACTCTCAGCCAGGAGCAGTAGTACACATCTGTAATCCTAGTACTTTGACAAGCCAAGGTGGGAGGATTACTTGACGTCAGGAGTTCAAGACAAGCCTGGGAAGCATAGCGAATTCACATCTCTACAAAAAATTTTAAAAAACAGCTGGGCATGGTGGCACACACCTGTAGTCCTAGCTAGTCAGCAGGCTGAGGTGGGAAAACTGCTTCTGCCCAGGAGTTCGAGGCTGCAGTAGCTATGATTATGGCACTGCACTCCAGCCTGGGTGACATAGCGAGACCTAGATAATTACATTCTCTCCTGCTCCTGTTTACACAAAAATCACTAAGTTAAAAAGCTTTCAAATTTGGCAGGATAAAAATGAAGTGAAATGTGACTTTGGAGTTTGGAGGGAGAAGGAAGAAAGGAAGGAAGGAGGGAGGGAAGGAGGGAGGGAAGGAGGGAGGGAGTGAAGGGGAAAAGGAAAAAGAAAAGAAGGAAGGAAAGAAAGAAAGAAAAGGAAAAAAGGAAGGAAAGAAAGGAAAGAAAAAAGAAAGGAAAGGAAAAAAAGGAAAGGGAAGGGTAGGAAGAAAGAATAGAAAAAATAAAATGAAATGACAAATTACTTACTAGGAGAAAGTTTTTGTAACCTCAGTGACAAATAAAAAGTTTGTATCCTTAGCCTATAAAGAAATGTTTAAAATTACTCAGAAACAAAAAACAAATGATTTTCAACAAAAAATGGGCAATAGAGAAACAGGCACTACTCACAAAAATAAAAATGGCCAATAGGTATATAAAAAAGATTCAAAAGCACTAGAAATCAAGGAAATGTCATGAAAACAATGACATTTTCTGTATAAAGGCACAACGATGACAAATGGAAGGGGGAACCTGGAGCTCTGTCCCTGTTGGTGGGAGTATAAACTTAGCCACTTTTCCTGGAGGATAATTTGAAAATTTCTATTAAAGACCCTAAAAATTATTACCCTCCAGAAATTCTACTTCTATGAATTCAGTCCAAAAATGCTTGCTCGAGTCCATTAAAATGTGTATATAAGAAAATTCACCTCTGGGGTGCCAATGATTAACTTAATATACATCCAGCTATTAAAAATGATGATGCCAGGATATATTTACTGCCACAGAAATATGCCCAAAATATAGTTAGTGACAAAAGATTATCTATTATGATTCTACTTTTCAAAATGTTTACATGTATAAAAAGATATAAAAAGCAACACACCGGCTGGGCGCGGTGGCTCACGCCTGTAATCCCAGCACTTTGGCAGGCCGAAGGGGGCGGATCACGAGGTCAGGTGATCCAGACCGTCCTGGCTGACACGGTGAAACCCCGTCTCTACTAAAAATACAAAAAAAATTAGCTGGGTGTGGTGGCGGGTGCCTGTAGTCCCAGCTACTCAGTAGGCTGAGGCAGGTGAATGGCGTCAACCCGGGAGGCAGAGCTTCCAGTGAGCTGAGATTGTGCCACTGCACTCCAGCCTGGGCAATAAAGCGAGACTCCATCTCCAAAAAAAAAAAAGCAACAAACTGGAATGTTTTGAGTGGCAAATTAAAGATTTTTCTTAATATTTGTCATCCAACTTATTTTAAAAAGAATGTGATTTCCTTTGTAATCAGGGAGAAGTGTTATTTTCATTTATTTATGTTTAAATCTCTTTTTCTTATTTTTTCTCCCGTATGTATCCCATGTAGGCTAGAATCCCTTCCTCTTCAGGGAAACCAGCCTATTTTTGGGAAGTGCACTACGTAAAGCTGCCCCATCTTCATTTATTTTAAGAGATCTGGAGACATTTTTATTTCAAATTGTTTTATTGTTCTCAGAATATTTTTTTTAATATATGAAATTGAGGAAAAGACAAAGGAAAGGCTGACTCCCTACCCTACTGGGGCTACTCTTCCAATTTTTGCTGCTATTGGTTATGTATTAATATTCACTGGGTATAAAAAGATGGGCAGCCCCTTAGATCCTTTGTTCTTATCTCTTTCTCATAATCCTACTTCATTCCTCCATTCACTTATTTTTAAAAGGGTCATGTGTACAAGTACATAGTTCAGAAAATTTTTAAATATAACCATAAAAGTGTGCAGTAAAATCCCATTCACAGTCTTATACTCCTTCCACAGCCAAACACTTTTAATTGGTTTCTTATGTATCTTTTCAGAATTTATCTTTGCAAATACACATGTATATTCTTATTCTACTCTTCTCTACAACACAAAAAGTAGCATACCACACATATGATACCATTCCTTTTTCCTCTGGAGAAAAACACACACAATATATCCGGGTTCTCCTAGACGAGTACAGAGTCTTTCTCATTCTTCTTTTCATCTGCACAGTATGCATCATTTGGATGTACCACAGTTTACTTAACCAGTTCCCTGTTGGCGGACACTGAAATCATCCCTATCATACTATTTATAGGCAATAATGCCAAGCATAGCCACCTACACACACCAAGTTCATTTCTGAATCTGCCTTTGATGAAGCTTCTGTTTGAATCACCACAAGGTCACAAGGCTGAAAAGTTAGTCCCTGTTTTAGTTTTCATTATGTACAGCAGTATGTAGCAAAAGACTCCCTTGGGCAAAGCAAACATACTCTTTGGGGATTTACTTCCTAACAGTAAATGGATAAACAGAACACCAAGGAGAACCATAAAAATTAAAAATATTAGCTGAGTGTGGACCTATAGTCCTACCTACTTAGAATCATTTGAGCCTAGGAGTTTGAGGCTGTAGTGAGCTATGACTGTGCTACTGCATTCCAGCCTGGGCAACAGGGTGAGACTCCATCTCTAAAAATAAAATTTAAAAATAAATAAAGGCCAGGTGTGGTGGTTTATACCTATAATCCCAGCACTATGGGAGGGCTAGGTGGGAGAGTCACTTGGGGCCAAGAGTTCGAGACCAGTCCGGGCAACATAACGAGACTCCATCGCTACAAAAAAATTTTAAAATTAGCCCAGTGTAGTGGTGCACACCTGTAGTCCCAGCTACTCTGGAGGTTGAGACAGAAGGATTGGTTGAGCCCAGGAGCTCGAGGCTGCAGTGAGCTATGATCACACTATTGCCCTCTAGCCTGGGCAACAGAGCAAGACCCTGTCTCAAATGAATGAATGAATGAATGAATGAATGAATGGAATAATGGCCCATGCTCAGCAAGACACATTACTGACTTTTTAATGTGAGGGGGGGAGAAGAGGAAATAAGCCAACTAACATTTCCATAGCTGTAAAAATGAGAACTAGCCCAACAGTGTGAATGGACTGATGCCACAGAACTATACACTATTAAGTTAAAATGGTCAATTTTATGTTTTCTTTATTTATCTTACATATAACCACAAGTTTATTTTATTTTTGTCTTAAATTTTTTTAAAAAAGAGATAGGGTCTCATTAAGTTGCCTAGGCTGGTCTTGAACTCCTAAGCTCAAGCTATCCTCCTGCTTTCACCTCCCAAAGTGCTGGGATTAGAGGTGTGAGCCACCACTCCTGGCCATTGCCACAACATTAAAGAAAGAGACAGAGAACAGACCACATTCTTGACTATTAGGTAATGCAACTTTATTTCAACAAAGGAGAGTAAAGGCAATAAAATCCCACACACCTGGAAAGTTTTAAACCAGCTCACAAACAATCCTAGATGGAAGGAAAATTTTAAAAGGAGACCTGAAACAGTCTGTAACAATAACGGAAACATTACATGTCAGAACTAATGGGCTATTGCTAACACTACATCGAAAGGAAAGTTCATAGCCTTAAATGATTCAATAATGACACAAGAAAGAAACAAAGAAAATGAAGTTACAAAACAATAAAAAGCTGGGGTACAGAACTAGGGATAAAAAGCCGTTTCTCTTTCCCAATAAATAAAGACAGGGCAGTGTCTTTCCTATACCCAGCCAGTATATGATATATAAATATAATTTCATAAATGTTAACTATAAAGAATTGGACCTATAGTGGAGAGCTAACTTAACTAATAAACACATTAGCTGAATGTGATGAAGAATTCAAAGGAACTGTCAGCTGTCATCTTATTGCAGTGCTTTTAAAATTAAATGTGTCTGTCTCTTACTGTTAATGTTTTCATTATGTTTTCTATTTTACACTAATATCAATTAATCTTCCTCAAATTTATAGATGTATTCTCAGTCAACATCCCAATAGGTAAACTAAAGTTGATTTTAGAAATTACATGCAAATGAAAAAGGGCAAACATAAATTCTTGAAAAAAGATATTAATGGTAGGCCAAAACATTGCATATATTGAAAATATATATTAAAAGTAAAGACTATTAATTGAGATAGTGTGGCACAGAGATAAGTAGGCCAACACAACCAAATAGAGCCTAGAAAGAGACATGTCCATTGATGTGACAGAGGTGACACTGCAGAGCAGGGGAGAGAAGACACACTTTGACTCCGTGATATGGGGAAACTGATTATCTGTATTTATTTTTAAAATAAAAAACAGAACTAAACATAGCACCACACACAAATATAATTTTAGTCTCCATGCCTACTTTCCAACAAACAGCACCAAAATTAACATCTGAAATATATTGCAGTGTTTTAAAAATTAAATGTGTCTATCTCTTGCTGTTAATGTTTTCATTGAGTATGTTTTCTATTTTATACTTAAACATTAGTTGTTTCACATTTGTGGATTGATCTTTCCTCTAAGGGCTTCAAGGTACCTGGAATTTTTTTTTTAACACATTTTATTGTTTTAGTAATTCACTGAATCAAGAACGTAGGATTTTCATTTCTTGCAGTATGGTGGGCAAGCTACCTGGACAACCCTATCCCTCTGAAAGCAACTAAAAATACTGTATATAAAATTTGAAAAAAACAAACAAACAAAAAAAAACCTTAAAAACATCTATAAAGTAGCACCAAATTCTTTTTTTTTTTTTAGATGGATTCTTCTCTGTTGCCCAGGCTGGAGTGCAGTGGCACAATGTCGGCTCACTGCAACCTCTACCTCCTGGGTTCAAGCAATTCTTCTGCCTCGGCCTCCGGAGTAGCTGAGATTACAGGCGCGTGCCACCACGCCTGGCTAATTTTTGTATTTTTAGTAGAGACGGGGTTTCACCATGTTGGACAGGCTGGTCTTGAACTCCTGACCTTTTGATCTGCCCGCCTCGGCCTCCGAAAGTGCTGGGATTACAGGTGTGAGCCACTGCACCTGGCCTATACATCTTTTTTTAACAGTGTATAACTCTAATTTATCACAGTTGACTTTCAAGTAATGATATACAAATTCATATATATGAACCGCATGTATATTAGAGCTTTGTATCATAGCCTTATTTATATAATGTACATAATGATATGCAAATTCCTAAGAACCTCACACCAGAATAATCTAGCATTCTCCTTCTACCCTTCCTAATATTGTCATACATTTTATGTCTACATATGTTATAAAGCTCACAATTCGTTGTTGTTATTTCTGCTTTAAACAGCTATGTTTGGCTGGGCATAGTGGCTCATGCTTGTCATCTCAGCACTCTGTGAAGCCAAGGCAGGAGGATTACTTGAGACCAGGAGTTCAAGATCAGCCTGGGCAACATAATGAGACCTTATCTCTATTAAAAATTAAAAAAAAATTAGCTGGGCATGGTGGCACATGTCTGTTGTCGCAGCTGCTTGGGAGGCTGAGGTGGAAAGATTGCTTGAGCCTGGGAGATTGAGACTGCAGTGAGCTGTAATCCTGCCACTGTACGTCAGTGTGGGTGACACAGTGAGACCCTGTGTCTCAAAAAGAAAAACAACAGCAGCTTATGTTTAAAATAGGTTCAAAAATTAAGGAAAACAATTCATTATATTTATTCACATATTTACTTTTTTATTCTTTGTTTTTTTGTATAGATTTAATTTTCTTCTCATCATTTTTTTCTGCCTGAATAATTTCCTTCAATATTTTTGTAGTGCAATTCTGCTGGTGATGAATTTTCTCAATTTTTGTATGTAAGAATGCAGCCCGCCATGCTCGAGACCCCCTCTCCCCTCGGTGGGCTCCGACGCCGCCCGAGCCTCCCAAACAGGCGCGGCCCCCTGCTCCGCAGCGCCAGGTCCCATTGACCGCCCAAGGGCCAAGGAGTGCAGGCGCATGGTGCCGGACTGGCGGGCAGCTCCACCCACAGCCCTGGCGTGGGATCCACTAGGTGAAGCCAGGTGGGCTCCTGAGTCAGGTGTGGACTTGGAGAACTTTTATGTCTAGCCAGAGGATTGTATATGCACCAGTCAGCACTCTGTGTCTAGCTTGGGGTTCGTGGATGCACCAATCAGCAGTCTGTATCTAGCTAATCTGGTGGGGACTTGGAGAACTTTTATGTCTAGCTAAAGGATTGTAAATGCACCAATCAGCACTCTGTGTCTAGCTCAAGGTTTGCAAATGCACCAATCAGCACTCTGTCTAGCTAATCTAGTGGGGACTTGGAGAACTTTTATGTCTAGCTAAAGGATTGTAAATGGACCAGTCAGCACTCTGTGTCTAGCTTGGGGTTTGTGGATGTATCAATCAGCACTCTGTATCTAGCTAATCTGGTGGGGACTTGGAGAACTTGTGTGGCTAAAGGGTTTTAAATGCACCAATTTGTTTAGTGACCTTGTAGTTGCACAGTTAGGGAATTAGAGTTTTATAATGCCTGGGAAGGGAGAAGAGATAAGGCTCACTAGCCATAGAAAAACAGGCAGTTTCTTTTAAAGGACTCCAGCTCTTTCTCATTCTCAGGGGGAAATGGTTTTTTTTTTTGTTTTTTTTTTTTAACATACAACTGTTTTTGCTTACACATTTTTAAATGTCTTTTAATTCCTGTTCCAATCCCAGCACCCAGAGAGGCTGAGGCAGGCACATAACTTGAGGTCAGGAGATTGAGACCAGCCTGACTAACATGGAGAAACCCCATCTCCACCAAAAAAAAAAAAAAAAAAAAAAAAAGCAAAATTAGCTGAGCATGCCTGCAGTCCCACCCACTCGGGAGGCTGAGGCAGGAGAACCACCCAAACCCAGGAGGCAGATGCCCAGGTGAGCCAAGACCTCACCACTGCACTCCAGCTTGGTCAACAAGAGTGAAACTCTGTCAAAATAAATAAATAAATAAATAATAAAAACATAAATAAAATAAAAAGAGTAATCTTAGTTCTCAGGAGATCTGGCTGTTAAAAAGAATCTGGCACCTCCCTCCTCTCTCTTTCTGTCTCTCTCACCATGTGATGTCTACTCCCCTTCACCTTCTGCCATGAGTGGAAGCAGCCTGAAGCCCTCACCAGAAGCAGATGCTGGCACCATGCTTCTTCTATAGCCTGCAGAACTGTTAGCCAAATAAACCTCTTTTCTTTATAAATTATCCTGCCTCAGGTATTCCTTTATAACAAAGCAAAACAGGCTAACACAGGCATTACTGGTGGGATAGGCACAGATTGATAGCCAGGTGTGGTGGCTCATGCCTGTAATCCCAGCACTTTGGGAGGCCAAGTTGGGGGGATCACTTGAGGTCAGGAGTTCAAGACCAGCCTGGCCAACATGAGGAAACCTCATCTCTATGAAAAATACAAAAATTAGCCAGGTGTGGTGGCACATGCCTGTAATCCCCAGCTACTTGGGAGGCTGAGGCAGGAGAATCACTTGAACCTGAGAGGCGGAAGTTGCAGTGAACCGATCACACCACTGCACTCCAGCCTGGGTGACAGAGCAAGACTCTGTCTCAAAAAAAAAAAAAAAAAAAAAAGGCTTATCTAGATGTAGATTCACCTCTTGCTCCCCTCTAGTTTTCTATAAAATCACCCCAATCTGGCTCCCATCTCAATTTGTTATTTACGAGTCACTGATAACTCCATCTTACCAAATCCAAAGAAATGTCTATTTTATTATTATTATTATACTTTAAGTTTTAGGGTACATGTGCACAACGTGCAGGTTGGTTACATATGTATACATGTGCCATGTTGGTGTGCTGCACCCATTAACTCGTCATTTAGCATGAGTTATATCTCCTAATGCTATCCCTCCCCCCTCCCCCCATCCCACAACAGGCCCCAGTGTGTGATGTTCCCCTTCCTGTGTCCATGTGTTCTCATTGTTCAATTCCCACCTATGAGTGAGAACATGCAGTGGTTGGTTTTTTGTCCTTGCGATAGTTTGCTCAGAATGATGGTTTCCAGCTTCATCCACGTCCCTACAAAGGACATGAACTCATCACTTTTTATGGCTGCATAGTATTCCATGGTGTATATGTGCCACATTTTCTTAATCCAGTCTATCATTGTTGGACATTTGGGTTGGTTCCAAGTCTTTGCTGTTGTGAATAGTGCTGCAATAAACATATGTGTGCATGTGTCTTTATAGCAGCATGATTTGTAATCCTTTGGGTATATACCCAGTAATGGGATGGCTGGATCAAATGGTATTTCTAGTTCTAGATCCCTGAGGAATTGCCACACTGACTTCCACAATGGTTGAACTAGTTTACGTTATGGTCCCACCCACAGTGTAAAAGTGTTCCTATTTCTCCACATCCTCTCCAGCACCTGTTGTTTCCTGACTTTTTAATGATTGCCATTCTAACTGGTGTGAGATGGTATCTCATTGTGGTTTTGATTTGCATTTCTCTGATGGCCAGTGATAGTGAGCATTTTTTCATGTGTTTTTTGGCTGCATAAATGTCTTCTTTTGAGAAGTGTCTGTTCATATCCTTTGCCCAATTTTGATGGGGTTGTTTTTTTCTTGTAAATTTGTTGGAGTTCATTGTAGATTCTGGATATTAGCCCTTTGTCAGATGAGTAGGTTGCAAAAATTTTCTCCCATTCTGTAGGTTGCCTGTTCACACTGAAGGTGGTTTCCTTTGCTGTGCAGAAGCTCTTTAGCGTAATTAGATCCCATTTGTCAATTTTGGCTTTTGTTGCCATTGCTTTTGGTGTTTTAGACATGAAGTCCTTGCCCATGCCTATGTCCTGAATGGTATTGCCTAGGTTTTCTTCTAGGGTTTTTATGGTTTTAGATCTAATATTTAAGTCTTTAATCCATCCTGAATTAATTTTTGTATAAGGTGTAAGGAAGGGATCCAGTTTCAGCTTTCTACATATGGCTAGCCAATCTTCCCAGCACCATTTATTAAATAGGGAATTGTTTCCCCATTTCTTATTTTTGTCAGATTCGTCAAAGATCAGATAGTTGTAGATATGCAGCATCATTTCTGAGGGCTCTGTTCTGTTCCATTGGTCTATATCTCTGTTTTGGTACCAGTACCAAAACAGAGTTACTGTAGCCTTGTAGTATAGTTTGAAGTCAGGTAGTGTGATGCCTCCAGCTTTGTTCTTTTGGCTTAGGATTGACTTGGCAATGAGGGCTCTTTTTTGGTTCCATATGAACTTTAAAGTAGTTTTTTCCAATTCTGTGAAGAAAGTCATTGGTAGCTTGGTGGGGATGGCATTGAATCTATAAATTACCTTGGGTAGTATGGCCATTTTCACAATATTGATTCTTCCTACCCATGAGCATGGAATGTTCTTCCAATTGTTTGTATCCTCTTTTATTTCATTGAGCAGTGGTTTGTAGTTCTCCTTGAAGAGGTCCTTCACATCCCTTGTAAGTTGGATTCCCAGATATTTTATTCTCTTTGAAGCAATTGTGAATGGGAGTTCACTCATGATTTGGCTCTCTGTTTGTCTGTTATTGGTGTATAAGAATGCTTTGTGATTTTTGCACATTGATTTTGTATCCTGAGACTTTGCTGAAGTTGCTTATCAGCTTAAGGAGATTTTGGGCTGAGACAGTGGGGTTTTCTAGATATACAATCATGTTATCTGCAAACAGGGACAATTTGACTTCCTCTTTTCCTAATTGAATGCTCTTTATTTCTTTCTCCTGCCTGATTGCCCCGGCCAGAACTCCCAACACTATGTAGAATAGGAGTGGTAAGAGAGGGCATCCCTGTCTTGTGCCAGTTTTTGAAGGGAATGCTTCCAGTTTTTGCCCATTCAGTATGATATTGGCTGTGGGTTTGTCATAAATAGCTCTTATTATTTTGAGATACGTCCCATCAATACCTAATTTATTGAGAGTTTTTAGCATGAACGGCTGCTGAATTTTGTCAAAGGCCTTTTCTGCATCTATTGAGATAATCATGTTGTTTTTGTCTTTGGTTCTGTTTATATACTGGATTACGCTTATTGATTTGTGTATGTTGAACCAGCCTTGCATGCCAGGGATGAAGCCCACTTGATCATGGTGGATAAGCTTTTTGATGTGCTAATGGATTCGGTTTGCCAGTATTTTATCGAGGATTTTTGCATCGATGTTCATCAGGGATATTAGTCTAAAATTCTCTTTTTTGCGTGTGTCTCTGCCAGGCTTTGGTATCAGGATGATGCTGGCCTCATAAAATGAGTTAGGAAGGATTCCCTCTTTTTCTATTGATTGGAATAGTTTCAGAAGGAATGGTACCAGCTTCTCCTTGTACCTCTGGTAGAAATTAGCTGTGAATCCGTCTGGTCCTGGACTTTTTTTGTTTGGTAGCCTATTAATTATTGCCTCAATTTCAGAGCCTGGTATTGGTCTATTCAGAGATTCAGCTTCTTCCTGGTTTAGTCTTGGGAGGGTGTATGTGTCCAGGAATTTATCCATTTCTTCTAGATTTTCTGGTTTATTTGTGTAGAGGTGTTTATAGTATTCTCTGATGGTAGTTTGTATTTCTGTGGGATTGGTGGTGATATCCCCTTTATCATTTTTTATTGCGTCTATTTGATTCTTCTCTCTTTTCTTCTTTATTAGTCTTGCTAGCAGTCTATCAATTTTGTTGATCTTTTCAAAAAACCAGCTCCTGGATTCATTGATTTTTTGAAGGGTTTTTGGTGTCTCTATCTCCTTCAGTTCTGCTCTGATCTTAGTTACTATTTCTTGCCTTCTGCTAGCTTTTCAATGTGTTTGCTCTTGCTTCTCTAGTTCTTTTAATTGTGATGTTAGGGTGTCAATTTTGGATCTTTCCTGCTTTCTCTTGTGGGCATTTAGTGCTATAAATTTCTCTCTACACACTGCTTTAAATGTGTCCCAGAGATTCTGGTATGTTGTGTCTTTATTCTCACTGGTTTCAAAGAACACCTTTATTTCTGCCTTCATTTCATTATGTACCCCATAGTCATTCAGAAGCAGGTTGTTCGGTTTCCATGTAGTTGAGCGGTTTTGAGTGAGTTTCTTAATCCTGAGTTCTAGTTTGATTGCACTGTGGTCTGAGAGACAGTTTGCTATAATTTCTGTTCTGTTACATTTGCTGAGGAGTGCTTTACTTCCAATTATGTGTTCAATTTTGGAATAAGTGTGATGTGCTGAGAAGAATGTATATTCTGTTGATTTTGGGGTGGAGAGTTCTGTAGATGTCTATTAGTTCTGCTTGGTGCAGAGCTGAGTTCAGTTCCTGGATATCCTAGTTAACTTTCTGTCTCATTGATCTGTCTAATGTTGACAGTGGGGTGTTAAAGTCTCCCATTATTATTGTGTGGGAGTCTAAGTCTCTTTGTAGGTCTCTAAGGACTTGCTTTATGAATCTGGGTGCTCCTGTATTGGGTGCATATATATTTAGGATAGTTAGCTCTTCTTGTTGAATTGATCCCTTTACCATTATGTAATGGCCTTCTTTGTCTCTTTTGATCTTTGTTGGTTTAAAGTCTATTTTATCAGAGACGAGGATTGCAACCCCTACCTTTTTTTGTTTTCCATTTGCTTGGTAGATCTTCCTCCATCCCTTTATTTGGAGCCTATGTGTGTCTCTGCATGTGAGATGTATTTCCTGAATACAGCACACTGAGTCTTGACTCTTTATCCAATTTGCCAGTCTGTGTCTTTTAATTGGAGCATTTAGCCCATTTACATTTAAAGTTAATATTGTTATGTGTGAATCTGATACTGTCATTATGATGTTAGCTGGTTATTTTGCTCGTTAGTTGATGCAGTTTCTTCCTAGCATCAATGGTCTTTTCAATTTGGCATGTTTTTGCAGTGACTGTACCAGTTGTTCCTTTCCACATTTAGTGCTTCCTTCAGGAGCTCTTGTAGGGCAGGTCTGGTGGTGGCAAAATCTCTCAGCATTTGCTTGTCTGTAAAGGATTTTATTTCTCCTTCACTTATGAAGATTAGTTTCACAGGATATGAAATTCTGGGTTGAAAATTCTTTTCTTCAAGAATGGTGAATATTGGCCCCCACTCTCTTCTGGCTTGTAGAGTTTCTGCTGAGAGATCAGCTGTTAGTCTGATGGGCTTCCCTTTGTGGGTAACCTGACTTTTCTCTCTGGATGCCCTTAACATTTTTTCCTTCATTTCAACTTTGGTGAATCTGACAATTATGTGTCTTGGAGTAGCTCTTCTCAAGGAGTATCTTTGTGGTGTTCTCTGTATTTCCTGAATTTGAATGCTGGCCTGCCTTGCTAGGTTGGGGAAGTTCTCCTGGATAATATCCTGCAGAGTGTTTTCCAACTTGGTTTCATTCTCCCCCTCACTTTCAGGTACACCAATCAGACGTGGATTTGGTCTTTTCACATAGTCCCATATTTCTTGGAGGCTTTGTTTGTTTCTTTTTATTCTTTTTTCTCTAAGCTTCTCTTCTCCCTTCATTTCATTCATTTGATCTTCAATCACTGATACCCTTTCTTCCAGTTGATCGAATCAGCTACTGAAGCTTCTGTATTCGTCACGCAGTTCTCGTGCCATGGTTTTCACCTCCATCAGGTCATTTAAGGACTTCTCTGCACTGGTTATTCTAGTTAGCTATTCGTCTAATCTTTTTTCAAGGTTTTTAACTTCTTTGCAATGGGTTCAAACTTCCTCCTTTAGCTCAGAAAAGTTTGATCATCTGAAGCCTTCTTATTTCAACTCGTCAAAGTCATTCTCCATCCAGCTTTGTTCCATTGCTCGTGAGGAGCTGCGTTCCTTTGGAGGAGGAGAGGTGCTCTGATTTTTAGAATTTTCAGTTTTTCTGCTCTGTTTTTTCTCTATCTTTGTGGTTTTATCTACCTTTGGTCTTTGATGATGGTGACATACAGATGGGGTTTTGGTGTGGATGTCCTTTCTGCTCAGTTTTTCTGCTCTGTTTTTTCTCTATCTTTGTGGTTTTATCTACCTTTGGTCTTTGATGATGGTGACATACAGATGGGGTTTTGGTGTGGATGTCCTTTCTGCTTGTTAGTTTTCCTTCTAACAGTCAGGACCCTCAGCTGCAGGTCTGTTGGAGTTTGCTGGAGGTCCACTCCAGACCCTGTTTGCCTGGGTATCAGCAGCGGAGGCTGCAGAACAGCAAATATTGCTGAACAGCAAACGTTGCTGCCTGATCATTCCTCTGGAAGTTGCGTCTCAGAGGGGTACCTAGCTGTGTGAGGTGTCAGTCTGCTCCTACTGGGGGGGTGCCTCCCAGTTTGGCTACTCGGAGGTCAGGGACCCACTTGAGGAGGCAGTCTGTCCGTTCTCAGATCTCAAACTCCATGCTGGGAGAACCACTACTCTCTTTAAAGCTGTCAGGGACATTTAAGTCTGCAGAGGTTTCTGCTGCCTTTTGTTCGGCTATGCCCTGCCCCCGGAGGTGGAGTCTACAGAGGCAGGCAGGCCTCCTTGAGCTGCAGTGGGATCCACCCAGTTCGAGCTTCCCGGCCGCTTTGTTTACCTACTCAAGCCTCACCAATGGCAGGCGCCCCTCCCCTAGCCTCGCTGCTGTCTTGCAGTTTGATCTCAGACTGCTGTGCTAGCAATGAGCGAGGCTCCGTGGGCATGGGACCCTCTGAGCCATGCATGGGATATAATCTCCTGGTGTGCCATTTGCTAAGACCATTGGAAAAGCGCAGTATTAGGGTGGGAGTGACCTGATTTTCCAGGTGCCATCTGTCACAGCTTTGCTTGGCTAGGAAAGGGAATTCCCTGACCCCTTGCACTTCCCGGGTGAGGCGATGCTTCGCCCTGCTTCGGCTCATGCTCGGTGTGCTGCACCCACTGTCTGACAAGCCCCAGTGAGATGAACCCGGTACCTCAGTTGGAAATGCAGAAATCACCTGTCTTCTGCGTCGCTCACGCTGGGAGCTATAGACTGGAGCTGTTCCTATTCGGCCAACTTGGAACTGCCCCACCGATTTGATTTCAATGATATTTGCACCGATGCTATATTTTCTGAGAATTCATTAAGTTGTACAGTTATGTTGTGATTTCTAGAGGTATGCAATACTTCAGTAAGAAACTTTGAAATATTTTGACTTTGTCTTGTTGGCTTTGCTTTGTAGTAGGTTTTGCAGTGTGAATGTAAGGTGGCTACTTGGAATATATTTGATGTTAAAAAGCTGTTACTTTATAACAAAACATAAACAAGCAGGAACTGAGCACATGGACATGTAGTTTTATATACTTGCACCATTTAGATTAGTCCGACCATTATGATTCACTCTTAGTACAAATTTAACATTAAATTAAAATCAGTGGTGTTTATTCCTAGAGGCCTGATTATAATCGGCAAAATAATTCATGCTAAAAGCTGCAAGATTGCAAGGTAAGCATCAATATTTTACAAGAAACCATGGAGAATACTATCCAAGGAGTCACCATGACTAGTTAGGCAGAGGACACATAGAAGCAGAAGGAAGAAAACTTTCCAAATATCAAGAAATAAAAACAAAACGATGATAAAGCTGGCTTTTTCAAAGGGCTTCTCAGTGGTGTACTGGGTTGGCCCCAGAGGGACTTTGGCAAATCTAGTCCTCAAAAGTAAAATGAGAAAATGACCATTGATGAAGGGCATGAAATTGCATTTTGTATGGAAATATTCATAACTGTCCTCTGTTCAGGCCCTATTATGTTCCATTTCAGTGTTGCGGATACCTTGTTTCATTCATTCATACCACCATTTTATAACTGCAGAAACTAAGGCTTGGCAAGTTAAACTACTTGGTTCAGGAACCCCAGCAGGTCAGAGAAGGGTGATAAGTCAGACTCAGGATGTTCTGACTGGCTTCAGCAAACTGCACAGAAACACATGGGCTCCCTGCTACTCCTATGGGTCCTGATTACAATCTGCCTCCCTGAGGCGGCTGCTTCCACCTTCTCCCCACGGGGTGGCCACCCTCCAAGATAGCCCCCAAGGATCCTTCTGTGTGGCCCCCTCCACTTTGTACTAGGGTTAGTCTGTATGACCGATGGATTATAGCCCATGCGATGGGATGTCACTTCCGAGATTACTCCATGACAGACTGTGGCTTCCATCGTAAGCTGTCTCTTTATCTCTCTCTGATCACTTGCTCTGAGGGAAGTCAACTGATGCCTTACGAGGTTGCCCAGGCAGCCAGGGAAGAGGCTGTGGTGAGGCTCTGAGGTCTCCTGCTGACCGCCAGTGAAGAACTGAGGCCACCAGCAGCCCTGCGAGTGGGGATGGAAGAAGGTCCTGCAGCCCCAGCTGGACTGCAACCTCGAGAAGGACCGTGAGCCAGTTACGCCACGCTTGGATTTATGAGCCTCAGAAATGGTGTAAGAAATATATGATGGTTATCTTAGGCTGCTAAATTTTGGGATGATTTTGTATGCGGCAATAGATGACTAGTACACCACAATATCAGACTTTGACTAAACATTACTGATTAAAAAAAAAAAAAAAAAAAAAGAACTGCAATGGAATGACATACAAATGCACTAGAATGGCTAAAGTTAAAAAGACTGACAACACTAAACATCAAAGATGATGGAGCAAGCAGGACTCTCGTATGTTGTTACAGTGGGAGTATAAAACAATATGAACACAATTGAAAAGGCCTAGCAGTTTCTGTAATACTCAACATACCTCTGCCTATGACCCCGGCTACATCTACCTGGGATCCAGAGAGTTCACTAATAGGTGTTTACCCAAGAAAAACAAAGCCACATCTCCATAAAAAGACTTTTACAGAA
The DNA here is from genome assembly GCF_000001405.40 of Homo sapiens. NCBI lineage: Eukaryota > Metazoa > Chordata > Mammalia > Primates > Hominidae > Homo > Homo sapiens. The sequence goes on along the minus strand of NW_011332701.1, from coordinate 2,946,645 downwards.
ATGTCTGTAGTAGCTTTACTGATAGTAGCCAAAGCCAGAAACCACCCAGATACCCATCAAATAGTGATGGATAAAAAAAAAACTGTGGTATAGCCACACAATGAAACACTACTTAGCACACTTCATTCTTTCTTCAAAAGAAATGAACTGCTAATATACTCAACATAGATGAATTTCAGAAATGTGCTTGGTGGAAAAACCAGACACAAACCTTGCACACTGTACACTTTCATTTATACGAGGTTATGGAACAAGCAAAATCAATCTAGGAATGCAAAAAAAAAAATTGAGAACAATGGTTGCTGAGGGGTGGGCTGAGGTGGGGAGGGGTTTTGACCAAGAAAAGAAGTGAGGAAACTTTTTGAAAGCAAGGTAGTGTTTGATTTTTTTATTACAGTTTCAGACACAAGGTTTGTCTATTCGTCAAAACCTATTAATGGCATACCTAAGTCTTGTGCATTTCACTGAACATAGATTTTACCATAAAGAAGAACCAAAAACATATTGCACTCCAGTTAATAATAGCCAGGCAGAAACATTTAAGGTGAAACATAAGCTACATATCTGCAACTTAACTTGAAATATATAAAAAATTAGATGAATTGATGGATTCATGGAAGAATGGATAGATGGATAGGTACATATATGTGATAAAGAAAGTAGGGTAAAATGTTAATTGTAGAATCTAGGTGGTGGGTACATGGTGTTCACTGAGCAATTCTTTCATCTTTTGCATGTTTGAAAAATTTAATAGTATACTAGTGGGGAAAATATTTGAGAGTGGTGAGTTCTGTGTGTGCGTGGAACTATCTGTAACTTGGAGGAGCTAGAAAAATCCATTTGGACAATGTGTTCATGGACTCAGAAAATCAGAATATAATTTTTGTGAGGCAGGGTCTCACTGTGTTGTCCAGGCTGGATTGCAGTGGTGCAATCATAGCTCACTGCAGCCTTGACCTCCTGGGTTCAAATGATTCTCCTGCATCAGCCTCCTCAGTAGCCAGGACTACAGGTGTGAGCCACCATACGTGGTTAATTTTTGCATTTTTAGTAAAGACAGGGTCGTACTATATTGCCCAGGCTAGGCTCCAACTCCTCGCCTCAAGTGATTCTCCTGCCTTGGCCTCCCAAAGTGCTGGAATTACAGGCGTGATCCACTGCACCTGGCTTGTATTTGTTTTAAACCAATTTTGATCTCTATCTTGGAGGCAGATCCAGTTCATTAGAGATCATTCCTGTGGATGCCTCTTCAACTTCTACACTACATATTCATTTCTCACCTTAGACCCTTCAGATGATCCACTGCAGTGAATTCTTACAATGTTATGCTTTCTTGGTACCTATTTTGAATATATGTTGGACTTTCTCATACCAGAAGCAGGGCTTAGTCATCCTTGAAAGTTTCCACGTCTCCACCTCTTCCCAGGCCCTCAAAATGGTCGATCCAGAGATGTGCCTTATATAGCTGCCTCCTGGTGACCAAGTCCCTAAGGGACAGCTAGATGCAACCTACTTGACCCACCCTGCAGACCCTCACACCCGGCATGGACTGCCCAGATATGCTGCCATGACCACCTCTCCCTCACAACATGGCCTCCCGTAACTTGTGCCTACCTGATCTAAGCCAACGAATTACAACTTCTTGGGAACCTGCTGGGGTGATGGCCTGGACCCCATAAAGGCTTCAGCTCTCAGGGCCCACACTCCATCTCTCTTGCTCCCCACCTGCTGGCGAGCACAAGGGTCCTGACGGCTCCCCCAGTCCAGCGTGCTGCCCTCTTCTCTCTGGACCTGCGAGGAACTCACTGCTTCTGGTATTTCATGGGTTTTGTTGAGTGGCCTCCTCTGTGTCTCACTTGACCAACACACCTGATCCTAACTTCTTTCCAAATTCAGAACTCTCCTGAAGAGTGGCTATCTTGGTAGGCTAAATAAATAAATACACCAGACACAGACAAGAGACTCAAGGGTATCTAAGAGGGTAAACAAGTTTCTCATGAGAGACCTGGGCACAGGTCAGACACAGGGATTCTGCCATCCACCAGGATAAAGAAGTACCCCGTGAAGGCACATCATAAACATGCACAACCACCTCCCCTGGAGCCCCATCAGGGCAGGGCTGGAGTTCACAGCCACTCTACAGAGAGAGGGAGACCTCAAAAGCAAACTAAAAGGAGAAAAATGCAACCCCCTCTCTCTGCCATTGCTGACAAAAGCCAGTCTATGGCAGTTTCCACAAAGCACGCAAACCAGCCATGACCTCGCATCGGGTCTTCCTTGGCGTCTCCTCTTCCACGACGTTTCTCTACACACACTCTTCCCAGGGCACCTGGACCTACTCCCTGCCTTTACACAGCATATACGTCCCTGCCAGCACGCCACGGCGCATGCTCTGTGTTCTGCCCGGATGTTCTCCACCCGTCTCCACCCACCATGCCTCTGTCTGTCAAGGCCCTCCTTCACGGAGCTCCGTGCATGCTCATGGTCGGAGTTCCCTCCTCATCCCTCCAGGCCTCTCTTCCTACAGGCTTCTCCCGGCACAGTGCCCATTTGCCCTGTATACAGCAGGCAATGTTCCTGCAGGTCTGCACCAGGGCATGAGTGACGATGACAGCGATGGAGTCCTATTCCCCTGTGCTTCACAGAGCAGGGGCCGCCCCACACAGAAACCACCCAAGGCTTCCCCAGTGTCCTCGCCTCGGTTTGGGGCCCTTTTTTCCTGAAGGTTTCCATCGGGCTCTGAGTGAAACCTTTAACCAAAGGGAGTGTGAAGCAGGACAAAAGGACAGCAAGCTTTCCTCAAGGTTAGGACCCTGGGGATGCAGACAGGACTCTTCCCACCTTCTGGAACCTGCCTCTGGCACCCAACCATTCCCAGTCTTACTGGATGTGACAGGAAGAAAATCAGCTCTAACTTCAGTTCCACCTTTAACTCCAAAGACACCGTCAGCAAGTCCTAGGTCCTTAGTGGTTCTTGGTTTCTGCCTTCTAAAGCGAGGGGTTTGAGCCCCTCCAAGTCTGTGATCAGAGCTTTTAAACCCCAAGCAAAGCTCCCTTCATAGTCCTTCTTGGCAAGTTTTGACCCACTGCTAGTCCTTCCCTATCTAGAAAGACTCTCCTTTGTTTTGACCCCAAGTAGCCCCCATTTCCTCTTAGGAAAACCTGGTACTAAATACGGCACTACCTTGGCGCTCCTGGGACCTACAGGTCACCTTGCTCACTGCCCTCAATTTTACAGATGAGAAAACAGAGAGCAGAAGATCAAGAAATTTGTTGAAGACTGCACAGTAAATTAGTAAGGCCTAGGGCTAGCGGAGCAAATAATATTTCCTGCCTGAAAACACAAAGACCTCCCATCCAAACATCCTTCCCAGCAGCCAATGGAACCAGGCGGGGAGAGACCTGGGGGCAGAGAGCCCCGACACCGCCTTGCCGCTGCACTGAGGATGGCGCCTGGTGCTTCCAGGGAGAGTGTGTGAAGGCGCTAACTCCAACCTGGATGTTTCAGAAAGCAGACAGTGGGGCATGTACTACAACTCTCTTATTCAACATAAAAGAATGCAAATGATAAAATTCTAAGATGCCTAAGTGGGGTTTGAAAAAGTCGATGTAACTGGAGGTTAAATGTGACATGTGAAACCCACAAGCAAGTGAAGATCTGAAAACTGTCTTGTTAATTCACTTCAGGCTGCACAGTTTTTGCAGGGACAGCTGTGGCTACAAACGGGGGCCATGTGGGAAGGGCACTCTCCCTGCACTGTCACCTGCATGCCCAGGATTGACAAGGAGAGCCACTGCCCCCCACCTGCCGGCTGGTCTCCAGCAGCATGAAAACAGGGGGCGTGGCAGTTCCTGCCATAAAGAGGAAAATGATACACTTTATCCCAGATGCCAGGTGCTGTCTGCATCAGTCCTTTTAAAAATTTAATCGCTTTATACAATTGACACCAAATAAAATGCACATATTTAAAGTTTACAATTTGAGAAGCTGACACGTGTCCATACAGACACACCTCATTTTACTGTGCTTTACTGTATTGCCCTTTGAAGATACTGCATTTTCTTTTTACAAATTAAAGGTTTGTGGCAACCCTGTGCTGAGCAAGTTTATTGGCATCATTTTTCAAACAGCATGCACTCACTGTGCATCTCTGTGTCACATTTTGGGAATTCTCACAGTATTTCAAACTTTTCCATTAGGATTATATTTGTTATAGTGACCTGTGCTCAGTGATCTTTGATGTTACTGTTGTAATTACAACAGTTCTGGTTCTGGGGCACCACGAACCACACCCACACATACCGATGAACTTAATAAACGTTGTGTGTGTTCTGACTGCTCCACTGACCAGTGATTCTCCGGTCTCCCTCTCCTCAGGCCTCCGTATTCCTTGAGACACAACATATTAAAGTTAGGCTATTAACAACCCTAAAATGTCAAGTTGTTCAAATGGAAAAAAAAAAAAGAATAGAAAAGTTAGAAGCTAGCAGAGGTTGGTTCATGAGGTTTAAGGAAAAAAGCCATCTTCAATAACATAAAAGTTTTATGTTATAGCACTGGGGAAGTGGCAAGTGCTGATGGAGAAGCTGCAGCAAGATCTCTAGATCTTAGAAGATCTAGTTAACATCGCTGATTAAGGTGGCTACACTATACAACAGATGTTCAATGTAGACAACACAGCCCTCTATTGGAAGAAGATGTTATCTAGGCTAGATGAGAATAAGTCTCTGCCTGGCTTCAAAGCTTCTACAGACAGGGACAATTGTAGCTGGTGACTTTAAGTTGAAACAAATGCTCATTTATCATTCTGAAAGTTCTAGTGCCCTTAAGAATGACACTAAATCTACTCTTCCTGTGCTCTATAGGAACAAAGAAGCCTGGGCACAGCACATCTGTTGATACCTTGGTTTACTGAATATTTTAAGCTCATTGCTGAGACATGCTGCTCAGAAAGAAAGATTTCTTTCAAAATATTACTGCTCATTTGACAATGCACCTAGTTACCCAAGAGCTCTGATGAAGATGTTCAAGATCAATGTTTTCATGTCTGCTAATACAACATCCATTCTGTACTCCACGGATCAAGGAGTAATTTTGACTTGCAACTCTTATTACTTAAGAAATACATTTTATAAGGCTATAACTGCCATAGACAGTGATTCCTCTGATAGATCTGGGCAAAGTACATTGAAAACCTTCTGGAAAGGATTCACAACTCTAGAAGTCAATAAGAACATCTATGATTCATGGGAGGAGGTCAAATTATCGACATTAACAGGAGGTTGTAAGAAGTGGATTCCAACTCTCATGGATGACTTTGTGGGGTCCAAGACTTCAGTGGAAGAATTAACTGCAGATGTCGTGGAAGAGAACTGGAATTAGAAGTGGAGTCTGAAGATGTGACTAAATTGCTACAATCTCAAGTTGGGGAGTTGCTTCTTATGGATGAGCAAGGGAAGTGGTTTCTTGAGATGGAATCTGCTCCCGGTAAAGATGCTGTGAACATTGCTGAAATGACAAAAAGGATTTAGAAATTACAAAATGCATTTGATAAAGCAGCAGCAAGGTTTCAGAGGACTGACTTCAATTTTGAAAGAAGTTCCACTGTGGGTAAAATGCTATCAAATAGCATCACACATGCTACAGAGAAATCTTTCATGAGAGGAAGAGTCAATTAAATGCATCAAACTTCATGATTGTCTTATTTTAAAAAATTGTCACAGCCACCCCAACCTTCAGCAATCACCACCCTGATCAGTTAGCAGCCATAAACATTGAGGCAAGACCCTCCACCAGCAAAAAGATTATGACTCACTGAAGGCTCAGATGATTGTTAGCATTTTTGGCAATGAAGTATTTTTTCAAATCAAGTTATGTACTTTTTTAGATATAATGCTATTGAACACTTAGTAGACTACAGAATAGTATAAACATAACTTTTTTTTTTGAGACAGGGTCTTGCTCTGTCACCCAGACTGGAGTAGAGTGGCACTATTTCTACTCACTGCAACCTCTGTCTCCTCAACTCAAGCAATCCTCCCACCTCAGCCTCCCCAGTAGCTGGGACTACAGGCATGCACCACCAAACCAGGCTGATTTTTGTAGGGTTTTTTTTTTTTTCTCAATAGAGACGAGGTCTCACCATGCTGCCCAAGCTGGTCTGGAACTCCGGGCTCAAGCTATCCATCCTCCTTGGCTCTCAAAGTGTTGGGACTACAGGTGTGAGCCACTGTGCCTAGCCAACATAATTTCTATATGCACTAGAAAACCAAAAAATTCATGCGACTTGCTTTATTGCTATATTTATTGCAGTGGTCTGGAACTGAATCTGCAATACCTCTGAGGTCTGTTATCACCGCAAGATACCATACATATCTACCACTCTCAAAAGATTGCTCAGGCCAGGCGCGGTGGCTCACGCCTATAATCCCAGCGCTTTGGGAGGCTGAGGTGGGCGAATCATGAGGTCAGGAGATCAAGACCATCCCGGCTAACACAGTGAAACCCCATCTCTACTAAACTACAAAAAATTAGCCAGGCATGGTGGCGGACGCCTGTAGTCCCAGCTACTCAGGAGGCTGAGGCAGGAGAATGGCATGAACCCAGGAGGCAGAGCTTGCAGTGAGACGAGGTCGCACCACCGCACTCCAGCCTCCCTCTAAAAAAAAAAAAAAAAAAAAAAAAAAAAAAAAATTCCTCAGCTGCTTTGTAATCCCCACTGCTCACTGCTGCCCTCAGCCCTATCTGAGGCAATCACTGACCTGCATTCCATCGCTATAGATCACTATGCATTTCCTAGACTTTACATAAGTGGAATTGCACAACATGTAGTTTTTTTTTTGTCTCACTTCTTTCACTTCATGTAATTATTTTGAGAATCATCACTGTTGTTGCACGTTATCAATAATTCACTCCTTTGGATTGAGAGCCGAGTAGCATTCCAGTGTATGTATCTACCACCATTTGTTTACCTGTTTACCTGTGATGGGCATTTAGGTTGCTTCCAGTTTTTTAGCCCTCACTAAGAATGCTAAAAACATCTGTGTACAAGCTTTGCTATGGGCAAAGGCTTTCGGTTTTCTTAAGTAAATAAATAGGAGTAAAATTTGCTGGATTGTACACTAGGTACATGTCTAATTTTGAAGAACTTGCTGAATTGTTTTCTAAAGTGGCTGCACCACTTTCCATTCAAAACCAGCAGCGTACAAATTTACCAGTTTTTCCACATCCTTGCTGAGATTTGGTATGCTCAGTATTGTTGGTTTTAGTCATTCTCATAGGTGTGTAGTGCTATCTCATTCTGGCTTTAAGTTATATTTCCCTAAGGATTAATGATGTTGAGCGTCTTTTCACCTGCTTATTTGCTATCCATGTATCTTCTTTGGTGAAGTCTGTTCAAAGCTTTTGCTTATTTTTAATTGGATAGTTTTTACAAAAATAATTGAGTCATGAGAGCTCTTTACATATTTTAGAAACAAGTACTTTACCACATATATGATTTGCAGTACTTTCTTCCAACTTGTAGTTTATCTGTTCATTCTCTTAGCACTATCCTCAAAAAGCAGTTTAAGTTTTAAATGAAGTCCAATTTATTAATTTTTTCTTTTATGGATTGTTCATGGGGTATTGTCTCTAGAAAATCTTTTCCTAAGACAAGGTTAAAAAGATTTTCTCATGAATTAATGGCATTTGAGCGACCTGGATGAGACTGGAGACTATTATTCTAAGTGAAGTAACTCAGGAATGGAAAACCAAACATCGTATGTTCTGACTTATAAGTGGCAGCTAAGCTATGAGGATGCAAAGGCAGAAGAATGACACAATGGACTTTGAGGACTCAGGGATAAAAGACTACAAATAGGGTTCAGTGTATACTGCTTGGGTGATGGGTGCACCAAAATCTCACAAATCCCCACTAAAGAACTTACTCATGTAACCAAACACCACCTGTATGCCAATAATCTAAGGAAATAAAAAAAATAATAAAAATAAAATAAAAAGATTTTCTCCTGTGTTTTTTTCTAGAAGACTTTTTTAGCTTTAGGTTTTATATTTAGGGATACCATCCATTTTAAGGTAATTTTTGCATATGAGTGAGATGTAAACCAAAGTTCACTTCTTTTGCATATATAAATCCAATTATCCCACAATTTGTTGAAAAGATGATTTTTTTGCACTGAATTACTTTTGTATCCTTATTGAAGATCAGTTGTCCACATATGTAAACTGTTTCTTAACTTTCCAATTTGTTTCATTGATCTAATTCTCTACATTAAAAAAACTACTTTACTGTATATATTAAGGTATATGATATGATGTTCTGATACACTTATACATAGTGAAATGGTTATTATAGTCAAGCACATTAGCTTATTCATCATTTCACGGTTACCCCTTTGTGCATATGTGTGTGTATGTCTGTGAGTAGTAAGAGCAAATTTTCTAGTACACTATGCAATATTATTAATGATAGTCTTCATGTTGAACATTTGATCAATATCACAGTTTTGATTACTGTACTCTTATGAGTTTTAATATCAGGTATTGTCAGACTTCTGATATAGTTTGGCTCTATGTCCCCACCCAAATCTCACTTTGAATTGAAATCCCCATAATCTCCACGTGTCAAGGGCAGGACTGAGTGGAGGTCATTGGATCATGGGGGCAGTTTCCCCCATGCTGTTCTTGTGAATAATGAGTGAGTCTCACAAGATCTGAAGGTTTTATAAGTGTCTGGCATCTCCCCTGCTTGCACTCACTCCGTCCTGCTGCCCTGTGAAGAAGGTGCCTGCTTCTCCTTTGTCTTCCACCATGACTGTAAGTTTCCTGAGGCCTCCCCAGTAATGTGGAACTGTGAGTCAACTAAGCCTCTTTCCTTTATAAATTACCCAGTCTTGGGTATCTCTTCATAGCAATGTGAGAACTAATACGCCTTCTAACTTTATTCCAATTTTTCAAAGTTTGTTTTGTTTATTCTCTATCCTTGGATTTATGTATGGATTTTAAAGTCAACTTGTTAATTTCTACATAAAAAGCTGGTTTGGATTGTTATTGAGATCGTACTGAATTTAAAGCGATCTGGGGAGAACCAACATCTTAATAATATTGAGTCTTTTGACCCTGTATATGGTACACTTAACCCTTTATTTAGGTTTTTCATCTCTTTAAGCAATCTTTTGAAGTTTCAATTGTAAATTTATTCACATTTTATATTTTTGGATGCTACTGAATAAAGTATTTTTAAAATTTATTTTTAAAAATAATGCAATTATTCATTGCAATTGTAAAAATGCAACTGACCTCTCTATATTGATTTTCTATCTTACAACACTGCTAACTTCACTTACTAGTTCCAAAAAATGCTTTTAAATTCCATTAGATATTCTACATATGTCATCATGTCACCTGTGAATAAAGATAGTTTGCTTCTTCTTTTCCAATCTGGATGCTTTTTAATTATAATTTATTGTTTGACTGCACTGGCTAGAATGTCCAGGAAAATGTTGGATAGAAGTGGTGAAAGAGGGCATCCTTATTTCCCTCTTGATCTTTGGGGAAAAGCTTTCTTTCATCACTAGGTGTCAGGTTAGCTGTAGGCTTTTTTGTAAATACTTTATATAAGATTGAGGAGGTTTTCTTCTATTCCTAGTTTTCTGAGTGTTTTCTAAAAATCAAGAACGAATGTGGATTTTACCAAAGGCTCTTTCTGCATTTACTGAGATGATTGTATACCTTCTGTTTCTCAGTATATTAATATGGAAAATTATGTTGATTGGTTTTTGAATGTTAAACTAGTTTTGCATTCTTGGGATAAAACCCACTTGGTCATGATGTAGTATCCTTTTTATATAATGCCAAATTCGATTTGCTAAAATTTTTTTCAGTATTTTCACACTTTTCTTCATGAGGAATATTTGTCTGTAGTCTTTCTTGGTTTTGTATTAGGGTAATGCTGGCGCAAAGAATGAATGAGTTGAGAAGTACAAACCCTTTTCAATTTCCTGGAAGAGCTGGTAAAATTTTTCCTTTATATGTGTGGTAGAATTTACCAATGAAGCTATAGATGCTTGCAGTTATCTTTGTGAGAAAGTTTTAAACTACAACTTAGATTTCATTAATAAACATAGAGCTATTCAAATCATTTATTTTTTTTCTTGTATAGGCTTTGGTATTTTGTACCTTTCAAATAATTTGTGAATTTCATTTAACTTGCTGCATTTATTGGCATAGAATTGTTTATAATATTCCTTTATAATCCTTTTAATATCTTGAGAATCTGTACTGAGGTCATCTCTTTCATTCTTGATATTGTTAATTTGTATCTTCTTTTTCCTCTGATTATGTGGCTATGGGTTTATCAATTTTATTGATCTCAAAGACCCCACTTTTGGTTTCACTGACTTTCTCTACTATTTTTCCATTTACTATTTCATTGTTTTTTGTTCTGGTCTTTATTATTTCATTTCTTCTGTCTGGGTTTAATTTATTTTTCCATTTACTATTTCATTGTTTTTTGTTCTGGTCTTTATTATTTCATTTCTTCTGTCTGGGTTTAATTTGCTTTTTTTTTTCTAGTTTTCAAGATAAAAATTAAGGTAACTGATTTGAGGCCCTGCTTCTTTTCTAATAGAGGTGTTTAACTTATACATTTTCTTAGAGGTACTGTTTCCTTGAATCATTTTTTCCTATTGTTCATGCCTCTCCTTCAAGGATTCCAATTACACTTATTTTAGGCTGCTTACATTTTTCCACAGCTCACAGATGATTTAATTTTTAATTATTTTTTCTTTTTTAGAGATGAGGGTCTCATTATGTAGCCCAGGCTAGCCTCAAACTCCTGGGCTCAAGCAATAATTCTGCTTCAACCTCCTAAGTAGCTGGGATTACGGATATGCACCACTGCACCTGGCTTTCACTGATGCCTTTAATATTTCTTTACTTCTATTTTTTTCTGTGTTCCATTTTGGATATTTTCCATTGCTATGTCTTCATGTTCACTAACCTTTCTCTTTTTTTGTATTAAGCAATGTGCTGTTAATTCCATTGAGTTACTTTTTCATCTCAGATGTAGTCTTCATCTCTGGAAGTTCAGCTCAAGCTTTAAAAAGTATGTTCCATATCTTTACTTAAACATCTGAACAGCATCTCAATATGTACCTTATTCTATTCTATAGAGTACAGTTATTAATAACTTTTAGTGCCCTTGTCTGATAATTTTAACATCTCTAGCAGTTCTGGTTTGACTTTGATTGAACAGTTTCTCCTCATTATGGGTCCTATGTTCCTGCTACTTTGCATTCCTGATAACTTCTGATTGGGTGCCAGACAGCAAGACTTTTACATTATTTGGTGCTGGACAAGTTTATATTTCTATAAATGTTATTGAGCTTTGTTGTAGAATGAAGTTACATTTCTTGGAAACACTCTTGAGAGAGGAGGTAAAAAGAGACCAGCTAGGCAGATAGTTAGGGCAGAGAGTCCTCGGCAGAACTTCCCTTCTACCAAAAAGCAGCCCAGGAAATCACTCCTCTTCTAACAGAAAGCAGCCTGGAAGACCTGGCTGCAAACAGATAAGGAAGCTGGAGTTTGCATCGGGGGATGCTTGCAGCTGCACAGACAGAAAGGGGTACCTGAGGCCAGGTGTGTCCACCATGGAGGCTCCACCTCCCCCTTTGAAGCACATACACAGTAGGAAAGCAACGTGGAGTAGCTCAGGCAAAAGACCTGCCTGTATAATAAAAGGGTGGGGTGGGGGATGCCAGAGATTCATGCTCTACGCAGATGGCACACCTGGGGTTTTTCACACCCTATGTAGGTAAGATAACACCTCACCTCCCCACTAGCTAGCTTATAAAAACCCTTGAATTTCACTGCTGAATGGCAACGCTTTTAATCCCTCTCTGCTGCAGAGAGCTGTTATCTTTCTTTTGCCTAATAAACTTCTGCTTCTGCTCTAACCTCACCCTTGGTGTGGCCGTGTCCTTGACTTCCTTGGCTGTGAGATCAAGAACTTTGGATCAGGCAATGAGGCCATTTCACTGTGATCCTTGTGGATCTTGCTTCTTGCTTTTAAGGTTCATTAGGTATGATCAGAGTGATTTATTTACTTTTATTTTTTTAGAGTCAGGGTCTTAGTGTTGCCTAGGCTGGAGTCAGCAGTGCGATCATAGCTCACCATAACCTCGAACTCTTGGGCTCAAGTGATCTCCTCAACTCAGCCTCCTGAGTAGCCAGGACCACAGGCATATGCCACGATGCCCAGCTAATTTTTAGAAGATTTTTGTAGAGACAGAGGTCTTGCTATGTTGTTCAGGCTGGTCTTGAACTCTTGTCCTCAAGCCATCCTCCTGGCTTGGCCTCCGAAAGTGTTGGGATTACAGGTATGAGCTACTGTGTCTAGCCCTAGAAAAGTTTTTATTACAGGGCTAATTATTCCCAATTACTGAGGCAAGATCCTTCTAGGTATTATATTCAGTGCTTGTCCGGCCTGGCTGGTGAGCACAGGCACTTTCCATGGCTCTGTATCAGCCCCAGGCACTGTTTCCTCTAATCCTCTCAGGTGGTTCTCTCCCCAGCTGCACACAGCTTCCTCACACACAGGCACTGATCGGCACTTGGCTGAGTGGCACAGGCAAACCCTCTGTGAATCGCTGCAGTTCTCTCTGTGTAGCTGTCTCCGCTCTCAGGCTCTGACCTGAGGACTCCAGCCTCCTGGACTCCTGGGACTCTAAGCTCTGTCTCCTTCCACTGTGGAGTCAGGCAAGCTTCCTCTGGGTTCCTCCTCCCTGTACCACGGATTAGAAACTTTCTCAAGGCAGTGAGCTGGGCAATTATAGGACTAACCTTGTTTGTTTCCAATCTCTTGGGGACTACTGTCCTTCACTATCTAACGTTCAGTGTCTTGTTTATCATATTTATCTTTTTCTTTTTCAGGCAGGAGGGCACACCCACATTCTGATACTTCATCTTGGCTGGAAGTGGAGGTTTCCTGGTGCTGTCTGTTTTAAAACTTTTTATTATGGAAACATTCGTACATCACTTATAATAAACCTGTTTGCATCTACTATTCAGGTTTAATCAAAATCAACTCATGGATAATATTGTTTCATCTCCTCTCCCACCCATTCGCCTGTCCCCAGAAAACCCCTGCATGATATTACTTCATCCATCCACGTCAGTATGTATCTTATTTTTCTTAGCACTATCATAATAAAAATATCATATCTAAAAGTAGTTATTCTTTAATATCATCAAATATCCAGTAAATGTTAAGTGCTCACATTTCCCAGATTGTCTTATAATTTTTCTTTTTTAGTTTGTTGGAATCAGTATTCAAATAATGTGCATACATTATCACTATCTGACAGATCTCTTAAGCCTCTTTTAATCTACAGCACAGGTTGGCAAACTACTGCCCATAGGCAGGCTGGCTGGCTGCCTGTTTTATAAATAAAAGTTTTGTTAGAACACAGCTGCCTATAGATTGCTTTAGGCAGGAAGGACCTTGAAGGCAGGGCCTACTCTTCTTTCTTCCTGGCTCTCCCACACGCAGCCCAGAGGCCCTCAATGCCTGCTTGGAGATTGGAAACATGAAGGTTTGGCTTAAGTGGGAGTTCTTAATATGTAGCAGCCTCCTCTTTCCTGCCTAGTCAAAGAAAATAGTTTAAATTGATTTCAGTTTGCACAGCTAATTTTTTATTTTAAAAAGTGTTTAACGACATGACTCTGAATCTGAGGGCTTCTGGTTGTTTTTTGCTCCTTCCCTCTTCAGCTTGGTTCAGTTACGCCCACATTACTGAGTGCCCACTCAGGACAGCTCATCCACAGGGCTGGGGCTCTCAGCCATGTGAAAGGGAATGGCATGGAATTCCTGGACCTCAGGGAGCCCTGGAGTGGTGGGCACATAAGTGAAGCAAAGTGAAAGGACACAAAGTGGTGGGGGGCACGGGGGAATGGGGAGGCTTTATCCATGCACAGACACCAAGAAAGACGCTGGGATGAATACGGCTGGCTTTCCAGAGAGGAAGTGTCTTTCTTTCTCTCTTTCTCTCTCTCCCTTTCTTTCCTTCTTTTCCTTTTTTTTTTTTTTTTTTTTTTTTTGAGACAGAGTCCCACTCTGTTGCGGAGGCTGGAGTACAATGGCGCGATCTCGGCTCACTGCAACCTATGCCTCCTGGGTTCAAGCAATTCTCCTGCCTCAGCCTCTTGAGTAGCTGGAATTACAGGTATGCACCACCACACCCGGCTAATTTTTGTATTTTTAGTAGAGACAGGGTTTCACCATGTTGGTCAGGCTGGTCTCGAACTCCTGACCTCGTGATCTGCCTGCCTTGGCCTCCCGAAGTGCTGGGATTACAGGCATGAGCCACCAAGCCTGGCCAAAGTGTTTAATTTCAAGCAGCCACAATGGCACAGACTCTTGAATAAAACCAACAAAATAGGCCAGTGATGATACCTGGGGGTTACAAGCTTCCCCAATAGGAAGGAAATGAAGGAAATAAGATCTACTTAATTGATCAGCGTGACACAAGGAAACTCACTGCAAATGGTCTTAATGGGTCTGTTTAAGAGTATTTAAATACACTCATCTCTCTAAAGGAAGAATGTGTCTTCCTGAATGAGGCCAGGCGAGAGGGAGTATCTTAGAATTCTGATCTGGAGATGTTTATTTTTATTTTTTTTGCCATTTTTCCCCCAAATATGTCTGGTCTAACGGCAGAGCTCTCCCTAGTGGGAACAGGACACTTGGAAGGGCAGCCAGCGGTTTCCTTTCAGTATTTCTAGACCCACTGATGGTCCCAGCCCCGGCCAAGGGCCATCACACCTTGTGGTCGAGTGTTAACTCCTGCTTAGGATTCATGGTCCCTAGACCACCTTTTTGTTCCCATTCAAGGGTGTGGGATTTGCCCATGGCAGTCCTCTAATTGCACACACTTGAAAACGCCAGAGCCGTGAACTCTGCTAAATCAATGGCATGTGCTCAAGACTGGGCAAATCCAGCTTGATAAGCATGTGATGAATTATAAAATAAGGCACAACCAAATACAAGCTGCAGCAGAAGTCCACAAAGTTCCACAGGAGGGCAAGGAATTATCAGTGAATCCTTACCTCGTCATAGAAACTTCTTCCTCCAGACATCCACGTGGCTTGCTTTCTCACCTCAAATCTTTGCTCAGATCCCATTTTTTTTAAGTGAAGCCTTCCCTGACAACCCTAATTTAAAACTGTACACACTCATACCTGCTTCCTTCTCCCCGACTTAGTTATCTCCACAGCACTAATGGCTAACACACTATATAACTTATTTCCATCTGTCTCCATGTGGGCAATTTCTGTCTGGCTGCTCATCACTGCACCTCAGCAGCTATTAATAGATCACTCTACTGAGGGACTCATACGTGCTGGGTGTTGGGCAAACAGTGAACAAAACCTTGTATGGTCCTTGCTGTCGGGGAGTTCATGATCCATCGTGGAGGGAGAGCTGAATTTCAACAGGCAGGCAGTGTGTGCAGGGGGAGGAGCAGCAGGAGCAATGGGTAGAGGCAGAAGCACAGAGGTGGGTGTCAAGTCAGGGAAAGGGATGGTGAAGAGATGCCTCAGGTAATGAGGGGAGGGACGGAATACGACTAGATGCTGAAGGGCTGGAGTACCAGTTGGAGAAGTTTATTTTGCAGGTAATGGGGATGGAGTATGAAAAATTGGAGGAAATGGAGTTACCTGACTAGAATTTGTTTTGGAGAACCACTTCAGGGACATGCAAGGGGCTGATATGAAGATGAGATGGAGCAGAGACCCCTCTTAGGGGCTTGCCGGGCACCTGCCCCCAAGCATGGAAATAAAAGGAAATCTTAAGTTCCTTCAAAGGCATTTCCAGGTACCTAGCCAGCACAGGGAAGTAAATGAGCAACTGAAGCAAGAAGGGAAGAATAACTTAAAACAATAGCCAGGGAAGTTTAAGTCACAGAATAGACCAAAGTTCCCATAGAGACTAAAGATAACATTTTAACAGAAGTCCTTAAGTTGATTTCCAGAAACCAAGACACCAACAAATGAAAAGTGCTATCTGCTGGCATGCAGACCTCAGACAGGGGAAACTGAGGACTGAGTTTGGACCACCACTCTTTGTTCTAAATTTCCTACTGAGGGGCCTGGAGGAAGTCATGCCCAGAGACCAGAGCTAACATTCTTTTCTGCTGATCACAAATTTGCAGACAAAGCTTCGTCTCCTTAACCCATTGTAAATCAGAAAATCTTCAAATCTACCTATGACCTATGCCCTCCGCCCCACATCTGGTTCAAGATGTCCTGTCTTTTTAGGTCAAACCAATGTACAGCCTCCGTGTATTGATTTATATCTTTGCCTGTAACTTCTGCCCCCTGCCTTTATTTTATTATTATTATGTTTTCAAGATGGAGTCTCGCTCTGTCGCCAGGCTGGAGTGTAATGGTGCGGTCTCAGCTCACTACAACCTCCGCCTCCTGGGTTTAAGCGATTCTCCTGCCTCAGCCTTCTGAGTAGCTGGGATTACAGGTGTATGCCACCACACCCAGCTAATTTTTGTGTCTGTAGGAGAGACAGGGTTTCACCATGTTAGCCAGGCTGGTCTCGAACTCCTGACCTCAGGTGATCCACCAGCCTAGGTCTCCCAAAGTGCTAGGATTACAGGCATGAGCCACCACGCCCAGCCTCTTCCTGCCTGTAAAAACGCTTACCTATATGGCACTGGGGGATTCAGGGCTTAAACATGAGCTGCCCAATTCTCCTGGCTTCCAGCCCTGCAATAAATGTCTCACTTTCTCTTACTGCAACCTTGATGTCAGTTTTTGGCTTTGCTGCGCCAGAGAGCCAGACCCAAGTTTGATCTGGTAACACAGGAAGCAGGTGAACAGGCAAGGCCACCCTCTTCTGTTTGGAGGCAGGTCAGTGTTCACTTGCCTCAGTTTACCAAGGTTGTGATCAGCCTCTGCTCCTCCTTTCTCTTACTGGCCTCCCTCTGCTGTACTGTGATTCCCATCATTGCAGTGTTTAACTTTTTATTTTGAAATAAATAAAAATACAAGAAGTTACAAATGAGGACCACGTACCTTCCACTCAGCTTCTGCCACCATGAGGATTTATGTCTGTTTAGACATCTCCCCTCTAAATTCCTACATTACTGACATCCTCCCAATACAGATCTTTCTGAGGACTTACAACAAAAATATTTCATTCTTTGAAACACTGGCTTTAGAGAAATCTTCACCCAAATAACTTTGACACCTTAAATAATCCATCATACACAATGGAACCACAGTCCTCTTACCTGTGAAAGCCAAGGGCAGGACCCAGCAGCGGGTGAGGTGAGTGAGCACTCACCACTGCCACCCTCTGTCCCACTGGGTGCAGTCGGGACCCCTGGACAGCGTGCAGGCAGCAGCGACCGGGCTCAGGAAGGTGGATCACAGTTGGAGGTGCCGATGCAGAAAGGAGACCACAGTTGGAAGTGCCACAGAGCTGGAGGTGAGCGAGACACTTCCCTTCCTCCAGTCTCCCCAGTGTGGAGTCAATGCAGCTCCTAACCCAGAGTGGGCACTAATTCCAGGAAAAGCCCAGCAACTCGGGTACAGAAGCAGGAAAGGGGTCTCTACCGTTCTAAGAAAGTCTGGAAATCTCTAATTTATCCTTTTTTTTTTTCTTTTTCTTCTAAAATTTTTTCTTCTCTGTGCCCCAGACCTCAAGAAATTTTGTGGCCCTAGTGAGAAATGGCAGATAATTAAAGTCATCAGGCCAGGCAAACTTCCTTTCCAACCAGAGAGTCTGAGGTCCCCAGAGGGTGGGGAAACCTTCATGCTTTTTCTCTCTGGCTTCTCGCTGCTTAGCTCTGACGTGGTTCAGTCAAGTGCACCAGAGAGTAGGGTAAATCAAGCCTCAACCACCCAAGCTGGCTGGAGGGCTGAAAAGGTAGAGCCCAGGGACCCAGACACTACTGGGCAGGTTACAATGAGGAAGGGCTTCGGGAGAGCAACCCCTGAAAGTTGCTCATGAACTCTTGGGCTTACCCTTGAGCTCTACATGTATGGATCCGACCCTACACGGACCACACAGACTTTGAGTGCTGAAATGTGGGATAGATTACCACCAGAGTCCCAGGCTGGCCACTAGGTGGCGCTTGTGCGAGACAGATCCACATCTCACAGACTCACAGCAACCACAATCCACACAAGTCTTGCAGGAACTTGGAATTTGTGGTCTGAACCCATTTGGGGTGATTATCTTCTAAAATAAAGTTAATAATGTTCACTGTAAGATTTTAACAATAACCAGAATCTCAAAACATAGTATTTAAAATGTCTAGGATACAATTCAGCATACTGAAACCATACTCAGCATACAAAAAGCCAACAGCTACTCTGAGATGAAACAGATACTGGAATTATTTGACAAAGATTTTCAAGCAGTTGTTAAAAATATTGTACAAGTAAAGGAGGGTACTCTTAAAACATATAGAAAATTTTGCAAAGAAATGGAAGATATGAAGAAGAACTAAGTGGAAATATTAGAAATGAAAAAATCAACTACAAAAATAGAAAACACACTGGCTGGGCTCACTACTGGGATGAAGATGATGGAGGAAGTAGTCAGTCAGTTCATAAATAAATTAATAGAAATGACTGAATCTGAGTAACAGACAAAGTTTGAAAACCTTGAACAGAACCATAGAGACCTTAGGTAATAACAAAAGGGCCGAGCTTCCTATCATCTGAGTCCCAGAAGGAAAGAAAAAAAGGGCAGAACATAGAAACATGGAAAGAAATAGCTGAAAGTCTGGTTTACCACTAGAAGGCAATCAGTTTAATCTAGTATAGCAACAGTTTAAAGCAAAAAACCCACTTGATCTTCATTTTAAAAATTCAGTATCTATTTATTATAAAACTCTCAGCAAACTTGGAATAGAAAGAAATTTTCTTCACCTGATAAAGACCATCTACTAAAACCTATAGCCAACATTCTACTTAATGGTGAAATACTGCTTGTTCTCAGAGATTAAGAACAACACAAGGATCTTCTTTCTTAACACCGCTATTTAACCTTTTGAATAGTCTTCGTCAGTGAAATAAGACAAGAAAACCAGAAAGGCCTAGAGACTGGAAAGGAAGAAATAAAACTGTCCTTACTCACAGATAACATGATCACCTATGTATAAAATCCCAAGGAACACACACACACACACACACACACACCCCTCCTAGAACAAACTGAGTTTAGCTTTAGCAAGATTGCAGGATGCAAGATCAACACACAAAAATCAGTTATATTTCTGTACATTGCCAATGAACAAGTAGAAACTGAAATAAAAAATACCACATACAATAGCTTACAACCCCGACCCCCAATACACATATAACAAAAGATGTATAGGATCTACATGCCAAAAACCATAAAATGTTGACGAAAGAACTTAATGGAGGCCCAAGCAAATGGAAATTATGGCACTCCTTCATGGACTGAAAGACATAACATAGGATTGAGTTGTAGATTTACTAAAATTGTAGACAAAATCTCAGCAAAACAGTTTAGAGTAGATAGAGGTAAGCAGATCCTAAAGTTCACATAGAAAGGCAAAAAAAAAAAAAAGAATAGCTGAAACACTCTTGAAAAAGAAGAATAAATTTAGAAAAATCACACTATCTGATTTTAAGACTCATTACAAAGCTATAGAAATCAATATGGCACAGTTTTGATAAAAGAACAGACATAATGATCAATGGAACAGAACCACTGTCCAGAAATATATTCCTTACAAATACCCTCAGTTGGCTTTTTGTCAAATTGCAATGGCAATTCAATTTCAATGAAAGAAGGAGGATATTTTCAATAAGTGATGTTGAAACAATTGGATATCCGTATGCATAAAACTGAATCTGGACCTAAATCTCACATATTATACAAAAATCATCTCAAATGGATCGTAGATCTAAATGTAAAACATGACAGTATAAAACTTTTAAAAGACCAACTACAAGAAAATCTTCATGACCTGGAGTTATGCAAAATTTCTCAGACATGTCACTCAAAGCATGATCCATACCAGAAAAAAGTCGTTGGAACGCATCAGAATTTAAAACTGTGCTCTGTAAAAGGCCCTGTTAAGAGACTGAAAAGTCAAGCACAGATTGGGAGAAGATATTCACAAATCCCATATCTGAACAAAAGATTTATACTCAGAATATGTAAAGAACTCTTAAATCTCAAGTAAACAATTCAATTTAGACATAGGCAAAAAGCCTGAACAGACATTTCACGAAAGAGAATAAAAAGATGGAAAATAAACAGCATGAAAATTTTCAACGTCATTAATTATTAGGGAAATGAAAATTAAAACCATGAAGAAATACCATCACACAGCTATCAAATGGTTAAAATGAAAAAACAAAAAAGGAAGAAATACCAAGTGTTGACAAGGATGTGGGGCAGCTGGAGCTCTCAGACACTGCTGGTAGGAATGCAAAATGGTGCAGCACTCTGGAAAACAGGTTGGCAGTTTCTTACAAAGTTAACATGTATTTAGCTTAGAAAAATTAAAACTAGGCCAGGCAGGGTGGCTTACACCTATAATCCCAGCACTTTGGGAGGCTGAGGTGGGCAGATCACAAGGTCAGGAGTTCAAGACCAGCTTGGCCAAATATGGTGAAATCCCGTCTCTACTAAAAATACAAAAATTAGCTGGGCATGGTGGTGCGCGGCTGTAATCCCAGCTACTCAGGAGGCTAAGGCAGGAAAATTGATTGAACTGGGACCCAGGAGGTGGAGGTTGCAATGAGCCGAGATAGCGCCACTGCACTCCAGCCTGGGCTAGAGTGAGACTCTCTCACCAAAAAAAAAAAAAAAAAAAAAAAAAAGAAGAAAAAGAAAAATTAAAACTATATTCACAAAATCCCGTTCTTAAATGTTTCCAGAAGCTCTAGTCTAACTGCCAAAAACGGAAAACAACTGAAATGCCCCTGGACAGATGAGTGGAGAAATTCTGGTGTACCTGCAGAATGGAATACTACTCAGCAACAAAAAGGAACCGGCTACTGACACATGACTTGATGAGTCTCAAAATGATCTCCCTGCATGAAAAGGAGCCAGTTTCAGAAGATTAGGCTCTGTAGGACATTTATCTGACATTCTTGCAAAGAGACAAAACTAGTGATAGAAAACAGAGCACTGACTGCCAGTGGTTGGGGTAGGGGAGGGTCTGATTATAAAAGACATCAGGACAGAGAATCTGGAGGGGATGAAGTGCTTCTGTGTCCTGAATGTGGTAGTAATAACACAAATCCATACATGTGTTAAAGTTCATAGAACTAGACACAAAAAACTCAATTTTTCTGTATCTTAATGTGAAAAATATAAGTAAAAAAATAAAGAAAAGAGATGACAACTCTTGCTTCCTATTTAAGGCTGTCTAGACATTAATACTGATGTTAGTACTAATTACAATAATGGCCACCACAAGCATGGTCTTCTATACTTTTTTGAGCATCTGCTACATGCTGCTTCTTTACCACACATTTTATATCACAACTTCTAATATTCACAGTCACCTTGTAAGGTGGGTTAAGCTCAACATAGAAGAAATCTCAGGGTAAGGGAAGTAAAATAATTTGTCCTATATCTCATAGTTGATAAGTGGCTGAATCTGAACTCAAACTCGGATTTCACTGCCGACCTTATTCCAAGCCTGCTTCTCCACTCTGCTGCCCACTTAATGAAAATAATGGAAACTGACAGGGAGACATTATATAATATAAATAGCAGGAAGGGAGAATCATATTTTGATTTCCATAGATTGCAAAAACTCTCAGCATATTTTATTCTAAACTTGGAGTTGGTTTGAAATTCTAATAGGTTGGGGAAAATTTAAAAACTATGCTTTTGCCATTGCCATTTTTTGATAATCCTCCAGTAGGTGGTTCTTAATTTTCAATATGATTGAATAGTTCTCTCCACTTCTGCAAATGTACAATAATTCTTATTTTCCCTAAGTGACTTAAAGAATCATTGTGACTTACAATTCTTGACCAAGTATTTACTAACTCCACAAATTGCAGTTTATACATTTGAAGCAAAGAGTAAACATTACAAAGTTCTCTCCTCTCACACAGCTGACTGTCCTGAGAAGTTGTAACTGGTCCCTCCCACCTTTACATACCACTGCCACCATCAGAAAAAAAAAAGAAAGGTAAAGCCATTTTAGAGACATAGAAACTAAACTTTCATTTTAGTTCACTATGGTTATGGCTGAATACATATCTGAAAACATCATACATACGGAGGATGCACATTTCTCACGCAGCAAATGGTATCTACATGAAAAGCTGGAGGATGAAGGCTGTCTTCTTGCTTGTGAATTATTCCCAGTGACTTTCCTGGATAGTAGGTGCTTTTTCCACCAAAAACCCTGGCCTAGAGTATTTTCGTCTCTACTAACACAGAGATATGAAACTAAGGCCTCCCATAAAAGTATTTTCTTGAATGTTTTATAATTTCTGCTCCATTGAATATATTTTCTTAAATATAATAATTAGTGATAAAATTTTGACTCGACATCAGTAAGATGTAACACAAAGCAGAGCCCACTTAGTGCTTCACGCTATTTTACTGTCAAGAGTTGGGGGATCTATTTCATAACCCAAATAAAAATAAGAAAAACAAAAATAATTTTATCACCAACACTTTCACTTTTGAGAGTCCAAATACTGTCCAAGTACCACTGTCGTCAGTTATTGGAAATCTTATTTGGAAGGTGGTTATGCCCAGAATGGTGGTGTGGGGGACAAGGAGGTGGGCTTACCTTCCAGCAGGTCTCTGGCCAGACCAGGTTCTGCCCCCGTGGACCGAACAAAGTCTGACAGGACTGCGTCCATATCAAGAGTCATAGGATCATGTAGAAGTGCTGCCCAACACTCAGCCGAGGTGGGGTTTGGAAGCACACTAGAAACCATCCATCTGCAGGAAAGAAGAGAAAGGGCATTTTACCACGTGATGGAAATGGAGCTGCAAGTGACAACTACATGCAGAGACCTGAGCGAGAGAACCCTCGAGGGTGGAGCCATTTCCACCTGCTGTCATATTTTTTAGAATTGGTTTGGTCCAACTGCCTGATTCTTCATGCAAGACATTATATTATAGAATGCTAACTAAAATTTCATCCCTGTGTACATGCCATGTGAGAGAAGGGGTATTATGAGCCAAATGTTTGTGTTCCCTCCCAAAATTCATATGTTGATATCTAATCTCCAAGGTGACGGAGAAAGACAGTGCCATCTATGAAGCAGGAAATGGGCCCTCACTAGACACCAAATCTGCTGGTTCCCTGACCTTAGACTTCCCAGCCTTTAGTACTGTGTGGAATACATTTCTGTTGTTCATAAGCCTCCCAAGCTATTGTATTTTGACATAGCAGCCCAGATAGACTAAGGCAAGGGGTCATCACTATCTCCAGTGCTCCTGAAGTTACATTTTATTAATTCCAGTAACTGATGAGGAAAAAAGACTATTTTAAAATTTCAAACACCTAAGTATACCTAGAAAAATTCAACTGGAGTTGCTAGATTTCTAATCCTCTTCCGAATTGTATAGACTTGTAATACTTCCACAATGTGATGAATGTTACCCACTCTATTCCAATTATGCCTTTATCAGTGTGCCATCCTACCCCCTCAGCTCTCACCCCTTACTTGGCTATTAGGAAAGACTAATAGCCAAGGTTAATCCACAGTTGACGGAAATACCATACTTGCTGAAGATGGCTACTGAACTATCTACCATCCCTCTAAGAGCTGCCATCAATCCAACAACATTCTTAAGAATGTCAGATTTCCCAGGCAGCATGATCCCAGCCAGAGAAATACAACGGATATGCAGCAGGTTGACCCAGGCTGACTGTAGCAGCTGATTGCTGGGGAAAAGCAACTGTGACATTACAAGTGAGAGTAACTTACACTAGTGAATGGTGCTGGGGCCCCAGTGGGTGCTCAATCTTTGCCGGTGGAGTGCAAATGCATCCTTGTGTTTGTGTAGATAAGAGGTCTGCAAGTTATAGACTATGGGCCACATGTGGTCTGCCACCCATTTTTGTAAATGAAGTTTTATGGGAACACAGCCATACCCACTCATTTGCATAGCATCTGTGGCTGCTTTTGCACCTGGCTGAGTTGAGTAGTTAAAACAGAGATCCTTAAGGCCCACAAAACTGAAAAGATGTACTTCCTGGAACTTTATGGAAAAAGCTTGCAGACCCCATTACAGGCAATGGAAAATTTTATGCTAGGAAGTATGTAATTAATTTTACATATTGTGGGATGAGTTTGAATCCCATGCTATTGATGACTGTCCTCTGTTCTTTCTTTCACAGTAACTCACTGGGATGGGTGCTGCTTGGTGGAGTAGGTCCTGTGTCAGTGGCCCATGCTTTAGAGCCAGGCACATAGCCTGATTTGACCCTGGCCCTGCCCCTGTCCAGCTGTGACATGGGCTTCACCTCTCTGAGCCCTCCTGATTTTCTGTAGGAATGCAGGAAATGAGCTCACCTAACGTGCAAGACCCTGAGGACTGAGGGTCTCAGGCAGGGAGGTCTGTACCCTCAGAGACATTCACTGTGACCACCCCATCTTGCACACAGCTCCTATTGGGTATAATTTTTAGTTGATGCGGCTAGAAAATAAGAAATTATTTGACCTGATGTATATGGTACCAATTAGGAAATTGATTTCTTCCTTCTCTCCATGCACTGGGGCCTCGGCCGGGAGAGTCTCTTCTTTCGTCACTGCCACCTGGGGGACAGATCAGAGAACAAGAGCATGTGATCTCCTTACCCTCAGACTGAGGCCGAAGGCTTGGCTTTTTGTCACAGGAGGCTGGATCTTGGCCTTGGCCAATTGCCTGAGGCATGTACTCTGTCTTCCTGGGCCCTACAGGTCCCCACTTGCCAGCTGACCACCATGTCCCATGCCCAGGCCTGGCCATCTCAGCTTTCCTCATTTTAGCAAGCACATCTATTTCAGTGAGGATCACTTGCACAGCACAGAGCTGTTTTTTTTCTTTTTTTTTTTTTTTGAGATAGAGTCTTGCTGTGTTGCCCAGGCTGGAGTGCAGTGGCGTGATCTCGGCTCACTGGAAGCTCCGCCTCCCAGGTTCATGCCATTCTCCCTGCCTCAGCCTCCCAAGTAGCTGAGACTACAGGCGCCCGCCACCATGCCCAGCTAACATTTTTTTGTGTATTTTTAGTAGAGACAGGGTTTCACCATGTTAGCCAGGATGGTCTCGATCTCCTGACCTCGTGATCCACTCACCTCAGCCTCCCAGAGTGCTGGGATTGCAGGCGTGAGCCACCACACCTGGCCTTCTAGATGTATTTCTTAAACCTCACACTGCCACCATCACCACACCCTCACATTCATGTCCCATGATGATATGGGAGAGGCTGGGCTGGTAGGGACACTTGACCCCAGCCACCTGGGCCATCCTCACCCACTGCCCCGTGCCATCCTCCCAAGCATGCACTGTGCCTCTCGACCTGCCTTGTGTGGTCTAAAGCACTCACTCAGCCGCTTTGAACAGCATGAGGCTCTGGGTGGCCGTGCCCTGGCCCTGCATTCCTGCTCTCCTCCGTGCAAACTAGCCCTTGGACAGAACATCTCTGAAGGTCTCATCAGCCACCCCGGGGAGAGTAATGTGTCCCAACAATGCATGGTGACTTTGCCTTAGGAGGGGCAGTGCCATGTGGGGACAGAGGGTTGGCCCTGGAATCAGTCCCTTGGGGCCAAAATGGTTCCACCACTTTGTGTGACCTTGGGCATGTTATATCACCTCTCTGTGCCTCAGTTTCCTCATCAATACAATTATAATTGTATCTAACAGTTATTATGAAATTTTAAGGAATTCTGCACAAAATGTACTGGCCCATAGTACATGCTCAATATACATTAATTATGAGCCAGTGAATGAACTCTCAACAGGGACCCTGAGACCACCCTTGCCTTCCCAGGGCTCCACTGAGCAAGAAAACTGCTGCCACCAGCTTGCTGAAGGCAGATATAAGGGGCCTACCTCTAGTGCCTTGGCTTGGAATCACAGAGGGTTAAACTGGTGGGGGCTCCTGCCTTCAATTCCGTCTTCTCTCCCGTATCCGAGGTTGCAGTGTTCATTGATTACTTAAGCAACCTTCATGGAGCTGCTAATCTGTTCAGGACATGACTGCAGGGACTCTGTGGGAACTATGAGCCCCCTGAGCTTTCCCAGGATCTCCCCAGTAAGCAGAAAGGGACAGACACACACATACAGGTCTCAGAGACCAACTGCTGGATTTGGAAGACACTTAGTGGAGGAAGTGGTCCAACCAGAGAGAGTAAAATTGGAAGACAGAGGTGTAGCAGGATAAAGACCAAACTACCTCAGGATCCATTTTTCATTAACTTCTGTTTTGGCCAGGTGCAGTGGATTACACCTGTAATCCCAGCACTTCGGGAGGCCAAGGCTGGTAGATCACCTGAGGTCTGGAGTTCGAGGGCAGCCTGGCCAAAACGGGGAAACCCCGTCTCTACTAATAATACAAAAAAAAAAGAAGAAGAAGAAGAGCCAGGTGTGGTGGCAGACACCTGTAATCCCAGCTACTTGGGAGGCTGAGGCAGGAGAATTGCTTGAACCCGAGAGGTGGAGGTTACAGTGAGCCAAGATCACGCCATTGCACTCCAGCCTGGGCAACAAGAGCGAAATTCCATCTCCAATGAATGAATGAATAAATAAATAAATAAATAAATAAATTAAATAAACTTCTGTTTCAATGAAGCTCAAATAAAACATTCCTGCATTATATTTGTCTGTAGATGTTACAACTCGACACTGGAAGGCAATAAAACGGGTGGATGGAGAATGAGACTGGGAGATGATGGCAGAGGCTTGTGGTCTGATCCCTGGGGACAGGTACAGGAAGACTATGGGTGAATGAGTGCCTGGAGGTTACTCTTCACTCTCAGGGCAGTGAAGAGGGTAGTGAATGCTTTTAACATCTCTTTCAACAGAGGGCCAGCTGCCTGAGAGCTGGGATCCACTTCATCCTCCTTTCTATCCTCCTGCCCACAGTGCCTGGCACACAGCAGGGCCAACTCTAAGGTGAGGCGAGGAGGCACCTGCCACTGCTGCAGAATCTAAGGGGGTGCAAAAACACTCAGGAATCGACATAAACAACATTTTAGTGCTATATCTGCAAAAATAAAAATTAGCGCAAAAATATCTTTGAGGAACAAAATATCAGCCTTTTAAATGAAGGCAAGGTTGGCATGACCATTTTTCCTTTGCCCCTGGCTCTGCAGGGCTGCCAGGCCCTGGCATGAGCTCAAAGCTGCTGCCTGGGAGGCAGGTGGTTTGGAGGCAGCCAAGTGAACACCCATCACAGCCAGAGAGCCTGACCTCAGAGAGGGCCAGCGAGGGGAGGGCCACGGGCAGGGGAACACAAGTGAGTGGGGAGTGGGAGCTCACCCTCATCAGGTCTGTTTGATGATAAAGCACACTGAACACAGGGATAAGGGAACAGAGGGGTGGATGAACAGATCTGGGGTCGAGCACAGGCTTGGGAGCTGATGGCCTGGCTGGGTGCAAAGCCCCTGCAACCCTGGAAAGGCCACTTCACTTCTTGAAGCCTTGGTTGTCACATCTGAGCAATGAGGGTGAGAACAACCCTGCCTCTTAGAATTGCAGTAAGGATACAGTGAGATGACACTGAAAGAACATGCACTATTACTATTATTACCATTGACATAGATTAAAACAATAGGCAAATGTACTGTTCTGGTATTGAGAATCCACCCTTGACTACCCATACATTTATACATCCCTGTTAAGGGGGTGAATGGTTAAATATGAAAAAAGGTCAGGCATGCGTTCATCTTGTCCGGCCTGGCGAGGAAGCCCACCCTGGTGAGAAGATCAGATGCCTGGGTTCCCGTGGTGAAATGAATTGGATGTCTCAACTCACAGGTCAACATTCCAAGAGACTGTGTGGTCCATCCCTTGCCAGACGCCCTTGTGACCTTGGGCAAGCGTGGTGCACTAGGGGACAAAGGCTTCTGTGGATGCCACATTAGGGAAACACATCTTCCAGAGCGTCTTCATGGTTCAGATGAAAATTAAGAAAGCCCGGTGTCTTTCAGTGCGGGGGCATGAGTTCTGGGAAGGTTGGCTCTGCCAAACATTCAAATGCGTAGAGCACATTCTCATTTCCAAAGCTTGGCCACGTATATTACTTACATAACCTCCACAACACCAGCTAAAGATGAGTCTAAGAGTAATTTGGACTGTGATGAAGCAATTTCTCCAGGAAATTCAGTGTAAAAAGCCCTGGGTGAGGAGAGGAAAGGTGCTTCTTAGGAATAAGAAGAGAAGTTTGGCCAGACAGCGACAGATAGGGCTGTGTGAAAATCAAACAAAAGTGGCTATAGGAATGTCTGTGGGGCACACTGAAGTTCTTCACATTGTTGCAGGATCATTTCACTCTTTAGTTTTCCCCTTGTTGAAGCTGATACGCTCAAACACATTGTCTTGTAGGAACTGAGGAAGGCTCCAGCAGCAACAGTGGGCAGTGCCGGGACCCACCACTTGTACCTGAGGCTCGGAGAAGGCACACGTGTGGGCTTTGAGCCCATTTCACTTGTCCAGCAGGTGCCGCGGGCTGGACACCCAATGGGCTTAATGGGAGGGAGACATGCCTTCTGTTCAGGGGCCATGACTGGGTCTTATGCCAGCTCTCAGAGCATCTGGTGCCTTTAAGATAAAATATGTGCATAGATGCATGATTGGAAGCAAAACATTTCCTTAGTTGACACTCACTCATTGTACTTTTTCATAATTTTCTCCTAGTATGGAAAGATGGAAGAAAAGTCTCTCCTAAAATGTGTAACTTTGGGAATAGCAGTAAGTGTAGGATCTACTGGGGTTTTGTCTTATATGCATTGAAATTATATACTCATCAATGACATATCAAATTCTTTAACGGTTCTTAATACAAGTTAAACAGTAGTTTAACTGACAGGAGAAAGTGGGGCACTAGAAATTGTAAATGGCACCTCAACATTCCAGTCTCTCTACTCTTGAGCTTAGATTTTTAGGCTAACAAGGAGAACACAGAATTACCTGATGGTACATATTTTAAAAGTATTTTTCCAATAAAAATTTAAATATGTATAAAAGTAGACAGAAAAGGATATTAAAGCCAATGTACCCATCCCTCAGGCATGACAATCATCAACTCTTAGCCAACCATGCTTCTTCTCTATCTCCAACCCTTCCCCTGCTCACATAATTTTGAAGGAAATTCCAGATAACACGTTATTTCATCCACAACTACTTCCATCTCTCTCTAAGAGACTCTTTACAACAAACCACAGTACCATAATCCCACCCAAAAATTAACAATAATTCTTCAGTGCAATATCCAGTATGCAAATTTCCAATGATATCAAATGTTGTAAGTTCACATATTTAGTTTTTCAGTTTGTTTGAATTAGAATTCAAGTAAGATCTCTTATTGTACTTGGTTGATATGTCTTTTTTAATCTACAGATTTTGCCTCCATCTTTTTTCCTCTGTTGAAAAATCTTATATATATATTTTTCTCTAGAGTTTTCTATCATCTGGCTTTTACTGATTGCTCGTATGGTGCCATGTCACATGCTCCTCTGTCCTCTCTATTTCATGTAAATCAGCACTGGGATATAAGACTCGATCAGATTCAGATTCAATTTGGGGCACATTTTGGTGCTGTCTTCTTCCATCAGTTGGCACTGAGTATCTGTCTCTGCCTGTGATGGTAGCAGCCACTGATGTTCATTGCCTAGACCCAGCAATTCAAGAGGGGTTGCATATACTGGCAGCATAATTCATTCATTCATTCTTTATTTATTAGCTGGAATTCTTAAAGGGAAACTTCTACTAATCTACTATTTGGTCACCCAGTGGTAGACATCTAATAGAAAAGGCAAGATAGATGCTTATTTATGACCTTTTAATTCATCATTTTACTTGGACGAGTTGGTTCACTAGCTTCCTTCCATGGGATCAATTTGTTACTTCTTTTTTTTGAAGTATTTTGCATTCATCAATTTAAACATATTTTATGCATTTCAATCTATCCAATATAGAGCAGTTGTTGTCTTTATTGATGCTTAAGTCCTGAATCAAGTTCCCTTGACACTAGTGTAGCTGATAGAGTCTTTTCTACATATTTTGTGTGACAAAATGTTTCAGGTCCCTTTTCTACATTTACTGTTCCGGATCTAGAATTCAACATTTCTCCAAAGAACTATGACTCTTTTTTATTGAGAATGGTTTTTCAAGACCACAATCTGGATGCTTGGTGTACCCATAACTAGTGGTTTAGTCATCGTTTACAGGACTTCTTGGAGAGTTAAGAAATATGTTTGTTTTAAAAATAAATTTTGAGTTCATTCTAATATTTCTAATTCAAATTGAAGACTTAGGAGTTTTTACTTAACCTAATCTCTTTTACAGATGAACCTCCTTCCCGCACCAAATCCTAGTTCCTAATAAAATCAGGAATGATAGCATATTACACAGTTACTCTTTCAATTTATACTGCTCAAATCAAAGCTATTGATTTCTGTGTGCTAAAATTATATCTTGCTATTTTACTAAGTTCTTACAATTTATAGCAAATTTGCATAGTTTTTTTAGTTTTCCAGATACACAACATATCAAATGCAAATATAGTTTGTGTTAACTCTTTTTTTTTGAGATGGAGTATCTCTCTATTGCCAAATCCTGTCTGATTTCCTTGATTAATGCATTCAATATAATATTACATATTATGAGAGGTTATGGGCATCTTTGCTTTGCTCCTAACTTTAGTGGGAATAACTTTGGTGTTTCCACACTGAAAAAGATGCTGGGTGTTGGGTCTTGGGCTAAACACACACATACACACACACACACAAATTTTTTTAAATTTAATTTAAAGTTCCAGGATACATGTGCAGGATGTGCAGGTTTGTTACATAGGTAAATGTGTGCCATGGTGGTTTGTTGCACCTATCAGCCCATCACCTGGGTATTAAGCCCTAAATGCATTATTTATCCTGATGCTCACCATCCCCCACATCCCCCCGACAGGCCGCAGGGTGTGTTGTTCCCCTCCCTGTGTCCATGTGTTCTCATTGTTTGCTCTCACTTATAAGTGAGAACATGTGGTGTTTCGTTTTCTGTTCCTGTGTTAGTTTGCTGAGGATAATGGCTTTCAGTTCCAACCATGTCCCTGCAAAGGACATGATCTGTTTCCTTTTTATGGCTGCATAGTATTCCATGGTGTATATGCACCACATTTTCTTTAAAAAAATTTTATTTTTCCATAAGTTATTGGGGTACAGGTGGTGTTTGGTTACATGAGTAAGTTCTTTAGTTGCGATTTGTGAGATTTTGGTGCACCCATCACCTGAGCAGTATACACAGAATGCTATTTGTAGTCTTTTATCCTTTGCTCCCCTCCCATCCTTCCCCCCAAGTCCCCAAAGTCCATTGTATCATTCTTATGCCTTTGCGTCCTCATAGCTTAGCTCCCACATATCAGTGAGAACATAGGATGTTTGGTTTTCCATTCCTGAGTTACTTCACTTAGAATAATAGTCTCCAGTCTCATCCAGGTCACTGCAAATGATGTTAATTCATTTCTTTTTATGGCAGACTAGTATTCCATTGTATAAATATACTATAGTTTGCTTATGCACTCATTGATTGATGGCATTTGGGTTGGTTCCATGATTTTGCAATTGTGAATTGTGCTGCTACAAACATGCATGTGCAAGTATCTTTTTCGTATAACGATTTCTTTTCCTCTGGGTAGATACCAAATAGTGGGATTGCTGGATCAAATGGTAGCTCTACTTTTAGTTCTTTAAGGAGTCTCCACACTGTTTTCCATAGTGGCTGCACTAGTTTACATTCCCACCAGCAGTGTGGAAGTGCTCCCTGTTCACCACATCCATGCCAACATCTACTGTTTGTTGATTTTTTTTTTTATTATGGCCATTCTTGCAGGAGTAAGGTGGTATCACATTGTGGTTTTGATTTCCATTTCCCTGATCATTAGAGATGTTGAGCATTTTTTCATAGGTTTGTTGGACATTTCTATATCTTCTTTTGAGAATTTTCTATTCATATCCTTAGCCCAATTTTGATGGGATTTTTTTTCTTACTGATTTGAGTTTGTTGTAGATTCTGGATATTAGTCCTTTGTCAGATGTATAGATTGTGAAGATTTTCTCCCACTCTGTGGGTTGTCTGTTTACTCTGCTGGCTGTTCCTTTTACCATGCAAAAGCTCTTTAGTTTAATTGAGTACCAGCTATTTATCTTTGTTTTTATTGCATTTGCTTTTGGGTTCTTGCTCATGAAATCATTGCCTAAGCCAATGTCTACAAGGCGTTTTCCAATGTTATCTTCTAGAACTTTTATAGTTTCAGGTCTTAGATATAAGTCATTAATCCCTCTTGAGTTGATTTTTGTATAAGGTGAGAGATGAGGATCCTGTTTCATTCTCCTACATGTGGCTAGCCAATTATCCCAGCATCGTTTGTTCAAAAGGGTGTCTTTTCCCTACTTTATGTTTTTGTTTGCTTTGTCAAAGATCAGTTGGCTGTAAGTATTTGGGTGTATTTCTGGGTTCTCTATTGTTTTCCATTGCTCTATGTGCCTATTTTTATACCACTACCACGCTGTTCTGGTGACTACGGCCTTATAGTATAGTTTGAAATCAGGTAGTGTGATGCCTCCAAATTTGTTCTTTTTGCTTAGTCTTACTTTGGCTATGCAGGCTCTTTTTTTGGTTCCATATGAATTTTAGAATTGCTGTTTCTAATTCTGTGAAGAATGATGGTGGTATTTTGATGGGGATTGCACTGAATTTGTAGACTGCTTTTGGCAGTATGGTCATTTTCTCAATATTGATTCTACCCATCCATGAACATGGGATGTGTTTCCAATTGTTTGTGTCATCTATGATTTCTTTCACCAGTGTTCTATAGTTTTCCTTGTAGAGGTCTTTCGTCTCCTTGATTAGGTATATTCCTAAGTATTTGATTTTATTTTTGCAGCTGTTATAAAAAAGGTTGAGTTATTGATTTGATTCTCCGCTTTGTCTTTCCTGGTGTATAGAAGAGCTACCAATTTGTGTACATTAATCTTGTATCCAGAAACTTTGCTGAATTCTTTCATCAGTTCTAGGAGCTTTCTGGAGGAGTCTTTAGGGTTTTCAAGGTAAACAATCATATTATCAGCAAACAGTGACAGTCTGACTTCCTCTTCACCGATGTGGATGCCCTTTATTTCTCTTGTCTGATTGCTCTGGCTAGGACTTCCAGTACTATGTTGAAGAGGAGTGGTGAGAGTGGGCATCCTTGTCTTGTTCCAGTTCTCAGAGGGAAGCTTTCAACTTTTCCTATTCAGTATTATGTTGGCTATGGGTTTGTCACAGATGGCTTTTATTACATTGAGATATGTCCCTTGTATGTCGATTTTCTGTTTGTGTGGTATATTGCGTTTATTGACTTGCGTATGTGAAATCATCCTTTCATCCCTGGTATGAAACCCACTTGATCATGGTGGATTATTTTTTTGATATGTTGTTGGATTCTGTTAGCCAGTATTTTGTTAAGGATTTTAGCATCTATGTTCAGCAAGGATATCAGTCTGTAGTTTTCTTTTTTGGTTATGTCCTTTCCTGGTTTTGCTATTAAGGTGAGGCTGGCTTCATAGAATGAATTAGGGAGGCTTTCTTCTTTCTCTGTCTTGTGGAATAGAGTCGAATTCTGCTGTGAATCCATCTGGTCCTGGACTTCTTTTGTTGGTAATTTTTAAATTAAGATTTCAATCACACTGCTTGTTATTGGTCTGTTCAGGGTATCTAATTCTTCCTGATTTAAGCTAGGAGGATTGTATTTTTCCAGGAATTTATCCATGTCTTCCAGGTTTTCTAGTTTATGTGTGTAAAGGTGTTCATAGTAGCCTTGAATAATCCTTTGTATTTCTGTGGTGTCACATCTTTTGTATTTCTGTGGTGTAATATCTCCCGTTTGTTTCTTAATGAGGTTATTTAGATTTTCTCTCTTCTTTTCTTAGTTAATCTTGCTAGTTGTCTATCAGTTTTATTTATTTTTTCAAAAAACCAGCTTTTGTTTCATTTATCTTTTGTATTTTTTTTTGTTTCAATTTCGTCTAGTTCTGCTCTGATCTTGGTTATTTCCTTTCTTCTGCTGGGTTTGGGTTTGGTTTGTTCTTGTTTCTATAGCTCCTTGAGGTGTGACTTTAGAATGTCAGTTTCTGCCCTTTCAGTCTTTTTGATAGGTGTTTAGGGCTATGAACTTTCCTACTAGTATCCCCTTTGCTGTATCCCAGAGGTTTGACAGGTTGTGTCATTATTGTCGTTGAGTTTGAATAATTTTTAAATTTCCATCGTGATTACATTTTTGACCCAATGATCATTCAGGAACAGGTTATTTAATTTCCACGTATTTGCATGGTTTTGAAGGTTGCTTTTGGAATTGATTTCCAGTTTGATTCCACTGTGGTCTGAGAGAGTACTTGATATATTTTAATTTTCTTAGATTTACTGAGGCTCGTTTTGTGGCCTATCATATGGTCTATCTTGGAGAAACTTCCATGTGCTGTTGAATAGAATGTGTATTCCGTGATTGTTGGATGAAATGTTCTGTACATATCTGTTAAGTCCATTTGTTCCAAGGTATAGTTTAAATCCATTGTTTCTTTGACTTTCTATCTTGATGACCTGTCTAGTACTGTCAGTGTAGTACTGAAGTCCCCCACTATTATTGTGTTGCTGTCTATCTCATTTCTTAGGTCTATTAGTAATTGTTGTATAAACTTGGGAGCTCCAGTGTTAGGTGCATGTATGTTTAGGATTGTGATATTTTCCTGTTGGACAAGGCCTTTTAACATTATATAATGGTCCCGCTGTGTCTCTTTTAACTGCTGTTGCTTTAAAGATTGTTTTGTCTGATATAAGAATAGCTACTGCTGCTTGCTTTTGGTGTCCATTTGCATGAAATGCCTTTTTCCACCCTTTTACTTTAAGTTTATGTGAGTCCTTATGTATTAGGTGAGTCTACTGAAGGCAGCAGGTAGTTCACTGGTGAGTTCTTATTTATTTTGCAGTTCTGTATATTTTAAGTGGAGCATTTAGGCCATTTACATTCAATGTTATTATTCAGATGTCAGGTACCATTGCATTCATTGTGCTATTTGTTGCCTGTGTACCTTGGTTTTTTCATTTTTTGTTTTTGCTTTTTAACTTGTATTTTTGTTTTATAGGTCCTGTGTGATTTATGCTTTACAAAGTTTTGTTTTGATATGTTTCTAGGATTTGTTTCAAGATTTAGAGCTCCTTTTAGCAGTTCTTCTAGTGGTGGCTTGGTAGTGGTCAATTCTCTCTGTATTTTCTGAAAGGCTGTATATATCTATCATATATGATAGGAATTTGCTGCATACAAAATTCTTAGCTGAAAATGGTTTCGTTTGAGGATACTGAAGATAGGGCCCCAGTCCTTTCTAGCTTGTAGGGTTTCTGCTGAGAAATCTGCTGTTAGTCTGATAGGTTTTCCTTTATAGGTTACCTGGTGCTTCTGTCTCACAGCTCTTAAGATTCTTTCCTTCATCTGAACTTTAGATAATCTGATGACAATGTGCCTAAGTGATGATCTTTTTGAGATGAATTTCCCAGGTGTTCTTTGTGCTTCTTGTATTTGAATGTCTAGGTCTCTGGGAAGGCCAGGGAAGTTTTCCTCCATTATTCCCCCCAAATATATTTTTCCAAGCTTTTAGAAATCTCTTATTCCTCAGGAACACTGATTATTCTTAGGTTTGGTTGTTGAACATAGTCCCAGCCTTCTTGGAGGCTTTGTTCATATTTTCTTATTATTTTTTCTTTGTCTTTGTTGGATTGGGTTAATTCAAAGACCTTGTCTTTGAGCTCTGAATTTCTTTCTTATACTTGTTCAATTCTATTGCTGAGACTTTCCAAAGCATTTTGCATTTCTATAAGTGTGTCCAGTGTTTCCTGCAGTTTTGATAGTTTTTTCTTTAAGCTATCTATTTCCTTGAATATTTCTCCCTTCACTTCTTGTATTGTTTTTTGGATTTCCTCACATTAGGCTTTGCCTTTCTCTGGTGCCTCTCCCTGATTAGCTTAATAACTAACCTCCTGAATTATTTTTCAGGTAAATCAGGGATTTCTTCTTGGTTTGGATCCATTGCTGGTGAACTAGTGTGATTTTTTGGGGGGTGTTAAAGAGCCTTGTTTGGTCATCTTAGCAGGGTTGGTTTTCTGGTTTCTTCTCATTTGGGTAAGCTCTGTCAGAGGGAAGGTCTACGGCTGAAGGCTGTTGTTCAGATTCTTTTGTCTCATGGCGTGTTCCCTTGATGTAATACTCTCCTGGTTTTCCTATAATTGTGGCTTCCTGCCAGCCGAACTGCAGCAATTGCTGTCTCTCTTCTGGGTCTAGCCACCCAGCAAGTCTACCTGGCTCCAGACTGGTACTGGGTATCGTCTGTACAGAGTCCTGTGATGTAAACCATCTATGGGTGTCTTAGCTGTGGACACCAGCACCTGTTCTCCTGGAGCTGGTGGTGGGGTCAAATGGACTCTGCAAGGATTCTTAGCTTTGGTGGTTTAATATCCTATTTTTGTGCTGGTTGGTCACCTGCCAGGAGATGGCACTTTCCAGGGAGCATCAGCTGTGGTAGCATGGAGAAGAACCAGTGGTGGGTGGGGCCCTAGAACTCCCAAGATTACATGCCATTTGTATTCAGCTACCAGGGTGGATAGGGAAGGCCCATCAGGTGGGGGCAGGGTTGGGTATGTCTTAGTTCAGACTGTCCTTGGGTGCGTCTTGCTGAGGCTGCTGTGGGGGATGGGGGGTGAGGTTCCCAGGTCAATGGAGTTGTGTACCTACGAGGATTATGGTTGCCTCTGCTGAGTCATGCAGGCTGTCAGGGAAGTGAGGGAAAGCCGGCAGTCGCAGGCCTCACCCAGCTCCCATGCAGTCCGAAGGGCCGGTCTCCTCCCACTGTGCCTCCCGTAACAGCCCCAAGTCTGTTTCCAGGCAGTGGGTGAGCAGAGCTGAGAACTTCCCCCAGGTTACCTGCTTCCCAGCTGGAAAGAAAGGGGCTTGGTTCTACCCCCGCCTGTGGAGAGTCTGCAGGACAGATTCGCACCCTCCCCTGAGTTCTGGCAAAGAGGCTTCTCACCCAGTTCAAATTGTTACAAAGTTCAGCTGGAGACTTCCTTCTCTCTGTGGTGTTTTTCCCTACTCCTCTGGCTTCCCTCCCAAAGGATCCCTGTGGTGCCAGGCAGGAATGGCCTGCTTGGGGACCCAGGGAGCTCCCAGGGCCTTTCCCACTGCTTCCTCTACCCCTGTATTTCACTCAGTTCTCTAAACTGACTCAGCTCCAGTTAAGGTCGGAAACTTCTCCTGCAAAAAGACTTTCAATTTCTCCATTGGGGGTGTGTGTTCGGGAGAGCAGGATCTCCCTTTTCCACTTCCGCAGGTGGGCACTCACAGTATTTGAGGTGTTTCCTGGGTCCTGCAGGAGCAGTCTGCTTCCTTCAGAGGGTCTGTGGGTCCTCTCAGGATTGCTGGTTTGTTCTTGCAGTCGATCTGGAGCTAAAAATTCACGATGCAAGCCTCGGAATGCTGCTGTGTCCATCTGAGTCAGAGCCATGAAGATCCCATATTTTCTTTATCCAGTCTATCACTGATGGGCATTTGGGTTGATTCCATGTCTTTGCTATTGTGAATACTGCTGAAATGAACACACACATGCATGTATCTTTATAACAGAATGATTTGTATTCCTTTGGGTATATAAAGTAATGGGATTTCCAAGTCAAATGGTATTTCTGGTTCTACGTCTTTGAGGAATCACCACACTGTTTTCCACAATGGTTGAACTAATTTACATTCCCACTAACAGTGTAAATGCATTCCTATTTCTCCACAGCCTTGCCAGCATCTGTTGTTTCTTGACTTTTTAATAATTGTCATTCTGACTATAGCATGAGATGGTATCTCATTGCAGTTTTGCTTTGCATTTCTGTAATGACCAGTGATGTTCAGCTCTATTTCGTATGTTTGTTAGCCACCTAAATGTCTTCTTTTGAGGAGTGTCTGTTCATATCCTTTGCCCACTTTTTAATGGGTTTGTTTCTTTCTTGTAAATTTGTTCCTTGTAGATTCTGGATATTAGACCTTTGTCAGATGGATAGATTATAAAAATCTTCTCCCGGCCGGGCGCGGTGGCTCACGCCTGTAATCTCAGCACTTTGGGAGGCTGAGGCGGGTGGATCACAAGGTCAGGAGATCAAGACCATCCTGGCTAACAAGGTGAAACCCCGTCTCTACTAAAAATACAAAAAAAAAATTAGCCGGGTGTGGTGGCGGGCGCCTGTAGTCCCAGCTACTTGGGAGGCTGAGACAGGAGAATGGCATGAACCCGGGAGGCGGAGCTTGCAGTGAGCTGAGATCGTGCCACTGCACTCCAGCCTGGGGGACAGAGCGAGACTCTGTCTCAAAAAAAAAAAAAAAAAAAAAAAAAACAACTCCCATTCTGTAGGTTGTCTGTTCACTCTGATAATACCTTCTTTTGCTGTGCAGAAGCTCTTTAGTTTAATTAGATCCCAATCTTTGCTTTTATTGCAATTGCTTTTGATGTTTTTGTCATGAAATCTTTGCCCATGCCTATGTCCTAAATGGCATTGCCTAGATTTTCTTCTAGGGTTTTTATAGTTTTGGTTTTACATTTAAATCTTTAAGCCATCGAGTTAATTTTTGTATAAGGTGTAAGGAAGGGATCCAGTTTCAATTTTCTGCATATGGCTAGCCAGTTTTCCCAGCAACATTTATTAAATAGGGAATCCTTTCCTCATTGCTTGTTTTTGTCAAAAATCAGATGGTTGCAGATGTGTGGTCTTATTTCCAAGATCTCTATTCTGTTCCATTGGTCTATGTGTCTGTTTTTTGTAGCAGTACCATGCTGTTTTGGTTTCTGTAGTCTTGTAGTATAGTTTGAAGTTGGGTAGTGACACACACACATTTAAAAAGTATCCATGAACCTCTTCTACTGAGTGGTTTTATTATGGATAGATGTTGACTTTCATACTATTTTTTTCATAAAATCTACTACTATGATGAATTATATTAATGTGCTTCCTAATACTGAACCTAACTCATGTTTCTGGAATAAATCTCCTGTAATCATTCATTGATGTTTCTTTTTATGTGCTTTTTGATTTGGTTTTGCTAATTTTTATTTAAAACTCTTTTTTAAATGATTCCCATAATACTTGTTTATTTTTTTCTAACTTTTACTTTAGGTTCGGGGGACACGCACAGGTTTGTTATATAGGTAAAGTGCATGTCATGGGGGTTTGGTGTACAGATTATTTTGCCACCCAGGTAGTAAGGATAGGACCTGTTAGGTAGTATTTTTATCCTCATCCTCTTCCCACCCTCCATCCTCAAGTAGGTCCCAGTGTCTGTTGTTCCTTTCTTTGAGTCCATGTGTACTTAATGCTTAGCTCCTGCTTTTAAGTAAGAACATATGGCATTTGGATTTCTGTAAAATTCTTAAATTAATATTAATAAACTAGATTGAGCTATGGTTTTTACTTTTATGTGTAATCTTTGTCAGGCTTTATAGTTAATATTATATACATAAAACAAAATGGAAAGTTTCACTTTATTTTCAATGCTCTGGATTAACCTAAGTAGCACCAGGGCCATTTGATATCTGAAGGTTGGTAGATTTGACCCACGAATCAATCTTCCTGGTCCTTCTTTTTCAGGGAGCTCTTTTACACCTTCCTCTAATTTTTTCCTGTGGAAATTGCTCTGCCCAGTCTTTCTATCTCTATATGGTTTAATTTTGTTAGGTCATATTTTCCTAGAGATTTATCCATCTTAACTTGGTTTTCAAATTTATTTGAATGCAGTTAAAAAGATTCTTCCCATGGGCCTAAATCCCCTATATATCTCACTAAGGAAAATAAATGTTACTTGCTGAGTGCCCACAATTACATTGATCGTGCTTACTGCTTTAAGGGTGAGTTAACTCTCCTACAGGCAACAATTCCACAGGGACAGTGGTTTAGTTCCATTTTACTAAAGCCCAGAGTGCCCAGTGGCAGAGTAAGGATTCCCACATAGACTCACTTTGATCCAAAAGTCACCATTATTCCATCACACAATACTATCCCTTTACAATGGAACGGGGTGTCTTCAAAAGGTGTCAGGTCAAAACATCTGGTGCCTTTGAAATATATTATGTGCACAGATGCATGATTGGAAGCAAAACATTTCCTTTGTTGACACTCACTCAGTTGTACCTTCTCATAGTTTTCTCCCAGTATGGAAAGATGGAAGAAAAGTCTCTTCTAAAATTTACATATTTGGGAATAGCAGTAAGTGTAGGACCTACTGAAGCCTTCTCCTGTGTGCACTGAAATGATATACTCATCAATGGCATATAGAATTTTTCCAGGGTTCCTCCTATGACAGCAAGTGTACAGCTGTCATTACAGTCATGGGCTTATGATCCCAAAAAGGTTACAGACTGTTCATAAAAACTACAGATGCTCAATTTATGATGGGGTTATACACCAATAAACTTATCTTAAGTTGAAAATACATTAAGTTGAAATGAATTTAATATTCCAATAAATCCACCTTAAAGTTGAAATAAGTCGAACCATCATTAAGTCCAGATGCTCCTTGACTTACGATGGGGTAACCTCCCAAGAAATCTATCCTAAAGTTAGAAAATCCTAAGTCCAACCATTCTAAATTTGGGCTAGTTTGTAGACAATTCCTAAAGAATCCACAAGGAATAATAATCAATAGTTTTGAAGAAAAGACTTAATCACGAAAGTGAACTTTGTAAGGCCACGAAACATGGTGACACTTGTTCTGACTTGTAGAAAACTACAATCTTGCAACAGTGTAATGTGCCCACACCCTGAAAAGATCACCTTACAAGAGAACCTCCATGTCACAGAGATTATCTCATCCCTGAAAATGCGCAGCAGAGCTTGCCTGACAATTCTAAACCTTCAGCATTGGAATGCTTGCAAGTCCGCTTTGCTTTGAAAGATTTATGTTTTTATTCTTCAGGCTCACAAATCTAGCTGTTACACTGGCATAAAATATGTGCCTGAATCAGACCAATGTGCCATTGACAAGGGTTTAAAAAAAATCCAAAAACCTTACAAATCAGGTTGCTACTTTTCCTATTGATTCCAATCATTAAATCAGTTCTTCTGGGTAAAGGCACCTTATTTTCAAGGAAAAGACAGCCTAATGGGTCAGCCTCTTTTCCCGGCCTGCCATTGTCATTGTGACAAGTGGTGGGGCACACTTTGCGTATTGAGCTGTCACCCCAACCTACTTGCCTCCTTCTTCTGTCTGTGAAGGCTGCCCTGGAGGACAGGGTTCATGTTTTATTTGTCTTAACATCACCACAAGCTGGAATATACAGGATAATAAGTATGCTGAATAAATGAACAAAAGGAAACTAAAAACACTAAACCTACCTTCATGCTCCATTCTGATGGGCAGACATGAAAATACCCAAAATTCCACCTAGATTGGAATCAGTACTCTAATACTGCTTACAAGTAAACCCATTGGAATATAAGAAAGGAACAGTTCTCTGTGCCTGGCAGATGAAGACAGCTGAAGGTAAGATAAATTTTTTAGGAGGATTAAGGAAAAGTCCAAAGAGGGCATTCTGGGCTGGATGAGCAACATGGGTGGTGGCCGGGCACAGATACCCCAGTGTCTCCAGGAGAGCCGGTGGCCAAAAGGCTGGGGGTGAAGGTGAGGGCCAGCCCTGGGGCTGCCAGGGTGAGTAGCTTACCTATGTTATGAGGCCAGTGGGAGGCTGATAAGAGTTTCAGAAGACAGAACTGACAGGAATTACATACTTTAGGAAAATAAATGAAGATACAAAAAATTGACATCCAGAGCCTAGAAGGCAACGGGCAGGTGCTAGCCCAGCTTCTTAGATGTTGTCCACTGCATACGCTTGCACCTACTGCAGACTGAATCTTGGTTTATCAGGGAGCAGTTGAGACCCTGGATTTCAGAAAAGAAAGACAAAATTCCTAGCACCCAGGGATGAAATGCAATTGGTAAAAGCCCATTATTCCCTGACCTGTGATTCACCAATCTGCATGTGCCATGCTGGACGACGATCCAGTCTACCTGATGGAAATGGTTGGGTTTCCAACTGGTTGGGTTTAGAGGAAAGCACTTGCTTACCTGATGGAAAGAGACAGGCTTAAATGGAATAGTCCTTTCTCGTGATGCCTTTCCCCTTCTTTCTGCCTTGAGTGAGGAAATAACATCTGCAAGTCCACCCACCATTCTGGGAGTATAAAACATGATGCAAGAGGACAAAACCCAAGAAAAGTTGGGTGGAGTAGGAAGCTATTTCCGATGGTATCATGGAACGCTTGCACCAGCCGTAGACAGTCCACCCCTGGACTTCTTATTATAATTCTCATCTAAGTATCTACTTTTTCAAGCCAGTTAAGTCAAATGTCTGGTTACTTGTAGCTGAATGTATTCCTAATTGAGAGATAAAGGTAAAATGACTCAGATGTCTGAACTAGAAAAGAGGCAATAGAAAAAAAAAAAAACCCAAGGCAAATACCATTTATAAACATAGATTTACAACTTAAAGATTAGCAAATGAGTCCAAAACACAGAAAAAGAGATAAAGAGACAAATTAGAGCCTTGGAGCCGCTGCAGCCATCTTGGGTGCTTGGTTGTGGGGGTTATTAGGGTGGAAGGAGTTGAGT
The DNA here is from genome assembly GCF_000001405.40 of Homo sapiens. Classification (NCBI taxonomy): domain Eukaryota; kingdom Metazoa; phylum Chordata; class Mammalia; order Primates; family Hominidae; genus Homo; species Homo sapiens. Next base: position 2,903,739 of record NW_011332701.1, on the reverse strand, counting down.
CTGTGGGGTTCTGGAGATGCCATTACCAACCCTGGAGTGCCTCATTCTCGTACATGTGAGAGAAGTGAATTCTCCTCTTGTTAAATCTGCCATAATGTCTCCTCTCTGTTACTAACAGCCAAACATGATTCTCATGCCAATACACTATCTTAACAAATTTGAGGAGAAAAACCATATGGTCATCTTAAAAGATGCCAAAAAGCCCAGTTATTCATTATACCAAGTTGAAACAAACCAGGAATAGAAGGAACCTTTTTTCTACTTATTAAATGATATTGATTCTAATTTTTTAGGACTTATCAGACCTAATAATGAAAACTTTAGAAGCATTTCCATCAAGGTTTAGAACAAACTCATGACTAAGTATTACAACAAATGAGAACATTTTAAATGGCTGGAACAAGATCAACATCCAAAAATCAACACTCTTCCTACATGTCAACATTAGCCAAGTTAGAATTTTAAAAACAACACAAAAAAATCTATTTCATAATAGCCAACCAACCCCCACCAAATCTCCTGTAAGTTAATTAGGAAAAACACACAAAAAGAAGGAAACCTAAATAATAAAACTTTAATGAGGTATAGAAAGAGAACTTCAATAAACGGATGGGAAGACTATATTGTTAAGATGCCAGTTCCTCTCTAATATGTATAATAAATTGAATGCAATCAATACAGAATTTTTTGTGGAAGCTGACAAACAGTTTCTAAAACTTAGAAGAATAAGCCAGTAATTCCAAGACAATTTTGAAGAAAATAAGTTGCATGTTTGTTCTCCCACACTTCACACATAAAGATATTGTGACTAAAGTGATGGATACACAGGGATAGACAGAGACACATGGACCCGTGGAGGAGAACAGAAAATGCAGAGATGTGTGAGGGTAGTGGGGGAAGAGAGAGAATTTGGTAGATGATAATGGCAGATGCCCTTAACTTCCCATCCAATACCCATTCCCCTTCCTTATTGCCAACAGACCTTTGCTTTTGCTCATGGCTACAATGTGCTCAGCCCCATGTAGTAAATCCACGGGCTTAATACATGGGCTGATGATTGGGCTAAGTGAATCAAGACAATTCTGACTTCTGCTTTACCAGTTTTTCCTGCAGCTAAAAGTATCCATGTGGCCAGTTCTTTCTCCTCCATGAGCTGCCAAAATGCAATAGGAAATCTGCTAGGCTACTTTTGGCAAATGTTTTGCCTTCCTAAGAGGTATGCATAGAATCCTCCCACCTTGAAGTGATGTGATACGAGAAGCTGTGCTGGCCTGTGACCATGAGGGACGGGTCAAGAGAACCTGAAAGATGCTGCCATGACATCACTGAGCAGTCAACCCAATGGTGCACTGGCTCCCAACTCTGTCTTGTGAAATTAAACATCTCCGACGAAGCTGAAAGCATCTCTAACTGACAGAATGACACACGTGGGGAATACTAAATTTCTAAAAATCCTGTGGGAAAAGGACCACATTATAAAATTTATAAAATAAGTTGGAAACCTAATTGGAAAAAATAAAGCAAGATTCCCTACATCATATCACTGACCAACAAATTTCACAGGAATTAAATACACATAGACAAGAAGTAAAACTGTAAGTGTGCCAGAGAAAAGTATAGGTGAATACATTTATGACCTTGTGGTAATAAAGTGTGCTGGAGACCCTGCCTGATGTTGACCATGGCCCTTGCCTTTGTGTTTCTAGGTCACATTTCTTGGCCTCCCAAGGCCAAGCAAGGTGTGGCCACGTGACTTAAGTTCCATCAAAATAGAATATGGCATGGAAGGAACCTGAGCCATTTCCAGGCCTGGCCCCAGTCTCCCACTGCATCCCCACTTCTCCCTTATCTCTTATTTGCCAGCTCAGCTCATTAGAGAGGATTCAGCAGGGAGTCAGTGACCCCAGGGGATAGTAGAGCTGCTGGATGGGAGAAATGTGGGTCCCTACATGATGGTGTGGTCTCTATCAGGCTGGCACATGGCAAGAAATAAAGCTGCCTTGTGTTAAAGTGCTGAGATTTGTGGGGATGTTCATTTTAGCATTTAGCCAGCCCTAACTAATAAATAAAGCCTTTTTAAGAGCTAAAAAGTGAAGGTCCATCCAATATGGTTTGGCTGTGTCCCCACCCAAAATGTCATCCTGAATTGTAATCCCCATAATCCCCATGTGTCAAGGGTGGGATCAGGTGGAGGTAATTGGATCATGGGAGTGGTTTCCCCTATGCTGTTCTCATGATAATGAGTGAGTTCTCACGAGATATGATGGTTTTTATAAGTGCCTGGCATTTCCCCTGCTTGTATTTCTCCTTCCCGCTGTCCTGTAAAGAAGGTATCTTGCTTCCCCTTCACCTTCCACCATGATTGTAAGTTTCCTAAGGACTCCCCAACCATGCTGAACTGTGAGTCAATTAAATCTCTTTCCTTTGTAAATTACCCAGTCTCAGGCAGTTCTTTATAGCAGTATCAAAACAGACTAATAGAGTAAATTGGTACCACAGAGAGTGGGGCGCTGCTATAAAGATACCCAAGAATGTGGAAGTGACTTTAGAACTGGGTACAGGCAGAGGCTGGAACAGTTTGGAGGGCTCAGAAGACAGGAAGATGTGGGAAACTTTGGAACTTCCTAGACTTGCTGAGTGGCTTTGATCAAAATGCTGACAGTGAGATGGATAATCAAGTCCAGGCTGAGGTGGTCTCAGATGAAGATGAGGAACTCGTTGGGAACTGGAGCAAAGGTGACCCTTTTTATGCTTTAGCAAAGAGACTGGTGGCATTTTGCCCCTACCCTAGGGATCTGTGGAACTCTAAACTTGAGAGAGATGATTTAGGGTATCTGGTGGAAGAAATTTCTAAGCAGCAAAGCGTTCAAGAGATGACTTGGTGCTCTTAAAAGCATTTAGTTTTATTCATTCACAAAGATATGGTTTGGAATTGGAACTTATGTTTAAAAGGAAGCAGAGCATAAAAGTTCAGAAAATTTGCAGCCTGACAATGCGATAGAAAAGAAAAACCAATTTTTTGAGGAGTAATTCAAGCTGGCTGTAGAAATGTACGTAAGTAATGAGGAGCCAAATGTTAATCACCAAGACAATGGGGAAAATGTCTCCAGTGCATGTCAGAGGTCTTCACAGCAGCCCCTCCCATCACAAGCCAGGAGGCCTAGGAGGAAAAAAGCGGTTTTGTGGGTCGGGCCCAGGGCCTTGCTGCTTTGTGCAGTCTTAGGACTTGGTGCTCTGTGTCCCAGCTGTGGCTAAAACGGGCCAATGTACAGCTCAGGTTGTTGCTTCAGAGGGTGCAAGCCCCAAGCCTTGGCAGCTTTCATGTGGTGTTTGGCCTGCAGCTGCACAGAAGTCAAGAATTGAGGTTAACCTCTGCCTAGATTTCAGAGGATCTATGGAAATGCTTGGATGTCCAGGCAAAAGTTTGCTGCAGGGGCAAAGCCCTCATGAAGAACCTCTGCTAGGGCAGTGCAGAGGGGAAATGTGGGGTCACAGCCCCCATACAGAGTCCCCACTGAGGTACTGCTTAGTGGAGCTGTGAGAAGAGAGCCACTATGCTCCAGATCCCAGAATGGTAGATCCACCAACAGCTTGTACTGTGCACCTAGAAAAGTTGCAGACACTCAACACAAGGCTGTGAAAGCAGCCAGGAGTGGGTCTATACCCTGCAATACCACAGGGATGGAGCTGCCCAAGGCTATAGGAGCTCACCTGTTCCATCAGCATGACCTGGATGTGAGACATGGAGTCAGAGGAGATCATTTTGGAACTTTAAGGTTTAACATTGCCCTACTGGATTTTGGACTTGCATGGGGCCTGCAGCCCCTTTGTTTTGGCTAATTTCTCCAATTTGGAATGGCTGTATTCACCCAATGCTTGTACCCCCATTGTATCTAGGAAGTAACTAATTTGCTTTTGACTTTACAGGTTCATAGGCAGAAGGGACTTGCCTTGTCTCAGATGAAATTTTGGACTCGGACTTCTGGGTTAATGCTGGAATAAGTTAAGACTTTGGGGGACTGTTGGAAAGGCATGATTATGTCTTGAAATGTGAGAACATGAGATTTGATTTGGAAGGGGCCAGATGTGGAATTCTATGATTTGGCTATGTCCCCACCCAAAATCTTATCTTGAATTGTAATCCCCATGTGTCAAGGATGGGACCAGGTGGAGGTCATTGGATCATGGGGGTGGTTTCTCCCATGCTGTTCTCATGATAGTGAGTGAGTTCTCCTGATAGTGAATGAGTTCTCATGAGATATGATGGTTCTCTAAGTGCCTGGCATTTCCACTGCTTGCATTTCTCCTTCCTGCTGCCCTGTAAAGAAATGTGCTTTGCTTCCCCTTCACGTTCAGCCATGATTGTAAGTTTCCTGAGGACTCCTCAGCCATGCTGAACTGTGAGCCAATTAAACCTCTTTCCTTTATAAATTACCCAATCTTGGGCAGCTCTTTATTGCAGTGTGAAAACAGACTAATACACCATCAAAATAAAGTTGATAAAACTGATAATAGCAAAAACCAAAGACAATAAACAAAGTTCTGTATGAGAAAAAAATCATAGATATTTTAAAGTTATATAACAGAATAAGAAATTCTGGAAAAAACATAAAAACAAGGGATTGATATTCAAAGGACGAATTAAAAAATTTACATATTATATGAATATGTAATTTACAGAAAACTCAAATGACTAGTCAACAAATGAAAAGAGAATCAACCTTAGTCGTAATGATGAAAATACAAATTAGACAAGATAATCACTAACCACCCTCACCCAAGCCCTCATGCATCAAATTGGCAAGGGAAAAAAAGCCTGAAAACATCAAGTCCTGGTGAAGTGAAATTGGTAGTTTTTAACACTGCTAGTAGGGGAATATTGGGCTAGTGGTGAGGTCAGCAGGGGGCATTTTTTTAGGATCTAAAATTGTTTTTAATATAGAATACACATTTTAATATAGAATACATATATAGAATTGTAACTGTACAATTCTGCCTCTCAGTATCTTGCTGAGAGAACACTCTGCTTATGTGTACAAAGAGGCATGTCTAAGGATGTTCCCTACAGCATAGCTGGAAATGTAAAAAAAGTTTGTCCATAGGAGACTGGCTGAATCAAGCCTATTATATCAGTACCTGGACTACATTACAGGTGTCAACATGAAAGTGTCTCTAAGACACATCAGAATATTAATGTGTTATAGCATGGTTAAACAATACTAACAGGAAAAAGGTCTCATGGGTAGAAAACTGTCCAGAAGGAAAACTGGCTATGGTCATGAGGGCTCTTAGGAGCTCAGGACCCGGGAGGGAAGGAGCAGGACACTCATCTCTACTTTAAGGCCTCCCAAACTCTTTGCCCCCTGCTCACATAATAAACCATACTTCAAGCATCATTTCCTACTGAAGCTATTAAATAAGATACAAGAAATGACAGGGGTCTGGGCTCCAGCATGGAAGCAGATGCAAGCAAGAGAAGAGTAGAAAGGTGCACTTTGTTTAGCAGCTGAAGTGATGTGGGCTGGAGAATCCATGCAGGCTGTGCTGGCACAAACCCCGGGGAAAGGCAGGGCTAGTTTTGAGTTGAGGTTTTGCCATTCTCTTCAAGTGTGGTCTTTAGGAAGTCACTAAACCCCTGTGAATCCACTTCCCCATCAATACATGCGGAAGATACCATATCTTTCTTAGAACTTTGTTAAGTTTAAATAAACCTAAATAAAAACATACTATTGGTCTGCCTGCCTGTCTGTCCACCTATCATCTATCTTCAATCTATATTCTATCTCTCCCTTTCTTGTTCCACACACCTACCTACCTACCTATGTATCTTTTGATATATATTTTTTCCTGTCCGTATGTATCTATCTTTCTTATTAATTTTCTCATTGTCTGTCTGCCTTCCTCTTTCCTGATTTTCTGTCTCCCCTTCTGTTGGTCATGTGTCTGCTAAGTAGATGTCTAACTATCCATGTTTCTTTCTTTCTGCCATCCTGTCTATTTCTACCTGTCTCCATCCATCCATCCATCCATCCATCCATCCACCCATGCACCCACCCACCCACCCAGCCACCCACCTATGCATGTTTCTGGTTGTCTGTTTGTCAGTATGTCTGTATGTCTTTGTGTTATATATCTGTCTATATGACTACCTGTCTGTCTCTCTATGCTGGAAACTCTGTTTTTCTGTCTGTCCATCTGTAATCTCAATGTTTTTCCTTCTTGTCTGTATGTCTTTCAACCTATCTTGTTTGTCTGCATATCTACCCATATGCCTATGAATGTATTTATCTGATTATCCAAAACCTGCCTGAATGTCTGTCTATATATCCCCCTCCCTCCTTTCCTTTCTCCCTCTATACCTTTCTGACTGTGTTTCACTGTCTAATAATGACTGTCTAATTTCTCTCTGACAGTCTAATTTCTATTGACCACTGTTGACCTACCTTCATGGTGCTTGACACAGAGCAGAGCCTCACTCAAGGCTAGTTTACTTCCCCCTTTTCAGTTCCTTTCACTCCTTCATTGCTCCATTCCTACACTCAGCTGCCATTAACTGGGCCATTGCTCTGTGTTATGTGCTAGGGATACAACCTAAAATTAGGCAGGGTCTCTACCTTCTAAGAGTATTTGGGCTGCTGGCCTAAAAAACAAATTAATGAGGCAGTTATATGATGCTTAGAGCTATGAGAGACAAGATGGTGTCAGGCACAAGGGAAGGGCACCCATGCTAGACTGGAGTGGAGGAGAGAGTGAGAGAGGCTCTGAGGAAGTGACTTCTCATCTGAAAACCACAGAGGACTGGGGATTTTGCAAAATAGAGGGCTGAGCTCCATGTAATTGGGGAAGGGGTATGGACAGTGGTGCAAAGCCAGGAAAAGGGAACGGGGTCCATGTAGACCTGGAGAACAACAGAGCCAGGACACAGTCAAAAATTCTAACTAAGCAATTCACAAAATTCAGACAAGAGAGACCAAAATTGACCTAAATAAATAGAGAGATGTATTGTTTTTATGGATTTTAAGATATACCACAGTTAAGATGTCAAGTATAGTCACACTGATCTATAAATTCAATGCAATCCCAGTCAACACTCCAGCAGGTTTCTTTGTAGGCACAGACAAGCTGATTCTAAATTTATATAGAAAGACAAAGAAACTAGATTAGCCAAAACAACACTGAAAAAGAAAAAAGTTAGAGGACTCACACACTTGATTTTAAGATGTGTTATAAACCTCCTGTGGCCAAGACAGTATAGTATTGGGATAGTAAAGGATAGACACGTTTATTACCAAAACAAAAGACAACTGATTTTTGACAAAGGCACAAAGACAATTCAATGGAGAAAAGATAGACTTTTCCAAAAAATGATGCTGGAGCAAATGGACTTCAGTAAAGTAAACTCAATCTACATCTTAACACCATATATAAAAATTAACTCTGAATGGATCATAGACTAGGTGTGCCTGTATGTTTAGGTGTCCATGTGTGAGCATGTGCATGCATGTGCTGTGTGTGTGCGTGTCCATGTGAGTGTGCATGTGTTTAATAGTGTGTATGTGTGTTTGTGACTTCTGTGTGCATGTTTATGTTGAGTGTGTGTGAATATATGTGCATGTTTGCATGCACATGTGTGTGTGAATGTATGTGCACATTCGCATAACTGTGTGTGACTGTGCATGTTAAAAAGGGACACAGGGAAGGGTGTCTAAGGGACATTTGGTTAGAAATTCCAGTGGGCTGGTTGCTTATACTTGGAAGTTTCCAGACCACTTAGAGTTCCACTTAGAGTAAGTGAAACCAAGAGAGTCGATGGCAGTGGCTCTTTCCATTAAGAAAAAAGAATTAAGATTTCACAAATACAGGAGAATTTCAGCTTTTGGGCTTTCTCATCGGCCCATATTAGTGGACTACTTACACATGTCAGCGACTGGTAAAATTCAGTGTTTCATTTTAGTGTCTATCTTTTCAAATAGAATAAACAACTTTCCCAAATAAAAAAATAAACATAAAGGAAATAAATATCTGTCATCATGTATGGCTCTGAACTTTTAAAATAGATAACAGTGAGATAGGTGGATTCTGAAGAACCCACCCAACTTTCTATAATACCCTGTCAACTTTATGACCTAATAGATTAATCTACTAATTGTTTTCTTCTTTAGTTCCCTGGGTTTTCATTTTTAGTCACTAGAAACACTTATACAAATACAAATCCACGCAGGCATTCCAAAAATTCCTGGGGACAATTTATGTGTAGTCTCTGGTTCTCACTGCCTCAGTTTTGAAATGAGGATAGCAGTTCCTATTTTAATATGGTTGTGGTGGTGATTACATAGCATAGTGCCTGGCACACAGCAAGTACCAAAAAAAGGATAGGTACCTCATAAATATATACATCTACTATACACCCATAGAAATAAAAAAATTAAAAAGATAGGTATGATTATGATTATTGTGGTCATTATTTATGTATTTATTTGCAACATATTCTTAGACTAATAACCTTGGAAACCTAATAAAACCGTCTGGAGTTCTATTCCTTCAGAAGATTTGCTTTTGGTACTTTTTATATCAAAATAACATATAATTTTTAAAAGGTTGGTTCTGAATTGAAACTGATGACTATGAAGTCCAAGTTTATAGGATCAGCTGTTTGAGTCAGAAAGAAACTGCATTCTTAAGCAGAAAATTTATTTGTCCACACTCCCCTGAGGAAAGAATGCTAAAGCCAATTTCATTCAAACACTAAGCATTGGCTCAAGACCAAATAAGAAGCATTGCAGCCCTGGATGATGTAGCCACAGTAAGTTGGAAGCAATTGATTTCAACAAAGAAAACGATTTTGCTACTGGCCAAGGATGGGGAATCTTTCTGACCTGCACATTGTCTCCACAAATAAGGTGCCTCTAGTTAAGCCTCCCTAATCAATGGCCAAGGATGCAATTACAGTTGCAGAGAAGTGGAACTCAAATGGAGTGGGAATAAAGAAAGGAAGATTAATAAATAATAGGAAAGGGGGAGTAGAGAAGCAGGAGAAAGGAGATGGGAGAAGCCGGCAAAGATGAAACACAGCTCTGCTGAGAAGCATATATCCAAGAACAATCAACACTATAAATTTCATGGATGCTGCATCAGTTACCTATTGCTGTGAAACGACAACTCCCAGATTTAGGGACTTAAAATAACACATATTCATAATCTCACCATTTCTGTGGGGCAGGAGTCAGAGTGCACCTTCTCAGGGTCTCTCACAAGGCTGCAACCAAAATGTGAGTTGAGGCTGCAGTCTCGTCTGAAGGCTCAAATGAGGAAGCATTCTCTTCCAAGCTTACTCATGTGATCATTCACAGAATTGTTTCTGAGGGTTGTTGAACTAAGAAGCTCAGTTCTTTGCCACGTGGGCCTTTCCATAGGTGAGATCACAACATCAGAGTTGTTTCATCAGAGCAACCATGTGAGAAGAGTCAGAGAGAGCCTGAGCAAGACAGAAGTCACAGTGTTTGTATCCTGGTCTTGGAAGTGACATCTGTCACTTCTGCTGTATTTTGTTTATTAACAGCAAGTCACCATGTCCAGCCCACACCCAAGGGCAGGGGACAACACAAAGATGCGATGTCAAGAGGCAGGAATGGTTGGGAGCTGTGTCAGAAGCTGCCTCCCACACATGGCCTTGCAGTATCTACACCGGAGCTCAAGTGCATTGTGCAGGCCAAAAAGCAGCACCTTCACCCGGTGCTACGTGATCACTCACAACTTGTCAATCACCATATTTTAGCTGATTGTTATGGAAACGTTGATTCCAAACTTGAAAAAGGGAAAAATGATGATTTCTGGAATCTGTGATATTCTACTAGAATGCAAATAAGTCTGACTGATCCCATTCGGAAGCTCTTGAGCAGTGTGACAAATATTTATCTAATCATTCACAATTGGTTAAATAAAGAGGTTTATAGCCCTGTGAGATTAGCCTGCAGAATTGATAGCTTATGACTTTTACTGCCTAGTAAACAAGTTAACTCCAAATTTGGCATTTTTTTCATTGCTTTGTAGAGGTTTGCCTTAACTTAGCATCTTATTTCCACATTTGTTTCCCAACAGAACTTAAAAATCCCAGTTACTGGCTGGGTGCGGTGGCTCACGCCTGTCATCCCAGCACTTTGGGAGACCAAGGCGGGTGGATCATGAGGTCAGGAGATCAAGACTATCCTGGCTAACATGGTGAAACCCTGTCTCTACTGAAAAAAACAAAAAACAAAAAACAAAAAAATTAGCCGGGCGTGGTGGTGGGCGCCTGTAGTCCCAGCTACTCGGGAGGCTGAGGCAGGAGAATGGTGTGAACCCGGGAGGTGGAGCTTGCAGTGAGCCGAGATCGCACCACTGCACTCCAGCCTGGGTGACAGAGCGAGACTCCATCTCAAAAAAAGATCTCAGTTACCAAATGCTTGTGGAGCCAGATCATTTGTCTTTTCGCTGGTTCCCTTACTGATGAGTTAAATAAAGCTTTGGAACATGGCAACAGATGACTTTGCCTGAGAATTGAGCTTTCGCATGCTCTAGGAGTAAACCAGAACCAAGATGTACATAGGGAATTCAGCAAAGTGCTGAATAGACACTGGGTTCCTGGCCTTCTCTTGACTGGCTGACCCACCTTCACACACTTATGGGACACAATCTCTGTGTGGATCGCAAGCCCCCAGGGGATTTAAGAACTGCCCTCAGGGTGTGTCTTCAAGCCTTTTGTGAATTTATACTTATGCCATCTCACGGGGGACTGTGTCTCTTTCCATGGCTCAGCACCAGGGCTTTGAAGAGTAAGCCCCAAAACCAAGTTCTGAGTATGAGGGTTTCCTGGCTGGTGATGCTGTTGAACCCACACTGGGGAACACATACTTCCGGGCTGCTGCTGTGCAGGAGAAGGGAACAGGAAGAGGGAGACGCAGGGAGGGGCCTGGCCCAGCGCCGTGGAGGAGGAGGGGTCCTTTTCCCCTGAGTGTGGCCAAGCACCTGCAAGCCTCCTGGGAGTGGGCCTCTCTGCAGGGGCTTTGCCTTGGCTTCCAGCCACCTCCATTTGGTTCTCCAGCACACAGGCCATGAGTGTGGAGCTCACTCAAGACTAGAGAGCTCAGGTTTCCAAGTGGACAGACATTCTGCAGGATGTGCTTTGGGAAACTGAAAAAAAGCAGCCCTGATATTTCCATCCACACACTCAGGTGAAACTCAGTGATTTCCTTGGTGTTGATGCAGAACCAGAGGTTTGCTTTCACCTGCACTTCACTCCTCCCATAACCTTTGGGTTTGCTCCTGGGAAAGCAGAAAAGCCACAGTCCCATCTCCAAGGAGGAGATCCAGAGGACGAGGAGACAAGCAAGGATTCCTGGCATGTAAACAGCTGGTAAGAAGGAAAAAGGAGATGTGGAAAGGCTTCAGGGAAGCCTGGGGCTGGAGCCTACCAGAAGAGTCCTCCGGTCCTGGCAAACCCCAGGCTGGCTGGGTTGATATCGCCCCAGAAAGCAGGGGAACCCCACAGGGCCATCCCTTCAAGCTCAGCCCGACAAGAAGCCGACAGAAAGCATGTCATCTGGATGCAGGACACAGAGCGGTCTTCTCTGTGAGCACCAGCTCTCATCTGCTTTTAAGAGTTGTGGGGAAGAAAATGAGGCAAGTAACCTTTTCAGAGGAAGTATTTTTAAGATACTAACATGTTTTCCAACAGCAATTTTTTTGAAGACTCAGTCTAATTCATATTCGTGTACAGCTTCTAAAATAACCTATATTTTCACAAACTGTTTTCTTGGTAAAATTTTCAAAACATTCTCAAGGAAGATGCATTCTGTGGCAATGGTATGCCAATAAAACTAAAAGGACTTGATTTAAGTAGAAAAAAAAAACCACACATAATCTTCAGATAAAAAGCCCAATTGGTTACTGACTGAAAGGCAAACCTGACAACAGACCAGGGAGGTTCAGGCCTAGCGAGGGGAGGCAGTTAAGGCTGACCGAGAGCAGGAGGAGGAAGCCGATGGGGGAGTGCACATCGGGACAGTGTTCGCTGATGAATACTTCCTGCCATAGTGGTTTCATTCCCTATGCAACCTTTTAACTGCAGGGACACAGAGCGTGGGGCCTCTGCTCTGTCACTCAGATTTATTAGCATTTTTGCTAAAGGTCTTATAAGAGATCTCAGGAATAAAAGCAGCATCCGGTGGCTCTAGCCCATGTTTCCTGTGTCTGATAATAATTAACAGCTACTGCTTAGCAAGGACAGCCAAAGGCTGTACCCTCTGCCATATGCCTCCTGCGATGGTCACTCCCAGTCTCCTAATTGTAATTATAAGGACACTGAAGGTTTGTGAGGAGAAATGTTTGCTTGCAGTCACCAGGCTGTTGTATGACAGAGACAAGATGCATACCTAGATGCCTATCTGAATGGTCTAACTTCAGAGTCCTCCTCTTGACCACCTCAGTATATGCTTCCCTTGTGTGATGACCCCACAACCACAGAAAATGTGAAACATGAAGGACTATGTGACAAAGAAAGTCTGAGGTCCCAATAAACTAATGGGTTAAAAATCATAACACAACCATCAAGGGATGCTAAGATCACTGGATGAAAATCAGCCAGGGAAGAGAATGTTCACAGGGCTTCAAAGTTTGCCCCATTGCTTACTAGTAAAAGACAAAGAATGTAAAAAGTGACTTTACAGGCTGGACATGGTGGCTCACACCTGTAATCGCAGCACTTTGGGAGGCCAAGGCAGGTGGATCACCTGAAGTCAAGAGATCGAGACCATCCTAGGCAACATGGTGAAATCCCATCTCTACTAAAAATACAAAAATTAGCTGGGCGTGGTGGCAGGCGCCTGTAGTCCCAGCTACTCGCGAGGCTGAGACAGGAGAATCGCTTGAATCCGGTAGGTGGAGGTTGCAGTGAGCCGAGGTCGTGCCACTGCACTCCAGCCTGGCGACAGAGCGAGACTCCATCTCAAAAAAAAAAAAAAAAAGTAACTTTATAAAGAGAACTCTTGTAGAAACGACCTTAGCCCAGTGAACAAACTTATCACCATGAGCCACGGTGTGCCCACTGATGTGCTGGAAAGAGAAATGGAGGAAATGTCTATCTTAATCTAAGTACGAGGAAATAATCAGACAGGTCCAGATTGTGCAGCACTCCATAAAACAAGTGGCTCAGACTCTTCAAAGACGTCAACATCACGAAAGAGAAAAACGAAAGCAGGCCTTTAGTTCTGATAAAAAGAGGCATAACTGAATTCAGTGAGTGATACTTAATTGAACACTAGGCAGGGAAAAACAGCTATGATGAATATTTGGGGGACAATCAGGGGTATCTGGGTAGGGACAACATATTTGGATAATATCACTTTATCAATATTGTATTTCACAGTGGTAATAGTGCTGTACTTTTGTAGAAGGTAGCTGTGTACTTAGGAGATGATGCCAAAGTGTGTCATGATGTCAGCAACTTACTTTCAAATGATTCAGACAAAAAGAATCAAACACACACAAACACATATTTACCACCTGTGTGTGTCTGTTTGTGTATAAACAATTGGTAAATCTGGGTGAAGAATTACGGGTGTTCACTTTTCTATTCCTTCAAGTTTGCTGTAGAATTAAAGCTTATAAAATAAAAAGTAGGCAAGAAGGTATATAAAAATTTTGTTCCAAGAGTCATAAAGCAAAAGAATGGCTATGCTCTCAGTCAGATTAAAATTGTATTATTGGATAAGAAGTAACAGGAAACAGTAAAAGTAAAAATAATTAAGTGTGTTAAGATAATGGCACTATTTTTCTTTTGCTTATAATATTTAAAAAATCAATAATGGTTGCAACAGATGACAAATTTTGCACTGGTATAAATCAAGTCACTTGTCAATCACTACAGTTGTTTTTTTTTTCCTTTTAAAGAATAATGCCTATTATTCCAATCTCAAATTCTAATGCAGTATGAAATACATTTCATGACTCTTTCTCAATGAACCTTACACTTTATCTGGGCTTTAGATCTGATTTCCAGGGAGTCCACAGAACCACTACCAGCTCTATTGTCAGAGGCGGTGACTGCACTTGCCCCTTTGGCCTGCCATTAAGGCCCCACGAACACAGGACTTACTTTTCAGACACCTGATTCTGGAGGTGTGTGGCAGTCAGGCATGCAGGCCAACACTGCGCCGTCCCTGCTGGAAATGGCCCATTGTTGCCCCAGTGGAAGGTGAGACCACAGCGCCTGAGAACACTGGAAAAGACAGTGAGAATAAAAGAGAATGTTCACACTTCATGGGAAGTGAGAATTAACAATTTCAATTTTAGGATTAATTTTTTATATTTTAAAAATTAAATATTAATGTTTCAAATTTTTAAATGATTTTAAATATTTAACATGCATTTGAAATTGGCTGGTGAATCCCACACCCCCGAATCCCACTCCCAACACACGATCCCACCCTTTAATTTTTAAATGAATGTCCCATCAGGAGACAGATGAGGATCAATGGGAAAAGTCTCATCTGGTGGACTTAACAGACGTGGCGGTGAGCTCAGAGCCCCTAGAAGCTGATGTGCCAGGGGAGGGGACTGTGCTTCTCAGCGGGGCTCGAACACTGAACTCTGACTTCTGAGATTCTGGTAGAGAGGTTCTGGGGGTGTGATCTGCAGGGAACCTCAAAGTGAGGGGGCTGTTCATATTCCACACAGTGGAACCAGGTACACCCCATCTCGACTGGGCATCCCCTAGGTCAGCAGATGTCTGTATATTTTTACCTTTTTAGGCCATTTATTTTATCTAATAACTTATACATAAAATTTAATTTTTACTCAGTCAAATAACATACACAACCTCTAATTTCCACATAGGATAAGGTCCCTAGTTCAATCTAATTCCCATCTCTTCCTCTGATACCTGCTATATTTTGTTGAAATCATTTAAAATGTTGATTTGAAATTGCTTTTGATTTTTGGGTTCTACTTTCTTAGGAATCATAATTCTTAACAACTGCTTTAAGCTTCAGTTCTATATTATTACTTGTAACACAACTGTGTTTTGGTGTTTGCTAATTGATCATGAATAATTTGCATATCTCTCATTGGTCCTTTATTAATTTTTAATTTTACTAGAAGGCTTGAGTAGTACTTTCAAAATGATTTTGTAGGCAATAAATTTTCTGACTTCTAATGCAAAAGAACAGAATCAATAGCCAAGACAATCTTGAAAAAGAAGAATAAAGTTGGAAGTCTCACACATCTTGATTTTAAAACATACTATGAATCTATGGTAATCAAAGCATGTGGTGTGGGCAAAAAGACAGATTTATAGTCCACACAAGGTAGACCAGAAATAAATCCTCAAATATATGGTTAAATCGTTTTCCACAAGGGTGCCACACATGGCCTTGCATAAATGGCCAAAGGTTTTCCACAAGACCATTCCATGTGGAAAGGACAATCTTTCCAATAAATGGTGCTGGGAAAACCGCATATCCACATGCAAAATAATGAAGTTAGACTCTTACCTAACATTGTATGCAAAAATTAACTAAAAATGGATCAAAGACCTAAATGTAAGAGCTAAACCTATAAAACTCACACAGGAAAATACTGAGGAAAAGCTTTATGAAACTGGATTTGACAATTATTTCTTGGGTATGACACCACGAAAAGAACAGGCAACAAAAGGAAAAATAGATAAAATGGACTTCATCAAAATTAAAAACTTTTGTGTACCAAAGGACATTATCAACAAAGTGAAAAGGCAACCAACAGAATGACAGAAAATATTTGCAAATCATATATCTGATAAGGGATTAATATCCATAACATATACAGAACCCCTGTAACTCAACAAGAAGAACCTGAAAAAATGGAAAGATATCCCATGCTCATGGATTAGAAGAATTAATATTGTTAAAATGTCTATATTAACCAAAGTGATTTACAGATTCAATGCAATTCCCGTCAAAATACCAATGACATTCTTCACAGAAATAGAAAAAAGCCTGAAATTCATATGAAACCACAAAAGACCTTGAACAGCTGAAGTGATCCTGAGCAAAAAGAACAAAGCTAAAGGCATCATGGTTGTGTTTTCAAATGATACTACCAATCTATAGTAACCAAAAGAGCATGGTACTGGCATAGAAACAGACACATCAACCAATGGAACAGAACAGAGAACCCACAAATAAATCCACACACTTAACAGCCAACTCAGTTTCAACAAAGGTGGCAAGAACACACACCAGGGAAAACACAGTCTCTTTAATAAATGGTGCTGAGAAAACCAAATATCCATATGCAGAAGAATGAAACTAGATCCTCATCTCATCATATACAGAAATCAACTCTAAAATGGATTAAAGGCTTAAATATAAGACCTAAAATTATGGAACTACCAGAAGAAAACATTGGGGAAACACTTCAGGACATTGGTTTGGGCAAAGATTTTTGCATAAGATTTCAAAAAGGCAACAATAGAAAAATGGGTTTATATCAAGCTAAAAAGCTTCTGCACAGGAAGCAAAACAACTAAGTGAAGAGACAACCCAGAGAAAGGGGGAAAATATCTGCAAACTTCCATCTGACAAGGGATTAATAACCAGATTATATAAGGAGCTCAAACAACTCAATAGCAAAAAAACAAATAATCTGATTAGAAAATCAGCAAATGACCTGAATAGATGTTTCTCAAAAGAAGACATACAAACAGAAAACAGGCATATGAAAAAATGCTCAATATCACTAATCACCAGGGAAATGCAAATTAAAACCACAATGAGATATCATCTCACTCTAGTTAGAATTGGCTTTTATAAAAAAGACAAAAAATAACAGATGCTGGTAAGGATGTGGAGAAAGGGAATGTAAATTAGTACCATCATTATGGAAAACAGTATGGAGGTTCCTCAAGAAACTAAAAATAGAAGGACCACATATCCAGGAATCCCACGGCTGAGTATATATTAAAAGGAAAGGAAATCAGTATATTGAAGAAATATCTGCACTCCCATGTTTATTGTAGCACTGTCTGCAATAGCTGAAATGTGGAATCAACCTAAGTGTCCATCAATGGATGAATGGATAAAGAAAGTGTGGAATATACACAGAACGGAATATTACTCAACCATAAAAATAATGGAATCCCGTCATTTGCAGCATCATGGATGGAACTGGATATCATCATGTTAAGTGAAATAAGCAAGGCACAGAGAGACAAATATCACATGTTCTTACTCAAATGTGGGAGCAAAAAAAAGTGGGTCTCAAAGAGGTAGAGAGTAGAACAGTGTTTACCAGGGGCTGGGAAGGGAAGTGGGGAGGAAGGGAAGTTGACTAATGGGTACCAACATGCAGTTGGATAGAAGAAATTCATTCTTGTATTTGATACCATAGTAGGAAAATTATAGTTAACAATAAACTACTTCCTGGGTCCCTTTCTTTGTTCACATTTTTTCCCTCAGGAATTTTCAAAATTCCTGTTCTCTCCTGGCTCCACTCAAGACCCAGCTCAAATGCCATGTTTGTCACGAAGCTTACCTAAGAACAGCCTTTGACCCAGGGGTCCTGTCTCCCATGCTGGACTTGGTCCCCTGCCCACCTCTGGGGTGTTCACTCCACGGACGTGCAGTCCCCTGGCTGAAAGAATGAAGGATGCCCACCCCCACCACTAACAACCCTCACACACTTGCACTGGGACAGACACTTTTCCTGGCTTTATCTCTTGGTGGATGGCTTTATCTCTTAGTCTTCCTAAAAGCTTCAAGAGAAGAGTGAGTTTCTAGGAAATGGGCTTTAATTCACACAGTGATCACTCGGTCTGTCTCTCAGGAAGGTGCAGGAGAGATGCTTAGGCCAGGTGTTCATCTCTGCCTCAGGCCTGCTAGTAAGTGGTTTTGTTTATGGTTCCCTAATGGAATAAAAACTTACAGCATGTCCTGGACGAATTTTCAGGAAATTTAAATTCTGGAGAAGTCTGTAACAACTTCTGGAAATAAAGAGGAGAGTCTCTTTTTTTTTTGTACTGTAAGATACTGTAAGTCCAAAATATGTCCGTAATGAATTATGTAAAGATACAGAAGGCTGAAGTGCTTCTTGAAAATGCCACTACCTCTAGAGGGAAATGCAAGAAAATAGCCATTGGGTAAAATAAGTTCAGATCCACAACAAAACAAAAGGGAGGGGGGTAAGGCTATCAGCTAAACTAAGGGTGGGATGAATGCTTCCTGCACATTTTAATCCTGGGGAGAACAGTAGTTTCTAAAACAAAACAGGCATTTTAGACCTGTATTCTGGCTCTGAAATGCAGAATGTGGCTGGATTGGATGTGGTGATGCCAGGCAGACACACCCTTCTCAAAGCCCCCAGGGCTGACAGCGGGCCCAGGGAGTGTGCTAACGCTGTGGACACACCGCGTGTCTGGGGCGCTCCAGGTGAGAGCAGAGACCCAGGTCTGTCAGGTGCAAGTGAAAGCCCAAAGAGGCTGTTCTAGCTGAATCCTCCTCTCCATCCAGCCCCTTGGTGTCACTGAAGGCCAGCACACACGGGAAACCCATCAGCCGGGCTTCCCCAGGTCTGGGATCAGTACTAGTCATGTCCCCTACTTGCCTATGGTCTAAAAAGCCACCACACCTGCTTTGTCCCTGCATCACCACGGGACTTGGGCTGTTCCAAAGGTCCTGGTGAAGATGAAAAGGGACCTCTGAAGATGCTCCAGGGACCCGAAGGATTCACTGCTCTAAGCTGACACTATTGTAAAGTAAAAATACAAGGCACTGAGAAGGGCTCAAGATGAAGGCAGGACTACGGGACCAGAGATGCTTCCAGGACTGACTGCTGGGAAACAGCAGGTACAAAATGAGCAGCAGCTACCCAGCAGGGTGCCATGTGACCTTAGTGACCCCGGAGTGGCGCTCAGAAGCCAGGACACTGCCCTCACAGAGCCAGTGGAGGGGGCCCACGCAGCGCAGGTGTGTGAAGGGTCAACAGGCACTGGCATGCTCTCTGGCATCCCTCGGCTGGGGGCCTCCTCCCTCAGGCTACCTGGATCCTGGGCTCTTACCGCTCTCCTTGTCCCCCACTCCTACCTAGGTTTTGCTGTCTTCTTTCATTCAGTTCTCCCTCTCCCTGTCATAACACCCCTCCACCCTTCACAAGCCCAGATCCCCTCAACCCCCCTTCCCCCGGGAAACCTTTGCTCATCATTCAACCAAAAAACTTTTTGTAACACCAGTTTACTTTATTATTATCTACTCTCAGCAAGTCTCAAGAATTTTTAAGGATACATTGTTACAATAGTTACCATGTTATAATAGTCCCCATATATCCCTTGAACTTATTTATCCTGCCTAAATGAAATTTGTATCCTTTGACCAACATCTCAACCCACCCCACCTCCCCCAGCACCTGGCCAATACCATTCTGCTCTCTGCTTCCGTGAGTTCACCTTTTTTGGATTCTACACATAAGTGAGATCATGCAGTATTTGTCTTTCTGTGCCTGGCTTATTTCACTTAACATGATGCCCTCCAGGTTCATTCTTGCCATATGTGACAGGATTTCATTCTTTTTATGACTGAATATTATCCATTGTGTATCTATACACGTTTTACATTTTCTTTTTTTTTTTTTTTTTTTTGAGACAGAGTCTTGCTCTGTCACCCAGGTTGGAGTGCAGTGGCGCGATCTCGGCTCACTGCAAGCCCCGCCTGCCGGGTTCACGTCATTCTCCTGCCTCAGCCTCCTGAGTAGCTGGGACTACAGGCACCCACCACCACGCCTGGCTAATTTTTTGTATTTTTAGTAGAGACGGGGTTTCACCGTGTTAGCCAGGATGGTCTCGATCCCCTGACCTCGTGATCCGCCCACCTCGGCCTCCCAAAGTGCTGGGGTTACAGGCGTGAGCCACCGCCCCGGCCACGTTTTACATTTTCTTTATCCATTCATCTTTGGATGAGCACAGGGTGGTTCCATGTCTTGGCTATTGTGGATAGTGCTGCAGTGAACATAGGAGTGCAGGTAACTCTTTGATGTACTGATTTCATTTCCTTTGACTATATACCAGCAGTGGGATGGCTGGATTACATGGTAGTTCTAGTTTTATTTTACTGAGGAACCGCCACACTTTTTCCGTAATGGCTGCACTAATTTACATACCCACCAACACTGTACTAGTGTTCTCTTTTCTCCACACTTTCACCAACACGTATCTCTTCTCTTGTGGGTAACAGTCATCCAAACAGACATGAAGTGATTGATATTTCACTGTAGTCAGCTAGCAAAACTTTAGTTTATTATTCATTTGCATAAAATCCAGATCCTGCACAAACCAGCAACATTTTAATGAGCACTTACTATGCTAGGAGGTGTAGGCCACGAGGCAGAAATAAAGTTGAGTGGTTTTGCCGTCAAGAGCCCTGTAATCTGAAACAGGAGACAGACCTGGAGACCGACACCCGCAGCTCAGCCCGCTCCCTGGTGAACGCCTGAGATGCAGAGCAGCCCCCGTCCAAGGGAAGTCACGGCTTGCCTTGTCATCTGCCTCCGGGGAAAGGGAACTCTTCAGAGAGAAGGAGATACTTGGCTTGGGCCTTAAACTCTAAATAAGAGTTCCCAGAAGGGTAAGGAGGGCAGAGGTCTCTGGTGTTTGCTGAGGGCCTATTCTGTGCCAGGCCTTCACTAGGCAGGCATTGCTAACTTCTCTCAGGTAAATTCTCTCACACACACCTGAGGAAGAGGGGCTCAGGCACACACAGGCCTGTCCTTCTACTGCCCCACGGAGGAGAATTCTCCGCAGAGAACCTCCAGTGCAGACACGGGTTGGGGGTGGGTGGCCTGCACACGAAGGAGTCCCCTGTGCAGGGGGTTGGGGAAGGATTTGGTGTAGCTGCGGGTGTGAGTGACAGGGCACAGGGTTGAGGGGGGCACAAGGGGCTGGGGGTGGACAGGCAGAATGGGCTGTCCCTGCAGCACCATTACAGAGAACTCCTCTCCACAGAGGGGCAGCCGCTGGCGTGTTGAGGCCAGCAAGGGCTCAGGCCAGAAGCGCATTTTGAGCGTGCCTGCTGGCAGCATGCTGGGGACTGCCAGTCTGGCAAGTCACAGGCAGCACCTAAATCTGCTGAAGGGAGAGGGTCTCTGCAGCTCTCCTGCAGTTCCCTCTGATCTGAAATCTTGGTGCCTTCCCTGCACTAGGGCAGAATCTGGGCCCATCGCCTTCTCACCATCTAGATGATGCCTGTGTGCCTCTGCACCCGGGCCCCGTGTCCTCCATGGACTGTGCCTGCTCCACTTCCTCCCACACCTGCCTGCATCCCTCACCAACATATCACACATATTCCACTCCATCCCAGTGTGCGAGCCGGCCCTTCAGCTCCAGAGAGACCTCAAAGGGCCTGTGTCCCAGTGCTCAGAGGCACGCGTCCTGGTGAGAGGTCAGACCCAACGGCTGCTGGTCCACCACCCAGATGACTCAGAGGGACTCAGAGGGAGTTAGCGGAGTTCCCATGAGTAGCAGCCTCTGTCACCCAGATGGGGGTGGGTGCCCACTTGGAGGGCCTGGGGCCAGGTGTCTGCAGCCTTTCAGAGCAAATGCAGCCAGGAGAGGAAAATAGAGGAGGAGTGGGGAGTCCAAGCATCTTGTTGCTCAGCAAAAGCTGCCTTTGTGCCCAGGCATCAAGGTCAGGGAGAGGAGACTGCTGCTCTGTCACCTGTCCTGGGTGTGGGGTGGCCTCTGCTAACTTCTTCCCTGGGGGAACTATAACTCTAAAATGTGTTCAAGTTTCCCAAGAGAAAGAGGGTGCTGGCTGCTCACCTCTGCTTCCTGACCTCACTGTTAACCCAACTTCTCAGAACCAAGATAAATCATCCCTTTTTTAGCTTCTACTTGCTTTCAATTGCCTAAGCACAACCAACATTGCATTTGACCTGCACACCAATCCCAGGGCCCAGTGACATGTCCAGGTGACCTGGGATTTCCCGAGTGGACTCCTCCCCTCTACCTGCCTCCTTCCCCAGGCGGCCCCTCCTCACCCTCAGGTTTAATGCTGCTACCTCCTTAGAAAGGCCCTCCTTGGCTGCCCTTTATGAATGATGTTTCTCAACCTTTGCTGTCACTCACTCACCCACATTACTTTCTGTGGCGTTAGCAATCACCCTGTTAATCTGTTTACTCGCATGCTGTCTGCTGAATCTTGCTAGGCTGCTATCCCATTCGGGTTGTGACCAGGGTCCTCCTGAAGCCTGGCCTCCAGGGGGCCACAAAGACCCAGCGTCTGTGGTTTTAGGCTCAGGGGCCACAGAAGACAAGGGTTTCAGAAGAATGAGACTTAGAGCTACTTGGGGTTCAGGAGGTGAAATTGAAAAGATTCTTCTACCTGACCCTGAAGCAGAAGAGGACATTTCTGAGTGTCTCCTCGTACCAGGCATGCGCCATATTCTCTATCATTACATTTTCACAACAACCCTGCGCTGCAGGGGCTAGCTAGCATGCACACCTGCTTAAAGACCACCTGTCCTGAGCCCAGAGGAGTGAGACAACCTGCCCAGGGTCACACAACCAGTCACCTGCAACCTGAACAGCAAAGCCAATGCGCTGTGTTAGCATTGCGCCACTTCTCGAAATGTGCTGAGATGTGAACAATGCTTTATCCCAGCTTGAAGACACTGGTCACCTTATCTCCACAGCCCCTGAAGCCCCAGAGGCATCTCCGCCATCTAAAAAGTCATTCCCTGATAATCGAGCCCATGGTCCTGCTACTGCTCATCAGGCAGCTTCACTGACTCCCACCAGGACAGCAGCCAAGCATTGTTCCTTCCTCAAACTACACACATTCTTTCCTAACCCTTCCCTCCCCTCCAAGGATATTTTCTATTTCAAAATCGTTAAAATTATGCTAGTGACAATTCCATCTTTTATTAAATATAATTTTTTTCAAACTAGGAATGGAAACAGTCCCTTATTCTCTGGTTATTTGTTCAAATTTTCACATCAAAGCTAAGCAGCTGAAACACATTTTACTCTAATACCCTGGCATTTATCCAACTTGGTCCCTTTTATTTATGTTCCTTCCCTGGTATCATGACCTGTTGATACTTCTGCAGAGACCAGCAAGAGGGGTCCCAGAGAGTCATCCCTCCACCCCAGCTCTTCTCCTTCCAGTTGACCCAACCCATGTGGCACTGACAAGCCTGAACAGTGGTTCTCAAAGTGAGGCCCCTGGCCCCCAGCATCAGCACTGCTGGAGATTTGTTAAAAATGCAAGTTCTCAGGCTCCACCTAGACCTGCTGAGTTGGAAGTGGGGGCACTGCCCAGCAAGCTGTGTTTGCACCAGCCCTCTGGGGTGGAGAACCACTCATCTAAAGGCTACCGAGGCCTGGGCCCCAGCCTCTGCTAATAGCTTCATCTTCTCTCTTTCTTCTTAAGCAGTCTCAGGAGCACATTTGTTCTCATTTCTCAGGAGACCCGCCTTTCACAGTTATCCCTTTGCTGCTCTCATACCTGCAAGCTCCTCCTCTCTAATCCTTTTTACTCCCAGCTTGTTTCAAACACACCCGGGGGCCTCTTGTTGTGAAGGCATCTGCCCTCCTGTCCCACAGAATCAGTTCCCGCCTCCCTTCTCCTGGTGTGTTGCTTTGGCAGTGTACTTACTCTTTCTGAGCATCACATTGCCCTTCTTAAAAATAAGAGTAATGGCACCTATTTAACAGGATGGTGATAAGGACTTACTGAGATAACATTCGTAGAGGGATGTGCTAGGAGGGTTAATTCCAGCAGGTCTGAAATTGGCCCGAGCTGCTTTGCTGAAGTACGAGACATTCTGCATCAAACTATGAAAGGCAGTGATTAATACTTTTTTTTTTTTTTTTTTTTGAGATGGAGTCTCGCTTTGCCACCCAGGCTGGAGTGCAGTGGTGCGATCTCAGCTCACTGCAAGCTCCACCTCCTGAGTTCATGCCATTCTCCTGCCTCAGCCTCCCGAGTAGCTGGGACTACAGGCGCCCGCCACCACGCCCGGCTAATTTTTTGTACTTTTAGTAGAGATGGGGTTTCACCGTGTTAGCCAGGATGGTCTCAATCTCCTGACCTCGTGATCCGCCCGCCTCGGCCTCCCAAAGTGCTGGGATTACTGGCGTGAGCCATCGCACCCGGCCAATACTGTTGTTTTTACCCGTGGGTCCGAGGTGAGTTTCAGGGTAGGTTCTGCCTGTTTGTCCTCATTGTTTATGGATGACTGTGAGACTGATGTTTTGCACGTGTTTGGGGAGGGGGCTCTGATGTTAGAGCTGCTCATGTAGCAATAATGTGCTTATGTGACCAGAAGGCTGCAAAAAGCCCCACTGTGACTCCACTGGGCTGCGTGGATCTGAGGTGTTCCTTCCTTGCATGGGTACGTGGTTCCGAGAGAAAAAACACATCTGGCTCAGGCCTGCAGAGGGAAGACCACTGGAGGCAGCCCGTATCGGCCTCAGTGTGTCCACACTGCTTGCTCTGAGGCAGCCTTTGGATGCAAGGCAGGTCCTTGCCTTCATGCTTGTTGCTCTATCACATCCCTTCTTGTCAATAAACCACAGACTTGTGAGCACTGTCCTTCTGGGCCCTGTGAGTCTTCTTTAGCAATCGAATCTGTCTGACTGCGCTGTTAGTGGAAGTGACGTTACAGTTATGTTTCCCTCTGCATTGTTAACAAAGAAAATTCCCCGTTGAACCGCTCACAATAATTGCTGTCCACTTCTTTCTTCATCACTTACTGCGTTCTCTGCACTCTCCTATCCCCTGCCTACATCTGGATTCCATCCCTACCACCTGACTGAAACCACAGCCACAGAAGTCACCCCCTGCTAATGACGGAATCACTGACCTTCTAGCTCTTAGTTAACACAGTGGTCATGCTGCCATTGTGAACTCTTCCTTATACATGGCACCATCATCCTTCATCTCCCCACGACTTCAGTTTGTCTCACTGATTCCTTTTCCAACAAACTATGGGTATTCTCCCAACTTTGTGCTTGGCTTGGCTCTTTCTGTTGGATAACTGATTTATACTCACTAAATATTCATAACACCTGTGTTCGGGTGACTCCCAAGTGGCCCTCTCTAGTCTTGTTCTCTTTTCCACCCTTTGCCCTGCTCTCTGATGGGATGTGCACTTACACGTCTCACAGGTACCTCAGATTTCTTAGAACCAAACCTGCCTTCCTTGCAAAACTTACCTGTTCTTCAAGTCAGTCAAGACTGAAAAATTGAATTCTCCCTTGACTTCGCCCTCTCCATCTCAATGAGTTCTGAACTTCAGATCTCTTTCTCTGTGAATCAGTCTTTCTCTTTTCCTCTATCTCTTTCTCTGTATCTCTCACTCCTCACCTCTTCTCCCCAATTCAGGCAATCATAAAATCATGATATTCATAGAGAATGGCCTTTTTCTGCTTTCCTTGTCCCTTGTATAGATGCCACTATCACAGGCCACCTGATATCATTCAGTGGTGTAAGAATATGTCTTGAGGATTTTCCTCTGAGCCCCCAAACCTTTCTAACTCAAAGGTGTGATGAGAAAAAGATACCTGCATCATAGTCTCAAAGTATCTCCTGCAAGATATTTACTAATGACAAATGGAAAAATGGTAACTTTGCACTAGAGAAACCTGACAGATAGCACCTTAGTCAAGGGACCAAGGTCAACATGCCAGTATAAGACATATCAATAGCATGTGCACCAGCACAGAAACAAGCAGAGCACATCAGCCGTCTCCTTCCCTGTAGTGCACAGCCTCACCCTGATCTAGTTGTGAGAAAATATTAGACAAACCCAAATGGAAGGTCATTCTACCAAATAACTGACCAGTTCTCTTCAAAAGTATAAGGGTAATGACAAGGAAAGACTTAGGAACTGTCGCAGATTAAAAGCGACTAATGAGACATAATAACCAAATGCAGGGTAGGACCTAGATTGGATTCTAGAACAGAAAGAGGACATTAGTGAGAAAAGTAGTGAAATTTTTGTAATGATGTTGGTAGAATAGTTAACACGGTTGTGTCAATGTTAATTCTCTGGTTTTGATAATAGTACTGTGGTTTCGTAAAGTGTTAACATTTGGAAAAACTCGGTGAAAGGTAAATGGGAACTCTAAACTTTTTACAATTTTTTCCTAACTTAAAAAATTATTATTTAAAGTTATTATAATTTAAAAAAATATTTAAAATAAAAAGCTTAAAAAGATGACACAAATGATCAATATCTGGAATGAAAAAGGAATATTGGCCCTGGAGGCATCAAAAGGATAATAAGGTAATATTATGAACAATTCTACATATATAAATTTAGCAACTTAGATGAAATGGACCAATTCCTTGAGAAGCCCAAACTACCTTAATTAATCTAATATGAAACCGGTCATTTGGATAGTCCTACAACTATGGAAAATTAAATTCAGAATTTAAAAGCCTCCTCCAAAGAAATGTCCAGGCCTAGATGGTTTCACTGGAGAATTCTACCAAACATTTAAATATGAATTAACACCTATTCTACTGTCTCTTCCAGAAAACAGAAGAAATGAAAACACTTTCCGACACTTCTATGAAGCCACAATTACTCTCATACCAAAACCAGACAAACCCAGTGTAAACAAATAAAACTATAGACCAATATCCCTCATGAATATAGATGCAAAAATCTTTAACAAAATATTACTGATGGGATTCATCAATATTGAAAAGTAATTATATACCATTATTAAGTGGGGTTCATTTCAGAAATGTAAGTCTGGTTTGATCTTCAAAAATCAGTCAATGTAATCCACCATATTAACAGACTAAAAAGAAAAATCACATGATCACATCAGTTGATGAAGGAAAAAAATTCATAAAATTCAACATCCCCTTCATGAAATAAGAATAGAATACTTTCAACTTAACAAAGAGCATTCACAAAAAACCTACAGCTAACATCATATTTAATGGTGAAAGAATGGTTTTCCCCTAAGATTGGGAACAAGCAAGGATGTCTGCTCTCATCACTCTTATTCAGCATAGTGCTGGATATTCTTGCCAGTGCAATCAGGTAAGAGAAGGAAATGAATGGCATGTATATTAGAAGAAAAGGAGTAAAACTTATTTGCAGATGACAAGATGTCTAATGCAGAAAACCTCAAGGACTCTGAAAACTTTTAGAACTAAGAAGTGACTACGGCAAGGTCACATGACACAAGGTCAACATAAAAATCAGTTGTATCTCTCTGTAATATCAGTGAACGTGTGGACACTAACATTAAAAATGTAATTCTATTTATAATCATTCAATAAAAATAGTTATAAATCTAACAAAATATGCATAGGACTTGTATGCTGAACACCATAAAACATTAAAGATATAAAAATCTACTAATTAAATAAATGTAGAAACATACTGTGTCCACAGATTGAAAAACTCAATACGCTAATGATGCCAATACTTCCCAAATTGATGTATAAATTGACAGACAATTCCTGTCAAAATTCAGCAAGATTTTTAATAGATATGGACAAAGTTATTGTAATATTTATATGGAGAGGTAGAAGAATTAGAATAGTTAAAATAATTTTGAAAAAGAAGGATAAAGTGGGAAGAATCAATCTAGCCAATTTTAAGGTTTACCATATGACTACAGTAATGAAGACGGCAGTACTGGTGAAGGAATAGAAATATAGATTGAAGGAACAGAATAGAGAACCCGGAACTGATTTTTGACAGAGGTGAAAAAGCAACTTGACAGAGGAAAGATGGTCTTGGCAACAAATGGTGCTGGAACAAGGGACAGGCATAGGCACAAAAAACAAGAAAGAAAGAAAGAAAGAAAGAGACTTGACCTAAGTCTCATACCTTGTATACAGTAAAAATTAACTTAAAATGGATCACAAACTTGAATGTAAAATATAAGACTACAAAACTTTTTGAAAATAAACATACGAGAAAATCTTAGGGATTTAGGGTTAGGAAAGAAGTCGTTACTAGGCTTCATACCAAAAGCATGATCCATAAAAGTAAAAATTGATAAACTTGAACTTTTTGTTCTGTGAAAGAGAGTAAAAAGACCAGCTACTGATTGGGAGAAAATATTTGCAAACCATGTATCTGACAAAGGACTACTATCTAGAATATATAAAGAATTCTCAAAACTCAACAGTTAAATCCATTAGAAAATTGGCAAAAAAACCACAAAGAGACATTTCACTGAAGAGAAGGTATATATGACAAATAAGCACATAAAAATGTTCAACAACCTTAGCCATCAAGGAAATGCAAATTAAAACACAATGAGTTATCATTACACATCTATCAGAACAGCAAAAATAAAAAACAGTGACAACACCAATAGTTGACAAGGACGCAGAGAAACGGATCACTCACATGCTGTTTGTGGGAACGAAAATGACACAGCCACTCTGGAAAGCAGTTTCTCCTAAAACTAAACATAAAACTACCATGCAACCCAGCAACTGGATTCCTGAGCACTTATCCTAGAGAAATGGAGTCTTCACATTCACCCAAACACCTTTATAAGGATGTTCATAGCAGCTTTCTTCATAATAGCCTGGAACCAGAAATGATCCAGAACCCTCAAGGAGTGAATGACTAAACAAACTGTGGAATGCCCATACCATGAAATACTACTCAGTAAGGAAAAGGAATGAACTCTTGATAACCACAACAACTTGGATGAATATCCAGGGAATTATTCCAAGTAAAAAAAAAATCCCCAAATTACATATTATATGATTCCATTGATATAACATTATTACAATACAAAATTGTAGAAATGGAGACAGATTAATGGTTGCCAGAGGTTAAGAATGAGGTTGGGTAAGTGACTGTGGATATAAAGAGCAGCACTGGGGAACCTTGTGGGATGGAAATGTTCTACATATTGACTACATCAACATTAATGTCCTGGTTGTGATATTGGACCATAGTTTTGCACAATGCTACCATTGGGAGAAAACAGGTAAAGGGGACACTGGAACTCTATTATTTCTTACAACTGCAGATCAATATACAATCATCTCAAAATAAAATGTTTAATTAAAAACATACTTTGCCCACTCCTGGAGACCCTTTACAGCTCTTCCTTAAATACTGATTTTTCCTTAAGTACTGCCTGTATCAGGGCACTACTGTCACTGAACATTTTGAGGCACTTTTTTTTTTTATCTTACCAAGTCTCTGCCTAGCTTTATTGGGCTTTCACATCTTGACCTGTGCCGACCTATTTCTCAAATATACCTATTTGAGTTACATAAGTTCTGAATTTTTGTTACAGTCACTCATGGCAGTTTAATCTGGACAAATCATGGACTCTGCCAATTTCTGTTTCCTCATCCACTTCCTTGCTGTTCACAGAGCTACTTTAATTAAAGATATCTCTTTAATTAAAGGTACTGTGAAAATTCAGACATATAATGTCCCCAGTGTTCCCCCTCAAAAACATTGTCCAGAAAGAAAATGAAGTCAGACACTATGCTGACTTCTAGCCAAGGCCATTGCAAGCTGACGGTTCACAAGATGCACTCTTTTCTTCTGGAGATCTGTCCGGGAATATTCTGTAACATTGACATGACTGCCATAATTTGCAGAAGCAAAGTTCTATTCTTCCTCTTAAAACTCCTAAACAGTGTTTATTTTATGAAAATTCTCAGGGTGTGATCAAAGAAAACCCCCCTGGATACGCCGTGGATTTCATACAGTACTTTTGCCCAGCTGTGTTGGCATCTGCTGGTGCTCATCAGAAATTAACGTTCTCAGGCCCCACTCAGACCTACTGAACCAGAACCCACATTTCAACTGTATCGCCAGAGATGCTTACACACAGCAAAATTTGAGAAGTGCTGCTCTATAATGGATATAATGTAATCCCTGGCTCACAGGGTTGATGTGAGAATTAGCAGAATACCCGGTACTTACTCTTTCCTTTTCCATCACAGTCAGCCTAGTGTCAGGAAATTACTTCCCTCTAGCCCTTCCTTGCACTGGCCAAGAAATGAAGACAACCTTTCAGACACGATCGGCCCACAGGATGGAGAAGCTCAAGGCCCTGATGAGTTGGGACCCATTTATCCTGTTCTAGTTTCCTGCAGCTGCAGAAACTCACATGAAGTTGCTGGTTAAGTGACAGCTTTTGCTTCCCACTTGAACAGCTGTTTTTTATTTGCTTCTTTGCTTTTATCTTGTAGTCTATACTCACTGTCCCATTTCCGTCAGTACTGACTTTCATCTTGTTAGATTCAGTGCACCACAACTCCTGCCTAGGACAAGCCATCTGGACTCCTTTTGGCTCTAGTTGCCCGGCCTAACCTCCAGGCAGAATCACACACTCACAGCTCTGCGTACTCACAGGACCGGATCCACACCCCAGGGACCTCACTATCTTAAGGAGCATCCCATCTCATTCACCTGCTATCTCCTCACTGGGAAGTTCCTGGAGATCAAGAACTGACACATGCATATTTGCAACCCTACGACTTAGTGCTGAATAAAACTTAACCAAATAAATGACAATTTGATCTGTGGGCCACGAATGTTCTCACTGTGCAAGAGTAGGTGTCAGGGCACCTCAGCCTGCCCATCAGCTGCCTGTTTTTTATAAATTAAGTTTTACTGGAACACAAGCACAACTGTTCATTTATGTAATGTCTATTGGCTGAGTTGGCTGGTTGTAAACAGAGACCATAGAGCCTGCAAAACTTGCAATATTTACTGTTGATCCTTCATGAAAAACTTTGCTAACCCTTATTCTACAGCATTTAGAAAATGGCTAGATGGGAAGGAAGACACAGCCTCACAGCAGTCTGCCAGAGACCCCTTTCTAGGCTTAACTAAAGGACTGACAGACAAATGTGTTCTCTGTATATAGTCATTGACAATGGTGACTCCTATCTCATTAAAATGACATTCAGGCTACACTTTTCCCATCTTTACCATAGGACTGTCATGAGGAATTTACAAGAGCAGAGTGTTATAGCTTGAAGGGACTTTTGAAGTCACTTAGATCCCAAACTTTCATTTTACAAATGGAAAATCTGGTCTTGAAAGTGAAGTGACTTCTCTAAAGAGAATAACAGGTAAGTGAGGGTTTAGAGATTTGAACTCAACTCTTCTAATTCCAAATAAACTTTTTTTCACAATTACACTATGCTACCTCTTTAATCAAACGTACTCCAAAAATTCAGATGTATAATGTCCCCGGTGTTCCCCCTCAAAAACATTACCCAGAAAGAAAATGAAGTCAGACCCTATGCTGACTTCTAGCCAAGGCCACTGCAAGCTGACGGTTCACAAGATGCACTCTTTTCTTCTGGAAATCTGTCCCGGAATATTCGGTAACATTGACATGACTGCCATAATTTGCAGAAGCAAAGTTCTTTTCCTCCTCTTAAAACTCCCAAACAGTGTTTAGTTTACGAAAATTCTCAGGGTGTGATCAAAGAAAAGCCCCCTGGATGCGCCGTGGATTTCACACAGTACTTCTGCCACACATCTGCAATCAGCGCCTGGTCCCTGAGGTATCTCTGTTGCCTCTATCTTCTATTTGTCCGTATACATGGGATGAGGAAAGGGTCCAATAATTTTCTTCCCAATTTATATGAAATGATGCTAATAACTTATTAAACATTGTTTCTCCTTGGATTCTATGTATGAGCACCAGGTCTAGTTTACCATGTAGTGCACACTTGTCTTATCCTGAGAGTTGCTACCACGGTATGCCATGTGTCTTGCATGTCAAGATTCTATTCAGATCTATTCAAGATATTATGGAATGTGTTTTCTACTTTTGAAATATAATTTCAAAGAACTGTGGCTTGTGTTTAAAAATGGTAAGTTCTAATTAAATGACAGCACATGTATAAACTGGAACATAGATACTGAAATTACATTTTTGAAGTTTTATATTTCTTGGGGAAACACTTAGGAAGTGAAAAAAATCAAGAGAAAACCATATATATTAAAAAACCTCAAGAATGTAAAACTGCATATGTAAAAGACTAAAGGAAAAGATGCTAAACTGTTTTCATATAGCCATATCTGCCACTCTATTTCTTTATCATTCTGGGTTTCCTGCATTATTTAAGAAGACCTCTCTCAATTGAGATTATATGGATCACATTCTACTCTTTTTCCTACTATTTACATAATTGGATTTTTTTGCTCTACATTTAGGTTCAAAACCCATCTGGAATTTATTCATGTGCGTGCCTCAGTGTTGGCATCCAATTTTATTCCCTTCCAACATCATTGATTACAACAAGATACTTATTAAATATGCCATCTTTTCCAAGTGAGTTAAAATATATCTATACTTTGATCTGTTTGCAAAATCTCTTCTTTCAGTGATTTTAATTTTTTTCATTTTTGGCACCAATACTATATTTTTTGATGAGTGTAGCTATGTGACACCTTTATAGATGACACAAGACCCCTCTTACTATTCTTCTTGAAGAATTTCTTGCTGACATTGCTGGACAGCTTGGGCTCAGTTAAAACAAAAACCTAGAGTACTGACCAAAATTGCATTACAAATACATGTTAATTTCAAAATAACTGATGGCTTCAAATTCAGCTTCCCCATCCAGGAGTACAGTATAATTCTTCATTTATCTAGATTTTTAAGTCCTTTAATAAAAAGTCATACTTGTCATACTTCTTGCTTTTGGTATGAATTCCTATGGTAAAACATAAATATAATATATACAAAGTAAAAAAGAGATTGGGAGAAACTCCCAACCCATCTGACCAAAAGTTAGAGTTCCTAATATATAAAGAGCCTGCACCATAGAGAATTAAAAGGGAGAACAGCCTTAGGAGACAATGGGCAGGAGCCACTTCTGTAAAAGAGAGGCTGGGGACAGCTGACAGCCTGTGAAAGCACACACCACCTGCCCCGCACAAGCAGTCAAGCAAATGTGAGATGACACAAGACACTTTTGCTTTTTAATCCAATGAGACTGTAAAACTTAAAAAGAGTTTCTAACATCCGGTGGTGGTAAAGATGTGGGGAAACAGCACTTCATACATTAATGGTGAGAGCATGAATCGAAAAAAGATGAATCAGCAGATTTAAAAAGTTAAATTGCACATGCCCTTTGCATCACAGTGTTAGGATTTTATTCCACAGAAATTAAGAGTTTTAATAAAGAAGAAGACATGTGTAAGAGGCTTTCCCCTCCTCAGCATTATTTGGGATGGCAAAAGCGTGACCACCATCCATAGGGGAGAGGCGGGAGGAATTTGGACGCAGCCGCACTATATTGTAATGAGCATACACTTTCGCACTGTCATATCTTTCTTCCTTAAGTCATGTTTCCTTTGCAGCCCTCCTCTTTAAGACTGATTTATATTCAGAATCAAAGAGGCCACTGATCAGCCCTGAGCCTTAGTGCTGACTTTTCTTAACCTCCTTAGCAAGAATATCCTCTAGAAATCCAGGTTTATTGGAGGAAAAGGAAGCAATTAACCAATTTTCTAAATTCCAATAGCTCCATTAGCATTTCAAGGGTCTTTTGAGGGAGACCCAGACAGAGAATTTTACTATCTGTCACGGACAAGGGGACTTCAAGACTCGATGACTAAGAAATGGAAAGCCCCACTTCAAGGGACTCTGACGGGGAGGAAGCTGGGGAAGGAGGCAGTGAGAGATACAGGTGGCCTGGGCTGTTTCTGGGCCCAAGGCCCCAGTGGAGGGGAATGTCAGAGAAGATGCGAAAGTGACAGCAGTCGAGGAGTAGATTACACTCTGCTCCTCTTTGGGATTGTGGGAGGAGACTAGACAGAATCCGAGCGGAATGCCACAGCATACACGGTAATGCAAAAGACTTGCAGGACAGAGAGGGAGAGAGAACACAGGCCACTCCCAGGTCGTGCCCAGGAAGAGCTGTGTGCGCTCCTGCAGAGGGCTGAACAGGCCAGACCTCCTAGCTATGCCTGCTAGAGCAAGGATGCTATGGCCTAGGACCACAGGATGAATCCCCAAGACTCAGGGCTGGAAAAGCAG
The DNA here is from genome assembly GCF_000001405.40 of Homo sapiens. Taxonomy (NCBI): domain Eukaryota; kingdom Metazoa; phylum Chordata; class Mammalia; order Primates; family Hominidae; genus Homo; species Homo sapiens. The sequence goes on along the minus strand of NW_011332701.1, from coordinate 2,869,715 downwards.
GACTGGCAGACTCAGAAGCAGAGAGCTGAGGGACCCAGGGGCATGAACACTCACAGGAAAGGGCAGGAGCTCCATGAGATACAGACGTCCACAAAGGTGCCAGCGGGGCACCACAGGTGTGGACAAACCCAGCAGCATTCTCTGGACACCAGCCTGCACACACGTGGGGCACCTGGGAACCTGCATAGGGACAGCTATGAGATCCCCGGATACACTTGTGGCTCCAGTGTCCTTACTAAAGTGCCCCCTCACTCCCAAGAGTTTTACATTTGCACAACAGATGATGTGGCCAGGGAACCAGGAGGAGATGGGGTCCTGAAGAACCGGGCATTCACCAAAGAGGATTTACAGCCGCAGAGCATGGGATGACACTGATGGAAAGGCTGAGGGCGGGAAGAGACAGAACACAGAGCACAGGAGGACACATCAGTTAGAGGAAAATAAAGCTCCATTTGCTTTGCATATCTGTGTGTGGTGGTTCTATATGCAGGCCTGCTGCCCATGAAAGAGGACTGTGCAGCTGCCTTAAAAAATGTTTTTGTATGTGTGTATATGCAAATATATGTGTATATATATATATACACACACATATATTATACACACACATAAGTGTGTGTGTATCTGGGAATGCTTCCATAGTTTATTGTTAACTAAAGAAAACAAGTTGCAGAGGAATATATGGTCTAAGTCCTTTTGTTAAGACAAAACAAACAAAACAAAATAAAACCCTATAAATAGTCATGTTTGTGTAAGTACAGAAAAAGTTATGGAAGTATAAACTGCATCCTGGGAGATAGAACAGAAGTGGGAAAAGAATACGACAAATACAGAGTCACTGGTCACCACGAGTGTGCACTGATTTTGTAATAGAAATAAGGAATAAAAATGTTATCAGTCACAGCCATGAGTGGTAGGATTCTAATTGTCACTTTTGTCTTTGTTTCTTATGTGTTTTCTGCACTTTCCCTAATAGACATCTGTCTTTTTTGTAATCAGAAAAACGTAGATATTAAACAAACACAAAGGCACTGAAGCCTTCAACTCCATTTGCTATTTATCACAGAAAGGGCTTTTTCTAGTCAGGCCACAATCAATTCAGTTGAATGAACATGAACTGAAACGCACACCTGCACGTGCTCCTGGGGTGAGTGTTCTGAAGGACAGGCACCCACCACTGGGCCACCAGGACATGAATTTCACCCAGCCGCACGGCCATGGGAATACCTGCCAGAAAAGTTCTCAGACATCCAGAATGGCCTCCAGCCCTGCATAGAGGTGCAGAGGGGGACAGCAAGATCTCAGGGCAGGGGGCACCAGAGGGAGACCTGGGAGGACAAGGCCAACAGCTGGGCAGTAAGAAATAAGAAGAATGTGTGTTCTTCTGCTGCCGGGTGGAATGATCTGTGAATGTCTGTTAGGTCCACTTGGCCTACACTGCTGTTCACACCCACGCTTCCTTTTTGATTTTCTGTCTGGAAGAGCTATCCATTATTGAAAGTGGAATACTGAAATCCACTATTATTGTATTGCTGTTTCTCCCTTTGCTGTCCATAGAAGCAGTCCCAGTCAATTTCTACAGCTTTACCTCCTGCAATAGCCAAGCATCTGGGGCCCCCAGGCCACAAACTTGGGGTAGGGGAGTCTTTCTTTCTAACTGCCCAGCTACCTTGTCCTCCCAAGTATTCCCATGGCCGTGCGGCTGGGTGAAATTCAAGTCCCGGTGGCCCAGTGGTGGGTGCCTGTCCTTCAGAACACTCACCTGAGGAGCACGTGCAGGTGTGTATTTCGGTTCATGTTCATTCAGCTGAATTGATTGTGGCCTGACTAGGAAAAAAAAAACAAAACCCTTTCTATGGTGAATAGCAAATAGAGTTGAAGTCTTCAACACCTTTGTGCTCATTTAATATGTATGTTTTTCTGGTTACAAAACTGACAGATGTCTATTAGGGAAAGTTCAGAAAACACATAAGAAACAAAGATGAAAATAACAATGATCTAGAATCCTATCACTTAAAGGCTGTAACCGATAACATTTTTATTCCTTATTTCTATTACAAAATCAGGGCACACTCATGGTGATCAATGAATCTGTATTTGTCATATTCTTTTCCCAGTTCTGTTCTGTCTCCCAGGATGCAGTTTACACTTCCATAACTGGAAGCCCACATAAAACATGTTTTCCTTCCTTTCTTTCTCCCTCTCTCTTGCCTTACCTTACTTTATATCACCACTCTCCAGAATTCTGCAAGCTTCACTTGCTATAAATCACCTTGAAGACACCTGACTCTCCAGGAGGATTAAATTCTAAATTATGCAATGATATCTGTAATACCTACAGAGTTTTTGGAAAATGGAAAAATACAAACCAGGAATGACAAAGGCATCACCTCCCTAACATCTCTTAGAGCAAGATACTTTGCAAAACTGCACTGCTTTTAAGTTAGAGAGTTGATTCCATGTTTTATACTGAGGTTCAAAGAACATATGAAAAGAATGCATATTTGAGATTATTGGAAATCAAGGAGAAGAAATGCCTTTGATGTTTGTGTCATCTCAGATTAAGATACATCAACTGCATTACTTAAAGTGGCTTTCCCTATGTATAAATGCTGAGTGGCTGGAAGGCCATGGCCACTTACCAGGACAATGGCCTGAAAGGTGATTTTTCCTGCTTCCTTGGCAGACGGCGGTTATTGTGTTTTTGTGTTTCTGTCTCACTTGAGCGTCTACATGGTGCAGCAATATGAAAGCTCAACTATGGCCCAGAGCACTTCTGGGCTAGTGGGAGGCTTCCCCTCACACAAGAGTGACCCTCCTGAGTGATCAGCTACCTCTGCTTAGGGCGGTGCAGAGGGTCAGTAGTTAACTGCTCAAAGGGAAACTGAAAGAGCAGGACTTTGGGGATGTAATCAAAATGCAACTTATTTACTTATTGTTTTAAATCTCTTTCTGGCCCCTTTAAAATGCATTTAGTTGAGAGAATTCCAAAGGGTCCTTCCTGGGGAAGGTGCTGTGCCTGGCATCTGTCTTCTGCTAACTGCTCTGGGGTAGTGGTGTGGAGGTGGGGGAAGGAGCATTTTGGACTGAAGGGACTGCTTCGTGTCCTGTCTCGGGCTTGGGGTCCGGCCACCGGAGGAGGCTCAGCTGCTCTCCTGGGAGCCTCTTTGGAGATTTCCACGGTGGGGTCACTCACGTGCAGCATTCCTACCGCAGGCAGCTGCACGCCTCCTCTTAACAGTCACTTTCTGCAGTGTCAGCGTACTAGGCATCTGAAGTCCTCCTCTAGCTTCTTGCTACTCGGGTCCCTCTCTCCTTCCACGCTGCCCCAGTGACAGGGCCCAACACCACCCCTGCCAGCTCCCACAGGCACGGCCCATCCGGGGGCCATAATGGTCCTCACGCACTCTGACAACCGTAAGGAATGCATCCTGGTCCCTTTCCTCACTCATGAGATGCCCAGATCCAAGCATTGGCACCTTTATCTTCAACACTCTCTTGATCCTCAGCCTAAAGGCTCCAGGTGAGGGGTAGGTCACCTTCCCCAAGCCCCAGAAACAGAAGGACATTGAGTTGACAGTGGCATTCTAACAGCTTTTTCAAAAATTTCTCTTCACAGAATCCTTTCTCCTCCCTACATCTGATTCCTTCTTTATATTCTTGATCAGTTCAAGGTGTTCAAAAATGAGGGAAATGATCCTAGCTCATTCCTTCCTAACTGGGGCTTCTGGCCTGGCATCTCATTTTAGATGTGTCATCTGTTACACTTCCATATTGCTGTCAAACTTCAATTCTGACATTCTGTTGCATGTGGCTTTATAGAGGTCATATTTGACAAAAAAAAACATTGTGGAGTATTTGAGAGAGTATTTATGTCCATAGTAAATGTGCTGAGTCCATGGGAGAGCCATATGAGAAAATCTGTCTTCTTACTTCACAGTATACATGAAAATCAACTCCAAGTTGATGGTGTTTCTGAATGTAGAGGGTAAAACAATAAATCCTCTAGAAAGCAACATGGAGGAGCATCTGCATGAACTTGGGATGGGCAAAGAGTTCTGAAACAAGATGCCAAAACTACTATTAAAATGGTAAAGTACGCTGGGCATGGTGGCTCACACCTGTGATCCCAGCACTTTGGGAGGCTGGGGCGAGCAGATCACTTAAGGTGGGGAGTTTGAGACAAGCTTGGGCAACATGGTGAAACCTTGTCTCATCTAAAAATACAAAAATTAGCCAAGTGTGGTGGTGCATGCCTGCAGTCCCAGCTACTCGGGAGGCTGAGGCAGAAGAATCGCTTAAACCCAGGAGGCAGAGGTTGCAATAAGCTGAGATCGTGCCACTACACTCCAGCCAGGACAACAGGGAGAGACTCTGTCTCAATAACGACAACAACAAAAAACCCTAACAGATAAAGTAGATACATTAAGAACTTCTCTGCACTAGCAAACAACCTAGAGAAGGTGAAAAGCAACCTACACAGAGAGAAAACATCATTGCAATCCATAGACTCAGTAAAGGACTGGTACCCTGAATAAACACTTCAGAAGTTAATAAGAAATAAACAGTCAATTCAATAGCAGAATGGAAATATATTTGTACATACACTTCACAAGATGACATCTGAATGGCCAAAAATCAATGAAAAGTTGCTCAACCTTATTAGTCATCAGTGAAATTAAATTAAAATGAAAATTAGATACCCACCAGAATGTCTAAATTACAAAAATTGAAAATACCGAGTGTTGGCAAAGATGTGACGCAACCAGGGCCCTCCCACGGAGCTGGTGTGAGTGTAATTAGTAAGGCAACTTGGAAAAACCGCTTGGCAGAATCTACCACAGCTCATCCTACACAACCCCTGTAAGCCAGTACTTTCAGCACTCGGTACCTACACAACCAAAATGTGTACACCTGTGCACCAAAAAATACGGGAAATATCGCCATAGGACTAAGAACTAGAAGCAGCCCAAATGATAACCAATGGATCCACTGGACAATTGGAATATATGGATAAACTACAGTATACTCACACATGGACAAATAGTACATGAATAGCATAGTATGAATGAATGAACTGGTGGTACACACAGCAAACATTATTTCATTCCATTCATCACACTGAGTTTAAAAATAGGCAAAACTGCAGGTGAGAGGTCAGGAGAATGGAAAGACTGAATAAAGGAGAAAGAATAGGGAGAAGGCTCAAGGGGGCAGATGCCTGCATCTCATGTTCTAGTTTTTGAGCTGGGCAGTGATTATTTAATAAAAAGGCATATTTACATTTTTTTTATAATTCATGAAGTTGTACATTTGATGTGCATTTTTCTGTATGTACATTATTCTTCAATAAAAACAATGAGCCGCAAAAATCTATGGGCCATAAAACAGCCCTTATGCAAAGCTAATAAGCTTGTGAAGGACTTTTCCAACTTCTGTCAGCACACATTTTTGAAAAACAGCATTAGTGGCATTCAGCTGGACATTTGCTGGTGTGCTATTGATCAGTTCATTTAGTTTAAGTATTTTTACTAACATGAGCAAACCACAGTCTGCCGCTTTCTCCAATTTCTTCTCAACACAGCCACAAGAATCTTTAAAAGATGTAAATTGGCCAGGCGTGGTGGCTCACGCCTATAATCCCAGCACTTTGGGAGGCCGAGGCAGGCGGATCACCTGAGTTCAGGAGTTTCAGACCAGGCTGGCCAACATGGTGAAACCCCGTCTCTACTAAAAATACAAAAATTAGCCGGGTGTGGTGGTGGGCACCTGTAGTGCCCGCTACCTAGGGTGCTGAGGTAGGAGAATTGCTTGAACCTGGGAGGCTGAGGTTGAAGTGAGCTGAGCGCACCACTGCACTCCAGACTGGGCAACAGTGAGACTCTGTCTCAAAAAAACAAAACAAAACAAAAGATGTAAATTATGTCACATCCTACCTTGCTTGAAACCCAATAGCTTCCCACTGCACTGGAGTGAGACCAAACTTCTTTCCAAGCCTTCAACTGTCCTGCCTCACTTCGCTGTTCCACCTCTGCAGCTTCAGATGGCGCCTGGCTGTCCAGAACCAGCACTGCAGGCTGAGCCTTCTGTGTGCCCCACACACAGCCTGCTGCTTCCTTGGCCTCTGTGCCCTGGCACTGACTTCACCTGGAAGAGCTTCCACAGTGCTTCCCTTCCCCCTCCTTTTAGTTCAAGTGTCTGCTTCAATTTCACCACTGCTAAGAAGCCTTCTCTGACTTCCTTGCTGAACTACATTCCCCATTATTTTACTGCAGTACCAATCACTTCTTTTGTAGCACTACCATTGTCTGTAATAACACTACATACATCATCTGTCCATTCATTGATCCATCCATCCAGTCATATATGCCATTCTGTTCCCTGGAGAATTTAAGTTCTGGGAACTTGCTTGTTTTGTCTTTTCTATCCTTGGGACCTTAGTACACAGTTCAGGGGATGCTGCAGCCACTCAGTGAAAACAAGTTGAAGAAATAAATGAAAATTATAAAGTCAACTGGCCATTCAACACATTCCTCTGCTTTATCTCTGAGCATTTCATCCTTTTCCTAACTCCAAAGTGACCCTTTCTTGAAGGGTACACTGCTATTTCCATTCAAGAAAATTCTATCGAGTCCTTCCTACAGGTGCTAGGCTGCACACTGTTCTGAGGGTACAATAAGAACGGGTGCTGCCCACAGTGCAGTGGTGCAGTGAGACGCAAATAGAGAGAGCTGTGGCTCATGCTGGTTTGTAAGGAAGTTAGATAGTTACAAAAACTATAAAAACGAATATATACATATTAAAATGTTTATAATTTATAATATAAATATGAAAACGATTTTTTGGCAGAAACCCAAAGAAACAGATAATAGCATGAGAAATATGTGTTTTTTATATATATAAAATAATTTACAATTATATTATTTAAACATATTTTATATATAATAGTATATAAAATATATATAACATAATACACATGTATTATATATAAAATATACAAATATATTTTAATATATTTATATACAATACATTATATAATACATATTACATATTATGTATTATATGTAATATTAATATATTACATATGGATTAATTACATATTATATATTATTACATATGTTATTTCAATAATGGAATTTGTATTAACACCTTTGCTCTGTGTTCTAAAAGGAGATCATCTTGCTGAGACACATTAGCATTCAAAGATGGAGGAGCAAATGACGTGTGAGTGGGCACAGCCTCCACAGAGAGCAACAGGACAGCGGGGAGCATGAGCCTTCAGACCATGGGCACACATGGACCAGCGATGGCTCCCGTGAGAATGTGCAGTGGGGAGAGACAACACATGTTCTGATACCTTTGTTACTGCATCTCAAAGGCACGCTGGAGGCAAACTGATGAGAATCCAACAGTGGGGAATGCTGCATGGAACCTGGCCTATCAATTATAGTGAGATACTTTGCAGATTAAAAGTTATCAAAAGATGAAGACTTCCCAGGGCTAGGTACCTGGACTACACTATGCAGAATCTGTGCATATGGACAAAGGGAGGAGGCTGCATGGGGAAGTCCCTGGCTGAAGTTGCCCAGAGGACTTCACCGTGAAGATGAGCCACAAAGCCTGTGGCCTGTGAGGCCGTCACACATCCTGCTCGGTAATGTGGCATAAAAGGCCTTCTTTAACTCTGCCTACTTTATTTAAAATTTTATTTTGAAATAATTTCAGATATATAGAAAACTTGCAAAAATAGTATACAGAATTCCTACATAACCTCACAACTAGAGCCCCTCGAAGGTTAAAGTTTTACATTTATCATTCTCTCCACATACGAGTCTGTTCTACAGATACTATTCAGGTTTCATCCATTGTCCCAACAATGTCCTTTGTAACAAAATGGTTGTTTTCTGTCCAAGATCCCACATTGCATTTCGTTTTCATGTTTCTAATCTAGTTTTTGAAAATCTGAAACAGTTTCTCAGTCTATCACCTTATTTTCTTTTAAAAAATTTTTATTATACTCTAAGTTCTGGGATACATGTGCAGAAGGTGCAGGTTTGTTACATAGGTATACACGTGCCATGGTGGTTTGCTGCACCCATCAACCCGTCACCTACATTAGGTATTTCTCCTAATGTTATCCCTCCCCTCGGCCCCCAATTCCCAACAGGCCCCAGTGTGTGATGTTCCCCTCCCTGCGTCCATGTGTTCTCATTGTTCAACTCCCACTTATGAGTGAGAACATGCAATATTTGGTTTTCTGTTCCTGTGTTAGTTTGCTGAAAATGATGGTTTCCAGCTTCATCCATGTCCCTACAAAGGACATGAACTCATCCTTTTTCATGGCTGCATAGTATTCCATGGTGTATATGTGCCACATTTTCTTTATCCAATCTATCATTGATAGGCATTTGGGTTGGTCCCAAGTCTTTGCTATTGTGAACAGTGCTGCAATAAACATACATGTGCATGTGTCTTTATAGTAGAATGATTTATATACCTTTGGGTGTATACCCAGTAATGGGATTGCTGGGTCAAATGGTATTTCTAGTTCTAGATCCTTGAGGAATTGCCACACTGTCTTCCACAATGGTTGAACTAATTTACATTCCCACCAACAGTGTAAAAGCATTCCTATTTCTCCAAATCCTCTCCAGCATCTGTTGTTTCCTGACTTTTTAATGATCACCATTCTAACTGGTGTGAGATGGTATCCTTGCGCAGGGCTCAGTCTATCATTCTGCAACCCTGATACCCTACTTAGGGTAGAATGTCCCCAGTCTGGGTCTGCCCTGTGAGGCCTCATGATTAGACTCTGTTGTGTATTTCTGGCAGGAACACTGTGGAAGTGATGCTCTGTCCCCTGTGAACCATATCAGGGACAAATCATGTCTACTTGGTCCATGTTGATGATGCTTATGTTGATCTCTTGGCTAAGGTGATGTGCATCAGGTCCCACCCCTAAATAGTTACTATTTTTGTGTTTGTATCTTGCAGAGATATACTCTTTGTAAATATTCTGTTTCTCATTGAATTTCTCCCCCATTGGTTTTAGCATGCAATGAAATTTCTGTTTGCAACAATTAAAACTTGGTGGTCATCAAATGGTGACTTTCTATTTCCTTCCTTTCTCCTACATTTATTAGCTGACACTCCACTATAAGAAAGCACTTTCCCTTCTCCCCCACTTATTTCTCTATTCATCCATTTCTTTCTTTTAATACAAACATATGCATTTTTCTTAAGAATCATCACCTATTTAATAAATAATCACCTGTTACTATAATTAGTAGTTTGAGGCTCAAATTGTCCCAGTGCTCATCACACAAGCCCCATCACTCTTTGGCCACTTGTTTTTTCCTGAAGTGCTAGTTCTGCAAACACATCATGCTTCTCTGCAGCTCTTCTGATGGCACCACCCACTTATTGGCTGGATAATTCCCAGCACTTGTTAAACAGCCCCCTTAGAAGCTTTCCCCAACTTCTCATGTTCCCGTCCCAAATCTTGCTGCTACCACATGACTCCATTGTTATCACGGACTGTGCACTGTGCTTGTTTGTTTAGGCTTATAAGCAGTTGGTTTGTGATTCACATTTCTTTATTATCCTTCTAAGGCACCTCCCTGGTCCACATGAGGAACTCAATACATGTATGCTGAATAAGTGATTAGGAAAAAAAAAAAAAACTGTGTAAACCCTCTGACTTTATATAACCTGCTATTCTACAGGCTTCTATTAGATAGAGTCTCATCACTTTGTTGTTGGGATCTATATCTTTGGTCATTTTTTCCCATTGTTTTACATTACTGAGAAATGCATTATTGGTTCACATTCATGAAAGTTCTGGCATTATGTTTTATTTTTATTTTAGAGACAGAGTCTTATTCTGTTGCCCAGGCTGGAGTGCGGTAGTGCAATCACAATTCACTGCAGCCTTGAACTCCTGCACTCAAGCGATCCTCAGTCTCCCAAAGTGCTGGGATCACAGGCGTGCACCACCATTGCTCGCCCATGCATTATGTTTGAAATCCCTCCTTCATTGTTGGCTACAACATACTCCCTTATTTTCTCAAGAACTTGGACATGTAATGCACATCTGAAAGTAAACATGCCAAAACTCAGCTGCAGAGAGGCTGGTATTTCCTTGCAAATCAAACTCTCCTGTAATCTTCCACATCTCTGATCAGGGCAACCTCAAGCTTCCATTTGTTCAGACCAAAGATGCAGGAGTCAACTTTAACATTTTTGACACCTGCATCTGGCCGATCAGCAAGTCCTGTTGGGTTCTAAATATAATTTGAAGAGACAGCCCTCCTCTTGGCACTGTTCCTCTGCCACCATCCTTGCCCAGCACTGTCATTCCTCCCTTGCAATACTGCAGCTCTCTCCTTGCCAGCGTCCCTGCCCTGCCACGCTGACTTCTGGTTTTCAAACACCAGCCACGGTGATCTTGTTAAACTGAACTGGATTAAGTCCCTCTGCCCAGGCCTCTCCAATGACATCACATCTTACTCTGAAGAAAAGCCAAGTCCTACCACATCTTACAATGCTCTGAATGATGTGATATCCTGTTCCTCTCTGATATAAACTACTTCCTCTCCCTTTCTCCCCACCAGCACACTCCCTCTGGCTACTCCCTGAAAGTGTCCCCTCACCCCTCTGACCATACACACTCCAGCCTCAGGCCTCGACCATCCTCCCCGTCTGGGGATAGCCCATGTCCCCTTCCTCAAGTTTCCTGGTGCTTCAATATATGACACATATATACTATATTTTTTCCCTTTTAAGCTTAAACGCTAATATAATTTGTATTGACAAAATAATTAAGAAATTCAGCTGCTCTCTGTAAAGGCTTAATAAAAATGTAAATTGTAATATAATGGAGAATTAATTGAAACACTCCAAAGCAGAGAAAGAATCGTGGAAGAGTTTAAAATTGCTCACAAGACTAACAGGGAGCCCGGTGAATTGGCCATATTGTATAGAGTGTTTATGTAGCTTCCATCTGTGCCACATCCAATAGTTGTTATTTACAGTCATGTGCAGATAGATCATGATGTTCCAGTCAATGGTCTGCATATACAATGGTGGTCCTATCAGATTATAATGAAAAATTCTCATCACCTAGTGACATCATAGCTGTTGATAACATCATGGCACAGTAACTTCATTTTTTTTTTTTTTTTTGAGACGGAGTCTCGCTGTCGCCCAGGCTGGAGTGCAGTGGCGCGCTCTCAGCTCACTGCAGGCTCTGCCCCCCGGGGTTCACACCATTCTCCTGCCTCAGCCTCCCGAGTAGCTGGGACTACAGGCGCCCGCCACCTCGCCTGGCTAATTTTTTGTATTTTTAGTAGAGATGGGGTTTCACTGTGTTAGCCAGGATGCTCTCGATCTCCTGACCTCGTGATCTGCCCGCCTCGGCCTCCCAAAGTGCTGGGATTACAGGCGTGAGCCACCGCACCTGGACAGTAACTTAATTTTTAAAAATAAATTTAGTGCAGCCTAAGGGCACAGTGTTTCTAAAGTCTACAGCAGTGTAATGTCCTGGCCTTCACATTCACCACCCTGGCCTTCACATTCACCGCTCACTCACTGACTCACCCAGAGCAGCTCCCAGTCCTGCAAGCTCCATCCATGGTAAGTGCCCTAGACAGGTATACCATTTTTATCTTTTACGCTGTATTTTTACTATACCTTTTCTAAGTTTAGAAACACACATACTTACCATTGTGTTATAGTTGCCTGTAGTATTCAGTACAGCAACATTCTGTACAGGTTTGTAGCTTGGGAGCAACAGGCTATACCACATAGCCTAGGCATGTAGTAGGCTATGCCATCTAGGTTTGTACAAGCACACTCTACGATGTTCACACAATGACAAAATCACCTAAACGTATTTCTCAGATTGTATCCCTGTGGTCAAGCAACACATGACTGTACCTCTATGTAATCAGTGTGTATGCTGCATGCACACATCTATGTATCTATATGTCTGGATACGCAGTGTGTGTGTACATGAATGCTTGTTGCTTTTGAGGTCAGCAGGGTGCAATATTTCAGTACAAGGCAGCAGATGGTTTACAACTGGGGAGAAGGCATTAGAACAGTATCATGAGGTTTGTGTGAAGGCCATGCTGATGCTGCTTCAAATGTCCACACTGTAAACACACAGAGCCTTTGGGCCACCACTTGTCTCCTGTGCAGTCATAGTAGGTGGCTTAGGTGATTAATTTCCGCCAGAGATGCTGCCTTTCCTTCGTCAATGCAGGTTTTGTTTTCTCCTCCCTTACAGTGGTCTTCAGCCACAGTTAGCCTTTTCAAGCATTTTTAAGGAATGAGTTGAAAATCAAGTAAAAAAGACAAAGCCCTATCACTCATTTCCTCCTCCATCTTTTGAGAAAGACATTAAGAACTCTGTCTAATAGAAAACAATGTAATCATTTCTAAATCAACGTGATCAACAGTTGGTTTCCTTTTTCTGCCCATAAAATTAAAATTTTACCTTAAATAAATGAAGACCATTGAAAAACCATGAAAGTGTATCCCACAGAGAAGACCAGGGATGCCTGCTCCTCACAGCCTGGCTGTGTCACGGGACTGAAGGCAAATGCGCTGCACAGCAGCCTCCGCATCGGACCCAGGCTCCTAGGCCAGGGACTGCATCTTTTTCACTGAATTCCCGATGCCCAGTGCAGCATCTGGCTCGAAGCCGGTGCTCAATAAAACTCTGCTGCCTGCCTGCCTGAGGGAATGGATAAATAACTGAAGGAGAAGAGGCGGGGTCTGCTTGTGTGAACTTAGACTAAGGGAAGATCTGCCAGGACTGTGCCATGAAGTCACAGTGGCACACAGTCTGTGGCACAGCCTCATCAGCCCTTGCAGGTTCTGGTTATTGAGCCAGACATACCATAGGGAGTGAAGGGCCCCCGATCCCTCTGAGGTCAAGGGAATCTCTGGCAGGGACTGGGAGAGGGTGTAGGATGAGCTCTGATTGGTATGGACACAGTCAGTCCCTCCTCACCTCAGCCACGCAGGAATGGCCCTGAAGTTTCCAAGCCTGCCACAGCTCCCATCTAGAGAAAACCAAGCTGTCCAGGTCCACACAGGTATATATTCTATGGCCATTACACAAGACTTCTTGGTAGATATTCATGGATCTCTCAGAAAATGGGCAGCTTCTCACAGAACAGACATGGGTGCCCACTGACTCCAAACACTCTCACTGGCTGGAAATCGCAGGTTTGCAAACACACTCCTGAATGCACTGCCAGTTTCAATGCATAGCCACGTGGCATGGAGTGACAGTTTGCATGGAATGGTGGCCCTGTCAGGGAGACAAGGTTCATCACAGAAAGAGGCCTGGGGATGCTGGTTTGAAGATGGATGGAATGCAGGCAGGACCACTGCGGCCCAGGGAGTGACCAGAGTCAGCAGAGTTGCCACCACCCGGGGCCCGGGAGGAACTGCTAATGAGCCAGGCTGGGCTGCAGGATGTTTGGGTTGAAAGGTCCCTAGCACAGTGGTCCTTGTCCACTTCGTGGTCTTACAGTTGGCAAAACAGGCCTAGACAATATAAGATTACATCCCAGAGACAGCGATACACGCAGAGGCCATGGGATTTCCAATTGGCTGTCAAAAAGGAAAGTTCTGAGTCCCTGGCCTGTCTGATTGCCTGAGCAGCTGTGACCCAAATCCCCTTAGCCCCCTGATAGCAGTGTGGATAGGAAGAGAGCAGGGAAGATGTTGCTGGCTGGAGCCCTCAGGAGTGCCTCAGCGTTGCTGGAAAGATGACCAGCAGTCCTTCCTACTAGCTAGGACAGTGATTCCACCATGAGGACCATGGGGCAGAAGTCAGGAGAGTGGAAGATAGGATGCAGGAGGGCAAGGAGGTGAAGGAGGCAAGGACATGGAGCCCAGCCAGAAAGGAGGGGAGCTCCTGCAGAGCCTGAGAACTCAGGATGGCTGCGTGGCAAGGGATTGAAGCTTTTGGGAGGAGGCCCGGAGGCCTGCCAGCCAACTATTCAGCTGATGGCACGGCTCTGGAGGTGTTGCCCCACCTCAACACACAATCTGCCCTTGCTTGTGGTGCCAGTGCTACATGGGGCACAATTGCCCTGCCGCCTTCTGAAAGTATATGTACCACTCCCCACCCCCTCACCCCTGCCCTACCCTCTCCCTTTGCCCATGAAATTTGGCCACTTCATCTCGGAGGCCAGCCTTGCCGAGAGAAGGAAACGCAAGTCATACATCCTTCTGGACTTTCCCTTGACACTCAAGCCCTCAACTTTTTCAATGATATAATTAAGATCATATGATATGTTCTTGGGTGATTTGTTTTTCCTATGCCATAGATATTTCTCTGTGTCACCAGAGAGAGCTAGTTCATTTCCCCCGACTTGCTGCATTGCTTTCCCTTGTGTACATGTACTGTGATTCCTTTAACCATTTTTGTTTCATGGGCTTTGTCTTCCTATTACAAAACAAAAGTAAAATTGGGACACTTGTCTGACTCTCTCAGCCTGCAGAGGCAGAAGTTGCTGTAGAAAAAAAATCCTGCAAGTGGAGTTGCTGGGTCAAAATGGAATTGCAAAATTTAGACAGAGACCGCCATATTGTCCTTCAAGGACCATATACCAAGTAACGCATCACCAGTCACTAGCCAGGTGAGTGCCGTCTCCCCACACCCTCGCCAAGACTGGACATCTTTATTATTTTGTTTACCAACATAGTAAGTAAAACGTGGTACCTCAGAGTTTTGTTGTTGTTGTTAATTGGCTCTCCTCTACTCACGGAGCTGGTTAACTTTTCACATGTTTATGGGCTATTTATATTTCTTCTTTGGTGAACTGCCTATGTATATATTTCCTGATTAATTTTACTTGCTCATTTTTCTTATTGATCTGAGGCACTCTGTGTATTAAGGGCATTATATTATCACTGGTGGCTTGTCTTTTCATATTAAAAAATGATTTTCCCTACAGAAGTTGAAAATTTAATGAAATAAAATCTGTGCTGTTTCTCTTCTATGGCTTGTGGGGTTTTGGGTTTGCTTAGAAAATTCTTCCCGTAAAATAAATACTATTCTCTGATATCTCCTTGTAATAGTTCTTGGGGTTATTTTTCTCCTAAACGTTCACACTTTAATACATCTGGAAGTAACATTTGCAAATGGTAAAGGGTTTCCCTAGTGAATTGCTTTCACATGGATGACCAAGTGTTGCTACACAGTTACATGATCTGTCCTTCATCACTGATTTGAAATACCACATTTATCATACACAATATGCCTTTGATGCAATCCTAAGGAGATAGGAATGGGTGATAGAAGCTGGAGTGGGGCTTCAAGGAACTGGGATTGTTTCTGCTACTCACAGAATGGGAGCATACATAGAAGCTGAGCCATGCAGTTGCTCTCACACACCTGAGATCGCATCTTTCACAGTCAGAATACAAGGGCAGGAGTGCTGGGGTCCTGAAACCAATGTGAAAGGACCATCCAGCCTTTACCTGAAGGCATGTTCCCTGGATTATGGTTGTTCGAAGGCTGACTCACACACAGTGGAAAAACTAGACATGATGTTTTAGGGAAAAGAGCTTAAGGGTAGGTCCTCCTGCTGAAGCCAGCTACAATTAAGTCAAGAGGGGGCAGGGGTTGGGGGCACGAAAGCAAAGAAATGCCACTTATCTGAAATCTCCAAGAGGAATGTGGATGGCAACTGGCACCTGCAGCTGATAAGGAACCACCAGATTCCAAGCCTCTGTGCTATGAGCGATTGCGGGGCAGAGGGATCGGAAGCCTCATGTAGCAGAGACCTGGGACTGCTCCAGACACAAAATGAGCCCAGAGATCCCCCATGACTACAGGTAGGAAGCAGGCTGAGAAAGCTGCCACCTTGCAAGGATGCCACGGTCTCTTTAGTGCCCTATGCTCCAAAGAGGGGCCAAGGCCAGGAGAGTAGGAAACGGTGAAGCCCCTGCCCTGCTGGGAAACTGAACGACCAAGGGTGATGGGACCTCACAGCCTCTGCCCAGTGGAATTTCAGGGTTTCTATGGCCATTGACAGTCACCTGTCTCCAGTTATTCCGTTCCTGTTCTACTACTGCATGTTGTTGTGTGGGTGTGACTGTATGGTTGTGTGGTATCAGCTAACTTGTTCTTTTATTTAGCCCATGGGTCTCCAGACTCAAAGAAGCTATATCTGCATCTTACAAAGAGACCACTGGGCATCACGCAGAAGCCCGTGACTTTGAGGCTGATGAGACTTTAGGATGTCTCCCACTACCTTTGATATTTGTGTACCAAAAAGACTGAATCAAATATTCGGTGACCAAAAGGGTAGACTGTGGTTGGCATTAAAACTGTTCACTAATATCCACTTTTCTTCTGCTTCTGGGCTCTCAGAAGAATTGCAGCTCCTGGCCTCCCCAAAGATACACGTGGATCTGTAACTTGCTTTGACCAATGAAATATAAGTGGCAGGTGTCATTTTAAGTGGATGCATTTAATTGCCAGTGCTTACCTCTCCAGTCCTTCTCTTCCTCCTGCCCCTAAGCCTGGTGACCTCCTGATGGCAGTGCTCCATCAGCCTGGAGGAGAATGGCATGTAGCAAGCCCTGACTTCCCTGTGCACCAGGAGCAGAAAATAAACCTTTGTGGTTTGAGCTGCCGAGATCTGGGGGCTATGTGTTACTGTATCTAACTTAAACTAATTGAAAGTACCTTCATTCATTCCCTTGGACTCAAATATCTCTATATTGATCACTCTCAGATTTATAATTCTAATGTAGTCCTCAACCCTGAGCTAGACAGAGTTTTTTTCGGTTCTGCTTTTCTTAACCTATGAATATTCAAGCACCCAGGACTCCGTGTTGAGCTCCTTTTTCTTCTCTATCTACACTTTCCTCCTTTGTAATCTTATTCCGTATCGGGCCTTAAATATTTAAGCACTAGGGTCTTCCAAATTTAAATCTCTAGCCCTGACTAATACCTCTCTAGTACACATCGCTTAATTCCTGGATAGTTCCTACATGACTCTGGACTCTTGAAACTGAATTTAAGCATTGTCTCTGTCTCCTGAATTTCACTATTGAATCAACAACCATTATTACCTAATATAAAAAAGCTCCTTGAAGACATCAACACACACACACACACACACACACACACACACATACACACTTTGTGAAATAGTGTTTGCATTTTTCCCACTTAAGTAGTAAGACTGGAGCAAATTTCATAATTAAAAAAAAATCCCTTGAACAGTGTAGCTAAGAAGAAAGGAAGGAAGGAAAAAAGGAAAGGGAGATCTAAGCTTGATCACATCAAACAGAAAATGTAAACACTACGAACAGAATGTTATTGTACCCCATTAGCAACCTGTCTTCAACAAATCATTTTGCGAAGCAAGAATCAGAACCTAAACTAGACCCTTTCCCAAGACGTATATTCCTTAAGAAATATGCCCTTGAGAACATTGCTCTCACAGGACACTTCAGTCATCAGTAACTTCATGTGGGCTCCAATGGCTGCAATGATCCACTGCACCTATCAGCCAAGAGCACATTCTAGAGGAGTTCTCAATGTTAGAAGTGACGATGGCATTGCCACGGTTCTTTTTGTCAACAGTGTTCAATGGGAAGGTTGTTCCTGCATAGGTCAATTTCTAGGAAAATCCACCTGAATTAGAGAGGGAAAACAGCAAAAATAGTAACAGAAAAACACATGCGGCCTGCTTCACTATGTCCTATTACGATACATGGAAACGTCTGAAATCTTCACTTACATCTCCCTATTTTGACTCCTAATCAGAGAGGTGAGGCTGACTGAGAGGGAGACAGGAGGCTTTGGACCAGGGCCATGGGCCATGTGGGAGCAGGTGCTAGCTCCAAGCGCTCATTCTCCCCTAAGAGACTCTCTCCCCTACCAGGTCTCAAATCCATCACCCCATCATGTCCAGCACAAGAACTTGGCCATGCATCCATTCTCAGCCTGGTATCCCATACTCCGAGTGGCTCATCTCTCAACCTCACCTCATATCCCCACCTTTCCCAACCTTCCCACAGCAGAGCTTGTGCTGATTTACAAGGCTGCCTCTATTTTGTACAAGTTCCTACATAGTCCAAGGCCTGTTCTAGGCTTTCCAGTTTCTTCCACAGTACCAGCCCAGGCAGGAATACCACATGTTGTAGTTACTGTTCATTTGAAACGTTGATCTCTCCATCCACCCTATGATTAGCCAAGTATTCCTTTTCATCTCTTCTACTCACTATTTAGTAATTACTGTCGTTTTTCAGTTGTTTTTTTTTTTTTTTTGGATAGTCTTCCAATTATAATAGTATGCATAAATTATCAGAGGTAAACTTTAATCAACATTATACTATTTCACATACGTGTAAGCACATATACAATATTAGCTCATAATTTTTCTTGTAAATTTGTTTGAGTTCCTTATAGATGCTGGATATTACACCTTTGTTAGATGCACAGTTTGCTGAAATTTTCTCCCATCCTATAGGCTGTCTGTTTACTCTGTTGGTGTTTCTTTTGCTGTGCAGAAGCTCTTTAATTAGATCCCATTTGTCAATTTTTGCTTTTGTTGCAATTGCTTTTGGCATCTTCATCATGAAATCTCTGCCTGTACCTATGTCCAGGATGGTATTGCCTAGGTTATCTTCCAGAGCTTTTATAGTTTTGGGTTTTACATTTAAGTCTTTAATCCATCTTGAGTTGATTTTTGTATATGGTGGAAGGAAGGGGTTCAGTTTCAATCTTCCATACATGGCTAGCCAGTTATCCCAGCACCACTTATTAAATAGAGAGTCTTTTACACGTTCCTTGTTTTTGTCAGGTTTGTCAAAGATTAAATGGTTGAAGGTGTGCGGTCCTATTTCTGGGCTCTCTATTGTGTACCATTGGTCTATGTATCTGTTTTTGTACCAGTACCATGCTGTTTTGGCTACCGTAGCCCTGTAATATAGTTTGAAGTTAGGTAGCATGATGCCTCCAGCTTTGTTCTTTTTGCTTATGATTACCTTGGCTATTCAGGCTCTTTTTTGGTTCCATATGAAATTTAAGATAGTTTTTTCTAGTTCTATGAAGAATCTCAATGGTAGTTTAATAGGAATAGCATTGAATTTATAAATTGCTCTGGGCAGTATGGCCACTTTAATCATATTGATTCTTCCTATCCATGAGCATGAAATGTTTCTCCATTTGTTTGTGTCACCTTTGAGTTCTTTGAGCAGTGTTTTGCATTTTTCCTTGTAGAGATTTTTAACCTCCCTGGTTAGCTGTATTCCTCGGTATTTTATTCTTTTCGTGACAATTGTGAATGGGAGTAGGTTCCTGATTTAGCTCTTGGTTTGACTGTTGTTGGTGTACTACTACTATTCTTATCAGTTCTTTTGTTCATTCTTCAAAATAATTGTATCCAATTCCCCGAAATGCAATATTAGAACTCTGATTGACAGTGCATTCCAGCTTTGGGTTAATTTTGAAAAAATTGACATTTTTTATATTAACGTGTTTCACCTGCCCCTGCTGAAACATGATCAGCTTCTCTAGCTTGTCCTGTCTCCATACCTGTAGCTTTCAGGCATCCTCTGAACACTCTTGTTTTGGATGGCTGGTTGGGTCTCCTCTTTCTCTTGACTGCTGATTGTATTTCCCCGTTATGTGGCTAAGACTTGAGTCTTGAATTCTTTTTCCGACAAACTTGCCATCTGAGAGCACTCAGACAGCATCCTGCCTATAGTTGACCCCATGGTGACAGTTCCAGCCATGACTTCATTCATTCAGCAGATATTTGTGGGGTATTATGGCCCTGTGCCATGCTAGGCACTGAAGAGACAGTGGTGAACAAGACAGATGTAATCTCTGTTCCCTAATAGAGCCACAGGCATGCTCAGGATAGAGAGCCAGAGGGCTGACCTGGTCTAGGCAGCCAGGGGGTGCTTCCTAGAGGAAAAAGCGTTTAAGTTGAACTCTGAAGGACCAATAGGAATTAGTCAGGCTGAGCAGCAGGATGTGAATGTTGGGGTAGAGGAGGTAGAGGGTGGAAAGAACACCCAGGCAGAAGAAACAGCTTATTCACAAATCCTATAGTTGTCCAGATAGTGAGTGGG
This sequence comes from Homo sapiens, assembly GCF_000001405.40. Classification (NCBI taxonomy): domain Eukaryota; kingdom Metazoa; phylum Chordata; class Mammalia; order Primates; family Hominidae; genus Homo; species Homo sapiens. The sequence continues at coordinate 2,849,597 of NW_011332701.1, read as the reverse complement.
GCCCACGGTGAGTCTGGTAGAGGAGGGGGTGTTGGTGGAGGGTCAGAAAGAGCCAGAGTTGACCAAACTCAGGGGAGGTAATGGTGACAGATGTCAGTGTCATCTGGCTAGATTTGCTCTGAGCTGGGCTCTGTTCTCAGCCCTTTGTGTTTGTCTCAGTTCACCCTCACAGCAATCCACTGAGTTAAGATGTAAGGAAATGGAGTGCTGATACATCACCAACTTGGCCAGGTTTGCACGTCCCCAGGATTATGAGTCAGGACTGAAACTCGGCCTCCGGAGCCCACTGTGGCAAACTAAGATGCTGTTAAAGAGCTTTTTTTCAGGAGACTGGCTGAGGCTATTGTTTTTTGGGGGCAAGGTGTCACCCAGGCTGGAGTGCATGACAAGATCCTGGCTCACTGCTAACTCCACCTCACAGGTTCAATCGATTCTTATGCCTCAGCCTTGCAAGTAGCTGGGATTACAGGTGTGTACCACCATGCCCAGATAATTTTTGTATTTTTAGAAGACAGAGTTTCTACTAAAACACCCTTGATCAGGCTGGTCTCAAGCTCCTGGCCTCAAGTGACCTGCCCACCTCAACCTCCCAAAGTGCTGGGATTACAAGCATGAGTCGCCACGCTCGGTGTGACAATCTTTGTTTTAGCAAAAACCGTCTGGGCAATTGTGATCCTCAGAGTTTTCAGAACGACTGCTCTAATCTGAGCATTTCGGCTATGAATTATTTCACTCTTACTCCCACGTTAGCAGAATCACAAACATGGTGAGGTGTTGGGTTTCCCTTGTTATTCAGTTTTAAATATTTTCTAAAAATTTGTGAGATTTTATTGACCCATGAGTTACAAGTATTTTTCTTAATTTCCCAACATTTGGGGGATTTTCTAGATTTCTTCTTGTTAAGACATTTCTAATTTAATTCAATCATGGTCAGAGAACATATTCTAAACAATTTCAATACTTTGTTACAAAGATATGTTTTGTGGCCAAGAGTATGGTCTGTTTCAGTGACTATTCAGTGTGGTTTCAAAATAAAGGTATTGCACAATTGTGGGAATTAGCATTCTATAAATGTTAATTTTTTCAATTTTATTAATATCATTCAAATCTTCCATGTTTTCACAGAATTTTTATCTACTTATTTTAAAAATATCCAACAATAATGAATTTGTCATTATCAAGTTCTCCTTTTAGTTCTGTCAATTTTTCCTTCATATATTTTAAAGTAGTCTCATTTTACACAGACAAAATAAGGATTGTTAATGCTTCCTAATGAACTGAAACTTTCATTATTATGAACTGTTTTTATCTCTAGTAATACTCCCTTAATTTTTACTTTGTTATTAATATAGCTACTCAAGCTTTCTTGTTGCTAGTGTTTCCATGGTATATCTTCCTTCTATTTTATAGGTCTAACCTCCTATTTAAACTATGTCTCATAGAAACTGTATACAGCTAGTCCTTCTTCTTTTTTTTTTTTCTTTTTGAGACAGAGTCTCACTCTGTCGCTCAGGCTGGAGTGCAGTAGTGGGATCTCGGCTCACCTGCCTCTAGGGTTCAAGCCATTCTCCTGCCTCAGCCTCCCAAGTAGCTGGGATTACAGAGGCGTGCACCACCATGACCACCTAATTTTTTCTTGTTTGTTTTGTTTTTTTGGGTTTTGTTTTTTTTGAGATGGAGTCTCTCTCTGTCACCCAGGCTGGAGTGCAGTAGTGGGATCTCAGCTCACCTGCCTCCAGGGTTCAAGCCATTCTCTTGCTTCAGCCTCCCAAGTAGCTGGGATTACAGAGGCGTGCACCACCATGCCCACCTAATTTTTTCTTGTTTGTTTTGTTTTTTTGGGTTTTTTTTTTTTTTTGAGATGGAGTCTCTCTCTGTCACCCAGGCTGGAGTGCAGTAGTGGGATCTCAGCTCACCTGCCTCCAGGGTTCAAGCCATTCTCCTGCCTCAGCCTCCCAAGTAGCTGGGATTACAGAGGCGTGCACCACCATGCCCACCTAATTTTTTCTTGTTTTGTTTTTCTGGTTCTTTTTGAGACAGAGTCTTGCTCTGTCGCCCAGGCTGGAGTGCAGTGGCGCGATCTAGGCTCACTGCAAGCTCCACCTCCCAGATTCACGCCATTCTCCTGCCTCAGCCTCCCGAGTAGCCGAGACTACAGGCGCCTGCCACCACGCCCGTCTGATTTTTTGTATTTGTAGTAGAGACGGGGTTTCACCATGTTAGCCAGGTTGGTCTCGATCTCCTGACCTTGTGATCCGCCCGCCTTGGGCTCCCAAAGTGCTGGGATTACAGGCATGAGCCACCGAACCCAGCTGTAATTTTTTTTTTTTTTTTTTTAGTAGAGACAGGTTTTGCCATGTTGGTCAGGGTTGTCTTGAAGTCCTGACCTCAAGTGATCCACCCACCTTGGCCTCCCAAAGTGCTGGGATTACAGGTGTGAGCCACTGCACCAGCCTAGGTCTTTTTTTTTCCCCAATCTAGTATGACAATCTCTGCCTTTTGATGGGAATATTTAGGCTACTCATATTTAACAGTTATTAATATGGTGAGGTTTAAGTGTATCATCTTGTCATTTGCTATTTGCCCTATTTTATCTTTCTTTCTTTATTCCTCCTTTCCTGACTTATTCCTGATTAAATGTTAATTTATATATTTTTTTTTTTTTTTTAAGGCTAGTCAAGTGAAGCAGTGGGAGTGGAGAAGAAACAAATCTGTAACTAGTTGCAATCAGGTGTAAACACCACCGCACTATGATTAGCCAAGTTTTCCTTTTTATCTCTTCTACTCACTATTTAGTAATTACTCTTGTTTTTTAGTGTTTTTTTTTTTTCTGGATAGTCTTCCAATTATAATAGTATGCATAAATTATCAGAAGTAACCTTTAATCAACATTATACTATTTCACATACATGTAAGTACATACACAGTATTAGCTCATAATATTGTATTATGGGCTATACAGGGCATGGTGGCTGGTGCCTATAATCCCAGCACTTTGGGAGGCTAAGGCAGATGAATCACCTGAGGCCGGAGTTCAGGACCAGCCTGGCCAACAGGATGAAACCCCACCTCTACTAAAAAATAAAATTAAAAATTAGCCGGGCATGGTAGCACACACCTGTAATCCCAGTTATTCAGGAGGTTGAGGCACAAGAATCACTTGAACCCAGGAGACAGAGGTGCAGTGAGCCAAGATCATGCCACCACACTCCAGCCTGGGTAACCGAGTGTGCTCTCTCAAAAAAAAAAAAAAAAAAAAAAAAAAAACACATACAATATATACATAAAACAATATACACATAAAGTATAGGGATACAATAAAATTCACATTAAACACTTCTGCATATGTTCCTCCAACCCTTTATACAATTGCTGTCATATATTTTACTTCTACTTATGTTATAAAACACACAATACATTTTTCTGGCCTTAATCAATAGATTTAACAAGTTATGAAAAATTGTTTATTTTCCAACATATTTACCACTATAGTACTCTTCAGTTATTCTTGTAAACCCAGGTTTATATTTGCTCATTTAACATGAAAAACTCATTTTAACATTTTGAGTCAAATTCTCTCAGTTTGGAGACTAATTTACCCATTTTTTTCTTTATTTCCTTTTTATTTTTGAGAGTATTTTGGCAAAATACAGAATTCTGGGATAGCAATTTTTTTCTTTGAACACTTTAAAAATATTGTTCCACTGTCTAATGGCATCTATGGTTTCAAATGAGAAGTCAGCACACATTGATGTAACTGTTTCCCAACATGGACTATATAGGATTTCTCTAATTGCTTTTAGGATTTTTCTCTTTAGTTTTGATTTTAAGCAGTTTGACTATGATGAGCCTAGATGTAGTCCTCTTTGGTTTATCTTGGTCAGGGTTCAATGTGATTCTTGGGAATGTGAGCTGACATTATCATCAATTTGGAAACATTTTCAACAATTATTCCTTCAAATATTCCTTCTATCTCATTCTTTCATCTCCTTCTGAGGGTCAAATCATGTGACTGTTAGATAATTTTATATAATATTATTCCACAAAGTCTCAGACACTGTGTTCTGTTTTCTTCATTCTTTTTGCTTTGTGTGTCAGTTTGAGTCATTTCTATTAAACAGACCTATAATTCACTGATTCTTTTTTCTATTATGTTCTGTGATGTCCATCCAATAAGTGTTTTTGAACTTTTATTATAAAATAATTATAAACTCACAGGGAATAGAAAAAGCAGTACAAAGAAGTCCCATATGCCCTTCCTCCAGTTTCCCATAATGGTAACATCTTACATAATTATAGAACAATATCAAAGCCAAAAGTCTGCCATTGGTACAATGTGCATATATAATTCTACATCACTTTACCACATGTGTAGATTCACACAACCACCTCTGCAATCAAAGTACAGAACCAATCAATCATGATGAAGATCTCCCTCATGTAATCCTTATGCACTCAAACTCTCCCTCTTCCCCCAATATCCCTAACCCCTGGCAACCACTGTGATATAGTTTGGCTCTGTGTCCCCACCCAAAGCTCACCCTGAATCGTAATAATCCCCACATGTCAAGGGTGGGACCAGGTGGAGATAACTGAATCATGGGGGCGGTTTCCCTCATGCTGTTTTCACAATAGTAAGTTCTTACAAGATCTGATGGTTTTATAAGGGGCTTCCCCCTCCACTCGGCACTCATTCTCTCCTCCCGCCATGTGAAGAAGTGCCATCTGCCATGATTGTAAGTTTCCTGAGGCCTCCCCAGCCACGTGGAACTGTGAGTCAATTAAATCTCTTTTCCCTATAAATTACCCAGTCTTGGGTATTTCTTCATAGCGGCATAAGAATGGACTAATACACACTGATCTGTTTCCTCACACTGTCATTTCAAGAATGGTATATTAATATGACATTTCACTCACCTAATGCCCTTAAAAACCATCCAAGTTGTTGGGTATCAATAGTTCATTTCACTTTACTAAGGAGTATTCCATTCTAAGGATATAACACAGTTTGTTTAATCATTCACAAACTGGGTGACATTCTAGTGTTTCCAGTTTCAGTTTATTACAAATAAAGCTAGTATGAATAGTCATATATAGATATTTGCATGAACATAAGATTTCATACCTCTGAAAAAAAGCTCAAAGTGAATATTTAATATGTTATTCATATGGATATGTAATATGGAGTTAAAATATGGTAAGTAAATGTTTAGTTTACCAAATGGCCAAAATGTTTCCAGAGTAGTTGTACGATTTTACACTCCCATTAGCAATGTACAGAGCTAGTTTTTCAGCATCCTTGACAGCACTTGGTACTGCCACTATTATATTGTTTTAATAGGTGTATAGTTGCAGAATTAGTTTGCTTTTCTTTAACAGATAACAATGACAAGTATATTCTCATGTACTCATCTGCTATTCATATAGCCTCTTTGGTAAAATGTTTCTCATGTCTTCTGCCCATTTTCTAATTGAATGTTTTTTGCATTGAGGTTTGAGACATACTCCAGATATGAGTCCTTTGTCAGATATGTAGCTTGTAAATATTTAGTCCATGTGTCTAGCTTGTCTTTTCACCATTTCAACAGGGTCTTTGGTGGAGCAAATGTTTTTAATTTTGATGAAGTCCAATTTATTAACTTTTATTAACTTTTTTCTTTTCTAGATGATGCTCTTGGTGTTAAGTCTAAAATCTCTTTATCTAAGTCACAGTCACCAAGTGTTTCTCCTCTGAACCTTCAGGATAATATATACTAAAGACTCTCGATAACCTTATTTTCCTCCACAGAGCACTGAGTTGTGTGTTCTGGCAAGTAGCGTCTGGCCAGTCACCTCAATCCTGTGAAGGCTTCTTTTTGCTTTTGTTAGTACCAGTCTTTTCTTGTTTTTCCTTTAGCCCTAGGATGTAGCCCTTAGTCCCAGTACATGATTCTTAGTCCTAAGGTGTGGCATGGCCCTTCTCACATTTCAATGGAAAGTTCAAGGTGTTTACCAAGCCCCTCTTAACTTGGTGAGACTTCACCTCCAAACTCTATCTCCCTAGCTCAAGCAACTGCTGGAATTTCTGCTCAACTCTTTAACCTCACAGCTGCTGCTTTCTGCTGGCTTCCACAGGGTGTCGTTCAGCACAGGCACAACGTCAAAGATAGCCAATGACTGTAGAGGAACTTGTACACATATTTTGTGACTCTGCTGTCACTATGATTTTTCCCTACTCATTCTCCACCACTCTTTCCCAGCAGGGCCAAATTCCAACCTCAGTTCCTTGCCCCAGGAAGAAGTCACTTCCTGCCTAAACTCTATTCCCTTGGTGTGAACCTAGCACATCTGCAGGATAAACCAGTTAAATGTACAGCTCAGCCAGGTCACTTCCCTTGTTTCAAGTAGTGTGTTGCCTCCAGTTTCTACCTATTTTTGTTTTTATATTCCATCCAGATCTTTTATTATTATTATTGGCAAGAGGGTAAGCCCAATACAGCTCCTCGACCTTTACCAGAACCAGAAGCCCAGGTGTGGCTGTTATGTTAATTTCCCAGTTTGGGAGAAGTATAAATTCATACCTCAAAACATGATGAAAATTGAAAACAAAAAACTGCAGTTGAAAATTTATATGGAAGACTTTTTTTCCCTCTTTCTAGAGCTGAAGATAAAAATCAACAAACTTTGGCTGGGCGCCATGGCTCATGTCTGTAATCCCAGCACTTTGGGAAGCCAAGGCGAGTGGATCACAAGGTCAGGAGTTTAAGACCAGCCTGGCCAAGATAGTGAAACCCTGTATCTACTAAAAATACAAAAATTAGACGGGTGTGGTGGTAGATGCCTGTAATCCCAGCTACTCGGGAGGCTGAAGCAGAGAACTGCTTGAACCCAGGAGGCAGAGGTTGCAGTGAGCCAAGATTGCACCACTGCACTCCGGCCTGGGCAACAGGGCAAGACTCAGTCTTCAATAAATAAGTAAACAAACAAACAAACTTCTTTGTTATCTCTCTGTGTAGGTAAGTGAGTTGCCTTTTTTTTTTTTTTTTTCCAAATTCCCCATTTTATTGATAGCTCTTCAAGGCTCTTAGCTCCACCTAACTGCTTCAGGCAAACCTCTGACCTCATCTTCTATTCTTAAATTGTATCAAACCTCAAAACTATTATACAACAGCAATAACTACCACCTCATCTTGTCCCAGGCAGCCTTAAAGTGTTACCAGTTCAGGATTTTAGTTGCCCCCATTTCTGACTTTTGAAAATTTCCCTCACTTTCTTGTTCATTCCCACGTGTATTCCAAAGTCTTCTTGTTACATTTTACCTTGCATTTTTAGGTTTGTTTGTTTTGTGTTTTTTGTTTTTGAGATGGAGTTTCACTCTGTCACCCAGGCTGGAGTGAAGTGTTGTGATCTCGGCTCACCACAACCTCTGCCTCCCAGGTTCAAGCAATTCTCCTGTCTCAGCCTCCTGAGTAGCTGGGACTACAGGCACATGCCACCATGTCCAGCTAATTTTTGTATTTTTAGTAGAGACAGGGTTTCACCGTATTGGTCAGGCTGGTCTCAAACTCCTCACCTCAGTTGATCTACTTGCCTCGGCCTCCCAAAGTGCTGGGATTACAGGTGTGAGCCACTGAGTCCACCCTCTACGTTTGTTTTTGTATTTTTTTTCTTTTGATGTGGGAGGATCACACATAATTTGCAAGATTATTTCAATAGCTAAATTGCCATAATTAGAAGACCACATGTTATTTTTATAATTAGAATATTTACAAAATCATAAATGCTACATGGAAAAACTATAGGGAAAAATAAGTCCATGTATATGTATATATAATTCATACATCTCAGAAAGTGCAACAAGTGCTGTTTGTTCTTAAAAAAGATTATAAATTAAAAATGAGGACTATAGAAAATAAGGACAATGACAGAACTGACACCGTGTAGTTGTTCTAGAAATGAAAAGCAATACTACTCAAGCTAGGAGACAGAGAAGAGAAAGTAGTGCAATTGTGCATCTTAATATGGAGCAAGAGCCCAAAGTGGAGCACACAATCTCACAGCCTTTGAAACAGATTCATCATATGCTATGTTTAGAGTTTCCAAAGGCACAGAACTTTCAGAAAGAACTAAGTTAAATAATGCTTCCAATCACCATATACCCACTTTTAACATAAAATTCAATTCTATAACCAATTCAGTAGAAAGCTAAAGAACACAGTACCAATATACTTAAGTCAATAATTCTTATGATATTTCACTCTTTTAAAGAACTAAATCATAAAATGTGATTATCCCACAAAAAACATGAGGACATAGAATGCAAAATAAATTTTTCAAATTAAATTAGAGGCCAGCATTATTCTAAGGAAGTAACTCAGGAACAGAAATCCAAATATCTTATGTTCCCAGTTATAAGTGGGAGCTAAGCTATGGGTATGCAAAGGCATACGGAGTGGTATAATGGACACTGGAGACTCACAAGTGAGGGAGGAGAGAGGGATTAAAAAAACTACATATTGAGCACAATCTACACTACTCGGGTGACCAGTGCACTAAAATCTCAGACTTCACTGTTGTACAACTCATCCATGTAATCAAAAACCACTCATACTCCAAAAGCTATTGAAATAAAAAATAAACATTAAAAATATATCAATTAATTAATTAGAGGTCAGGTGCAGTGGCTCATGCCTGTAATCCCAGCACTTTGGAAGGCTGAGGCAGGTGGATTGCTTGTCACCAGAAGTTAGAGACCAGCCTGGGAAATAATACGAGACACCATCTCTACTAAAAGTAAAAATTAAAAGATTAGCCAGGCATGGTGGCATGTACCTGTAGTCCCAGCTACTAGGAAGGCTGAGGTGGGAGGGTCAGTTGAGCCCAGGAGTGTGAAGTTGCAGTGAGCCATGATCATGCTACTGCACTCTGGACAACAGAGCAAGACCCTACCTCAAAAAACAAAAATTAAATTAGATTAATTTCAAAAACAATCATGGTGATAGTGAATTAATAATCTGTTGAGGCCAGGTGTGATGGCTCATGCCTGTAATCCCAACTCTTTGGGAGGCTCAGATGGATGGATAACTTGAACCCGGGAGTTTAAGACCAGCCTGGCACCTGGTACACAGTAAGCATTCAATAAAGCTAGGCTAAAATGATTTTTTTAAAACTAAAAAGACCAGCCTGGGCAACATAGGAAGACTACATCTCTACAAAAAAAAAGAACAAACGAAAACAGCTGGGCATGGTGGCACACACCTGTAGTACTAGCTACTTAGGAGGCTGAGGTGGGAAGATAGCTTAAGCCCAAGTAGTGAGCTATGATTGTGCCATTGTAGTCCAGCCTGAACAACACAATAAGACTCCATCTCAAAAATAAAAATAGTAATAATCTGTTGAAAAAAAGAGAAAATGCAATGGCGATTAATGACAATATAATGATTAACATTTCCTGAACTAAAATTGTATGTTTTATTTTAGAAAAATGTTAAAACAGCAGTTATAATCTACATGATTTTTAATATTATGTTCTTATTGCATATATCACGTGAAAGGTAAAGTGGCACTGCAAAGGAAAAGATGTACCTTTACTATGGAGCTCTCTGGCAGCACCACTTTAATCAAATGGTCAAAGTAGGCACAACTAATAAAACTTGACACTGCATGCTTCCTGATGAGTTGAAATATGAAGTACCCAATATCACCTACGATATGTTCTTATCAAAAAAAAAAAAAAAAAAAAAAAAGGTTTAACCCAAATCTAATGAAGCTTCCAGACCTAACTTACAGTTTATAGGGAATGTGTGGACTAGAGGAATAAGTTAGCAATACCAAGAAAAAGCAAGTAGACAAATCTGCAATGTGGAACATTCTACAGGACAAACAGCCTGGGCTCTCCAAGAGTCAATGTAATGTGGCTAGAAAAAATAGAGGAATAATCCTAGAAAAAAACATTAGGAAAGAGACTCCAAAAGTGAATTATAGAGAGCACCAAGTTGTTTCTTCTGAAGATGCAAAGGTGATTTATTTTTAGGAATTCCATTAATATAATCCACCTATTAATAGAGATGGGAAGAAAAATTCTATACTCATATCTTCAGATGCCATACCAAACTCAATAACCATTAATGTTAAAAACAAAGAGGAAACTGGTAAATACTTATTTAACATGATTTATGCCAACACCAAGCATTAATGAGAATACAGAGCACTGAGCATTCTTTCATTAGTCAAAGCATTTTAACTTCTACAACCTTTTTGGAAAACAGTTTAGATTACCCCCTAAAGTTGAACACCCACATATCCTATAACCTACCAATTTTATTCCTACACATACCCAACAGAGAGCTTGCGCAAGTGCATCAAAATGTGTTTGCAAGGTTTATAATAGCCAAATACAGAAAACAATCCAAATGCCCATCGCCAGTGATGTAGTATACTCATGCACTAAAAATGAACTACAGGTACCTGCAACAAGGATGATTCCATAAACATAATATGAAATAAGAGAAGCCAGATACCAAAGTATACATATCATATGACTCAATTTAAATAAAATTCAAAAGCAGGCAAAATCATCATAGAGTTGGAAGTTATGGTAACTTCCTTTGGCGCAAACGGAGAGAACAGTGATCAGGAGAGGGCACAAGAGGGTCCCCGGGTATGCTGGCAACGTCCTACTTAATGTTCTGTTTCTTGACCCAGTGGCAGTTTCTTGGGTTTTCACACTTGGCAATAATTCATGAAGCAGTACATTTACCTTTTGTACATATTTCTGTATATTTCTAACACTTCAGTAAAAAAGAATTATAATTTTCAAACCAGAAAGAAAGTACAAAGTCATCCCTAAATATCTAAAAAATAATGGAAACATATATAACTATATATCATATTGGTGACAAAAGTACGAACTGAAGAATTATTTCAATTGATTTTAAAACTCACTGTTTTGACTGTATATATCATCCAGTGGGTTATATCACCAGGGAAAAAAAGTACTTACAATGTTCTTTGTAGTTTTGTTGTTAGTAACAATACGTGTACTACTATTTTTAAACTATTCTAAACTTTAAGCTAAAAAAAAAGATCATTATGTTAATATTATTAATGGTCAAGCTTTTTCTTTTTCTTTTTTTTTTTTGAGACAGTCTCACTCTGTTGCCAAGACTGGAATTCAGTAGTGTGATCCCAGTAGCCTCTGCCTCCTGGGTTCAAGCAATTCCCATGCCCCAGCCTCCCAAGTAGCCAGGATTACAGGTGTGCACCACCATGCTCAGCTAATTTTTATATTTTTAGTAAAGATGGGATTTTGCCATGTTGGCCAGGCTGGTCTCGAACTCCTGAGCTCAAGTGATCCACCTGCCTTGGCTCCCAAAGTGCTGGGATTACAGGCATGAGCCACTGCGCCCAGCCAGGATTTTTAGCTTATGAGAAGAAAAATAAAAATTGTAAATCAAGAGGTAAAAATGAATTTTAAATCTGAATTGGGGCCAGGTGCAGTGGCTCACACCTGTAATCCCAGCACTTTGGGAGGCCAAGGCGGGCGAATCACCTGAGGTCAGGAGTTTGAGACCAGCCTGGCCAACATGGTGAAACCCTGTCTCTACTAAAAATACAAAATTAGTCAGGCATGATGCTGCATGCCTGTAATCCCAGCTACTCGGGTGGCTGAGGCAGGAGAATCACTTGAACTGCGAAGGCAGAGGTTGCTGTGAACCGAGATCGCACCATTGTACTCCAGCCGGGGAACAAGAGCAAAACTCCATCTCAATAAAAAAATCTGAATTGGAAAGGTATCAATAAACTCAGAATTTTTCTCTTTTTAAGAAACAATAGTACCCAGATCTGAACTCTGAAAAGCTCTACAAGAAAAAGAAAAAAATCCTAGAGAACCCAGACTGTGTTCTCTAACTACATCTTCTAACAAAAAGTAAATGAGATTCCTTATAAAAGTGGTTTCAAAACTAGGGGCTGACTATTCCCAAAACAAGCCTGTGAAAGCTCACTGCCGAGAAGCCAGCAAGCTATCAGAGACAGGAGTAGGCTCATGTCAACGGGAGAAAGGAGCAAACTTGAATGGCTCCCACTGGATGGAGATGAAACAATTTAAGCATCAAAAAGACTAACGACTGCAAAGGACTAGATGATATACATATACATATATACATCTATAAGTTCTTAAGAATATAAAATCAATTTCACTGGACATTTATGGAGATTTCTAAGGTACCAACTCACTGGACATTTATGGAGATTTCTATGGTACCAACTCTTTATTCTGAAAACTGACCTATGAAGAGAAACAATCAAGCATTTATCCTGCCTTGAGAAACAAATTCTATTTTAGGATAACCAAACAGTTGATCAGGGAAAGCTCTTCTGTAAGAAAACTTCCAACTACAAATAGAAAGGAAATTACAGAACAAGAAAATTATCATTTTGCATCTCTAAAGGATTATTACATGTAGACAATAATCAATTGATGTTAAAACTATTAAATAAAAGAGTGATGAGTTCCTGGCTCACAGATGAGGGTATGAAGAAAAAAAAGAGTGATGGGAATATTTATAATAAGGCCAACAACATCTGACTCCAGTGATCAACTTTAACCCCTCTAATAGAGGTATATAATGCTTAGTTGTCTCACTTTCTATGAAGCAATAGGAAAAATACAGCACCAACTATGAAAAATTCCTATTTCCCTAAGCCATGCCCCCAAAAAAGCACTGAACCAAGGGTCCACATATAAGCAGCCAGGTGCAAGAAGGGAAAGGCAGGTGATAAAGGACTCTGTTAAATAACACCAAAAGGGTGCAATAAAGCTTCTGATGTTCCCATTTGGGCCAAGACAAGGGACAATTTGTAACAAATAAATGACATTAAAAAAAGAGACCAGGAATTAAGACACTTAAGGGTCACATTATCTAAACACAATCCTGGCTCAAAGAAAAATTACAAAATGACATGTATGAAACCATCAGGAAAATCTGAACACTAACTGGGTGTTAGATGATATTCAAGGACTACTGTTGAATGTATTGTGAGTGATAATGAAATTGTGGTTATATATTTTTCTAATCTTTTTCTGTTAGAAAAATACATTTGCTAATAAAATGATATCATTTTATTTAAAATACTCCAGTGAGAGAGAGAGGGGGAGAAAAAGGGAGAGGGAGAATGAAAGCAGGAGACATAGATGAAACAAGATTAGCCAATGTTGATGACTGCTGGAAGCAAATGATGCTTCCTCATTATTGTAGTCTCTCTACTTCTATGTATGTTGACATTTTCCATTATAATAAAAAAAAATTTTCAGACGCTCTTGCTCTGTTACCCAGCTGGAGTGCAGTAGCATGATAATAGCCCACTGCAGCCTCAACCTCCCAGGGTCATGTCTCAGCCTCCTGAGTAGCTGGGACCACAGATCCGCACCACCACGCCAGACTATTTCTATTTTTTCTAGAGACAAGGTCTCTTTATGTTGCCCAGGCTGGTCTCAAACTCCTAGGTTCAAGTCGTCCTCCCACCTCAGCCTCCCAAAGTACTGGGATTACACCCGTGAGTCACCATGCCCAACCGATAATAAAGAAATTTAATGAAAGGGTTAACCTAGAATGTCTGTTAATATTCCTTTTGGCTGGGCATGGTGGCTCACGCCTGTAATCCCAGCACTTTGGGAGGCTGAGATGGGTGGATTATTTGAGGTCAAGAGTTCCAGATCAGCCTGGCCAACATGGTGAAACCCTGTCTCTACTAAAAATACAAAAACAATTAGCTTGGTATGGCAGTGCACGCCTGTAATCCCGGCTACTCGGGAGGCTGAGGCAGGAGAATTTCTTGAACCTGGGTGACGGAGGTTGCAGTGAGCCAAGATCGTGCCACTGCACTCCAGCCTGGCTGACACAGTGAGGCTTGGTCACCAAAAAAAAAAAAAAAAAAAAAATTCCTTTCAGTTATTGCATTTGATGAGTCTGTATTAATTTCCTAAAATATATCCACTGCATGCTTCAAACTAAATATATTGGCTTAATAACAGAAATATTTATTTAAATTACATATAGAAACCACAATGATTACACAGTGGTAAATGTGTTATCTAGGAAAATAAGCTTCAGATAGTTATATTTTTCTGTGAAAAAGATACAGATGCCAATAAAGGCTTCTAAATGCATAAAGGAGATCATGACCAGTTATTTTCTATAGCTGTTAATGAGAGAATAAGATAAAAGAGACTTAAATTATATTACAAGGACAGTAAAATAGATTTTTGCTTTATTTTTTCTTTCTCTTTGTAACAAATTACACCATCATAATCTTCTAACATTCTTTTAATCATTCATTAAACCCTTCAGCTTTGACTGAGTGCCTGAAATACACATTACTTTGCTGGCTCGGCACTGGGGGGTACAAAGGTGAGTAACAAAATGAGGTTCTATGCCTTTAAAATGCTTATAGGGGCCAGGTGCAGTGGCTCACACCTGTAATCCCAGCACTTTGGGAGGCCGAGGCAAGTGGATCATTTGAGGCCAGGTGTTCAAGACCAGCCTGGCCAACATGGTGAAAATCTATCTCTAGTAAAAACACAAAAATTAGTGGGACATGGTGGCATGAACCTGCAATCCCAGCTACTCATGAAGCTGAGGCTGAGAATCTCTTGAACCCGGGAAGCAGAGGTTGCAGTGAGCTGAGATCACACCACTGCACTACAGCCTGGGCAACAGAGCGAGACTCTGTCTCAAAAAATAAATGAATAAATAAGTAAAATAGAAACTAAAATAAAGTGCTTATAGGATCTTCAACCACAATTTTTCTTGTTCCCTGATAGTAAACCTAATAGAGAATTCAGGATTTATCTTACACTTGAAATTTTGTTACTGATTACTGAAAAATTATCTACAAGCACGCAACTACGAGTTTTACAGAAACCTGGTCTCAGGAGTTATGAACCAAAGATTCACCAGTGGATTCCGCAGGGTTTTCAGATCCCCTGAAATCATGTGCTAGGTGCTGACTGCATTTTTCTGGAGAGGCTATAATGGTTTTCATTCATCTGATTCCTCTCAAATAGTAAAAATCGCCAATGGAATGGAGCCACACATCCCGTAGCAGAAAATTCTAAAAAACCAGGAAAAAGATGAAACATGGTACCATGTACCTGCTCAGCCTCTACAGATCCTGCTTCTGGAAGTTGAAACAAATTCTTAAAACTTGCACAACTTTTTTTCTAGTGTTTGAATGACCTCTAGTGGCTCCTTAAATTATCACAGCCAATTGCTCACAGCAGGAATTAGGTTGATGCAAAAGAAATTCACAGATTTTGCCATTAAAAGTAATGAACTAAAGAACTAAAAGGTGTGGAGAAATAACAAAATTAAGATGGCATCACAAAGGAGCACCTGGCTCAATTTCAAGTTATTATATAAGCTCCCTACTATCCAACCAAATGTAGTTCACAATACAGTGTGTGTAATTCAAAACAGTCCACCAGATAGTTCAGTACACACCATTTTTTAAAATGAAATAAGTATGATTTTCCCTAAGTTCTTGCATTTCAAATTAATAAAGCATCAGCAAACACCCATGAAGAGAACGGTACCGGAATCAAAGATACAAGAACCTCGGGAATTAACACCCACCCTTTCCTCTCAGTTGAGGCAGGACCAGGAATAATAAAATACAACGTTGACAAAGTACAACAACTGGAGTAGGAGAAATACTTTGAGAATACAAACTGGCCACAGAACTCAACCTGAGTGAGCACAAGTAACAAATATGGCTCAGGAACTCCTGGGCCAAACTCTCCAAGTGGGAGTGCAGCAGCCGCAACAGCAAGTACCAGTAGAACGAGGGCAGCACATCACCCAGGGTGACCAGCAGGTCCTAGGTTACTTCACATGCCCTCTGCCCAGTCCCTTGAGAATTCCTGCAGCAGCAAAACATACCATTTTCCAGGCACTGCTACAGGGAGTCCCAAGCATACTGATACACTTTCATTCACTTATTTCAAAATATTTGTCAGTATCTAGATATACACAAGACACTGTCTAGGCACCGGGGTGGAGTGTTGAACAAGACAATTCACAATCCCTGTTCCAATGGAGCTTGTAGTCTACTGTGGAAAGAGAAATAAATACATAAAATGCCAGGTGGTGATATATGCTGTGAAAAAGATCAAGTAGAACAACGGGGTTTGGAAATTACAGGGTGCCCATAGTGTTCTTTTCTATAAGTTGGTCATCTCAATTCAGACTAGCCAATCTTGAAGCGCTCAATAGCTACAGTGGCTGGTGGCTACTATACTAGATAGCGCAACAAATCTGAAACTATCATTCATGCCTTTTTAGTTCATAATTTTTATCCTCTTTCTTTCTGAATCCTAAGAGAATTCATCCAACTGATCTTCAAATTCACTAACTCAGCTTCCTAAAGTATCCATACTCTACTGCAACTACTGAATCATTTAATTCAACAGTCATATTTTACATATTCAGAGGCTCTTTCTTCTCAGCTCCTGAGCAACAAATGCCTGCTCTGACGATGCAGGAATATCCTCTAAAATCTTGGGACTTTGTCTTGGACTTTATGTTCTCTCCCATCTCCTACAGCTACTCCATCTCACTGGAGACCTTTTGCTCTGAGCCATCAGAAGGAACCCCCATTTTTAAGATCCTAAGCCTTCTCATCTTCCTGGTAATACTGCCCTATATGCTCAATCTTTTAGATAAAAATCTACTCGACACATCTCTGAGAACCAAGTTGGGTACCATCAGTAATCACACAGGTCACAATTCATTTATTTTAGGCCCCCCAAAAAAGGAAAAAATTAGACTTAGTGGCATTTTACTAGTAGCTCAGAGATCCAACAGTTTGCAGGAAATAGAGATGGAATTGTAAGCAAGGGAAATACAGTGAAATTATATTAATCTCCACCCAGACACTATAAGGACAGCTGGGATACTATCCCAGCAATTGGCTACTGCAGTGAACGGCACAGAGAGGAAAGTTTCCAATTCCTCTTAAGGCTCCAAATACCAATTGGCTACTATAGTGGACAACACAGACACAGAAAATGTTCCAATTCCTCTTAAAGCCCCAAATACCACACAACCAGCTTCAGCTCTACAAAATACCCTCTCCTTACCCCCTTTTAACCTCCTTCAGGACCTCTTGCTATTTCCCCTAAAAAGTCTTGGTTCTTTTCACCTACACTGACTCTTGAGCCTCTCCCAATTCAAGGGATAAAACTCTATTACCAATTAAGTGTAATACACATTAACAGAATAGGTAGAAAGTAATCTTTCATACGAAAACACTGAAAGCCAGAAGAATTTGAATTTTGAATTATAAGCTATGATTTAATTAGGAAATACATTAGCTGTAACAAAATGTTGGACAGACTACAAGAAAACGGGAAATGAACAAGTCTTATTCAAAAACAAATGAAATAATGATGAGTAGGGTTCACGAGCCTTGTTAACTCTGCTGTGCCATTTTAATGATGGACTACATTGTAAATGAGCCGCTATGTTTAAGCCTAAAGGTCTATTGAGGTGATAGTTTTCGAACAATTTCCACAATCCCACAAAGAAAAATCAAGTGAAGGTCAAGGAAAGCCGCATGTTCTAAATTACGGAATCAACAACAGTATTTCTTGTCATTCATCACATTTCAGTCATAAAAGACATTACCTCAACAACAGGTGTATTTTCCTGGAGCTCAGTTGTGTGAAAAGCCAGTAAACCAACCACCCAAGCAACGTTGGCCCATCTGTAAACGGAGAGAAAACAGGCTCTGAAGAGTAGGTACTGAGGAAACTAACCCCAGCTAGTTACATAATGCAACGAAGAGCATTAGATGTAAGACTGTGAAACAAAAATTGAATGTGACAGGTCAGGCCCACACTCCCCATTCTCTGGGCATCTACACAGCCCAGAGAATCTCTCCCTCATATACACAGGGAGACACGAACTGTAATGACTGCGGCAATTCTGCAATAGCAACAAAATTTAAACAAGTTATGGTGTAATAGTAAAAGGAAAAATAAAATTTTTTAAAAGCCTTAACCAGAGAAAAGAGCAAAACAGTAATTAATCATTTTATTTCTGAGTACAGAGGCATTTGGCTAAAGGTCTCTTTTCTACTTGTTAGTAGATCAGTGAGTTTCTATGTAAGTGCTAAATATCTGAACAATAACATACCTGTATGCGTTAAGTTTAAAAGAAACTTTTACAATTAAAAGTGTTTAAAATATTGTACTATTTCCATAAACACTAGTCTTAATGAGGTGTTCCTTTAGTGTCCAGCAGAAAACTGAATTTGATAAATCACTATTAATAAATCACAGTGTGATTTGAAAAGGTATTTCATGCAGAAAAATTCGTTTTGAAGAGATTTTTTCTAATTGAAACAAATGGTGAGTTGATGAGAACTGCACTCATTGAGTGATGTCTGCATGTTGTCTGGGGTAATCAGTATGTACCTTAGCTTTTATTTTTTACCTTCTTAAAGTAAACCCATGTGTGGCCAGGCATGGTGGCTCACGCCTGTAATCCCAGCACTTTGGGAAGCCGAGGCAGGCGGATCACAAGGTCAGGAGATCAAGACCATCCTGGCTAACCCAGTGAAATCCTGTCTCTACGAAAAATACAAAAAACTTAGCTGGGTGTGGTGGCAAGCACCTGTAGTCCCAGCTACTCGGGAGGCTGAGGCAGGAGAATGACGTGAACCTGGGAGGTGGCGCTTGCAGTGAGCCGAGATCACGTCAGTGCACTCCAGCCTGGGTGACAAAGTGAGACTCTGTCTCAAAATAAATAAATAAATAAATAAATAAATAAATAAACCTATGTGGCACCCATGGGGGAAAACAAATCAGACTCAGAGAAGTACTACCGGGAAAAGGTCTGCTTTATCACAACTCTAACATACGGAAATAATTCTTAGAAATTTCAACACTTATTAAATTGCCCATTAAAATTTCTTAACATATACAAATTAAAGAAGTCCTAGGCAATTGGAGAGTTAGCATCCCACCTCCAAATAAAAAGATTATAGGTTAAAAGTAATCATTTTGAAAAATATCTGTAGGATAATTGGAAAAGCCATCCTACCACCACAACCCCCCAAGTAGCTGGGACTACAGGCGTGCACCACCACGCTCAGCTAATTTTTTTACTTTTTGTAGAGATGGGGTCTTGTTATGATGCCCAGGCTGGCCTTGAACTCCTAACAAACAATCCTCCTATCTCAGCCTCCCAAACTGCTGAGATTACAGGCCTGAGCCACTGCACCTGCCTATCTCTTTCCAAAGACAAGCTAAAAATACTTTTGAAACACTGAACCATTTTTCAATCTATAAAAGTAAATAATGGCTACCAGATTTAATCAACTAAAATAAAAATCTAACAACATGTCAGTTATTTTCCCTAATATGACCAAAACAATTATTATTAGAATAAGAGAAAACACACTACCTAAAAACCCTATACTTTTAAAATAGAAACTTTAAATAGCTTATGAATAGTCACTTTTTACCAAAATCCTAAATACAAGTACCACATGCCCCATAGACAACACCCTCACAGTACAGGTTCCTTCTCAAAATTCAGGTTTTCTCAGGTCACCACTCCAGGTGCCCCCAGTGACTTGACACTGTACCTCAGAACCAACCCATCTCCATGACGGCATCTAAGGCACCACTGTCTACCAAACCTTCGTGCACTGACAAATGTCCCACATCTGCACTGTTCAATCCAGTATCCACTAGACACATGACTATCAAGCACATAATATATGACACATGCAAGTGAGGAACAACAAATTTTATTCAAATTAATTTTTTTTTTTTTTTTGGGAGACAGGGTCATCCAAGCTAGAGAGCAGTGGCGCAGTCTCCGCTCACTGCAATGCCTCCCGGGCTCAAGTAATCCTCCCAACTCAGCCTCCCAAATAGCCGGGACTATAGGTGTGTGTCACCACACCTGGCTAATTTTTGTATTTTTAGTAAAAACGGGGTTTCGTCATGTTGTCCAGGCTGGTCTTGAGCTCCTGAGCTCAACTGATCTGCCCACCTCAGCCTCCCAAAGTGCTGGGATTACAGGCGTTAGCTACTGCATCTCGCCTTAACTTTTCTTTTAAAAATTACTCCCACAGTTGAGGGTGAGGGAGACAGTGCCCTGGGGTAATTACTCATCTTTCATGTGCCTAGTCCTGGTTACCTCATAAGTAGGACCGATAACAATACATACCGCATGTTGTTAAAAGAATCAAAGGAGATAATCCATGTGCAGAAAGTACCATTGTGTCTGACAATACATGCTGAATGAGTAAGCTACTATTAATTTAATTAATTTAAATGACCCCCATGAAGTGAATGGCTACCACATTAGAGCAGAACTAAAATTTTGCAGTTACTTATTCATTCGTTGACTGGTTTATTGTCTGTCTCCCCGACCAGCCCAGAAGATCCATGAAGGCAGGGCTGTATCCCGATCGCCACTGTGACACCTAGACAGTGCTTGGAGCGCACTCGGGCATCTAAAAATGTTGGTTGAACAAATATATCAACATCAAAAGCAAAATAAACACATTAGTAGGAAAGGAGTGCATAAAAGTATGGCTGTCCAAGGCAAACAAAATGCAAACAGGATTGCCAATGTAAATCTCAGCAGAATTCAAGGCTAAACTCTTCAGAAAAAGATTCCCTTTAAACTAAACACCATATGACCTACAAAAGATCTAAGGTGTGAATCTTTATACACCAAATAACAAAGCACGCAAAGTAAACCCATGGTAGTGGTAAACTTCAATTTTCTTCTCTTCCAAGCACAGAGAGAAGGCAATAATGAATATATTAATCAATACATTCATACATTCAAGCATCCTAAATAAAACTAATGAAGTCAAAGTAACAGACGTATCTATCAAACTCTACACCCTACAAACAGTGACCACCCTTACTCAGTGGGAGGCTGCATAGGATGGTGTCTAACACTCTAGAATTCAAAGTCTTGGACCTAGCTCTGGCCCAACATTGGAGGTGAGGGAGACAGTACCCTGGGATAATTACTCATCTTTCATGAGCCTGGTTTCATGTTGTTCTAAGAATCAGGAGATAATCCACATGCAGAAATTACCACTGTGTCCTGACAATTTGTGCTGACTGAGCAAGCTACTATTACTACATTATTATCAATACTTGACTACATTCATGGCATACATTTAAAATGATTTTATATTAGACCACAAAGATAAATCTTTAGAATTCCCTAGGGCAGAAATTATAAAGGACTCATTTTGATATAGTAAAAGGAGAAAAGTAAAAATAGCAAATATAACCCAAAAAGCCTAAACACTTGTGGAGTTAAAAGCACTTCTCCTGGGCATGGTGGCTCATGCCTGTAATCCCAGCACTTTGGGAGACTGAGGCGGGTGGATCACTTGAGGTCAGAAGTTCAAAACCAGCCTGGCCAACATGGTGAAATGCCATCTCTACTAAAAAATACAAACATTAGCCGGGTATGGTGGTGGGCGCCTGTAATCCCACCTACTCGAGAGGCAGAGGCAGGAGAATTGTTGAACCCAGGAGGCAGAGGTTGCACTGAGCCGAGATCATGCCACTGCACTCCAGCCTGGGTAACAGAGCAAGACTCCCTCTCATAAATAAATAAATAAATAAAGCACTTCTATATACCTTATACACCATATTAAAAAGTGAAAACTTTGGCCAGGTACAGTGGCTCACACCTGTAATCCCTAGCACTTTAGGAGGACAAGATGGAATGATCACTAAGGCCAGGAGTTCAAGACCAGCCTGGCCAACAAAGTGACACTCTGTCTCTTCAAAAAAAAAAAAAAAAATTGTAATTTAGCCAGGCATGGTGGCATGTACCTGTAGTCCCATTGCAGCCTGGGGCACAAAGTGAGACCCTATTTTTTTAGAGTAAGTCTCTAAAAATAATACTAATAATAATAATAATAAAATAAGTAAATGAAAAGAAAAAATAAAAGGGAAAGGGAAAGAAAGAAAGCATCTGTAAATCAAAATCATGTAAGTAACACAGATCCAAACTTATGAGACATTCTCTGTCTTTAACGGTTGCAGACTAAACACTCGACACTCACTTTTCTGAACCCTCTAGAGTCTCTAAAATACAAGCTCTTTTTATTAAATGATAATTGGAAACAAAAAGGAGGGCTAAAAGTGGACTAGAAAGTTTGAGAAAATCTCAGATGACATGCACAAATAGAATTAAGACTGACAGAGAATCAACAAAGGAATCCCCTGTCTAAGAACCACAGGTAGACAGACGTTCCCAAGGAAGCCTCAGGGACTTGGAATAAACTAAGACAAAAACAAAGAATGAGCCACAAGACAATCATCAGATTAAACAACTGCACAAAGAAAAATTGTGTCCTTGTACAAGGAACAGTTGAGCCAATCAGATCCTGTCTCCTTTCCGTCTCCTTCCCCTGGTACACAGAATAAACCCTGCAGCCCTGGCCTCCTGGGTAAACGTGGAAAATCGTTCCTACAGTGAGCAATCCACCTTGCTCACTGGATGGATGGATGTGGGAAGCAGCGACTGTGGTCCTACAGATACTGAAGCGGGAAAGGGGTAAAATGAGGAAAGCCAGCTCCACTGCAAAGAAAAACCCACCCTGGCAATTGCAGAGGCCTCCAGCCTGCCTATCTGATCTTCAGCCAGCTGGAATCCCAAATTAAACTCAACCAGTCAACAGGCCTCACATACCACATATCAGCCCTTTCTTTAAAGGAAAGGCTATTGGAGAAAGAGACTTAGGCACGAATAAAGGAAACTCGTATTGCCAACTTCTATACCAATCAATTTAATCATTTATTCATAATATAAACGAAGAAACAGAGATCACCAGGCATTTGAGAAATAAACAGCATTAAAAAGCAGGACCATGATGAAAAACAAGTGACCTACAAGTTCAAGACATAAGAATACAATGTTTATAATCTGAATTTTGTTCCCTTTTTTTCAAAGTCCAGGTTCCAGGCTTATATTATATAATCCTAATGTTTAGCCTTAAATATTAATAACAACATTTAATTCTAAATTCTGCTCCAAGACGAGGATTTTTATAATCCTAATATTTATCCTCAAATTCAAAAGTACACACCTAATATAGGCAGCTAGGAAAAAGGACCAATCAGAGAAAAAGAAAATGAACAAAAACTTTCAAATATGATTGTTGAAATTAAAAAATTAACTGGAAATCCTAAATAATAAAATGAGTGGGGATAAATATCAAGTTTGAGAGCTCAAAGATAAAGTCAAGGAAGAGCAATAAAAGAAGAAAGTTTGCATGGACACAAAGAGGGAACAATCGACACGGGGGCCTATTTAGGGTGGAGGGTGGGAGGAGGGAGAGGATCAGAAAAAATAACAATTGGTCCTTACCAAGCTTAGTGCCTGGGTGACCAAATAATTCATACAACAAACCCCCATAACATGAGTTCACCTATATAACAAACCTGCATGTGTACCCCTGAACCTAAAATAAAAGTTTAACAAAGAGACTTTGGCAGTTCTTCAAAAGGTTCAACACAGAGTTACCATTTTATCCAGCAATCTCACCACTGTAGGAGAAATAAAAACGTATATGTTCACACAAAACCCTGTGGACAAATGTTCAGAGCACCATTATTCATAATAGCCAAATATGGAAACAACCCCAAATGTCCATCAAGACCACATAAGCAAAATGTGGAATAGCCATACAAAGATTATTCAGCTAGAAAAAGAATGAAGTACTCACACATTCCACCATACGGAGGAACCTTGAAAACATTATGCTAAATGACAGAAGCTAGACACAAAAGGCCACACACTGTATGATTCCATTTATATGAAATATCAAGAATAGCAAATCAGCTGACAAGAAGTAGATTAGTTGTTGCCAGGGGTTGGAGAAGAATGGGTACTGGGTTTCACTGGGTGAGAAAACTGTTCTGAAATTAGATAGTGGCGATGGTTGAACAGTTTTCAATATACTGACACCTACTGAACTGTACACATTAAAATGGTGAATTTTATGGTATGTGAATTATATCTCAATAAACAAGAGAAAGTGAGAAAGCAAAAGAAAATTTGAAAAAAGAGTCAAGAGACACAAACTCCCACACCCATCCTGTAGGGGTTTCAGGAACAGAAAAAGGATGAAATAGAGAGGAAGAAATCTAAGAAGTAATATGAAAGCTAAAGGAGGGGTGAAGAGGATAGGCATTGTGGCTTACACCTATAATCTCAGCACTTTGGGAGGCCAATGCAAGTGGATCACTTGAGGTCAGGGGTTCGAGACCAGCCTGGCCAACATGGTGAAAACCAATCTCTACTGAAAACACAAAAATTAACTGGGCATGGTGGCACACACCTGTAATCCCAGCTACTCAGGAGGCTGAGGCAGGAGACTCACTTGAACCTGGGAGGTAGAGGTTGCAGTGAGCCAAGATTACCCCACTGCACTCCAGCCTGGGTGACAGAGCAATACTCTATCTCAAAATAAATGGAAAGAAAAGAAGGGAAGGAAGGGATGGGAGAGGGGAAGGAAGGCATGGGAGAGGGGAAGGAAGGGGAAGAAGGGGAGGGAGGAAGGGAGAGAGGGAGGGAGGGAGGGAGGGAGGAAGGCAGGAAGGCAGGCAGGCAGAAGCAAATTAGTAAAAAGAGATGGCAGGAAGGCAGGCTGAAGCAAATTAGTAAAAGAGATTCCTAGAGACAATCTAGTAAAATTTACAGGCCTGGAATAAAAAGAAATGCTAACTCAAATAAGACACACAAAAGACGGGGTAAAAATAAAAGGTAAGGTTGACCCCCAAGTCCTACAGAGCTACAGTTAGTACAGGGAAGAGAGCTCAAACACCAAAGCATGGCACAGAGGTAAGCCACTGAGAGGCCTTGTTCAAAAGAAAGCAAAACAAAAAATCTGTCAGCCAGGCATGGTGGCTCATGCCTATAATCCCAGCACTTTGGGAGGCCAAAGCAGGTGGATCACCTGAGGTCAGGAGTTGAAGACCATCTGGCCAACATGGTGAAACCCTGTCTCTACAAAAATACAAAAATTGCCAAGCATGATGGCAGGTGCCTGTAATCCCAGCTACACGGGAGGCTGACACAGAACAATCGCTTGAACCCAGGAAGCAGAGGTTGCAGTGAGCTGAGATCGCGCCACTGCACTCCAGCCTGGGCGACAGAGCGAGACTCCGTCTCAAACAACAAAAAAACCTATCCAATGATAAAATATAATCAACCAAGAGGAGAACTACACCAAAGAAACAGGAAAACTGTGTTTTTAATTAAAAAATTAATGATGGATGAGCATTTACCTTATTCAAGTATAAAACTCTTATTTAAAAAATAGAAAAATTCTTCCTAAATTCATATCTCAAAAAGGCACTTGCCACAGTAAAAAGCGACCAGTGTAATGAGAGAAGATATTTACAATCATTTATCTGACACGGGGTTAATATCTAGAATATATAAAAAATACCTACAACTCTAAACAACATAAAACTCAATACAAAAATTGGCAAATGACTTGATTAGACCTTTCTCCAAATAGCCAACAATCAAACAAAAAGATGTTCAACATCAGTAGTCACAAAATACAAATCAAAACCATGAGATACTACTTCACACCCATCAGGATAGCTGTTAGCAAAAAACAAAAACAGAAAACACTAATGTTCGTAGCAGCATTGTTCACAATAGCCAAGAGATATAAACAAGCCAGTGCCCAACAACAGATGAAAAAATAAACAAACTGTGGTATATACATACAAAGGGATATGATTCAGCCTTAAAAAGGAATGAAATGCTGACACATGGTTAGTTACAACATGGATGAACCTTGCAAATGAAACCAGCCCAATTGTCCTATAGAACTGATGCTTACAGTCTTTTAAAATAAAGATAGAAATTGACCCTCCCAGTCTTAAAACTTGAGAAAGTTACATTTGTCTTATCTGAATTCCTTTTTTGGGAAACAAACCATAAGGCCTCCCAGATAGTTATCAAGGAACTGAAACTTACCACATCACCACATCTGAACCATAAGACACCAGACCACCTCACCCATCACAATTGCCTAACCAACTACCTGCTTCCTGTTGACCAACTCCTCTTCCTCACCCTTCCCTAACTCCTGTTTTCCCATACATGGTTACATTTCTTCCCTGCTAAATAAACCCCTGGTTTTAGTCAGTGGAGGTGACAAATTTGAGATTGATCTCCCATCTCCTTAGCTGCAGTACCCAGTTGAAGCCTTCTTCCCTAGCAACACTCATCGTCTCTGTGATTGGCTTTCTGAGCTGTGAGCAACAGGACCTAGACCAAACCCCTTGATGTTTCGGTAGCAATATGAGGTGCTCACCATAAGCAAATTCACCAGGATAGAATAAGTAGAGTATAGCTCACCAGGACTGGGGAAGGGAAAGGGGAAGTTACCGTTTAATGGGTAAAGAGCTTCTGTTTAAGATGACGAAAAAGTTCTGGAAATGAATAGTGGTGATGGTTATACAACAATGGGAATGAACTAAATGCCACTGTACACATAAAAATGGCTGAAATGGAACATTTTAAATTATGCATAATATACAATTAACACATTTTTAAAATTACACTATTACAATATTACTATATATGAATTATACCTCATAAAGTTGATTGGCAAGGATAGAAGGATACACAATTTGATAAATACTCAATGTTGGAAGTTCTAACAAAAGGCATTTTAAACACATTGGGATTATATATTGATACAATTTATTTAAGAGTATTTCAGCAATTTTTTAGAAGTCACAAAGATATTTACTGCCTTCTACCCATTTGTTCTAATTTGTTCTAATTCTATGAATCTTCCCTAAAGAGAAAAAGAAAATGTGGGCACAAAGATTTAATCTCAAATATGTTCATCAAAATGTTGTTTCCAACATTATAATACTATCCAAAATTAGTAAACAAAATGATCAGATATTCACAACATATAAAAAGTTTACCTTATTATGTATTTTATTTTAAAATGTTAATAACATTTAAAATACATAATATATATGTTACAGGGGAAAACAAACTTATAAAATTATATCACGTGATTCTAATTTTTTTATATGCAAAACAAAACTAAGGAATAAATATGCCTACTTCAAAAATAGTTATCTCACAGACTACGTTAAGGACCCTTTATCATATGCTATCAAGGTAATATAACCTGAGATCAGAGAAAACCTCACTAGAAGTGGCTTTGAATGGAGAAAGAGAATAAAAGAAGATTCCTACCAGAGAACTTGTCTACCTCAGTATCATTTTATTCAAATTAAAACAGTTTTACAATCAAACTTCAATTCTTAAAAGCAGAGGAAAAATAGTATGTGTGAATTTTGGTATCCAAGGGGATACTAGAACCAATCTCCGGGCTGATACAGAGGGATGACTGTACTTGGAAATGATTTGGAATGTCTGTTTGAAAATGTCAACAGGGGGCACCCCATTCAAGGGTATAACATGTTTTAAATAAAAGTGTTTAAATAAATATTTCATTGATTCATTTTTAATGAGCATACCATAAGCCTTCTCAAAGTATTAAATGCTCAAAGTATTAAATCCTACTTTCTATTACCAGATTTTACTTTGGGAGAGTAACATTACAAGATGTATAATAAGAATTACCCTTATTATTAAGCATTTTCTAAACTCCTATTGTTTCACCCATATTTTACCAGCATCGAAGAATAATTATTATACCACTGCCACAATTCACAAAATCCTTTCACCTCCGTTTTTTCATGTGCTTTTCCTAACAGTCATGAGATAAGCAAGCTTCATGATAATAACTGCAACTTCTACAACCCCAACCCCATTGTAAGTGAAATACCCACTAAGAATCAGGCACTATACAAGGTATCACATATTTACCTCATTCACAGTGGAATAATTACAAAAATCTATGAAGTAGTTATCTCATCTCCATCGAAATTTTACAGATGAGGAAACTTCGACTCAGCAATTAAAGTAATTGGCCCAGAACACAGATCTTTGATCCACACCCAGGTCTGTCTGAATCCTAAACCTATGTCATTTCCTTGTTCCACTCACCCTCCCCAGGAAACAGAGAATGAGAAAAAGATAATCATTTGGCCAAGTCTTACAGGCAACAGGAACCCAGAGCCTTCTAACACTTGATCTACGGTGCTTTCCACCTGGTATGCTGCTCCTATAAAAAGTAAGGACACTTCCTTCCATTGGGAGTTTATAAATCATAATCTCATTAGCTTATAAATAAAATCATAGGGAAGCTACGTGCTACATGAGGGACAGATAAGGGTGGCCAAGGGAAACTTTGAGGAAGTATAACTAAATTAATACACAGGGATCAGGGTTGAAGTATTTTATAACCAATACTCAAAACAGTAACAGTTAGCCTGGCGCAGTGGCTCACTCCTGTAATCCTAACACTTTGGGAGTCAGAGATGGGAGAATCACTTGAGCCCAGGAGTTGGAAACCAGCCTGGGCAACATAGAGAGAGACCTTGTCTCTATGAAAATAAAAAAACAAGAACAGTTAATAAAGTTTCCAGGAGTAGCTTAGATAATCCCAGAATTGTATATTAGGAGAAGGGTTATTTTTAAATATTCTAAAATTTATAATTGGAATGCCCATAAAAATTGCCTATGAGTAGAGTCATCATTATGTCAGAAAAATTTATGATAATTATTTAGGACTGTGCTTTTGATAAGTATGTATGCTATAACTACTTAATAAAGTCATGAAAAATAATTTTTAAAATATAAATGTTACTTACATATCCCAGTTTGGAGCTATCCGCAAATACTGGATTAGCAATTAGAACTAGAATAAAAAATTTAAATATAAAAAAAGAAAAAATTAAAATATTTAACTCACACAACACAGAAAGTGACAGCAAAGTTAAAAACTCAGATCTTTATAAAAAGGAAATTTATGCTGTATACCAAAAATGATATTTACTAAATTACAAAGGCACTTGTATATGAATAAGATTAAAATAGAAACTAAGAACAGTACTTTTAGTTTCTCCTACCACTTTATATTCTCTAAATGACTGCCCTTACCTGATAGACACACACCAACTATCGAAAAAAGTAACCTTAATACTATCCTGGGAGCAAATGAACTTAAATTTTTTCAAGCCAATTCCCAAATGAGGGCCCACTACAGAAAACACCTCTGAACCACCGTAATTCCTTTCTGAGGATGACTCCAAAAACTCTGCCAATTGATGCTAAACATGAGCCCAAAGAAACAAAAAACAAAAAAACGCTGACAAATTCCCATAAGCTTACCAATGGACCAAGATTGTCCAAAACGTAATATTCCCAGAGGATAGGAAAAAAATGTCTTAGGGGGTTGATGTCTGCCTTCAATGTCACAGCAGAAACCTTGCAGTTTACCAGATGACCCAGTAAAGGAACCAACACCCACAACCCATTCCACATGGGCAGTTCATTCCAGTCACTGATGAGAAGGGAAAAGGTCTTATGATATCACGTTTTGTTTTGTTTTGTTTTGAGATGGAGTTTCGCTCTTTTTGCCCAGGCTGGAGTGCAATGCCGCAATCTCGGCTCACTGCAACCTCTGGCTCCCAGGTTCAAGTGATTCTCCTGCCTCAGCCTCGCCAGTAGTTAGGATTACACGAGTGCACCACCACGCCCGGCTAATTTTGTATTTTTAGTAGAGATGGGGTTTCACCACGTTGGCCAGGCTGGTTTCAAACTGCTGACCTCAGGTGATCCACCCGCCTCAGCCTCCCAAAGTGCTGGGATTACAGGCATGAGCCACTGCGCCTGGGCTAATTTCACATATTTTTTTTTTTTTTTGAGACGGAGTCTCGCTGTCGCCCAGGCTGGAGTGCAGTGGCACAATCTCAGCTCACTGCAGGCTCCGCGCCCCTGGGGTTCACGCCATTTTCCTGCCTCAGCCTATATATTTTTTTAAAATCTTACAAGTTAACATAAAATGGAAATCTAAGTATTACAAACAACAACAACAGAAAGTTCAAAATCACCATCTACTCTCATCTACTTTAAGACCTAAGGATTAAGCAGACGATAATTTGCATAAACCTAAAATCATGATAAATCAGTTTTTTCATGGTAGTTAAATCAAATTGCTATTTTAGCACTTGTTTGAGCCTCTATAAAAACATACATTTAAATGCATAAGTCATGTCACAGAGGCCTACCAGCGGGGAAAGGAGAAGCCTGGTGGCCACCTCCTGGTGACCAGCCACCATGCACAAATAGCAAAGGAGATTAAACTTGGCTCAGGAGGTCCCCGAGCTCTTCTCACTGGAGTCGATCTGCGAGCACACTTGTTACAAAAAGTCATTCCAATCTTGGTCTTTCAGAAATTATAACTTATCCACTGCCAAGGAAAGAAAATAACAGAAGTATGATGATGAGAAAAACAACTGCTGGAAACATTACATGAGAAACACAGAATTACGACAACTAAGATGAGGATAAAGAAAACATTACACTGTCAAAATCAAAAATACTCCAAAGATGACACTACTTCTATTTGTCCTTCTATATTTCCCATCTCTTTATCTACACATGGAAACTTTTTAACCACTTCAATGGAAAACTATGCTTTCAAATAAAGCAGATGTCTAAAGCAGAATTGTCCCACAACCTAGACTATAACAAAATGTAAAGTTGAATACGACTGAAGTAAAAGACAAAAGAGCCTTTGTATAAATAAATCAACTCTCAAATATTGAGAAAAGCACAAATCCCAGTTATTAAAAAGTTCCAATAAAATCACTGTAAAAAAATAACGAGGATAACATGATAGCTAAAATCACCTGAAATTTTAGCTCCAAATCCCTATACAAAAAAAGGGCAAAATCTAGGAAATGTGATACCCCCTAAAATTAACATATTTTTGGCTGATCTCAATCTTTAGACAAAAGAAATTGTAAATATAATTTCCTAAATAAACCAAAGAAGAAAAAATAAATAGTATTTCCAGGTAATAATTCTCTAGGTTTGCATAAATAGACCTACTTGGCACTGAAAGCACTATTAATATTTTGCTTCACTTTGGTCTTTCAAAAACATCCTTCACAGGTTTTTTTGGTTGTTTTTATCGGTAATTAGGTTGACTGATACAAACCCTTAGCTAGTTTATTTAAACCTAAATATATTTTAAATTTATTTCAAATCATAGATTCTAATCTAGCCACAATGAATAATTTTCCCCAAATTGAGTTTAACAGCTTAAAATATAATTTGTTAAAAAAAAAAGTTTAAGGTATGTAAAAATTTCTGACTTTCACCCTAAATAAGATTTTCATTAGCTCAACAGAAATGTAATAATTATCCCTTAAGTATCTCCACTCCCACACCATCTCCACAGTCATGAACCACCTAGTCCCGTTCTCAAATGTCCTGGTCCCGCCAATAGAATCCCAATCCTTCCTTGTTGTCCCCAACCCTGTGCACCTACACCTGCCATAAATGGTGGAAATTCAACCAGCTCTATGAACGGAAGGGAGGAGGCCCCCCACCCACTCTACAGGAAAACTTGCCCAGATCTACAGGAACCTCCCCACACACAAGAGGACAGGGCAGCCCAGACTCATGTCAACAGCTGGCACAAATGAATTACAGATTACTTACAATTCACATAACACTGACCCAAGAATATAACCAATTGTCAAGACAAAATAAATTTAGTTATTCACATACAAATATTCCATTTGTGAATAAATTTCATATTCGTATCTGTATACAAAGTCTACATGTTCGATAAGTCCTTTATGATCCTACCTGAAAATGCTGGTAGATGCAATATTTTTGGATCAAATTTAACCGATGGTGGTTGTTTCATTATCTGTGGTTAAAAAAAATAAAACCTTTTGAGACAATTTTTGAGATTGATATGTCTCCTTATATGTCCCTTATATCAGATAATAAATCAATGAGGACAAAAAAAGAATGTGTAAAATTTGTTACCAAAAACAATAAGAACGATGCCTTTTCAGATTAAAACATACAAATATAGATAATTTATTTTAAAAAATCATTTCAATTGATATCTGTAATAAAATAAAGCTTCAAAGAAAAAATTCACCCCTATCTTGGCTTACTCTTTAGATAATTTACCTCTAATTAGAAATTCAGTCATTCAACAAATATCTATTGGGTACCGTGCCAAGGTAAGGCTCTATGCCAAGTGCTAAGGGGGATACAAAAATATAAAAGACACAATCCTATTTTCAGAGAGCTGACATTCTGGTTGGGAAGATGAGACAAACATTTGATAAACAACAAAATATTTCACAATTCAAAAGAGGCAGGACATAACTACAGACAAAACCCTGGACAGAAAGAATTTTTTTTTTTTGTAAATAGTAGTTTAGAGAATACAGCAAGCACTTTACTTGATACAGTTGGCACTGGGTTTACAGAAGAGGTATAAGGTGGGTTGAGGTCTTGAAGGATGGCTGGAACTTTATGGTTATATCAGAGAAGACTCCATTCAAGGAAGCCATAATAGCATGAATTGGAAAGTGCACAATTTGAGAAATGTGAAGAAACCATGTAGTTGGATCCATGAGCTTCGGACAGCCAGATACTGCATCTTGAGACTTTTAATTAAAAATTCAACCATCATTTCTATACCTAACTTCTGCAAAACTTCTATATGTAATATTTCTTAAAACCTTTACTAATTAAGTAACCAGCATTACTGTATTTACTGCAGTATTCTTACTAAAATGCATATTCCCATTCTAATCTCATAATCCAAATTCATAATCTCATTCTAATCATGAGAAACCCTTAGACAAACCTAAATTAAGGGACATTCTTCAAAACACCCAACCAGTTACTCTTCAAAGTGTCAAGGACTTGAGTCATACGTTTTATAACATGTATTACAAAAACATACAAAGGCCAGGTGCCGTGGCTCACGCCTGTACGCCCAGCACTTTGGCAGGCCTAGGCAGGCGGATCATGAGGTCAGGAGTTCAAGACCAGCCTGGCCAACATGATAAAATCCCGTCTCTACTAAAACTACAAAACTTAGCCAGGCGCAGTGGCAGGCCCCTGTAATCCTAGCTACTCAGGAGGCTGAGGCAGGAGAATAGCTTGAACCCGGTCGGCAGAGGTTGCAGTGAGCTGAGATCACACCACTACATTCCAACCTGGGTGACAGAGTGAGACTTCATCTCAAAAAAAAAAAAAAAAGAAAACTGTCAAGGTCATGAAAGGCAAGAAAAGTCTGAGAAATTCTGACAAAACCATGAAAGACTAGGACAGATTATATGAGACTAAGGGGGCATAACAACAAACTGTAATGTGGCATCCTGGAAGAAAACAAAAAGAATATTAGAGGCAACTGGTAAAATTCAAATAAATTTGATAGTTTAGTTAACAGCACTATTCTCATGTTTTATTTTTCCTTTTACAGAAAGAATGTAAAAGGAGCAATCAGGGTACTGCACACCATCATTACACAGACATATGAATCAAGTATCATGCAACTCCAACTACCACATTCTACTGCCCTCCAATAGCAGCAATTAGATTCAAAGCCTTAATTTCTATCCCAAGCAACAACCGAAATCACTTAATTTCTGGTTAGAAACTTCAAGTGTCAAATAACCCAACTCAGCTAAGAAAAAGCATTCATTTCTTACTTTTGACTTGCCAATTAAAGGTCAGCTTAAGCATTACTTTTATATTAGAGCTTTTCTTTAAACTCTTTTAATAATACAAGGCAGGGATAGGCACCATTGCAGACTGGAAAAAGAACAAGATTTGGAGACAGGCTTGAGTTTGCTCCATCACTTACTAAATGGCTTTAGGCTCTGAAAACGGACTTCTATGATGAATATTACTGTTATCTATATAAAATATTTAGTCAGTATCTAGTACATAATACTAATTAATGGTATTATAAAAAATAAGCTATTGGCAAACAAGTTGGAATCTGAGTATTTGAGATATACCTGCTGGCCAACTGCTACCCACCTGACTCCTGAATGTAATTTGTTCAATATTTTTGGCAAGTAAACAAAAACTAATTATTCTATAACACATTCCTAATCCCTTGGCTGCTGCTGTGTTCCATGCAAATAATTACTGGTACAACAGAAGCTCAATTATTTAACACCATTTATATTATGAAATCAACTATAGTAAACAATTACAAAAGAAGTAAAATAGTTATGAACAAAGGCTCCATATACATTTATGTTTGAATCACGCCCAGGACACATTCAACAAACATGAACCCTCTCAATTCATCTGAGTTATTAATAAAGAATTCACAAAGTTTCCCAGAGACATTCACATTTTTTCAATTATGAAAACGGAAAAAAATACAACCACCTTAGAAACTTTTGGGTGCATTTAGCTAAAGAAAATTTTGGAAGCCAATATTATACATCTAAAGTGTCATAAGTAGCTTTATTCTAGGGCTGCAGTCTAGTCACTTTAAAAATGTGTCCAGCCAGGCACCGTGGCTCACGTCTGTAATCCCAGTATTTTGGGAGGCTGAGGAGGGCGGATTGCTTGAGGCCAGGAGTTCAAACGAGCCTGGCCAACATGGTGAAATCCCATCTCTACTAAAAATACAAAAATTAGCTGGGTGTGGTGGTGCATGCCTGTAATCCCAACTACTCAGGAGGCTGAGGCACAAGAATCACTTGAACATCGGAGGTGGATGTTGTAGTGAGCCAAGATCATGCCACTGTACTCCAGCCTGGGAGACAGAGCGAGACTCCGTCTCAAAAAATAAAAATAAAAAAATGCGTCAATGGTCGCAGAAGGCACAGTCAGAATATATGGAACAATGCAAATTTATCACATCTGTAAGAAAATTATGGCCAGGCATGGTGGCTCATACCTGTAATCCCAGCACTTTGGAAGACCAAGGCAGGTTGATCAGCTGATGTCAGGAGTTCAAGACCAGCCTGGCCAACGTGGTGAAACCCCGTCTCTACTAAAAATGCAAAAGAAAATTAGCCAGGTGTGGTGGTGGCCACCTATAATCCCAGCTACCTGGGAGGCTGAGGCAGGAAAATCGCTTGAACCTGAGAGGTGGTGGCTGCAGTGAGCCGAGATTGTGCCATTGCACTCTAGCCTGGGCAACAAGAGCAAAACTCTGTCTCAAAAAAAAAAAAAAGAGACAATTATGAATAGATACTCTATGGACTACAGACTAATGTTGTCTTTATATATTTTTAAAAGCATCATATTTTTTATAATCTAAACTTAGAAATCAATCTATTTTCAATTTTGCAAATGGAATTTGTTGAATTGTGGCTGAGAAAGTAGGGTCAAAGAAAAGTGGTGTAAAAATAATACGATTATTATTGTTGAACTTTTAAATTTTTTTATTAAAAAATTCATTGATTAGGCAAGCTCAAACTAAAAATAGAACAAGACTGTTTAACCTCTGTTTTGGGAGCTTGGAGGAGGAGAAGAAGGAATCAGTATGTTCATTCCTTGGGGAAAATGTAATGCTAATAAGCAAAGGCAGGTAGAACTACAACTCCCATTTGCCATTTGGAAAAAGTCCTCCAAACTGCAAAGGCTTTTAAATATTCAAAAAAAAAAAAACTGAACTATGTTACTTAAAAAAGTTTAAGTCTCCAACCTGTGAACACTGCAAAAGCTACAGACATAAGCTTCAGAGTTACTATCATCACATTTCAATGAGCCCTAGAGAACCTGTGAGGAAGTGTTTTTTCTGGAAAACCTCAAGTTGCTATTCTGTTCAACTTCTCAATAAAACAAATAAGAACCCTTTTGGACAACAGAAAAAAGAGACAGGCTTTGGGAAGGAACTCATATAACTCAGATAATGAATCAAAAATGAAACTTAACATTGTCTGAAACCAACAAAATAAAAATCTAAAATAATCAGAGATCACTCACATTTTGACTAAATGTAAGATAAATGAGATGGAGGACCCTGGGCTTAGAGTTTCATTTCATTTTTGGTTGATCGTAAGGTTAATATGAGCCAACTTGAATTCTGTATATGCTAAAAGAGCCAATTGAATCTAAGACCCAGACTAATCTCCGGATTAGCATGATCATACTCTATTACTCTCTGAAGGCTCTGGTTGGCCACATTAGAACTTGTAGTTAATATGGAAGAAAATGGCTGGGCTGGTAAGGGATCTGGAAGCCATGGCACAAGGAACAGCGTCAACAAAGTTCTAAAGCTTTTACAAAAGGTACTTGAGTCTAAAACTTTAAAAATACCCTCATTTTCAAACCATAACCTGCAATAGTAACGCTCCCACTTGGGAATCAGACATGATCAAACATCTGGCAACCTCAATTCAACAAATGACAGCAATAAAGCCACAGCTATAGACCCAGATGTAACTATAGCAGGATTCAGGATGTCTAATCACATAAAACCTAAGCATCAATGCTATCACCAGAAGCCCAAACTACTACTCTGGGTTATCACAACTTTCAATAGATGTTGTCATAACACACACACACACACACACACACACACACACACACACTCTATATTGAAACACTGTCTATTTTAAAAGGCAGGGGGTTTTATAAAAATTCATAGGTTGGATAAAACAGAATAAAGTTCTAGTTCCTAAGGGTGGTATTATTAATATGAAATTGCACTGTGCCCAGAATAGGCACTCATTTTAATCTTTACAATCCATTTATATAAATTCTATTTGCTACCTGATACTGGTATAGAACTGCTATTGAAGAGATTACTTGGCAACAGCTCAAAGTTAAAATTGTGCTTGATGGACTTCCTTTTCTTACTTGAGAAACCATGAGAAGAATCTACTGGCATGGCAATTTACACTTAGCATTTGGTGTAAGAATCACTGGTGATTCAGATAGCTGGGCTGAAAAAATATCAAAACAAAACCAACTTCTTGCTTCTACTGCAGAGTTGACAACATATAAAAGCTTTACATAATTTCTTCTTATAAAGCTATTACTTAGAGCTAAACAAAAAATGAGAATATATTTACATCATCAGTTAAGTAGATGTTGTTTAACTAAAACACTCTGCAATTACTTAAATGAAAATAAGGAAGTCGCAGAGGCAAGACTCTTAAGAGACAGCAGTTACTTAAATCTAACAGACTAAAAGATGCATATGATATACATTAAAGAATATTAATGTAAGGAAGAAATTACAATCAAGGAGTTGAAACAAAAACTAATCTAAATATTATTTTTGCTTTTCATCATAAGTGAGTATTAACCAGTTCATTTCTTCACTCTAGAAAACAGAAGATCATGTTGACTCTTACTGGCTGAATAATTTCAGCCACAAGCAAATTAGGATAAAAAATTGAAATATACAATAATGAACTTCTAGTCCTAAGATAAAAATGAGGTTGAACTATTTTCACACGTTCAATAGCATCTAAATTACAAACAGAAAAGCATGATTAAGAAGATTAAAGACATAGGAAACTAAAAAAATTTTTGCCTACAATTTTGGGTTCATTATAGCCTATGTAATTAGCAATGTCACAACATAGTGTGTATAGTACAGTATGACTATTAAAAATAATATTTGATTTGATTAAACTAAATTTGATTACTAAGTTAGGCAATTATTATTGTAATTGTATTTTATAGAATACTATACAAATTTTAATTTAAATAAATGCATATAATAAATACCTACCAATTCTTTCTTGTTGAGGTGTAATAGAAGGTGTTCTGTTAGGTTTAAATTTATTTAGTGCTCCACTAACAAAATCTGAAATGCAAGACATAAGCAATTACAACTTCACATTTACTTGTCTTTCACCAATAATTCATATTAATATTTGCGGTCTTCTTTCAACATGTAACTTTACATCGGCTTATAAATTTTAAGTTATTTAAGAGGAATTATTTCAAAATAGGAAAAATACTAAAGGATATATTTTTATTCCATTCCCCACTTATACTTCCATATCCCTAAAATAAAAAAGACATAATACAGAAAGAAATGTAATACAAATACATATAATGTACAGTAAGGGTAGGGAAAAAGAAATCATTACATGTTAAGGCAAAAGATGAAGGTCTGAACTGAGGCAAGAACCATGGAAATGGAGGCACGAATAAAAGTATTTAAAAGATCAGTAGAGATGGAAGTAAAAACATTATATCAATAAATAATGTAAGCAAATGAATAAAAGTGTCTGGAAAATAAATAACACAGTTTGACTAAAGTTGCTCAAAGACAGGAAATAGTAGACAGGTAGACAGATTGCTAGAGCAATCCTATGAAAGACCTTTAATGCCAAGCTATAAATATCCCTATTACCAATTAAAATTTCTGAAGGGTATGTGTGTGAGATACTTGAGTAGAGTTATACATTTAAAATGTAAGCCTTGGCCAGGTGCAGTGGCTCACACCTGTAATCCTAGCATTTTGGGAGGCCAAGGCAAGCAGATTACTTGATGTCCGGAGTTAGAGACCAGCCTGGCCAACACAGTGAAACCCCCTTTCTACTACATATACAAAAATTAGCCAGGCATGGTAGCGTGCACCTGTAATCCCAGCTACTTGGGAGACTGAGGCAAGAGAATCGCTTGAACCCAGGAGGTGGAGATTGCAGTGAACCAAGATAGCATCACTATACCCCAGCCTGGGTGACAAAGACAGACTCCGTCTCAAAAAAAAAAAAAAAAAAAAGTGAGCCTTAATAGCAATATGTAGGGTAGATTCAAAGAGGAGGCATAAAGACCAAGAAGATTCTTTTTTTAATTTTTATTTTTGAGACGGAGTCTCGCTATGTTGCCCAGGCTGGAGTGCAGTGGCCCGATCTCAGCCAACGACAACCTCCGCCTCCCAGGTTCACACCATTCTCCTGCCTCAGCCTCCCAAGTAGCTGGGACTACAGGCGCCCGCCACCACGCCCAGCTAATTTTTTATATTCTTAGTAGAGACGGGGTTTCACTGTGTTAGCCAGGATGGTCTCGATCTCCTGACCTCATGATCCGCCCACCTTGGTCTCCCAGAGTGCTGGAATTACAGGCGTAAGCCATCGCACCCGGCCAAGAAGATTCTTACAGTAACAATGCAATAAACACTATGGAGATAGAATCTTATATGACACAAAAACTGTCTGATTATAGATGGTAGAGGAAGAGGTAGAACCCATGGTTAAAGCCTGAGTTATCTAGGGAATAGTGGTGCTGTTAGAAGAAAATGGAATTCACACAGAACCAGGATAAAGAGGATAAAGATGGTCATTTCAAAACGTTAAGCTTAAAGCACCAATGAAAAGCAGATGTGATGAGGTCTCCCTAGCAAGCCATTAGTAAAGTGGAACTGACATTTTCAAGATAACGGTGGTACAGATGTGGTGGTTATCTATTTAGATGTGATAACTGAAACTACAGGACTGGTGATAACTGAAACTACAGGACTGGGAAAGAGGGCAATAAAGATGATCTGCATCTGAGAAATATCTCCATTTGGGATAGGAAGTTTTATGGGTTGCATTGTGTTCTCCAAAAAACCTATGTTTAAGTCCTAACCCCCAGTTCCTATGAAGGTGACCATACTTGGAATTCGTGTCTTTACAGATGTACTCGAGTTAAAATGAGGTCATTTGGGTGGGCCCTAATCCAATGTGCCCTGTAAGAGGGAAGTTCTGACACAGAGCAACACCATGGGATGACATAGGCAGGGATTGGAGTGACGCGGCTGCAAGCCAAGGAATGCTAAGGACTGACAGCCACTACCAGGAGCCAGGAAGAGGCAAGAAAGGATTCTCCCCTGCAGGTTTCAGGCATTCTGCCAACACCTTGATTTCAGACTTCTGGCCTCCAGAACGGTGAGACAAATTTCTGTTGGTTTAAGCCACCTAGTTTGTAGTACTTTGCTACAGTAGCCCTAGGAAAATCATACATAAGTCATCAGTATTATCCTATCTACAAAGGAGGTAAAGAAGAAACACAAGTATGCAATAACAAATAAACCAAAAGATGAAAAAGGGATTGGGATAGTTAGTAACATTTGGTTCTGATATTCAAAAGATAATAAATTTCCTAAAGTAATTGGAAGAATAATGGCCTCTGATTTCTTGATCAAGGAGATTGCAAGTTTTATTACCAACTCTACCATCTTATGATGGTCTTTTGGTCTTTCTGATTCTTCCTTGATAATATTTCCTTCATTATTTAGTTCGTACTCCTAACTAACTAATCCATGTCACTAACAAGTTCAAACAATAATCTCATGCCTGGACTACTGACACACATTGCTGACCATTCTCCCTACTTCCAAGTCTCAATTCTTCAAATCAGGTAATTTTCTAAAATTTTTAAATCATATCATGCCTCACATCATAAATCTTCAATGATTCACCAACACCCAGGTTAATATTCTAATTCTTTAGCCTGGCATTAAGTTTACCATAATACCATCCTTTATCCTTATGCTGAACACTTCACTCAAGTCATACTGCGCTATCTACATTAGACATAGGTTACTTCTTCCCTACACAAACCTTTCTTCATAGCATCCTTCTCATCTAGAATAGGATACAAGTATTCTGATCCTCCACCCAATCCCACTAAATTCTATCCATTATTCAAGAAGGTTCAGTTTGGCTCCTCTTTGACAAGTCCCTGATAATTACAATCCAGGGAACTTTTCTCCTTTTAACACATTTTATGTTTGTGCTAAAGATGTAGCACTTAACATTAGATTGTACTATCGCTTTAACTTTTTACACGCATACGTCCTATCTTTCCAGCTGTGCTTTAAGCACCAAAAAGGCACATACCACAGTTCATGCTTCTTTATGTGAAATGTACTTTCGATTAAAGCAAATCACCGTACCTCCATAAAATGGGACCACCACTTACCTCCTACACGTTGTCTTCTCTTTCTCTTATATTCACCAGGAGTTTCATATTCACCTTCTTCAAAGCCTTCCAGTGATGGAGTAGC
This sequence comes from Homo sapiens, assembly GCF_000001405.40. Classification (NCBI taxonomy): domain Eukaryota; kingdom Metazoa; phylum Chordata; class Mammalia; order Primates; family Hominidae; genus Homo; species Homo sapiens. Next base: position 2,808,638 of record NW_011332701.1, on the reverse strand, counting down.
ACAGAGACCATCAATACCCAACATGGCTGGTATCTTTTCCAGGATAAAGTCTGGTACACGCCCTAAATGAAAATGTTCACAAGTAAGACAATTATTATCCTTCCTCCACTCTTCCCCAAAAATGTTTAGATACTAATATACCAATTTCTTTTCTTTTTTTCTTTGCAGGAGGGGCCGGTACTGTAGGGTGGGGGTGAGGTCAGTAATATACCAACTTTCTAACAGTTGCCTTCATAGTTCCTTTGAAAGAAACAGAGATTTTCCTCATTTAAACAAATTCTGTTAATAATGCAACTACATCTTACCAATATCTGATGCATAATCGATAAGAGTCTGTACTACTGCAGCCTGTAATCGTACCTTCTTTTCTGCGTTAGAAGACATCTTTTCATGTCCTTCACTTGTCTGAAGAAGATTTGGTGCAAATATTACTGCAAGATTGCTGCTATCCATCTTATTCTCACTGGATCTTAAGTGAATAAACGCTTTATTAGATGGAGCCAAACGTGAAAATACAGAAGAGTTAAAATAACGTATGTAGTACATTTTGAAGACTTTATTATCAGTCATACACAAGTCAAAATAGTTACCCTTCATCTACATGATTGGCTTGAACACAAGAAAGAACCAGAAATATATAGCCTCTCTATATTTAAATATGTATTCTAAAAACCATGCTAATCTTAGAGTTCATACTTTGCTTTTCCACACAAATTGAACATCTTTATCTGATTTTCAGACCTACACATAAAAAGTTGGAAGTATCAGAAGGCAGCAAGTATGTCTAGAATAAGCAGGCTCACTGACAGCAGGGAGAGGGAAATTTTGAAAAGCAAAACAGAAATATTTTAAAAACCCAGTAAACAAAGGCTTTCAGTGGACAATGAATCTTATAAACACCAATGATGAACCATTAAGGCATTCATGATGATGACTTTAAGATAAGGAAATATTAAATCATTTGGTATGCTGTTTCTTAAATTAGAGTATACTCCTCATAGTAATGAAATATGGAATTTTTAAAGAAAAATTTCCATTCCAAATGAAATTGTACATATCTACAAGCATAAAACGTTAGTTGAAAAATTCAACTATTATTTGCCAAGAGTTTTAATTACCACTTACCTAAGAGAAACATTCCTGAGAAAGTTAAAGAAGTATCTTAATACATGAACTGTGTGGTCAGCCAGAAGACAGGAGAGCAACAGTATAGCTTTATTCTTTTCCTCTGTGCCTAACTGTTGAGCTTTCAAAAGTGCTTCATGCAAATCAGCTGGGAGAATGGGCTCTGGCAGTTCCCTAAAAAACTGCTTAAGAAGTCCCGCAATATCACAAGGAGGTGCAGAAGATAGGCAACCTTCACCATGATCCACTTTATTCTGAAATAAATATAATAATCTTGAGTATTTTGGCAACTTAAGAGTTTATTGCAAATAAAGAATCTTTTGTTATACTCTAATTACACTTTTCTTTAATAAATTTCTCTTAACTCTTATTTTAATATATGTCACTACTTTATTTTTAATGATTTTTGAATTTATTTTTATTTTTATAGAAATGTGGCACAGACTATGTGGCCTGGGCTGGCTTCAAACTCCCAGGCTCAAGCAATCTTCCTGCCTTAGCCTCCCAAGTAGCTGGGACTACAAGCATGTGCCACCACACTCAGCTATATCACTCCTTCTAGAAGGCTAACAACAATATAACTTAACACATTTTTTCATTTTACATAATACTTGATAGAAATAAGGACCATGAATTTAAAAGTACCCTATTAAATTTTTAAAGCACGATAGAAATAATATACCATTTCTTTTGGAAAAAAAAAAAATCTTCTGCCATGAAAAAAATGCAAATTCAATTTCTGTCAACTATTCATATTAATAGTTCTAAATATTTCAGTTTTAAAAACCAAATCAGAAAATGGCTCAAATGAAAAATTATAGTTCAACAATATGCTCACCTTTAGTGCTTTTAGGCGAATCACAGATCCTGATTTCCGAAAAAGCCCTTCGGTATGAATATGTTCTTCTAAAGATGTGCAAGCATCGACAAGAAAGCTGAAAGAGAGATTTTTTCAGGTGGCTAGACATACATATCACATCCTATTCCTCTGCTAACATACATGAGCAGGCCAAGCACTACAGACCTTTCAGAGGCTCTAAAGCCACAAATCTCTGTAGTCTTTGAGATGAAATGTTACTTTTAGTTGTCTACTTGCTTTCCAAATTCTTCTCCAAGGCCCATCTTTTTACTTATAACAACTCCAATATGCACACTAAATTTTATCTTTCTCAATCCTACTTCATTTCTGCTTCCCTTCAGAGCGTAAGACTTGTCTTTTTTTTCTGCCTCTACTTCTTCATATCTCAGTCTCTACTCACCCCTATCCAATCATTCTCATACCTCATTACTCCAAAGAAATAGCTCTCTTCAAGCTCACTAACAGCCTCTGCCTTGCCAAATCCATGGTCAGTGTGTTGTCCTCGTATTGCTCGATCTATCACCATTTGACACACCTGATCCCTTCCCTGTTCATCTCAAAAATACTTTTTCACTACTCTTTTAGTTTTCCTGCTATCTCCCTGCCTGCTCCTTCTCAAATTCCTTTTCTCACTCCTCTTATGTGAAACCTCTACATGCTGGAACAACCCAGGGCTCCGTCCAAGGCCACCTTCTTTTATCTACTATCTCTTCATGGGTGATTTTCTCATCTCCTACATCACCCAAAAACAGGGCGAGGTTTTTTTTCCTCACCCCAACATTATCCCTCAGAAAAGTAGGATATATCCCAGTCCTTACAAGCCTTTTCATATTAAGGGGAATGTGCTCAATTTCTTTATTTTGAACAATGTTCAAATAAATCTCAATGTTGGCTTTAGATACCTAGATATTGAACAGCTGGGACCCACAAATTAGAATGAATATCGGCTACCAACAATTGATACAGCTGTATTGGTGCACAGTGGCTGAATGTCAGCCTTATTTACAGAAGGTAACTGACAAAACAGTCTTTTTAATTAAATAAAAAGTAGGTCATGAAATTGCAATGAAGATTTAGTCATGATTCCTGGGAATATGACTTTGCAATTCCAGACGCCGAAAATCTGCTTTTTTTTTTTCTTTTAGTTTTTGAGACAGTGTCTCGCTCTGTCACCCAGGCTGGAGTGGTGCGATCACTGCTCACTGCAACCTTTGCCTCCTGGGCGCAAGTGATCCTCCCACCTCAGCCTCCCGACTAGCTGGGACTATAGGCACACATCACTACGCCCAGCTAATTTTTCTATTTTTTGTAGAGACAAGGTTTCACCATGTTGCCCAGGCTTGTCTTGAACTCCTGGGCTCAAGCAATCCACCACCTGGGCCTCCCTAAGTGCTGGGATAACAGGCATGAGCTCCTGTGCCCGGCCTGTTGAAAATCATTATAGGTGTTCATTATAAGAAAATCAAGCCTTTCATAGGTCATTTAAAGAGCAAAATGGTTAAGCGGTTACCTAAGAAGACAGTGAATCTACACCTATAGGATGAATGGGGGGAAACTGTCCTAAGGCAACCAGGTGTTCGATAATTGCTTTTGGATGACATGTCAATTAAAACCTAGATTATTGGTCTATAGTAGCCCAAATGAACCCTACTTTAGATGGAGGGGAAATGAATTAAGGATAAGTTTCATCATATGCATTTTTAGATTACATTCTTTTTTTTTTCTTTTTTTTTTTTTTTGAGACGGAGTCTCACTCTGTCGCCCAGGCTGGAGTGCAGTGGTACAATTTTGGCTCACTGCAAGCTCCGCCTCCTGGGTTCATGCCATTCCCCTGCCTCAGCCTCCCGAGTAGCTGGAACTACAGGTGCGTGCTACCACGCTCAGCTAATGTTTTGTATTTTTAGTAGAGACGGGGTTTCACCGTGTTAGCCAGGATGGTCTGGATCTCCTGACCTCGTAATCTGCCCGCCTCGGCCTCCCAAAGTGCTGGGATTACAGGCGTGAGCCCCCGCGCCCGGCTAAATTATATTCTTAAAACATAAACTTTCCTAGTAATTTCTGATGCAGTTAGAATAGGCCAGCACAGTGGCTCACGCCTGTAATCCTAGCACTTTGGGAGGCTGAAGCAGGTAGATCACCTGAGGTCAGGAGTTTGAGACCAGCCTGGCCAACATGGTGAAACCCCATCTCTACTAAAATACAAAAATTAGCTAAGTGTGGTGGTGGACACCTGTAATCCCAGCTACTCGGGAGGCTGAGGCAGGAGAATCACTTGAACCCAGGAGGTGAAGGTTGCGGTGAGCCGAGATCACGCCATTGCACTCCAGCCTGGGCGACAAGAGCGAAACTCTGTCTCAAAAAAAAAAAAAAAAGAATAAAAGGTTATTTATAAATAGTAAGTGGCATAGAAAAGCTAAGTGATACATAATACATTTTCACAAACACTCTAATATCTTAGCTTAAATATTCTTTTATCCAATATTTGTTTTCAAGAGACAGGGTCTCACTCTGTTGCCAATGCTGGAGTGCAGTGGCAATGAGCATAGCTCACTGCAGCCTCAAACTCCTAGGGTCAAACAATCATCTGCCTCAGCTTCAGGAGTAGCTGGGACTACAGGGGTGCACACCACCTTGCCCAGCTGATTTTTCTTTAAAATTTTTTTTATACATGGAGTCTTGCTTTGTTGCCCAGACTGGTCTCAAAATCCTGAGCTCAAGCGATCCTCCTGCCTCGGCCCTCAAAATGCTGGGATTATAGGCATGAGCTACTGTGCCTGGCCAATATTTTTTTAACAAACAAAAAAAAGGCAAAATTATTACTGAATTGGTAATTCAGTATATTACTTAATCTGAGTTGTGGCAAAAGAATTCACATAGAACTGAAAACTGACTTAACAGAACAAAAATTTTTTGTGATTTCTAACATTTACTCATTACTGGACTTTAAAATTCAATCCTGGGAATGAGTACAAATTATAAATTTAAAATATGTAAAAGTTAAAAAAATATTTTTAACATTATGAGAGATTAAATCATTTGCTGGTTTGAAACAATTATGTTTTAATCAACTATTTCTTTTAAACTCTCTAAAACCAGTTTGAAATGCTTACTCTCTTCTTCTTCATTTCCCTGGCTAGAAGGCTCACTGCAGCCTCCACCTCCTGGGCTCAAGCAATCCTCCCACCCCAGCCCCCTGAGTAGCTGGGACTACAAGTGTGCTCCGCCAAGCTAATTTTTCTATCTTTTGCGACAAGGTCTCACCATGTTGCCCAGGCTGGTCTTAAGCTCCCGGACTCAAGTGATCTGCCCACCTCGGCCTCTCAAAATGCTGGGGTTACAGGCATATGCCACTGCACCCGGCCTTCTTCATTTCAAACTCTGCTTACCTTGGAATGTGTCCATATTCTGGTACAGCAGAATGGGGCAGTGCATTAAAAGGTACTCCAAATATTTTACCCTAAAATGACAAATTCAGTTACTCTAACACAAATATTAGGCATAATATCAGTTTTCTTAAACTTTAGGCAAATTAAAGAACTCAGGAAATTAAAAAAAATCAGAAATAAATGATAAACTATCAATCAAGACAAAAATAATCATTTCAAGTGCATTTGATAACAAATAATTACTATATTAGATAGTATGCTGAGTGCTGGGAGTACAAAGATGGCCAAGATAATGTCATTCCCCTCAAATAATCTAGTAAACTCAAGTTTCCAATCTGATCATAAAGTCAATTTGGTTAGTGGTTAGTCAGTAAATTCTTAAAACAGAATTTGGTCCAAAACACTAACATTTACCCCAAAACACTATAGGTTGCTTTAATGATCTTATAAATACTTACTAGATACTTTCTTTTGGTCACCTTATAAATACTTACACAAAAGACTAAGTCAATTGAAAAGCAAAACACTAATTCCTGTCATTCATTGAGTCTTCCTAAAATTACATCAGAAGAGGTTATTTTTATACCTAATACATTTTCCACCTTCTATAGAAGAGTGCTTTTCAAACCATGCCCTGCGGTAAGCAAGGCAGGAGTGTGCAAATATTTAAGTCAAACTTCATTTAACTAGCTGGAAACCCATTTTTAAAACCTCACATTCAAATTTTAATACACTGAAGATCCCAAGAGTAAAGTTGTTTGTTGGTTAACTTGAATGTTTTTGCACACTGAAGAATAAAGAATCTGCCACTATCTTTGTGCGTGCATTCGAACCTCTTAAAAATGTGTCGCTTTCCACAGCACTGAAAGGCAAATTCAAGCCTGTAAATGTCTGGTTATTCAAACTTAAGTGGGTATGCATAATCTCACATGTTAATTTAGTTTACATGCATCTGCTCTGTGAATGCTGAAGTACTTTTTTTGATGTCACAAGTTATCAACCAAGAAGCATTTATGTTTTATGAGCATTATATTTAACTTTACAATAAAAATCACTCAGCATTGTCAATGACGCAACACAGTAACAAAATTTTACTAATTCCCTTTCAAGCACCTGGCTCCAATTAATTTACAAATATTGTAAGCTGAAAAGACAGTATAGTATGGTAAGGGCTTAAGAGAGTAGGCTCCTGAAGGCAAAAATGACAGGTGTATTTTTTTTGAGACGGAGTCTCACTTTGTGGCCCAGGCTGGAGTGCAGTGGCACAATCTCGGCTCACTGCAAGCTCCGCCTCCCGGGTTCACCCATTCTCCTGCCTCAGCTTCCCGAGTAGCTGGGACTACAGGCGCCCGCCACCACGCCCAGCTAATTTTTTTGTATTTTTAATAGAGACGTGGGGCGGGGGGGTTCACCGTGTTAGCTAGGATGGTCTCGATCTCCTGACCTCGTGATCCACCCTCCTCGGCCTCCCAAAATGCTGGGATTACAGGCGTGAGCCATCGCACCCACAAAAATGCCAGGTTTTACATCTTAACTCTTGTACTTAACAGCTGAGTGACCTGGATCAAATTAACATTCTGTTCCTCGGTATCCTCACACAGATCCTAAGTCATAGAGGTGTAGGAAGAATTAAATAAATTAAAACATACAAAACACTTGTATCAGTGTCTGACACACAGTAAGCATTCAAAAAATATTTGTTAATCTTATGATCATCATTTTAAGCTGAACTATTTAAAAAAATGTTAGTATGGGCAACCCCTTTATTGGGTAAATCAGAATTTTCTTGATACTGTGCAGCCAAACCAAATGTAAAAATAAACCAGATACTTAGGCTGGTAAGTCTACTTCTGTTATATATAACTAGAATTCAGCGTGTTTTTTTCCTTAAGTCTTATTATTTAGAATAACTGGCTTCACAAGTAACCACTAAAATTTAATCTCATAAAATGTTTTTAAAACTTAAAACTACAGTTAGCTAACAAACACCAGTCGGCTAAAGAAATTGTTTTCAAACAAACTATCCCATTAGATCTCATAACACAATGATCTTCTATATTTCTTCATTAGAATATTCTTATAAGTGTTTCTAGCTGAATTTATATGGCGTGATTACCAATTAGGAGGCAGACCAATGATATGACAACTATCATTAGATGAAGTGGCATGTGACACGCACTGTGCTAGGCCTACATAAAGAGCTTCACTTTTTAAAAATCCCTAAATAATCCAAGGAGAAATACGTTCCCACTTTATAGATATAAAACTGAAGCTTAGGGAAATCAAACAAGCAGCCCAAGTTTACAGATGTAGTAGGGGTGGAACAGCACTCAAACTCAGGTCTATCCGACTCTGAAAACAGGCAACAGTTTTTCTTGTTAAGGGGTGAAAAGGACAGGTGCAGTGGCTCACGCCTGCAATCCCACCACTTTGGGAGGCCGAGGCGGGCGGATCACGAGGGCAGGAGATCGAGACCATCCTGGCTAACACAGTGAAACCCCGTCTCTACTAAAAAATACAAAAAATTAGCCAGGTGTGGTGGCGGACGCCTGTAGTTCCAGCTACTCGGGAAGCTGAGGCAGGAGAATGGCGTGAACCCGGGAGGCGGAGCTTGCAGTGAGCCAAGATCGCGCCACTGCACTCCAGCCTGGGCGACAGAGGGAGACTCCATCTCAAAAACAAAAAAAAAAAAAAGGAAAAGAAAAGAAAAGGGGTGAAAAAAAGTCCATATACAAACTCTTCCATATACTTACAAAATCAGCTACATTTGAGATCTTGGAAAGCCAGTTTTACAATCAGAAAAAAATCACTGTAGCTTTTTAAATGTAAGTACATGTATTGCCATTAATTTGCTACCAACAAAAATAACTTCTCCAAAGTTTATCAGCGATTAAGAGACACACATATTACTTTTGTTAGTGGTTTTCTTCTCCAAGCACTTTTTTTTAGAAACCATAAACTATTAAAAGCAACGTATATTAACTTTATTAGCTTGTCTCCAAGTACTAGGAAGTACCATATAAATTAGGCACATAAATTTAAAATAAAATGCTTTACATTCAGCTTATTTTTCACAATGCAATTCCTGATTATGTGGCAGAGCTATTAAAATCTCATTCAAAATCCCTTTATTTCAACCACCAAAACATCAACAACTTCTCAATTATTCCACTCTGGCTTCTCAATTTACTCATACAAAAAAAAAAATTGCTGTCCCAAAAGTATGATATGGCCAAGCAGCAAATCTGTTTCCCAAATTAGTGAATATGCAGTCATCATTTGAAGCCTATTTCTAATGTTCTGTCATACTTCATCTACAGATTCATGTAGAAAATGCACTGGTCTCCCTTGTCCCTCTACAACCTTACTCTAAAACAAGGGTGGAGGGGTAGAGTTTTTGTCCCTCCCAACGTACTACCTGTTCCAAATACAGTAAGCTGGCAATATCCGGAGACATTTTTAATCGTCACAACTGAGAGATGCTACCAGCATCTAGTGGGTAAAAGACAGACATCCCGCTAAACATCCCACAATTCACAGAACAGCATTTCGTCTTCCCCTAACAAAAATTATCTAATCCAAAATGTCAATAGTGCTGAAGTTGGAAAATCCTGCAACTTTCTCTCAATGATCAAAAATCCTTGGGGAAAAAAAAAACAAGAATGTCACTTTTTAAATATCAGCAATCGATCATCTGAACTGAATTACACACCTAACCATTCTTTTTGATACACAGAGTGAACATTTTAGCACGATCTGCTAATAAGTGATGATAAAGGGTGTGCCCTTTCTTTTAAACCTAAATCCCTTTTCACAGAACTTACCCCTATTTCCGTGGCTGCTGTTTCATGTCTCCTGCGATCGCACTGCCCACGGACACCCTTCACCTTAATACCATAGAAGGCCCGCAGATGCTGCAACAGGGCCAACTTCACCAGCCTCTGATCCCACATTCCGGATACGTCGATAACTCTGAGGCAGGATGCAGGTCCTGACCCTCGTTCGCCACCAAGTCTTCCAATTTCCAAACGCTCTCAAATTTGAACTCCGCTCGGCTGCTTTCCGGCCCCGTCTGGCACTTCTGCGGCCCCGACCCCCGGCCACTTCCACGGCTTTTCCTTGATCCTCACTCACATCCACTTACACAGACCCGCTTCTCTTAGCCCTTTGATCCAGCCACACCTCACTCTTCCTTCACTTACAGCGACCTTCTTTCTGGTCACCCAATGCTTTCAGCTACTCACATAGACTTCTTTCTGATTCTTTCGGTTTCTCGCCTATTGCCAGATTCTCTCCACTTCCTGCTACTTCCAACGATCCCCCTTCCTCCAAACCTTACTGTCCGTCTGGTTCGCTCTGAAATGTGAAGAGAACCCTTCTCGCTCCTCCAGCCCCAGCAGGCTCAACTGGGCGCTCGCCCCCGCCCTAGCCTGGCCGCCGGACCAGCCGGCTGCTCAGGCAACTCTTCCAGTCCCGGTGCCCGCCCGGGCTGGTAGCCGCCGTCACCCCGTCTCACAGGCTGCTCGTTCCCTCCCCCATCAGCCTGCCTCTACCTCCCGGCCTGCACATCCCGGTGCGTTCACTGAAGCCAAGCCGTTAGCCTCATGCTTCCGCCCCCAGCTCCACTGCAGACACCCGGAGCCACCACGGGGGGGTCACACCCGCAGTTTCAGCCCAGGCTCAAATGGCAGCGCCAAACAGCGCTCCACATCTGATTGGTCCACTCCTCTTTTCAAAATCAGGACCCCGGAGGGTGGCCGAGAGCTGCCTGTCTAGATAGGTGCGGGCGAAGGGGTGTAACGGGCAAACCCAGCAAACATGAAAAGCAGGATGAGTTTCACTTGTTCCTTCAAGGCCAGTTTTTGGGGCGGGGGAATACTGTTTAAAGGTTTTTAAATACACCTGACCTGCGCCTCAGACCATTCACAGTATTTGAGGAAATGTAAGAGACAACTTATTCCCGTTCTTTTCCGAGCTCGGCTGTCGCTGAAGGCCCTCTTACGAAGAAACCGTTCTACGGAAGCCCAGTTGAGACAACTTGAGACAGGATTCAGAAACGCTGATTTTAGTAACCTTAACCCTCGGCCCTTGGTGGGAACTTCGGCTCTGTGGGAATTAGTCTTTGGGGGACTGATGGTGATGCTGAAATCTTATTGCGTAGGAAATTAAGTACAACAAAGAAGACCCGTCGTGAGAGGAGAGTGCGGAAGAAATGCGAAGTCTACGGGAGGTGGCAGCTGCAGAAGCTTGGTGTTGGATTTGGAGTTAGGAGACCGGGAGGAGCCCAGCTTCCGGTCCAGACGGTTATCTTGTTGACTTGCACGACTGCAAACGCCCTGAGCTGCTTTTGCAGTCTGAAACATCAGCGATCCCATCAAAATATTCTGTTTCTTGGGATATAAGAAACATCCCAAGGCGGGCTGTAGAGCGAGAGATTTGGACTCGATTTAAATACAGACAAAATAGTATGCATTTACTAACACCACATCTCACCCCCACGAAACTTGGTAAGGGCAGCAACAGAACTTTATCTGCCATATGCACTCCTGTATTCCTATTACCAAATAGTGCCAGGGACTAAGTGAATATTTGCCCAATGAATGAGTTTTAAGTAGGAAACGTTTGCATAGAATCATTTTGTTTCTTTTGGAGTTCAAATCTTCGGATATTTTACCCTTCCCAATCCAAAGAAAAGTCTCTGAGTGAAGAGATGGGAACAAAATGTAAGTTAAATATGTTGCTTTAACAACTGTTTATTGAACTCGTGCTATATACTGTAGAATGATGAGCAAAACCAGGCACAGTTTCGGCCCTGGAAGAGGAAAGGCAGGCATATATTTATCAAGTAAGTACATTAATGGCGGCACTTATCAGTTGAGAGAAGTGCGCTAAGGAAAGGAATATGATTCTATGATAGCGTATAATAAAAGATCCTTGACCGGGGAGGGGAAACGTACCAGTGATTAACTGATCTGAAGAATCAGTATAAATTGACTTTGTAGAAAGTATAGGTGGATGGCTGAGTGGGACCATCATTCAGGAAGCAAATGCCTGCAGAAAAAAACATCAATTTTAACAAGAAACAGTGTATCAGAGATGAAACTGAACCTATTCCTTGTCTTTTCTTCTTGCTTCAGACATAACTTTAAAAAATTGCTTACGCTGTCTTTAGCCACATCTCTTCCCCAAACTCCACACTGTTCTGCGTTTTAGCCGTCTCAAATTTCCTTTTCTTAAAGACCCATGACAATCTTCAGTGTTGTGTCTTTTTCTACGTCATAATCCTTTTTTAAAGCTGAGCTCTTTTTGTTTTTCGTCTCCTTTCTCTTTTTTTTTTTTTTTTTTTTTTTTTTTTTTTGTGACGGAGTCTCGCTCTGTCGCCCAGGCTGGAGTGCAGTTGCACAATTTCGGCTCACTGCAAACTCCACCTCCCACGTTCAAGCAATTCTCTGCCTCAGCCTCCCAAGCAGCTGGGATTACAGGCGTCTGCCAGCAGGCCCGGCTAATTTTTGTATGTTTAGTAGAGACGGTGTTTCACCATTTTGGCCAGGCTGGTCCTGAACTCCTGACCTCGTGATCCACCCGCCTCGGCCTCCCAAAGTGCTGGGATTACAGGTGTGAGCCACCACATCCGGCCCTTCCTTTCTCTTAAGATGAAAATATTGGTTCTTTTTTCCTACACACAAGGAGGCAATGAAAATATTGGTTCTTTTCATTGCCTTAATTATTATTAATGTTACTATTAATAAATATTAATAGTAACATAATGGTTATTTGCTTCATCTACCTATATTCACAGGTATGTAAAAACAACAATAGCAATAACAGGATAAAGAATAAAAACAGAATAACAATAGAGATATTGCTAACAGATAAATGAAGTTTAACTTTGCATGTACTTCCTTTTTTCTAAAATTGTATCCAACTAAGGATGTAAAATCAAGATACTGTGTTTTAAATGAACTGGGCATAATTATTCTTTTTGGTTATATATGGATGTACTGTAGTTTATTTAGCCAGGCCCTTACTAGTGGATATGTGGACTATTCCCAGTCTTTTGCTATACAAAAGTTTCCTTGTGCATATATAATATGCTTTTGCCAGTGGGTCTTTAGCATAGATTTCTATAAATGGGATTGTTAGGTCAAAGGGTAAAAGAACATGTTATTTTGTTTAATTCTGCCAAATTCCCCTTCATAGGGGTTGTGCAGTTTTGTATTCACACCAGCAGCATTTCCTGTTTCTCTGCAGCCTCTCCAATAGAATGAATTGTCAAACTCCTAGATGTTTGCTAAATCGATATGTGGGAAATGTTATCAAAGTGTAGTTTTTTTTTTTTTTGAGACGGAGTCTCACTCTGTTGCCCAGGCTGGAGTTCAGTGGCTCTATCTTGGCTCACTGCAACTTCTGCCTCCCAGGTTCAAGTGATTCTCCTGCCTCAACCTCCTGAGTAGCTGGGACCACAGGCAATCACCACCACGCCTGGCTAATTTTTGTAATTTTAGTAGAGACAGGGTTTCGCCATGTTGGCCAGGCTGGTCTCGAACTCCTGACCTCAACCTATCCACTCACCTCGGCCTCGCAAAGTGCTGAGTTTACAGGCATGAGCGACTGCGCCCAGCCTTCAGTATAGTTTTGTATTTATCTTTTTGTCAATGAAGTGGAACATTTTTTCAAATGATGCATGCATACGACAAAGTATTATGAAGCTGTTAAGGAATGTGGAAGATATATGACTATGATGTGAAGTGAAGTGAAAAAGCAATGCATAAAAGAGTGTATATAGTATGCTGCCTTTGGTATACGGGGTGGTAGAGATACATATACAAATGGATACTTACTTATATTTTCAAAAATAAACAATAGAAAGGTAAACCAAAATCTAATAAAAATGGTAAACAATAGGAGAAGATCAAGAACAGGTGAAGTAGAAAATAGGAATGGAAGCTAGACCTCTCTGAATATATCTTGTTTTATATATAAACTTGGAACCCTGTAAATGTGTAACATGTTTAAAATACAAAATAAGGCCAAAATAAGGTGGTGGCTCACGCCTGTAATCCCAGCACATTGGGAGGCCGAGGTGAGCGGATCACCTGAGGTCAGGAGTTCGAGACCAGCCTGGCCAACGTGGTGAAACCCCGTCTCTACTAAAAATACAAAGATTAGCCATGCGTGGTGATGCATGCCTGTAATCCCAGCTACTTGGGAGGCTGAGACAGGAGAATCGCTTGAACCTGGGAGGCGGAGGTTGCAGTGAGCCAAGATCCGGCCACTGCACTTCAGCCTGGGTGACACAGTGAGACTCCATCTAAACAAAATAATAATAAATAAAATAAAATAAAATGTAAAAGCAACTCCTAAAATGGAAAACAAAGTGCAATAAATCAATCTTTTCACCTGTTTAAGGGCTATTTGTACTTCTTTTTATTTAAATTGTCCATCTTTTACTTTCAGGATGGTCTTTAAAAATATTTTAGAAGCTTTTTATATATTAGTCCCTCATGATATAAGCTGCATATATTTTTTAGACTTTTTGCCTTGCTTTTTTGTTTGTTTAAATTATAGTTAATCTCTTCCCTTAATGCTTCTGGATTCTGATTATAGATAGGAGTATTTTCCCCACTTCTGAGTTATAAAGGTATTCACTCTTGTGAATTCTAGTACTTAATTTTCTAGTACTGCTATGTTTTCATTTGTTAATGTTAGATCTCTGAGGCTGGAGTGCAGTGATGCGACCTCTGCTCACTGCAACCTTCACCTCCCGGGTTCAGATGATTCTCCTGTCTCAGCCTCCTGAGTAGCTGAGACTACAGGTGCATGCCACCACACCTGGCTAATTTTTGTGTTTTTAGTAGAGACGAGGTTTCACCATATTGGCCAGGCTGGTCTTGAACTCCTGACCTTAGGTGATCTGCCTGCCTCTGCCTCCCAAAGTGCTGGAATTACAGGCGTGAGGCACCGCGCCCGGTCCTTAAATTTGGAATTTATCCAGTGTAGAAAGAATGGATCCAATTTTATGTGTTACCCCACACAGCTATCCAGCTGTAGATATTGTAATTTTATTTCATTTAGTGAACTCCCACACCTACTTCTAAAAGTAGGAAAACACTACTGAAAACCTCACTGAGTTCCCTGACGATGAAAAGGGAAATCTTTCGTTAAGCATTAGGCTTTGCTTTTAGTGCCACTAGATGGCACACATCCTTTTCCTTAGATGTTAGATCACCTAACCCTCATTTCTGTGAAATCAGTCCATAAAGTGTCTGCCAAAGGGCCTTCCTGAACCTTTTACCTGCATCCCTGCTTGAAATAAGATGATTTGTGCAACTTTCAAATTAGGTCCGAGTTTTTTTCTGTAAAACCAAAATGATTGTTCCTAGAATCACTGCCTCTAGGGCCTGGCACATTCCACAGACACATTGTTCCATTTATTTATTTATTTATTTGAGACGGAGTCTCGCTCTGTCCCCCAGGCTGGAGTGCAGTGGTGTGATCTCGGCTCACTGCAAGCTCTGCCTCCCGGGTTCACACCATTCTCCTGCCTCAGCCTCCCGAGTAGCTGGGACTATAGGCGCATGCCGCCACGCCCGGCTAATTTTTGTATTTTTAGTAGAGACGGGGTTTCACCGTGTTAGCCAGGATGGTCTTGATCTCCTGACCTCGTGATCCGCCCGCCTCAGCCTCCCAAAGTGTTGGGATTACAGGCGTGAGCCACCGCGCCCGGCCACATTGTTCCATTTATTAATAAAACAGAAATGTCTATCATATTCTGTCCTAAATGTGGACTAAGATGGAAAATAGTACAGTGATTTCCTGAGGTCACTGGGCTATCACCAGAATAGTAGACACTGTGGTGCTTCACCTAGATCCCCCTCCAGGCTGAGGTGCTCACTCGCCCCACTTGCAGAAGTGTTGGTTCCTCATGGCTCACAACAAAGTCCCCCTCTGAGAGCTGCTCCATGAAAAGGACCTGCCTCACCCCAAGTGATGCCTTCCCCTGGGCAGTCTACGTTCCGTGCCTGGTTAATATGGGGTTTCATAGGCCTGGCCCCCATATCTCAAGACAACGGAAGGACTTCCCAGCTCTAGAGCTTCCTGAAGGAGCAGCTGAGATGGTGGCAACTGTTTCACAGGCTGCCCAATCCTGTTTCTTTTACTCCTTTACTTGTGTTGTTCCAAGAGCCTTCCCAAGTAAGCCTCCTGTGGGGAAATCTCCATCTCAGTACCTGTTTTTCAGGCAACCCAACTTAAGATACAGGGCCAATGGATTTCCCTAAACAGTGCTCTAAACTAGAGCCTTGCTATTCAAATACGGCATAGGTATCGCCTGGAAACTATAGCCATGTGTCTCTTAATGACAGAGATACCTTCTGAGAAATGCATTGTTAGGCAATTTTGTCATTCTGCAAACATCATAGAGTGTACTTACATCAACCTAGATGGTGTAGCTGACTACACACACACCTAGTTATGTGATATAATCTATTGCTCCTAGGCCACAAACCTGTACAGCAGATTACTGTACTGAATACTGTAGGCAATTGTAACACAATACCAAGTATTTTATATATCTTAACAGATTTAAAATTTGTGATATAACATTTAAATTTTTTTCTTTTTTTTTTTTTTCTTTTTTGAGATGGAGTCTTGCACTGTCACCAGGCTGGAGTGCAGTGGCACAATCTCAGCTCACTGCAACCTCTGTCTCCCGGGTTCAAGCGATTCTCCGACCTCAGCCTCCCGAGTAGCTAGGACTATAGGCGTGCACCACCACGCCCAGCTAATTTTTGTATTTTTAGTAGAGATGGCGTTTCGCCATGTTGGCCAGGGTGGTCTTGATCTCTTGACCTTGTGATCCACCCACCTCGGCCTCCCAAAGTGCTGGAATTACAGGTGTGAGCCGCTGCGACCGGCCACAGATTTAAAATTTTACCTGCGTAGGGTACTTATGAGTGGAGCTTGCAGGACTGGAAGTTGCTCTGGGTGAGTCAGTGAGTGGTGAGTGAATGTGAAGGCCTAGGACCTTACTGTACATTGTTATAGACTTTATAAACAGCATATACTTAGGCTACATTAAGTTTATTAAAATTTTTTCCTTCAGTAATAAATTAAGGTTAGCTTACTATAACTTTTTAATTTCATCAGCTTTTAAATTTTCTTAACTTTTGACTCTTTTGTAGTAATAGCTCAAAACACAAACACATTGTACAGCTGTACAAAAATATTTTCTTTCTATCCATATTCGGTAAGATTTTTTTCTATTTTTTTTTAATTTTAAACTTTTTTGTTAAAAACCAAGACATGGCTGGGCGTGGTGGCTCACACCTATAATCCCAGCACATTGGGAGGCCGAGGCAGGTGGATTGCTGGAGTCCAGGTGTTTGAGACCAGCCTGGACAACATGACGAAACCCCGCCTTTACAAAAAAATATGAAAAATAGCCAGGCATAGTGGCACACATCTATAGTCTCAGCTACTTGGGAGGCTGAGGTGGAAGGATTGCTTGAACCTGGGGAGCAGAGGTTGCAATGAGCTGAGATCGCACCACTGCACTCCAGCCTGGGCGATAGAGCGAGACCCTGTCTCAAAACCAAACAAAACCAAAATGAAGATACAAACTCACACATTAGCCTAGGCCTAGGCAGGGTCAGGATCATCTATATCCACTGGTCCCATAAGATTATAATGGAGTTGGGGCCTGGCGCAGTGGCTCATGCCTGTAATGCCAGCACTTTGGGAGGCCAAGGCAGGCAGCTCACGAAGTCAGGAGATTGAGACCATCCTGGCTAACACGGTGAAACCCCGTCTCTACTAAAAAATAGAAAAAAATTAGCCAGGTGTGGTGGTGGGCGCGTGTAGTCCCAACTACTCGGGAAGCTGAGGCAGGAGAATGGCGTGAACCCGGGAGGCGGAGCTTGCAGTGAGCCCAGATCGTGCCACTGCACTCCAACCTGGGCGACAGAGCAAGAGTCTGTTTCAATAAAAAAAAAAAAAAAAAAAAAAAAAAAAAAAGATTATAATGGAGTTGGAATGTTCCTATTGCCTAGTGATGTTGTTGACGTATAGCATCACTGTAGCACAGTGCATTACTCACATCACATATTTGTGGTGGTCTGTGGGGAGCTATTCCAGAAAAAAGCCTTGTTATCATAGGAGATGATAGCTCCTTGTGTGTTATTGCACCTGAAGACCTTCCAGTAGGACAGAATGTGGAGGTGGAAGACAGTGATAGATATATATGTAGTCCACTGTTGACCGAAACATTGCTATGTGGTGCATGAAAGGAAGTAACTCAGGGCCGGGCGCAGTGGCTCACGCCTGTAATCCCCGCACTTTGGGAAGCCGAGGAGGGTGGATCACGAGGTCAGGAGATCGAGACCATCCTGGCTAACACAGTGAAACCCTGTCTCTACTAAAAAATACAAAAAAATTAGCCGGGCGTGGCGGCATGCGCCTATAGTCCCAGCTACTCCTGGGAGGCTGAGGCAGGAGAATGGCGTGAACCCGGGAGGCGGAGCTTGCGTGAGCGGAGATCACGCCACTGCACTCCAGCCTGGGCCACAGAGCAAGACTCTGTCTAAAACAAAAAAAAGAAGTAACTCAGGCCCCACCCTAGACCTACTGAATCAGAATCTGCATTTTTATGATTCTCAATGATTCTCTTATGATTCTCATTTTATTTTTATTCCATGACTTTTTAAAAAAAAATCCCGTAACTTCTTTTTCATAACTTTTTTTGTAACTTTTCATAATACTGTTTTCTACTTTTTTCCCAGAAGTTTTTTTGCCACAACGTTTTTACATTTTTTATCCCATAACGTTTTCACCCCATAACTTTTTTTAATCCCATAACTTATTAAATCTTGTGTTCTTTTAAGAAACACTTGCATAGTTATATTACAGCTTTGTAAAAATGAAACACATTATCTCGTGCCAAGCATGCCCAGCATTTGCACAGTATCAATACCTTTAAAACTATAGTTTTGAAGAAACGCAAAATAAAATTTTAAGGCAAAAACAACACTTAGAAACAATTTAATAATTTATTACATTACAGTGGCATCACACCAGCAGTCAATAAGGCCACTCTAGGGAAAAATCTTTCAGTATTTCCATGACACATTCTGTTTACAATAATTCATAAACTGGTAAAATTCATTCTAAGAAAACTTGGCAAATAAAACTTTGGACTGGAATTGGCATTTCTTTCTCTGCTTTTCGTTCCCACCATTTCTTTCTTTTATACTACAGTATTCATATTTTAAAATGTTTTAAATTATTTCAGAACATTAAGATAGCAGTTACATTTTTTAATAGTTATATTATTTTAAAATGACTCTTTAAAATAAAGTTTTAGAGAAACTATATTATGGATAGGGCTGATTTACATTTTCAAATTTTCTAAAATCAGCTTTGGTTTTAGAGCTGATTTTTTTTTTCATTTCTGGAAAATTATCAGGTTTAATCAAATACTTTTAAAATGATTATTATATATTGCCATCTTTAAATAGGTGTTTTGATTCTTCCTACAGAAATCAAAATGTATTCAGTGGAACTCACAGTTTAAAATTCTATGTTTCTGATGAACTCTAACATTCCAATGTTGCCTTCTAAGCAAACTGAAAGCTGCCTTATACTGAATGAGGAAGAGCACAAATACTCGGCTGAATGAGGTATCGCAAAAGACTGCATGCACTTTGGAGAAAGACTTGAGTTATTGTCATACAATTTCCATTCTTTTTAGCTTTTTCTTAAATATATGACAAATACCTACACAAAGAGTGGTATTTCAGTCAATATAGTAAATTTATTTTCCAGACTGACCTTCAGCTTAAATATGCCAGTGTGTGATTTAATCCATAGGCACCTCATGAACACATTATTGTCAGATTGGTTACAGATGCTAAACACTATCCGAAGGTCATTCTAGTTACTGATATTTATCAGGGTAAAAGTGAAGTGATTTCAACGATAAAAGTACCTTTGCAATAATTTATCAATGTATTAGATAAACCCAGTTTCAGAATGATAAAAGAAAAAACGTTAGACCAAATAATGTGGCTGATTAACAGTGGTCCGATTTCTAGCCCGAGGGTTTAAAATGCTCTTAAAGTAACTGTCTTTAAACTGAACTCAAAGAATGCAAAAGCGGCAAGTTCAGAAAATAAAAGGCGAGAACAGGACTTTAAGTGCATTTTAAACCCACGGGCTACAATTCGTACCACTGTTAATTAGCCGCATTATTTGGTCTAAGATTTTTTCTTTATCATTCTGAAACTGGGTTTATCTAATACATTGATACATTCATAAAATTTGGAAGAGTCAGTGGAAGTCACAAGGACCGAATATTTGCACTCTTTCAGTGAATGCCAGCAAATCTGTTATTCCATCGGTAAAATCGTATTGTTGCTCTCCTGTTAATGTCATATTTATAGAAGTATCATGAGGATGCCAAATGCTAAAAATGGAGATGATCTAGTAACTAGAAATCCCCACCGCAGGGAGCACACACACCTATCTCCCTGCATCCTAACAATGTGATGTGTTTTGGAACACAGACATTAGAACTTCATGAAGTTTGAACTGTTGAGTCTTTCCCAAGCATCATCAAGTTACGATTTAGGCAATATACAACTGAAATGCATTCATTCATCATGCATAGGCACAATCACATAAATATCGCACAAAATATGTCCCGAACAGAAACCCAGAGGTACAAAAACATATTTCACTTTGTAAAGAAGTCTGTGAGAAAATATAGCTCTGTGATTGTATAGACACGTTTCCTGATAATACATTGACATTCACGAACAGTAGATTGCACTGCAGTTTGTACACATTTTAAGTTTCATAAACTTCTCCTTGATTTTCAAAGAGAGTACAATACCGTCTACTAAAACTCCTTTTTGTTTCAACTAAGTATCTCACATATATTAGTTTATAATAATGTTTCTATTATTTTTTAAAGTGTTTTCCATTCAAGGAAAAAGAAGTAAATTCCTATGTCAGAGTAACCAAGGTGGTTGAAGAATAGGTATTAGCCAAAGAGGTCTAGATGGTAAAATCAATCTTCAAGCCTCAAAGAATCTCCGTGAACAGAGAGGAATGCCAGGTGTCACACAGCTTTCCTTCACTCTAATTCATTCTTGACTAGAGCCTGTATGCCTGTTCCAGGGACGTTTGAACTCATAAAGGATTTCTTATGATCTTCACTAAATACATTAAGAAGAATGCCAACCAGTGCCCTTTTGTGTACTGGGACATGTAGTCATGTGATTAAAACAGGTAACATGAACTCTGACTTTAAAATGTATTGTAGATACAAATGCTCTAAGCTAGGAAAGGATTTCCACATCCACAGTCAATGATGGGAACCTTTCATTCCTCAGAAATAAGCCCTTTTTAGGTCATCGAAAAAGAGTGCAACTGCTGCAGCTCATGATGCAGTATCTTCATGAGCCCAGAGCACATACAAATCCTAAGGGAACCACCATAATACACTGCTAATTCCTGGCACCGGAACAGATGAAACACACTCTATCCTGCACGTACCTGCCAGAGGAGGCCACTTTCCTCTTCTGTGAGATTTAAAAAGCTCCCCCAAAAGGTTATCACTCCCATCACCAATACACAGAAAATGGAGGAAAGGCTGTTTCCAGTTCTTGGCCTTTAAACAACTCTAAATGTCAGTACTCATAGTGGCATATTACAAAGTAATAAACAGTGCACACTTGGGGGCAAACTACATATTGAGCTAATGAAGAGCTCACTGTGATTAAGATTAGATCAAACAACAGCAGAACATAGGCAAATTTTCTCTGAATTCTGTAGTGAATGTACATGCTGCAATAACATTAAAAAAGCATGGCAGCCTATTCCAAACCAAAGAGAACAGTTTTGGGCAAAGAGTGGGTCTTTGTGTGTTTGAACTCCCACCACGTAAGGGCAAACTCGATATGCACGCTAATGACCTACAATTATGAAATTAAAAAAGAAAAATGCTAAAGGATGCCAGAGTGAACATCAGTGAGAGCCACAGACACCCACTCTCTTTTAACTTTTTACAAATAAACTTAAAACTATAAATTAGAAAAACAAATAATCATGAGTGACTCTAACATTCAAAGGAAGTAAATGAATTGTGTAGGAGATTAACCCCATAACTTGGTTTCTTATTTAAAAATTTCTTGAGCAGCTCTTTGAGGATGGTGATGTTTATCTCCTTCTTCTTGGCAGCCAAGCCCAGCACAACAATGGCACACAGCAGTTGCTGCCCAAGCCTGGGTGCTCCTGGTGGTCCTGCACGATCGGCTGTGCAGTAGGCTTGTCAAGGAGAGGATCCTCCCTGGCCTCTCCTTGGGCAGAGGAGGTGAGGCTCACCTCACAAAGATCTTTGGAGAGAGGGAGGCAGGGATCTGAGCACAGTGGGAGCCCCCTCTTCCTGCCTGCCCACCCCACCTGAGGGCTCTACTCACCACCATGCTTGTCTGCAGCCCCAAGCTCCTGGGGGGCTGGGGCTCCTGGACCGGGCTCATCAGCAGAGTTGTGGGCAGCGGCCAGGAATTTTCTGTGCCCATTGTTGTAGTTGCTGTAAGCCGCAATACCATCTGCTGCAGCTCCAGCAGCTTCACCTGGAGGGAGGGGTGCTCAGCTGCCATGCCGCTGCCTGCGCCCACCCTCACACCCACCCCCACCCCCACCCCCACAGAGATGTTGCACAACCTACCTTCATCTCCTCCCTGAGCTCCAGCCTGATGGTGTCCTCCTCCCAGTGCCGCATCTTTGGCACGGCCCCCTGGTTCTGATAAAAGGTGATGGGTTTTCCTGCGGGAGGACAGGGCTCAGACGCTGGGGCCCCTCCGACGGCCCTGTAGCTCCCCCTGCCGTGCCCTGGCCTCCCACTCACTGATGGCATCTGTCTCGCCAGTGGTGGATGAAGCAGAGTTCTTTTTTCTTCACCAGCTCACTCAGGTCTGCCTTCTCCTCCAGGTGGTCCATAAAGCTGCTCTGGAGCCAAAATATTGCAGTCACATCTCGGCAGCGACCTGCCCTCAGGTGGCATTTTCAAGTCATGGAGAAGGTGGAGGTGAGTCCTGGCATGGGCCAGCTTCTCCGTGACTTCCTGCAGGGCCCAGTGGGTCTCCCCACTCACAGACTCGCCCCCAGGCCCTGGGGCTCCAGGGCCTCTGGCTGCCTCTGGCTCCTTCTGGGCCGAGGCCACCGGGTGAGCCAGGCGCTGGCAGCACACCCTCTGCTCTTTCACCTGCTCTTGTAACTGTGCCTGCTTCTCCTGGGCACTAGCTCCAGCGGACTTGAAAAATGCCACCTGAGGGCAAGATGTGAGCATTCTTCTAGGGGCATACACAGAAGAAATGGGGCAGAGAGGTGGAGCGCAGCCCCTTCCCTTGGGGCCTCAGAGAGTGCACCTGTTGGCCACAGGTGAAATGGTGTCTGACCACTGGCTCTCGGAAGGGGTGAGGGTCCAGAGAAATCAGAAGGCAGGGAAACGAAGAGCATAAAGGGGTCTTGGAGGGACCACAGAGAAAGGTGGCAAAATGGGTGCAGGGGGGAGTCAGGCTCACCATGGCCTCCCTGCTCTCCGGGTCCTCTGGGACACTCGGCATGGGCCGAGGTGCCTCCTCCCCCTCACTGTCCAGATGTTCTCCTCCGTGTCCTGTGGGGGGTGGCCAGAGGGGTCTTCAGACAACCCAACAAGGGAGGTACTGTGGGCCCACCTCTACCTCCACCCTCACTGTGTAACCCTGAGCCTGCCCCTCCCCAGAGAGGAATGAGCTGTTGTTCTTTATTTTTACTTTTAAGAATCAAGATCTTGCTATTCCGCCCAGGCACACTCCCACTACTGGTCGATGTGGGAGTTCTGACCTGCTCTCTTTCTGACCTTGGCCAGTTCAGCCACCCTTAGGCAACTTGGTGACCCCCCGCTCACAGGAGGTCACCACACTGATGCCGAACTTAGTGCAGGCACCCGGTCGGCATAATGACCAGCTGTTCTAAAGGTCTCTTCCAACTCCTCAATCCTATGCTGCTAGCAGTCCCCCCTTCCTCCTGGGGCTCTCTCCTCTTCCTCTGAGCGGTCTCCCGTACCTTCCCCAGGGAGAGCCATGAGGCTCAGCTGGGCCGTTAGCTGCTGGTTCTGCTGGCTGGCAGCTTCCAGGTGCTCCTAAGGGGCCAGGACAGAGTGAGAAGGGGTGGAGTTTGCCAGGTCGTCCCCCTCACAGCCCCATCCTCGGCAGCTCCCTCCCCTGGGTCTCCTGCAACTTTTGGCAGGCCATCTCAGCCACCGCTTTGCCCCAAGCTTCCTGCTGCTGCAGCTGGTTCATTAGCTGGGTCTGCTGCAGTCACTGCCTGTACAGCGCCTCCTTCTCACAGGTCAGCTGCTGATAGGCGGCCACCTGCTGCTGATAGGTGGCCACGTACTGCTGCAGGTGACCCAGGTAATGGTCTGGCTGCTGCTGCAGACTCTGAGCCTCTTGGCTCTTCAGCTCCACCTGCAGGAAGACCCTGGGTGTGAGGGCATGTGGTGGCTGGTTTCCAGATTCTGGGCCCATTAATAGGGTAGCGAGGGCACTGTGGGGCTCTGTCAGCTGCCCAGGCCCCTGTCCCCTTACTCCAGGCCTAAGTGACTGCCTCCCTTTCCTAGAACCCCATGCCTCCTTCCCCAGCCTCAAATCTCATACCCTCTTCTCATTTAATCCTCAGCACCTCTGTAAGGAAAATGCTAACTTCCCTTTGAAGTTAAAGAAACAGAGACTTAGAGATGCAAAGTAGTTGAATGGTGACCAGTGGAACCGAGGCTGGAATCCAGTTTCAATCTAAGGAGTCTTTTTGTTTTGTTTTCAGACAAGAGTGTCACTCTGTGGCCCAGGCTGGAGTGCAGTGGTGCAATCTCAGCTCACTGCAACCTCCACCTCCTGGGTTGAAGCAATTCTCGTGCCTCAGCCTCCCGAGTAGGTGGAATTACAGGCATGCGCCACAATGTCCTGCTAATTTTTTTTTTTTTTTTGTAATTTTAGTAGAGATGAGGTTTTACCACATTGGCCAGGCTGATCTCAAACTCCCGACCTCAAGTGATTCTCCTGCCTCAGCCTCCCAAAGTGCTGGGATTATAGGCATGAGCCACTGCACCTGGTATAAGGAGCCTGTTATAGCACTGTCTCTTCCCCTGTGATTGGGGGCTCCATGCCTCTAGCTGGGATGATGATGTCCAGACCTGAGAGGAGCCCAGGGCTACCCACCTTTAAAAGTCAGAGGCAGGAAGCAAGAAACAGTCACAGGACTGCCCTGCGGGGTGCTGTGGTCACCAGCCCCCAGGCTGGAAGCTGCCTCTGGCCTGGCACCTCCCCTCCCAAGAGGCTGCTGCCCGCCTCCCAGCCCTTCTTGGATGGGGTGGAGGTTTCCGTCTCCTTCACCTCGCCAAGCTTCTCCTGTAGCTCCTTTACTTGCTGCTCCAACTGCAGTGCGTTCTTGTTCTCATTGTTCTGGACAGAGAGAAGCAATCAGCAGCCACCCACTGCAGCTGGAGACCCCAGAACTTGGTGTCTGCCTCCCATGGCACTGGGAAGGCTGGAGGCAGGTTAGAAAAATCACCCCCTCTCTCCCACAGCCACCTGGCTCACAGGTGCCTTTAGAAGTAACATTTCATGTGAGGGCTACACTGCCCCATTTTAGAGGTGGGGAAACAAAGGCCCGGAGGGCTAGGGAGGAGGGCAAGCTCCCCAGTTTGGGCAACGCACCGGCTCCTCGAAGACGCTCTGTGGCTTGGCCAGCTGCTGAAGGCTCTTGTGCTGCTCCTGAATCCTCTCCTCCTGCTTCCGAAGCCTCTCTTCCTGCTCCTGAATCCTCTCTTCTTGTCGCTGGTTCAGGAGACTTATGCGCTGATTCTTTTTGACCTGGGCCTGGAGCTCTCCTGCCACTCTCTCTAGTTCCTTCCTCAGGTGCTGCAGCTCCACCTCAGAGGGCACTGCTGGGGGCTCCGGGGGCAAGGGTTCAGCTGAGAAAGGAAGCAGATAATAAGGGCCTCTGGATTCTCGGAAAAGAAAAACCCTCCTCTTGGCGCACAGCTCCTCTCAGGCTCCTCAAACTTGGCCTCACTGCTAATGATTCCTCGCACCCAGATGGTAGCCAGTCTTCCAAAGCACATTCAGAGAAAGAGCACTGCGGGTGGCTGGCAACGGGCCCTCTTTCCTGATGGGGACACTGAGACACTGAGACTCATTGAGATGACAAGACTCGCCGTCTCCTGGCACAGATCTCTTTCCCTCTGCCTCAAAGCCCTTCCATCCACCCACCTCCCTGGGGCACTCTAAGCCACCCTCACAGCCCTCTGATGCCAGTCCTGCTCCCAGGTCATGCCAGCCCCATCTTACCCATCTGGTTTTTGAGTTTGGACAAGCTCCTCTCCAGCTTCTCTACCCGACGCATATCTTGCTGCTTCTCTTTCTTTAATGTGCAAATCTGCCCAAAGCACAAGGGGAAAGGGCCTTGGAGAGAGGGGCTGGAGGCTGGACAGGCTGCCCTCTCCCTCTCTGCCCCCACCTCCACAAAGCCCAGACCCATGACCACCTCTGGCTCTACTATTCCCATTTTACAGATGCCCAGAAAGATCCAGTGACCTATCTAATGTGGGGGGGCTGAAGGGTGAGATCTCACCTCCTGCGACATTTTTCTCATCCTCTGCTGCCACCGGGCCCTCTCTCCTTTTAGATGTTCAGCACACTCATCTCTTTCTAATTGGACTTGTTGAAATGACTCCTTCAACTGCAAGAATGGGCACAGAACTTAGGAAGGGCTGTCACTGGTCCTCACCTGCTCCTGGCCACCTGGGGTCATCTTCCTTCCACATAACTCCCTCAGAAAACCTCACCTGTGTCAGCTGCACTTTCAGTAGTGCCTCCTCCCGCATGGACTGCTCTAACTTCCACTCCGTACGTGCTTTGCTGCGGCTGGACAACTGGATGGTGAAGAGTGAGAAGTTTCAATCTGGAGAGCCTGGGCATTTCCACACAGTGCCCCTTAAAAGGACTAGGGCTAGGCCCAATATACAACTCAGTCAGTAAAGATCAAGGCATTTCCAAGCCCGTGGTCTGGTTTTTAAAAGAACACAGTAAAGTTGGAACGGACAGGGAATGAGATTGAATTTATAGCTGGCTAACAGAGGCCCAGAGAGATCAGATAATATTGCTATTGTTATTACTGTTATTATTACCACTGTTTGAACCTTTGTGGAATACTTCACCAGGTACCGTGCTAACAATCCCATTTAATCCTCGCAACCACCATAGGAGACAGTTACTATGATTCCCTCTATTGTGGAGATGAAAAAACATGGAGTATTTGAGGTTAAGTGCTTGCCTAAGTTCACTTAGGCAGAGCTGGGATATAAACACCCAGGTCTATCCAATTCTCTAAGCCCGTTTTTCTTGCTGGGGATGGGGGCACAGATAGGAAGGGGAAAATTAATCTTTTGTTCACTTTTTGAAAGGATGATACATTTGCATAGTCCAAAACTCAGAAGGTACAGAAGGGAAGTATCTCCCGGCCATCTTGTTGCTCTCTCCTGAATTTTTTATGAACCCTTGCAGACATGTTTTATGTATATTATCACAGTATGCACACACACACACACACACACACACACGCACACACGTTTCCTCTTTCTACAGAAATGGTAACATACTAAAGGTACTCTTCTGTACCTTCACAGTACAAGTACCCAATACCCCACCTAGGACTTGCTCAAGACCACAGCCAGGTAAGGGCGGGGCAGGCACTTGGCCTCCAAGCTCTGCGTCCAGTGCTCACTCCCCACAGTACCCCCCAACTCACCCACAGCAGCTGACTCAGCCCCAGGCTGCCACTAAAAACCATACAAAAAAGTAGCAAGAAATGGCCATGCTGCCTTCTGGGCAGGACACGCCATCCTGCAGAAGGGACCTTTAGGCTCACTCCTCCATCTGCAAAGCCAGGCTCCCAGGGGATGGGGCAGGTGGTTGGACTCACCTGGTTTGCCTTCTTCTTCTGTGTGGCCATGACATTAGAGAGAACACTCTCTAACTCTCCTTTATGCTGCAATGAATGTTGCAGGCGGACAGCCAGATCCTTGGACTTTTCTGTAATGAGAAAGTTGAGATGGGGCCCAAAGGACTCCCCCTGAAGACCTGTCAAAGTGCCAGGTTGAAGGATGACAGGGTGCCCAGATTCCCACCTTCAAAGTATCTGAGAGAACGTTTCATGTGGTACAGGTCCGTATTTAGTTTCCCTTTCTGTATGTTCAATGTCTGGATTTGAACCTTTGGGAGAAAAGCCAAGCAAGTGCTGAAAGAGAAGGAAACAAACCTTCTCCGGAGGACAGGAGGAAACTGCACACCCTCCACTCACCTCTAGCACCCTTTTGGCTTTCTGTTTCTTGTTGTTTGCTTTCTTTTCCTGTAGGAAGAAGAAGACAGAGCTCTTACCAGGGGGAGGCAGAGATGGCACAGCAAGAGACATGCCCCCAGAATGCCACCAATGCCCCAGGACAGGCCCACCCATGGGACCAGGTTATCAGGGGCCCTGTGGGGATGGGGTGGAATCTGAAGGGTGAGCCTTCATCCCCAGGCTGGGAGTGGGTGAGACGAGACTGGGGCCTGTATGTCTGAGTGCCCCCCAAACCCAGCAGTCATGTTGCGAGGAAACGAAATCACGTTACTTCTTCCAGCTGATGTTCCACTTGTTTCTTCTGTTGTTTCTGTGGGGAGAGTCAAATAAGGTGATGGAGGGTGGCCCCCTCAACTCTATTCCCCAGACCAGGAAGTGGTAGGCAGGGGCCAGGAATGGATTTTAAAGGCAAAGTTCTCAGACATAATGGGAACACGAACCGGTAAACTCTCCTCAAGCTCCCAAGGACAGAGGATTTGGGTCTTTGTTGGCTTTTGCCCACAGCCACAGAACTCAAAGTCTGAATCTGGAATCTCTTGAGAGGACAGCAATATAAACCTCTAGAGATGGAGTTTCAGAAAGGCCCCTCCTTCTGGCAACTTGTGATTTAGAGAAGTGGGTTCATTCAATAAACATTTACTGAGCATGTATGGACCAGGTACGGTTCTTTACAGCAGATATAGGATGGAAAAGGACAGACAGGAGCCCTTAGCCCTGAGGTTTCCGTTCTAGGGGGCCTTTAAATCTCAGACTCGAGAGCTAACAGAGACCTTTGATACTCACTACCTCCTCTGGAAACACGAGCCCAAAAAGGAGAGGTGGCTTGTCCAGAATCAAAGAGCAAATTAGGGACTGAGTCATGGCAGAAATACGGGGCCCTTGACAACCAGTCAGGCTAGCACTTCCCCAAGAAGCAACAACCCCAGGGCGTGTGTAGCAAGGACTCGAGCAGGGGTGTCTGGAGAGGAGAGAGTCGGCAAAGAGGGCAGCAAAAGAAGAGCCATGCTGCATG
This sequence comes from Homo sapiens, assembly GCF_000001405.40. Lineage (NCBI taxonomy): Eukaryota > Metazoa > Chordata > Mammalia > Primates > Hominidae > Homo > Homo sapiens. Next base: position 2,779,816 of record NW_011332701.1, on the reverse strand, counting down.
CTCTGGGGTCCCTCCAGGTGAGGCCTGGGCACCCAAGCTCCCTATTTGTCCCAGGCACCAGGGACCCCCAGCCCCTTTCTTCAGGGCCCCAAGGGGAAACTGGAGCCCAGGATTGGCAGCATGGAATCAGGGGACCCCAGTGGACTCTTACCAGAGATTTGATGGTGTTCTTCAGTTGACTGATTTCTACGGACGTTGAATCCAGGACTACTGCTCGTTCTTGGCACGGGCTCTGAGGTGCATGCAGAGAGGAGGAGGTGGAGCAGGAGTGGGGGGAGAGGTAGAGAGAACAATCATTAGGGCTGGGGTGTGTGGGCTGTCTCAGCTGGCAGAGGGGCACCCAGTCCCACCTGGAGGAGGAGGTTGGAGGGTTGACCCGAAGGGTCACTGCACCTCTGCCCAGAGCCTCTTACCTCCAGATCTTTCAGGGTAGCAGATGATGTAGGGCCTTCCCTGTGGAAACCTGTTGCTGACTACAAGAGATGAGAGTGCACATGGAGATGTTCTGTCCCCCACAGTGTCTGAGCCCTCTGACTTCCTTTCTTCCCCATCAACTGGCAACATTTTCTTTTCTGCCTATCTTGGACCTTTTGTCCCATAACTCCTTTGTGCCAACTTCTCTCATGGTTCTTATCTCCCCACCATCCCATCCTGGGGCCCCTTCAGTGACTCCTGATGGCAAGTGGCTGTTCTCATTGTCCTGGTTTCCCCTTGAGACTGGGGATCAGGAAAATCAAACCATATCCTGGGTGTCCTGAGTGTTTACAGCAGGCCATGTACTAGGGATTAACATAAAAACAACAATAACAAATCTCATGAAAATTTCACAAATGGAAGTGAAACAATATCACCTCTATTATACAGATGTGAAAAGAGAGGCCCGATGAGGTCTAGCAACTTTCCCTAAATCATATCCCTAGCAGAGCAGATGGAGAGGCAGGATTCAAACCCAGAATTCCTTTTTTTTTTTTCTTTGAGACAGAGTCTTGCTCTGTCACCAGGCTGGAGTGCAGTGGCATAATCTTGGCTACGGCAAGCTCCACCTCCCAGGTTCACACCATTCTCTTGCCTCAGCCTTCTGAGTAGCTGGGACTACAGGCACACGCCACCACGCTTGGCTAATGTTTTTGTATTTTTAGTAGAGACAGGGTTTCACCGTGTTAACCAGGATGGTCTCGATCGCCTGACCTCATGATCCACCTGCCTTGGCCTCCCAAAGTGCTAGGATTACAGGCGTAGGCCACCACACCCGGCTAAAGCCAGAATTCTTAACCAGTACCCAGCAGTCCATCCACAATCTTAAGAATTACCCTCTATTGCCCCTTGGGCCCCCTGTCCCCAGAAGCCTGGTCAGCCAAGACTCACATCCCCAGGTGGCTGGCAACCACCAGAAGTGGCTTTCTCAGGGACACTGCCATTTGTTTTCCTGTTCCTGTTCGCTCCTGCTGGAACTCTAGGGCTGTTTTTCTGCCAATATTCTTTTAACTGTTGGAAAGAAGAGCAGTAATACTCATGAGAACCGTCAGCCCCTGCAGCCACATCCTCCTTTACAGTTTTTACAAAATACACTTACACACCATCTGATTTAATGACACCAACAACCGTACAAGGTGTTGTCACACTCATTTAGTGACTGAGAAGGATTGATATCATGGCTAGAAAAAAAAAAGAAAAAGGCAATACTGGAACTTTGAAACTCAGTCTTCTGACTCCAAGCTCTGAGGTTTTGCCAAGAATCAGCAGCTGCCAGGGACCAAAACCAGAGGCAGAGGTAGAAAAGTAAACATTAAGTAGGCAGGAACTGTATGCCATGTGGTTTAGAGTCATACATCCTCACACGTCTGTTAGTGTGAAGAAGTGCACCAGTACCTCTCAAACTCTTATATCAATGTGTCCTCATGGCAGAAGGCAGCCTTTCTCTTAAATCAGAATTTATCAGAAAGAGGACAACCCAAGCCTCATTTCAGAGAGAGGGCTGGTATACTCTTAGAAACCTATGTGACTGTCATCCCTAAGTACATTCATGTTTTTTCTCTTGATCTCAAGAGAATCAAGGGAAACTGATGCTTCAGAAAGATGTCCCACATTTATCCTGTGGCACTCAAAGTACCCAAGGTTGAGATAATATGAGGAAGATTCAAGGTGTCAAGTTCAGTTTCCCAAGATCTATTCCACAGAAGATGAGCAAATGTCACTTCAGAGACCACTGACTGAAGGAGAGTCTGGTCCCAGAACCATGGAGAATTAGAATATGAGGTGGAGAACTCAGAAAAAAATGTTAAAATCTCTCTGGAAAGTAGAAGCCTGGGAGAAAACCAAATCAAACCCATTCTCTCATTGCCACCCAGAGATACTGTCAACGTTTTGAGTTCATGGGGGAAGTGTAGGCTTTTCCCACCGTCAACATCTGTAAGGGAGTGAGGCAGCCTGGAACCTCTTGCTCCTAGGTCCCATAGTCTCCATTCCCCTTCCAGCTGGAAATTTGTGCTGTGACCAGAGGAACCAGAAACGGGGTGAGAACGCTTAGGGGACTGGGTCGTAAGATCAAAGGCCAGTCTTGCAGTAACAGCAGTTACTAGGTGGACTGTGACATCACAACATTCCACTCCTCCTGGTCGGGGGGAGGGACCATGTCAGCACCATGTCCAAGTCGCTGCTCCACGATGGGGGAGGGAAGCACAGGGTTGGGACCCAGCTCCTTGGAGACGCCAGCACAAAGAACCCAGGGAGGTCGACCTTGAGGCAGCAGGAGGGGAGGGCACAGTCTGCAGCAGGGAGTCCCAGGAGTCACCAGTCCAAAGTCACCCAGGGATGACTGGCGAGGGTGGGGCCTGGCTCCTTGGAGATGAGAGCCCAAAGAGCCCAGGGAGATCAAGCTTGGGGCGGCAGGAGATGAGGGCCCAGTAATGGAGCGGGAAGCCCCAGGAGTCACCCACCCAAAGTCACCCTGGGGTGATTGGCGAGGGCAAGGACTGGGCTGCTTGCTGAAGGGGTGGGGCTGACTGACAAAACTTTGATGGGGGTAGCCCAGAGGCACCGGGGTAGGGGGGACCAGTCCAGTGTGCCTCAGGAGTCGTATAGACTCTGGCAGGGGTCTTGTCATCAGAGGGGATCTGTGGCTGGGTTGAGGGGCTATGACCTAGTGCGTTTTTACCTTTTTCTTGGCTGCAGCCAATTTGTTGTGTTGAGTTTCTTCTGCCATCGCAGGGTGGGGAGGGAGGCAGGGTTGGGGTCACAGCAGCAAAATCTCAATGAGAACCAATCAAGGCCTCCAGTCACCTACCAGGCAGCTGTGTGACTGAGCCAGAGGAGGCGTAACCAGGGCCCCAGTAGAATGCGGAATAGGGGCGTGGCCTTAATGCTCCAAGCCCATTGGTCAATGAGAAAGATGAAAAGGAAAGGGGGCGTGGCCAGAAAGCAGTGTGTCCAGAGGGCCCTGTGGCTCACAAGGAAAGCTGCCCATGGCAACCGCTCTCGCCACCCACTCTAAGAGAGGGGAGAGGCCTCCCACTCTGGAAGAGAAGAGGGGCCGGCTTTTGCTTTAAAAGCTTTAAAACTTTAAAAAATATATGTGTGTATACTTTATATATATGTGTGTCTGTGTGTGTGTATCTATGTTTTTCTCCTTAGCTGTCTTCATTATCCAGCTTCTATGCAAGGTCTATGATTTTGGCCTATATTTTTCATCTTTGATTACAGTACAAAAATTACCAGTATTACCTTAACTGAGATACAGATCCTATAAAAATGGAAAATGCATAGCATGCTTGATGATTAATGAAGCAGACTATATTATCCAACATTCTAATAAGATAAAATAATCACAATGATTTCTCTTTTTTGGAAAAATGTTTCTCTTATTCTCCTGCGTTTTCGTTAAGATTTTTTTTCTTAAACAAGAAACATGTCTAATATCTGTAAAAACACAAAGCTTTTTGGGCAGGGTGCAGTGGCTCATGCCTGTAATTCCAGGACTTTGAGAGCCCCAGGTGGGTGGATCATGAGGTCAGGAGATCGAGACCATCCTGGCTAACACGGTGAAATCCCATCTCTACTAAAAATACAAAAAAGGCCGGATGGGGTGGCAGGCAACTGTAGTCTCAGCTACTTGGGAGGCTGAGGCAGGAGAATGACATGAAACCCCGAGGTGGAGCTTGCAGTGAGCCAAGATCATGCCGCTGCACTCCAGCCTGGCTACAGAGCAAGACTCCATCTCAATAAATAAATAAATAAATTAATTAATTAATAAAAATAAAAAATTAATAGTAAGAGCAATGTGAACAAAAGTTGTAATAAAATAATTTAGAAAATACAAACTATTAAAAAATAGATTTTAAAGCTTGTGCAACAAAGTCAAACAGCACCCAACGAAAATGTATACCCTTATATGTTTGTTTAAAAAGCAATTTAAATTACATTGATCCACTAAACTGGGAAAAGCAAAACAAACAAAAAGGGGGAAATAATTAAGACATAAGGAAAAAGGAAAAAGAAAAACCACTAGATTTAAAAAATAAAACTAAAGGAGGATTCTTTCAAAAGAGTGAGATAATAAAACAGTCAAGCCTCTGATAAGTAATCAAGATAAAGAAAACTTTGAAGAGAAAAGGGCATATAGCCACATGTGAATATGATGCAAAAAGTGAAAACTTTACACATCTTTACAACACCTTAGAAGTATGGATGACATGTTCATTTTTTTTTTTTTTTTTTTGAGACGGAGTCTTGCTCTGTCACCCACGCTGGAGTGCAGTGGCGTGATCTTGGCTCACTGCAAGCTCCGCCTCCCGGGTTCACAACATTCTCCTGCCTCAACCTCCCGAGTAGCTGGGACTACAGGCGCCCGCCACCACGCCTGGCTGATTTTTTGTATTTTGGCTTAGTAGAGACGGGGTTTCACCATGTTAGCCAGGATGGTCTCGATCTCCTGACCTCGTGATCCACCCGCCTCGGCCTCCCAAAGTGCTGGGATTACAGGCATGAGCCATCGCACCCGGCCAAAGTGTTCATTTTTTTTTTTTTAAGAACCTACAGTTATGAAAACTAACTGGAAAGAAATGGGTTTTGGGAAAGATTGAGTACATTTTTGTGATGTTCAACATTATTTTTTCTTACAGTTTTAAAAACACAATTGATGTTTCTATCAATTTGACTTAAAAAAATTAAGAACTATATTAAAATTTACCAGCAGAGGGGAGTGAAGGAACACAAAGCAACTTTCAGTTTAGGGTAATTTTTGGGCATAAACAGGGCAGCAATGTCCTCAACTCTATTCTTCTTTATTAGCCAGTGAATCCATGTGAGCTCATTAAATGTTATTAACAGCTCAGTCTATAATGGAGGGCAAATAAAGAGACTTGTAGGTCACAAAGGTATTGACTTTTGATCAGAAGTTCCAGGGGGCGAGAAGAATGAACTAACTCCATGCATTCTTTTTGTGTTTTTGTTTTTGTTTTTTTTGAGACGGAGTCTTCCTCTTTTGCCCAGGCTGGAGTGCGGTGGCTCAATCTCGGCTCACTGCAAGCTCCGCCTCCCAGGTTCACGCCATTCTCCTGCCTCAGCCTCCCGAGTAGCTGGGACTACAGGCGCCCACCACCACGCCCAGCTAATTTTTTGTATTTTTTAGTAGAGACGCGGTTTCCTCGTGTTAGCCAAGATGGTCTCGATCTCCTGACCTCGTGATCTGTCCGCCTCGGCCTCCCAAAGTGCTGGGATTACAGGCATGAGCCACCGCGTCCGGCTCCATGCATTCTTATGGCCACATTTTTCCAGTTTGAAGTTTTATTTTCCGAGTTTCTTGAAACAATTGTGAAATCAGTTTTATTACACTAAAATCACTGTATTTTCTTATTTTTGGATATCTATTTAAAAATATTCATTTAGAATGACATTCCAGTGAAATACATTTTTAACGGCTGTTCTATGTCACAGGGATAACAATTTGACTTTCACAAACTGTATTTCAGACGTACAAGGTCTTCATTTTGATGAAGAGGGGCTGTGGGAACATAATCTGATGCCTGTTCAAAATGTACCAGAAGTGCACGCATGTGTATGCAGGCATGAGCGCACACACACACACACACACACAAAACCCCATTGGGATTCCATTTAGCACACACACACACACACACACACACACACAAACCCCACTGGGATTCCAGTTAGCACGCACACACACACACACAGACACACACACACAGCCCATTGGGATTCCAGTTATTTACCTCGAGATGGATGCTTGCTGATGTTCCAAAACCTCTTTAGGTCTTAAGGCAAAGGGCCTTTTGAATGCAAAAACCCTTACCTAGATGGAATAGACAGCAGCAATCATTGTCAACAACCTGAAATATATATTGAGTAGTTCCCATGCTAGACATTAGAGACATAAAGATGCAGAAGAGGCCATCGCCTTAAGGGAAATAATCCCGTTCAGACAAATGAGAATACATTGTGTAATGAGCTATCTCTTATAGGAAAGATGAAGACCAATCACCAACAGACCAGAATTCCAATATTTCACCAACTTGTAATATTATTCCAACTTCTCCTTCACATTCACTTAATTCTCATAGAGCAGTAACCAGAGTTTTGTGTTCTTTTTCTTTTTCTCTTCTTCTTCTTTTTTTTAAAAAACAAAGTCTTGCTTTGTCGCCCAGGGTGAAGTGCAGTTGTGCGATCTCGACTCACTGCAGCCTCCACCTTTTGGGTTCAAGAGATTCTCATGCCTGAGCCTCTTGAGTAGCTGGGATTACAAGCATCTGCTACCATGCATGGCTAATTTTTGTCTTTTTAGTAGAGACAGGGGGTTTTATCACATTGGTCAGGCTGGTCAGTTTTGTGTTCTTACTAGAGAGTTCTACTCTGTTATGTCAGAGAAGGAAAATGTCTTTTGATTTCATTTCAATGAAATGTCTATTCATTAATTACATCTTCATTGGCATTTCATACAGGATTAAGACTATCTTCTTTGCCTTAATGGTATACTGTGTGCATTGTTCCTTACCCATCGTAGCAGCTTTGAAGGTCTTTTATCCATATTGGTATTTTCCAGTACCAGAAAACCAAGTCTTGAAAGAAGGACTTCATGTCTTATCCATGGACACGCCATGGTTCCAGAATGTGTTGTCAGTTGATAAGATAGGCTTGATTTGTTACTGGTCTTAATGAGGGCTTTAGGTCAGCACACCAGGCAATGTAGGAGTTCTGGGACTGTTAGGGAAGGCCTGATGGAGAAAATGGAATGTTAGCTGGGCTTTAAAGAGAAAGTAGAAATTAGATCACTGGGGGAGGGGGTAATGTAAAAAACATTCCAGGTAAGAGAAAGTGCTTAGCAAGTAAGAAAGCATCCAAAATATTAGAAAGTACCAGGCTGGTGCAGTGGCTCACACCTGTAATCCCAGCACTTTGGGAGGCCAAGGCAAGTGGATCACTTGAAGCCAGGAGTTCAAGACCAGCCTGGCCAATATGGTGAAACCCTGTCTCTACTAAAAATACAAAAGTTAGCGGGGCATGGTGGCATGAACCTGCAGTCCCAGCTACTTGTGGGGCTGGGGCTGAGGCTGAGAATCTCTTGAACCTGGGAAACAGAGGTTGCAGTGAGCCGAGATCACACCACTGCACTACAGCCTGGGCAACAGAGCGAGACTCTGTCTCAAAAAATAAATGAATAAATAAGTAAAATAAAAAATAAAATGCTTACAGGAACTTCAACCACAATTTTTCTTGTTCACTGATAGTAAATCTAATAGAGAATTCAGGATTTATCTTACACTTGAAATTTTGTTACTGATTACTGAAAAATTATCTACAAGCACCCAATTGTGAGTTTTACAGAAACCTGGTCTCAGGAGTTATGAACCAAAGATTCACCAGTGGACTCCGCAGAGTTTTCAGATCCCCTGAAATCATGTGCTAGGTGCTGACTGCATTTTTCTGGAGAGGCTATAATGGTTTTCATTCATCTGATTCCTCTCAAATGGTAAAAATCACCAGTGGAATGGAGCCACACATCCTGTAGCAGAAACTTCTAAAAAACCAGGAAAAAGATGAAACGTGGTACCATGTACCTGCTCAGCCTCTACAGATCCTGCTTCCGGAAGTTGAAACAAATTCTTAAAACTTGCACAACTTTTTTTCTAGTGCTTGAATGACCTCTAGTGGCTCCTTAAATTATCACAGCCAATTGCTCACAGCAGGAAATAGGTTGATGTAAAAGAAATTCACAGATTTTGCCATTAAAAGTAACAAACTAAAGAACTAAAAGGTGTGGAGAAATAATAAAATTAAGATGGCATCACAAAGGAGCACCTGGCTCAATTTCAAGTTATTATATAAGCTCCCTACTATCCAACCAAATGTAGTTCACAATACAGTGTGTGTAATTCAAAACAGTTCACCAGATAGTTCAGTACACACCATTTTTTAAATGAAATAAGTATGATTTTCCCTAAGGTCTTGCATTTCAAATTAATAAAGCATCAGCAAACACCCATGAAGAGAACAGTACCGGAATCAAAGATACAAGAACCTCGGGAATTAACACCCACCCTTTCCTCTCAGTTGAGGCAGGACCAGGAATACAACGTTGACAAAGTATAACTGGAGTAGCAGAAATACTTTGAGAATACAAACTGGCCACAGAACTCAACCTGAGTGAGCACAAGTAACAAATATGGTCCAGGAACTGCTGGGCCAAACTCTCCAAGTGGGAGTGCAGCAGCCGCAACAGCAAGTACCAGTAGAACAAGGGCAGCACATCACCCAGGGTGACAAGCAGGTCCCAGATTACTTCACATGCCCTCTGCCCAGTCCCTTGAGAATTCCTGCAGCAGCAAAACATACCATCTTCCAGGCACTGCTACAGGGAGTCCCAAGCATACTGATACACTTTCATTCACTTATTTCAAAATATTTGTCAGTATCTAGATATACACAAGACACTGTCTAGGCACGGGGGTGGAGTGTTGAACAAGACAATTCACAATCCCTGTTCCAATGGAGCTTGTAGTCTAGTATGGAAAGAGAAATAAATACATAAAATGCCAGGTGGTGATATATGCTGTGAAAAAGATCAAGTAGAACAAGGGGTTTGGAAATTACAGGGTGCCCATAGTATTCTTTTCTATAAGTTGATCATCTCAATTCAGACTAGCTGTTCTTCAAGCACTCAATAGCCACAGTGGCTGGTGGCTACTATACTGGATAGTGGAACACATCTGAAACTATCATCCATGCCTTTTTAATTCACAATCTTTATCCTCTTTCTTTCTGAATCCTAAGAGAATTCATCCAACTGATCTTCAAATTCACTAACTCAGCTTCCTAAAGTATCCATAATCTACTGCAACTACTGAATCATTTAATTCAACAGTCATATTTTACATATTCAGAGGCTCTTTCTTCACAGCTTCTGAGCAACAAATGCCTGCTCTGACGATGCATGAATATCCTCTAAAATCTTGGGACTTTGTCTTGGACTTTATGTTCTCTCCCATCTTCTACAGCTACTCCATCTCACTGGAGACCTTTTGCTCTGAGCCATCAGAAGGAACCCCCATTTTTAAGATCCTAAGCCTTCTCATCTTCCTGGTAATACTGCCCTATATGCTCAATCTTTTAGATAAAAATCTACTCGACACATCTCTGAGAACCAAGTTGGGTACCATCAGTAATCACACAGGTCACAATTCATTTATTTTAGGCCCCCCAAAAAAGGAAAAAATTAGACTTAGTGGCATTTTACTAGTAGCTCAGAGATCCAACAGTTTGCAGGAAATAGAGATGTAATTGTAAGCAAGGGAAATACAGTGAAATTATATTAATCTCCACCCAGACACTGTAAGGCCAGCTGGTATACTATCCCAGCAATTGGCTACTGCAGTGAATGGCACAGAGAGAAAAGTTTCCAATTCCTCTTGAGGCTCCAAATACCAATTGGCTACTATAGTGGACAACACAGACATAGAAAGTTTTCCAATTCCTCTTAAAGCCCCAAATACCACACAACCAGCTTCAGCTCTACAAAATCCTCTCTCCCTTACCCTTTTTAACTTCCTTCAGGACCTCTTGCTATTTCCCCTAAAAAGCCTTGGTTCTTTTCACCTACACTGACTCTTGAGCCTCTCCCAGTTCAAGGTATAACACTCTATTACCAATAAAGTGTAATATACATTAACAGAATAGGTAGAAAGTAATCTTTCATACGAAAACACTAAAAGCCAGAAGAATTTGAATTTTGAATTATAAGCTATGATTTAATTAGGAAATACATTAGCTGTAACAAAATGTTGGACAGACTACAAGAAAACGGGAAATGAACAAGCCTTATTCAAAAACAAATGAAATAATGATGAGTAGGGTTCACGAGCCTTGTTAACTCTGCTGTGCCATTTTAATGATGGACTACATTGTAAATGAGCCGCTATGTTTAAGCCTAAAGGTCTGTTGAGGTGATAAGTTTTTGAACAATTTCCACAATCCCACAAAGAAAAGTCAAGTGAAGGTCAAGGAAAGCCGCATGTTCTAAATTACAGAATCAACAACAGTATTTCTTGTCATTCATCACATTTCAGTCATAAAAGACATTACCTCAACAACAGGTGTATTTTCCTGGAGATCAGTTTTGTGCGAAGCCAGTAAACCAATCACCCGAGCAACCTTGGCCCATCTGTAAACGGAGAGAAAACAGGCTCTGAAGAGAAGAGTCAGGGACTGAGGAAACTAACCCCAGCTAGTTACATTATGCAATGATGAGCATTAGATACAAGACTGTGAAATAAAAATTGAATGTGACAGGTCAGGCCCACACTCCCCCATGTACACAGCCCAGAGAAACTCTCCCTCGTATACACAGGGAGACATGAACTGTAATGTCTGCTGTAATTCTGCAACAGCAACAAAATTTAAACAAGTTATGGTGTAATAGTAAAAGGAAAAACAAAATTTGTTAAAAGCCTTAACCAGAGAAAAGAGCAACACAGTAATTAATCATTTTATTGCTGAGTACAGAGGCATTTGGCTAAAGGTCTCTTTTCTACTTGTTAGTAGATCAGTGAGTTTCTACGTAAGTGCTAAATATCTGAACAATAACATATCTGTATGTATTCATTTTAAAAGAAATTTTTACAATCAAAAGTTTCTAAAATATTGTACTATTTCCATAATCACTAGTCTTAATGAGGTGTGCCTTTAGTATCCAGCAGAAAACTGAATTTGATAAATCACAATTAATAAATCACATTCAGTGTGATTTGAAAAGGTATTTCATGCAGAAAAATTAGTTTTGATGAGAATTTTTTCTAATTGAAACAAATGGTGAGTTGATGAGAACTGCACTCATTGGGTGATGTCTGCATGTTGTCTGGAATAATCAATATGTACCTTAGTCAGCTTTTATTTTTTACCTTCTTAAAATAAACCTATGTGGCACCCATGGAGGAAAACAAATCAGACTCAGAGAAGTACTTCAGGGAAAATGTCTGCGTTATCACAACTCTAACATACAGAAATAATTCTTAGAAATTTCAACACTTATTAAATTGCCCATTAAAATTTCTTAACATATACAAATTAAAGAAGACCTAGGCAATTGTAGAACTAGCATCCTACCTCTGAATAAAAAGATTATAGTTTAAAAGTAATCATTTTGAAAAATATCTGTAGGATAATTGGAAAAGCCATCCTCCCACCACAACCCCCCAAGTAGCTGGGACTACAGGCATGCACCACCACGCTCAGCTAATTTTTTTACTTTTTGTAGAGATGGGGTCTCGCTATGATGCCCAGGCTGGCCTTGAGCTCCTGACAAACAATCCTCCCATCTCAGCCTCCCAAACTGCTGCGATTACAGGTCTGAGCCACTGCACCTGCCTGTCTATCTCTTTTCAAAGACAAGCTCAAAATACTTTTGAAACACTGAACCATTTTTCAATCTATAAAAGTAAATAATGGCTACCAGATTTAATCAATGGAAATAAAAATGTATCAACAAGCCAATTATTTTCCCTAATATGACCAAAACAATTCCTATTAGAACAAAAGAAAACACACTACCTAAAAACCCTATACTTTTAAAATAGAAACTTTAAATAGCTTATGAATAGTCACTTTTTACCAAAATCCTAAATACAAGTACCACATGCCCCATAGACAACACCCTCACAGTACAGGTTCCTTCTCAAAATTCAGGTTTTCTCAGGTCACCACTCCAGGTGCCCCCAGTGACTTGACACTGTACCTCAGAACCAACCCATCTCCATGACGGCATCTAAGGCACCACTGTCTACCAAACCTTCGTGCACTGACAAATGTCCCACATCTGCACTGTTCAATCCAGTATCCACTAGACACATGACTATCAAGCACATAATATATGACACATGCAAGTGAGGAACAACAAATTTTATTCAAATTAATTTTTTTTTTTGGGGGGAGACAGGGTCATCCAAGCTAGAGAGCAGTGGCGCAGTCTCCGCTCACTGCAATGCCTCCCGGGCTCAAGTAATCCTCCCAATTCAGCCTCCCAAGTAGCCGGGACTGTAGGTGTGTGTCACCACACCTGGCTAATTTTTGTATTTTTAGTAAAAACAGGGTTTCACCATGTTGTCCAGGCTGGTCTTGAACTCCTGAGCTCAACTGATCTGCCCACCTCAGCCTCCCAAAGTGCTGGGATTATAGGCGTGAGCCACTGTATTTGGCCTTAATTTTTATTTTAAAAATTACCCCCACAGTTGAGGGTGAGGGAGACAGTGCCCTGGGGTAATTAGTCATCTTTCATGTGCCTAGTCCTGGTTACCTCGTAAGTAGGACCGATAACAATACGTACCGCATGTTGTTAAAAGAATCAAAGGAGATAATCCATGTGCAGAAAGTACCATTGTGTCCGACAATACATGCTGAATGAGTAAGCTACTATTAATTTAACTAATTTAAATAACCCCCATGAAGTGAATGGCTACCACATTAGAGCAGAACTAAAATTTTGCAGTTACTTATTCATTCGTTGACTGGTTTATTGTCTGTCTCCTCGACCAGCCCAGAAGATCCATGAAGGCAGGGCTGTATCCCGATCGCCACTGTGACACCTAGACAGTGCTTGGAGCGCACTCGGGCATCTAAAAATGTTGGTTGAACAAATATATCAACATCAAAAGCAAAATAAACACATTAGTAGGAAAGGAGTGCATAAAAGTATGGCTGTCCAAGGCAAACAAAATGCAAACAGGATTGCCAATGTAAATCTCAGCAGAATTCAAGGCTAAACTCTTCAGAAGAAGATTCCCTTTAAACGAAACACCATATGACCTACAGAAGATCTAAGGTGTGAATCTTTATACACCAAATAACAAAGCACGCAAAGTAAACCCATGGTAGTGGTAAACTTCAATTTTCTTCTCTTCCAAGCACAGAGAGAAGGCAATAACGAATATATTAATCAATACATTCACACATTCAAGCATCCTAAATAAAACTAATGAAGTCAAAGTAACAGACGTATCTATCAAACTCTACACCCTACAAACAGTGACCACCCTTACTCAGTGGGAGGCTGCATAGGATGGTGTCTAACACTCTAGAATTCAAAGTCTTGGACCTAGCTCTGGCCCACCATTGGAGGTGAGGGAGACAGTACCCTGGGATAATTACTCATCTTTCATGAGCCTGGTTTCATGTTGTTCTAAGAATCAGGAGATAATCCACATGCAGAAATTACCACTGTGTCCTGACAATTTGTGCTGACTGAGCAAACTACTAGTACTACATTATTATCAATACTTGACTACATTCATGGCATACATTTAAAATGATTTTATATTGGACCACAAAGATAAATTATTAGAATTCCCTAGGGCAGAAATTATAAAGGACTCATTTTGATGTAACAAAAGGAAAAAAGTAAAAATAACAAATACAAACCAAAAAACCTAAACACGTGTGGAGTTAAAAGCACTTCTCCTGGGCATGGTGGCTCACGCCTGTAATCCCAGCACTTTGGGAGGCCAGGGCAGGCTGATTACTTGAGGTCAGAAGTTCAAAACCAGCCTGGCCAACATGGTGAAATGCCATCTCTACTAAAAAATACAAAAATTAGTCAGGCGTGGTGGTGGGCGCCTGTAATCCCAGCTACTTGGGAGGCTGAGGCAGGAGAATCGCTTGAACCCAGGAGGCGGAGGTTTCAGTGAGCCGAGATCGTGCCACTGCACTCCAGCCTGGGCAACAGAGCGAGACTCCGTCTCAAAAATAAATAAATAAATAAAATAAAGCACTTCTAAACCTTATACATCATATTAAAAAATAAAAACTTTGGCCGGGTACAGTGGTTCACACCTGTAATCCCCAGCACTTTAGGAGGACAAGATGGAAGGATCACTAAGGCCAGGAGTTCAAGACCAGCCTGGCCAACAAAGTGAGACCCTGTCTCTAAAAAAAAAAAAAAAAAAAAAAAAATTTAATTTAGCCAGGCATGGTGGCATGTACCTGTAGTCCCATTCCAGTCTGGGGAACACAGTGAGACCCTATTTTTTTTAGAGTGAGTCTCTAAAAATAATAATAATAAAAAATACATAAAAGAAACAAAAGGAAAAATAAAAGGGAAAGGGAAAGAAATAAAGCATCCCTAAATCACAATCGTGTAAGTAACACAGATGCAAACTTATGAGATATTCTCTGTCTTTAATGATTGCACACTGAACACTTGACACTCACTTTTCTGAACCCTCTAGAGTCTCTAAAATACAAGCTCTTTTTATTAAATGATAATTGGAAACAAAAAGGAGGGCTAAAAGTGGACTAGAAAGTTTGAGAAAATCTCAGATGACATGCACAAATAGAATTAAGACTGACAGAGAATCAACAAAGGAATCCCCTGTCTAAGAACCACAGGTAGACAGACGTTCCCAAGGAAGCCTCAGGGACTTGGAATAAACTAAGACAAAAAGAAAGAATGAGCCACAGGACAATAATCAGATTAAACAACTGCACAAGGAAAAATTGTGTCCTTGTACAAGGAACAGCAGAGCCAATCAGGTCCTGTCTCTTTTCCATCTCCCTTCCCTGGTACACAGAATAAACCCTGCAGCCCTGGCCTCCTGGGTAAATGTGGAAAATCATTCCTACAGTGAGCAATCCACCTTGCTCACTGGATGGATGGATGTGGGAAGCAGCAACTGTGGTCCTCCAGATACCGAAGCGGGGAAGGGAATAAATGAGGAAAGCCAGTTCCACTGCAAAGAAAAACCCACCCTGGCAATTGCAGAGGCCTCCAGCCTGCCTACTGATCTTCAGCCAGCTGGAATCCCAAATTAAAGTCAACCAGTCAACAGGCCTCACCTACCCACATACCAGCCCTTTCTTTAAAGGAGAAGCTATTGGAGAAAGAGACTTAGGCAAGAATAAAGGAAACTCATATTGCCAACTTCTATACCAATCAATTTAATCATTTATTCATAATATAAATGAAGAACCAGAGATCACCAGGCATTTGAGAAATAAACAGCATTAAAAAGCAGGACCATGATGAAAAAGAAGTGACCTGCAAGTTCAAGAGATAAGAATACAATGTTCATAATCCTAATTTTGTTCCCTTTTTTTCAAAGTCCAGGTTCCAGGCTTATATTATATAATCCTAATGTTTAGCCTTAAATATTAATAACAATATTTAATTCTAAATTCTGCTCCAAGACGAGGATTTTTATAATCCTAATATTTATCCTCAAATTCAAAAGTATATTATACACCAAATATAGGCAGCTAGGAAAAAGGACCAATCAGAGAAAAAGAAAATGAACAAAAACTTTCAAATATGATTGTTGAAATTAAAAAATTAACTGGAAATCCTAAATAATAAAATGAGTGGGGATAAATATCAAGTTTGAGAGCTCAAAGATAAAGTCAAGGAAGAGCAATAAAAGAAGAAAGTTTGCATGGACACAAAGAGGGAACAATCGACACGGGGGCCTATTTAGGGTGGAGGGTGGGAGGAGGGAGAGGATCAGAAAAAATAACAATTGGTCCTTACCAAGCTTAGTGCCTGGGTGACCAAATAATTCATACAACAAACCCCCATAACATGAGTTCACCTATATAACAAACCTGCATGTGTACCCCTGAACCTAAAATAAAAGTTTAACAAAGAGACTTTGGCAGTTCTTCAAAAGGTTCAACACAGAGTTACCATTTTATCCAGCAATCTCACCACTGTAGGAGAAATAAAAACGTATATGTTCACACAAAACCCTGTGGACAAATGTTCAGAGCACCATTATTCATAATAGCCAAATGTGGAAACAACCCCAAATGTCCATCAAGACCACATAAGCAAAATGTGGAATAGCCATACAAAGATTATTCAGCTAGAAAAAGAATGAAGTACTCACACATTCCACCATACGGAGGAACCTTGAAAACATTATGCTAAATGACAGAAGCTAGACACAAAAGGCCACACACTGTATGATTCCATTTATATGAAATATCAAGAATAGCAAATCAGCTGACAAGAAGTAGATTAGTTGTTGCCAGGGGTTGGAGAAGAATGGGTACTGGGTTTCACTGGGTGAGAAAACTGTTCTGAAATTAGATAGTGGTGATGGTTGAACAGTTTTCAATATACTGACACCTACTGAACTGTACACATTAAAATGGTGAATTTTATGGTATGTGAATTATATCTCAATAAACAAGAGCAAGTGAGAAAGCAAAAGAAAATTTGAAAGAAGAGTCAAGAGACACAAACTCCCACACCCATCCTGTAGGGGTTTCAGGAACAGAAAAAGGGTGAAATAGAGAGGAAGAAATCTAGGAAGTAATATAATAGCTAAAGGAGGGGTGAGGAGGCTGGGCATTGTGGCTCACACCTGTAATCCCAGCACTTTGGGAAGCCAAGGCGGGAGGATCACATGAGGTCAGGAGTTCGAGACCAGCCTGGCCAACATGGTGAAAACCCATCTCTGAACTAAAAATACAAAAATAAGCTGGGCATGGTGGCGTACACCTGTAATCCCAGCTACTTATGAGGCTAAGGCAGGAGAACTGCTTGAACCCGGGAGGCGGAGGTTGCAGTGAGCCAAGATTGCGCCACTGCACTCCAGCCTGGGCAACAGAGCAAGACTCTATCTCAAAATAAATGGAAAGAAAAGAAGGGAAGGAAGGGACGGGAGGGGGGAAGGAAGGGACGGGAGGGAGGGAGAGAGAGAGGAAGGGAAGAAGGAAGGAAGGAATTAAGGAAGGAAGGAAGGAAAGAAGGAAGGAAGGAAGGAAGGCAGGCAGGCAGAAGCAAATTAGTAAAAAGAGATGGCAGGCAGGCAGGCTGAAGCAAATTAGTAAAATGAAATTCCTAGAGACAATCTAGTAAAATTTACAGGCCTGGAATAAAAAGAAAAGCTAACTCAAACAAGACCTACAAAATAGGGAGGAAAAAAGAAGGTAAGGTTGACTCCCAAGTCCTACAGAGCTACAGTTAGTAAAGAGAAGACAGCTCAAACTCCAAAGCATGGCACAGAGGTAAGCCACTGAGAGGCCTTCTTGAAAACAAAACAAAACAAAAAATCTACCAGCTGGGTGCGGTGGCTCACACCTATAATCCCAGCACTTTGGGGGGCCAAAGCGGGTGGATCACCTGAGGTCAGGAGTTCAAGACCATCTGGCCAACACGGTGAAACCTCGTCTCTACAAAAATACAAAAATTGCTGGGCATGATGGCAGGTGCCTGTAATCCCAGCTACTTGGGAGGCTGAGATGGAATGATCGCTTGAACCTGGGAGGCAGAGGTTGCAGTGAGCCGAGATCACGCCACTGCACTCCAGCGTGGGCGACAGAGCGAGACTCAATCTCAAAAAAAAAAAAAAAAAATTGGCAAATGACTTGACTAGACCTTTCTCCAAGGAAGATATACAAATAGCCAACAATCACAAAAAAAGATGTTCAACATCACTAGTCACAAAATACAAATCAAACCCATGAGATACTAACTTCACACCCATCAGGTGTGAAAACACTAATGTTCATAGCAGCATTGTTCACAATAGCCAAAAGATATAAACAAGCCAGTGCCCAACAACAGATGAAAAGATAAACTGTGGTATATTACATACAAAGGGATATTATTCAGCCTTAAAAAGGAATGAAATGCTGACACATGTTAGTTACAACATGGATAAACCTTGCAAATGAAACCAGCCCAATTGTCCTATAGAACTGATGTTTACAGTCTTTTAAAATAAAGATAGAAATTGACCCTCCCAGTCTTAAAACTTGAGAAAGTTACATTTGTCTTATCTGAGTTCCTTTCTTGGGAAACCAACCATCAGGCCTCCCAGATAGTTATCAAGGAACTGAAACTTACCAGATCACCACATCTGGACCATAAGACACCAGACCACCTCACCCATCACAATTGCCTAACCAACTACCTGCTTCCTGTCGACCAACTCCTCTCCCTCACCCTTCCCTAACTCCTGTTTTCCCATACGTGGTTACATTTCTTCCCTGCTAAATAAACCCGTGGTTTTAGTCAGTCGAGGAGACAAATTTGAGATTGATCTCCCATCTCCTTAGCTGCAGCACCCAATTGAAGCCTTGTTCCCTAGCAACACTCATCGTCTCCGTGATTGGCTTTCTGCGCTGTGAGCAACAGGACCTAGACCAAACCCCTCGATGTTTCAGTAGCAATATGAGGTACTCACCATAAGCAAATTTACCAACATAGAATAAGTAGAGTATAGGTTACCAGGACTGGGGAAGGGAAAGGAAAGGGGAAGTTATGTTTAACGGGTAAAGAGCTTCTGTTCAAGATGACGAAAAAGTTCTGGAAATGAATAGTGGTGATGGTTACACAACAATGGGAATGAACTAAATGTCACTGTACACATAAAAATAGCTAAAATGGAACATTTTAAATTATGTGTAATTTACAAGTAACACATTTTAAAGTTACAGTATTACACTATTACTATATATGAATTATACCTCATAAAGTTGATTGGCAAGGATAAAAGGATATACAATTTGATAAATACTCAACGTTGGAAGTTCTAACAAAAGGCATTTTAAACACATTGACTGGGATTATCTATTGATACAATGTTTTTTTAAGAGTATTTCAGCAATTTTTCAGAAGTCACAAAGATATTTACTGCCTTCTACCCATTTGTTCTAGTTCTATGAATCTTTCCTAAAGGGAAAAAGAAAAAGCGGGCACGAAGATTTAATCTCAAAAATGTTCATCAAAATGTTGTTTACAACATTATAATACTATCCAAAAATAGTAAACAAAATGATCAGATATTCACAACATATAAAACGTTTACCTTAAGTATTATGTATTTTATTTTAAAATGTTGATAACATTTAAAATACATAATATATATGTTATGGGGGAAAACAAACATAAAAAACTATATCATGTGATTCTAATTTTTTATAAGCAAAACAAAACTAAGTATCTACTTCAATAATAATTATCTCCCAGACTAAGTTAAGGACCCTTTATCATATGCTATCAAGGTAATATAACCTGAGGTCAGAGAAAACCTCGCTGGAAGTGGCTTTGGATGGAGAAAGAGAATAAAAGAAGATTCCTACCAGAGAACTTGTCTACCTCACTATCATTTTATTCAAATTAAAACTGTTTTACAATCAAACCTCAATTTTTAACAGTGGGGGAAAAAACAGTATGTGTTAATTTTAGTATCCAAGGGGATACTAGAACCATTCTCCTGGCTGATACAGAGGGATGACTGTTCTCGGAAATGATTTGGAATGTCTGTCTGAAAATGTCAGCAGGGAGCACCCCATTCAGGTATATAACACGTTTTAAATAAAAGTGTTTAAATACATATTTCATTGATTCATTTTTAATGAGCATACCATAAGCCTTCTCAAAGTATTAAATGCTCAACCATTACCTAAAAATCCTACTTTCTATTACCAGATTTTACTTTGCGAGAGTAACATTAGAAGACGTATAATAAGAATTACCCTTATTATTAAACATTTTCTAAACTCCTATTGTTTCACCCATATTTCACCAGCATAGAAGAATAATTATTATACCACTGCCACAATTCACAAAATCCTTTCACCTCCGTTTTTTCATGTGCCTGTCCTAACAATCATGAGATAAGCAAGCTTCATGATAATAACTACAACTTCTACAACCCCAACCCCACTGTCAATGAAATACCCACTAAGAATCAGGCACTATACGGCCAGGCACGGTGGCTCATGCCTGTAATCCCAGCACTTTGGGAGGCTGAGGTGGGCAGATCACGAGGTCAGGAGATCGAGACCACGGTGAAAAAAATTAGCCGGGCGGGCGCGGTGGCGGGCGCCTGTAGTCCCAGCTACTAAGGAGGCTGAGGCAGGAGAACGGCGTGAACCCGGGAGGCGGAGCTTGCAGTGAGCTGAGATCGCACCACTGCTCTCCAGCCTGGGTGACAGAGGGAGATGCCGACTCAGAAAAAAAAAAAAAGAAAGAAAGAAACAGGCACTATACCAGGTATCTCACATATTTACCACATTCAAAGTTGAATAATTACCAAAAATCTATGAAGTAGTTATCCCATCCCAATTTTACAGATGAGGAAACTGCGGCTCAGCAATTAAAGTAATTGGCCCAGAAAGCAGATCTTTGATCCACACCCAGGTCTGTCTGAATCCTAAACCTATGCCATTTCCTTGTCCCACCCACACTCCCCAGGAAACAGAGATTGAGAAAAAGATAATCATTTGGCCAAGTCTTATAGGCAACAGGAACCCAGAGCCTTCTAACACTTGATCTACGGTGCTTTCCACCTGGTATGTTGCTTCTATAAAAAGTAAGGACACTTCCTTCCATCGGGAGTTTATAAATCATAATTAATCTCATTAGATTATAAATAACATCATAGGGAAGCTATGTGCTACATAGGGACAGATAAGGGTGCCCAAGGGAAACTTTGAGGAAGTATAACTAAATTAATACACAGGGATCAGGGTTGAAGTATTTTATAACCAATACTCAAAACAGTAACAGTTAGCCTGGCGCAGTGGCTCACGTCTGTAATCCTAACACTTTGGGAGTCAGAGATGGGAGAATCACTTGAGCCCAGGAGTTGGAAACCAGCCTGGGCAACATAGTGAGAGACCTTGTCTCTACAAAAATAAAAGAACAACAACAGTTAATAAAGTTTCCAGGAGTAGCTTAGATAATCCCAGAATCGTATCTATATTAGGAGAAGGGCTATTTTTAAATATTCTAAAGTTTATAATTGGAATGCCCATAAAAATTGCCTATGAGTAGATTCATCATTACATCAGAAAAATTTATGATAATTACTTAGGACTCTGCTTTTGATAAATATGTATGCTGTAACTACTTAATAAAACCATGAGAAATAATTTTTAAAATGTAAATGTTACTTACATATCACAGTTTGCAGCTATCCACAAATGCTGGATTAGCAATTGGAACTAGAATAAAAAATGTAAATGTAAAAAAAGAAAAAATTAAAATATTTAAGTCATGAAACACAGAAAGTGACAGCAAAGTTAAAAACTCAGATCTTTATAAAAAGGAAATTTATACTGTACACCAAAAATGATATTTGCTAAATTACAAAGGCACTTGTATATGAATAAGATTAAAATAAAAACTAAGAACAGTACTTTTAGTTTCTCCTACCACTTTATATTCTCTAAATGACAGCCCTTACCTGATAGACACACGCCAACTATCAAAAAAAGCAATCTTAATACCATCCTGGAAGCAAGTGAACTTACATTTTTTTCAAGCCAATTCCCAAATGAGGGCCCACTACAGAAAACACCTCCGAACCACTGTAATTCCTTTCTGAGGATGACTCCAAACACTCTGCCAATCGATGCTAAACATGAGCCAAAAGAAACAAAAAAACTCTGACAAATTCCCATGAGCTTACCAATGGACCAAGATTGTCCAAAAAGTAATATTCCCAGAGGATAGGAAAAAAATGTCTTAGAGGGTTGATGTCTGCCTTCAATGTCACAGCAGAAACCTTGCAGTTTACCAGATGACCCAGTAAAGGAACCAACACCCACAACCCGTTCCACATGGGCAGTTAATTCCAGTCACTGATGAGAAGGGAAAAGGTCTGTCTTATGATATCACATTTTTTTTTGTTTGTTTTTTGTTTTTATTTTTTGAGATGGGGTTTCGCTCTTTTTGCCCAGGCTGGGGTGCAATGGCATGATCACGGCTCACTGCGACTTCTGGCTCCTGGGTTCAAGTGATTCTCCTGTCTCAGCCTCCCAAGTAGCTAGGATTACAGGAGTGCACCACCACGCCCTGCTAATTTTGTATTTTTAGTAGAGATGGGGTTTCGCCATGTTGGCCAGGCTGGTTTCAAACTGCTGACCTCAGGTGATCCACCTGCCTCGGCCTCCCAAAGTACTGAGATTACAGGCGTTCATTCCAGTCACTGATGAGAAGGTAAAAGGTCTGTCTTATGATATCACGCCCGGCCTGATTTCACATATTTTTTAAAAATCTTACAAGTTAACATAAAATGGAAACCTGAGTATTACAAACAACAACAACAACAAAAAGTTCAAAATCACCGTCTACTCTTATCTACTTTAAGACGTAAGGATTAAGCAGAGGATAATTTGCATAAACCTAAAATCGTGATAAATCAGTTTTTTCATGGTAGTTAAATCAAATTGCTATTTTAGCACTTGTTTGAGCCTCTATAAAAAACATAAATTTAAATGCATAAGTCATGTCACAGAGGCCTACCAGCGGGGAAAGGAGGAGCCTGGTGGCCACCTCCTGGTGACCAGCCACCACTCACAAACAGCAAAGGAGATTAAGCTTGGCTCAGGAGGTCCCCGAGCTCTTCTCACTGGAGTCGATCTGCGAGCACACTTGTTACAAAAAGTCATTCCAATCTTGGTCTTTCAGAAATTATAACTTATCCATTGCCAAGGAAAGAAAATAACAAAAGTATGATGATGAGAAAAACAACTGCTGGAAACATTACATGAGAAATAAACACAGAGTTACGACAGCTAAGATGAGGACAAAGAAAACATTACTCTGTCAACACCAAAAATACTCCAAAGATGACACTACTTCTATTTGTCCTTCTATATTCCTCATCTCTTTATCTATCCATGGAAACTTTTTAAACACTTCAATGGAAAACTATGCTTTCAAACCAAGCAGATGTCTAAAGCAGAATTGTCTCACAACCTAGATTATAACAAAATGCAAAGTTCAATACAACTGGAGTAAAAGACAAAAAAGCCTTTGTATAAATAAATCAACTCTCAGATATTGAGAAAAGCACAAACCACACAGTTATTAAAAAGTTCCAATGAAATTACTGTAAAAAAATAACGAGGATAACATGATAGCTAAAATCACCTGAAATTCCTACCTCCAAATCCCTATAAAAAAAGGGCAAAATCTAGGAAATGTGATACTCCCTAAAATTTTTTGCTAACATGTTTTTGCTGATCTCAATCTTTAGACAAAGAAATTGTAAATATAATTTCCTAAGTAACTCAAAGAAGAAAAAGGAAATAGTATTTCCCAATAATAATTCTCTAGGTTTGCATAAATAGACCTACTTGGCACTGAAAGCACTATTAATATTTTGCTTCACTTTGGTCTTTCAAAAACGTCCTTCTACACAGGTTTTTTTGGTTGTTTTTATCACTAATTAAGTTGACTGATATAAACCCTTAGCTGGTTTATTTAAACCTAAATATATTTTAAATTTACTTCAAATCATAGATTCTACTCTAGCCACAATGAATAATTTTCCCCAAATTGAGTTTAACAGCTTAAAATATAATTTGTTAAAAAAAAAAAAGTTTAAGGTATGTAAAAATTTCTGACTTTCACCGTAAATAAGATTTTCATTAGCTCAACAGAAATGTAATAATTATCCCTTAAGTATCTCCACTCCCACACCATCTCCACAGTCATGAACCACCTAGTCCCGTTCTCAAATGTCCTGGTCCCGCCAATAGAATCCCAATCCTTCCTTGTTGTCCCCAACCCTGTGCACCTACACCTGCCATAAATGGTGGAAATTCAACCAGCTCTATGAACGGAAGGGAGGAGGCCCCCCACCCACTCTACAGGAAAACTTGCCCAGATCTACAGGAACCTCCCCACTCACAAGAGGACAGGGCAGCCCAGACTCAGCTGAGAAATGTCAACAGCTGGCACAAATGAATTACAGATTATTTACAATTCACATAACACTGACCCAAGAATATAACCAATTGTCAAGACAAAATAAATTTAGTTGTTCACATACAAATATTCCATTTGTGAATAAATTTCATATTCGTATCTGTATACAGACAGTCTACATGTTCGATAAGTCCTTTATGATCCTACCTGAAAATGCTGGTAGATGCAATATTTTTGCATCAAATTTAACCGATGGTGGTTGTTTCATTATCTGTGGTTAAAAAAAAAAAAAACTTTTGAGGCAATTTTAAAGATGGATATCTGTCTCCTTATATGTCCCTTATATCAGATAATAAATCAATGAGGACAAAAAAAGAATGTGTAAAATTTGTTACCAAAAACAAAAAGAACGATGCCTTTTCAGATTAAAACATACATATATAGATAATAATTTATTTTTTAAAATCATTTCAATTGATATCTGTAATAAAATAAAGCTTCAAAGAAAAAATTCACCCCATCCTGGCTTACTTTTTAGGTAATTTACCTCTAATTAGAAATTCAGTCTTTCAACAAATATCTATTGCTTACCTGCCAAGGTAAGGCTCTATGTCAAGTGCTAAGGGGGATACAAAGATATAAAAGACACAATCCTATTTTCAGCGAGCTGACTTTCTGGTTGGGAAGATGAGACAAACATTTGATAAACAAGAAAATATTTCACAATTCAAAAGAGGCAGGACATAACTACAGACAAAACCCTGGACAGAAAGAATTTTTTTTGTAAATAGTAGTTTAGAGAATACAGCAAGCACTTTACTTGATATAGTTGACACCGGGTTTACGGAAGAGGTAGAAGGTGGGTTGCGGTCTTGAAGGATGGCTAGAACTTTATGATTATATCAGAGAAGACACCATTCAAGGAAGCCATAATAGCATGAATTGGAAAGTGCATAATTTATTTCAGAAATGTGAAGAAACCATGTAGTTGGATCCATGAGCTTAGGACAGCCAGATACTGCATCTTGAGACTTTTAATTAAAAATTCAACCATCATTTCTATACCTAACTTCTGCAAAACTTCTATATGTAATATTTTTAAAACCTTTACTAATTAAGTAACCAGCATTACTGTACTTACTGTAGTATTCTTACTAAAATGCATATTCTCATTCTAATCTCATAATCCAAATTCATAATCTCATTTGAGTCATGAGAAACCCTTAGACAAACCTAAATTAAGGGACATTCTTCAAAACACCCAACCAGTTACTCTTCAAAGTGTCAAGGACTTGAGTCATACGTTTTATAACATGTATTACAAAAACATACAAAGGCCAGGTGCCGTGGCTCACGCCTGTAATCCCAGCACTTTGGGAGGCCTAGGCAGGTGGATCATGAGGTCAGGAGTTCAAGACCAGCCTGGCCAACATGGTAAAACCCCATCTCTACTAAAACTACAAAACTTAGCCAGGTGCAGTGGCAGGTGCCTGTAATCCTAGCTACTCATGAGGCTGAGGCAGGAGAATAGCTTGAACCCGGTCGGCAGAGGTTGCAGTGAGCTGAGATCGCGCCACTACACTCCAGCCTGGGTGACAAAAAACAAAACAAAACAAAATAAAAGACAAACTGTCAAGGTCATGAAAGACAAGCAAAGTCTGAGAAATTCTGACAAAACCGTGAAAAACTAGGACAGACTATATGAGACTAAGGAGGCATAACAACTAACTGTAATGTGGGATCCTGGAACAAAAAAAAAGAGGACATTAGAGGCAACCGGTAAAATTCAAATGCATTTGGTAGTTAGCAGCACTATTCTCATGTTTTATTTTTCCCTTTTCAGGAAGAATTCGAAAGGAGCAGTCAGGGTATTGCATGCCATCATTACACAGAGATATGAATCAAGTATCATGCAACTCCAACTACCACATTCTGCTGCCCTCCAAAAGGAGGCACAGGTAAGGATTATCCCGCCTGACTAACACTATACCAATGTTAATTCCCAGGTTTTGCTAACTATACTATAGACCTATAAGATGTGAACATTAAGAGCAGCTGGGCAAAAGCTATACAGGAGTTCTCAACTATTTTTTAATCTTTTCTCTAAAAGTAGTTTAGAATTAAAAGTTAAACACAAAAATTTCCACTGATGAAGGCTTCCCATAAACTATCAAATATGGTTATAAGAGGAAAAAAGGAAACACAGAATATTGTGTAAAGCAAGCTTGTCCAACCCGCAGCCCGTGGGCTGGATGCGGCCCAAGACGGCTTTGAATATGGCCCAACACAAATTCATAAACTCTCTTAAAACATTGTAAGAATTTTTTTGCAATTTTTTTTTATTGGTTTTTTAGTTCATCAGCTATTGTTAGTGTATTTTATGTGTGGCCCAAGACAATTCTTCTTCCAGTGTGGCCCAGGGAAGCCAAAAGACTGGACACCCCTGGGAAAGATATCACAAATTGTTCTAGAAAGCCCATTTTGAAAATGCGCCAATGCACATCAAACTTAGCATAATAAAGTTACACTGCCAGACATATGAACTCACAAAAAGAATTAGCTCCATTATGAAAAACAGCTAAATCATCTATATAAAATGCTGTCTATCTAGAAAATAAACATGAATCCAAAAACCCTTACATTGTTCTAAACCACACTAATGTTCCCAATGAGACAAGAAAAAAACAGTCATGAATTAATACAGAAAAAGATATTTAAAAAAGAAAAAGAAGGCCAGGTGTGGTGGCTCATGCCTGTAATCCCAGCACTTTGAGAGGCCGAGGTGGGTGGATCACAAGGTCAGGAGATCGAGACCATCCTGGCTTACATGGTGAAACCCTGTCTCTACTAAAAATACAAAAAATTAGCAGGGCGTGGTGGCGGGCACCTGTAGTCCCAGCTACTTGGGAGGCTGAGGCAGGAGAATGACATGAACCTGGGAGGCGGAGCTTGCAGTGAGCCAAAATCGCGTCATTGCACTCCAGCCTGTGTGACAGAGCAAGACTCTGTCTCAAAAAAATAAAAAATAAAAGTAAAACTAAAAAAAAGTAAAAGAAGCAGTAAAGTTAAAATAGAGAATAAGTAGTGGAATGTGAGTATGTTGGGGAGCTGGAAGTCAAGACAAAACAGAGGGACTTAGAAATGCATCTGTTTTTTAAAGTAAATACTCATTATCCCCCAGCAATAAAGTATTATATTCCAAAAGACAAGAAGCAAAAAAACTCACAGTGGTTTAGAAGTACATTGTGAACCATGACTCCTCAAGTTCCCATAGTGTCTCCCCACCATCTCCCCTGCAGTATTAACAACCTGTGACAGGGCAGGGCTTCCGTGTGATCTGCCTGCCCAGCCCAGCCTGGTGAGCAGTGCCCTCTGACTGCTTCTGCCTTCAAAACACATCAGAGACTAGAATACTTAGAGTGATTCACATTAGTGCAGATGGAGAAACGATGGGACTGAGAGCTAAGGTCTGAGGTCAAGAGGCTGGCAACCCCTCCGTGGCATGTGGAAGAAAGCAGTAGTGAGAAGCAGAGCTGACTCATTCAAAACAGAGGGGGGAAAACTTAGAACTCCAGTGAAGTGGAAGTGAAGGCAGAGGAAAGGGTTGCAGACAGAGCGGGAGCTGGAAATGCAGACATGCAGCACAAATGAAAGAGTAGCGGACAAGAGAAACAGGAAAGATTAGACAGTAAATAATATTCTGAATGAAAATCTTATGCAGATTTCAGATCTCAGTAAAGTCTACAACTCACTTGTCAGAGTGCTTTCTGCACCTTTGGATTGTCAATAATGGGGGTGACAACAAGATCTGAGTCGTGTAGATAAGCTCTCTCATCTGGGATTCCAGGTCCTGCTGACTCAGGTGTCCACTTGTAATCTGAAATGAGAACAAAAATTTGACTTTGTTTCTGTGACTAATATAGAGCTTTAAAACACTGAACTAATATGATGCTGAGGAAGACACCACTGTAAAATATCACCTATATCAATGTACTTCCACTGCTATTCAAGACACTTGCAGTCTCACTTGATTTTCACAAAAATCCTAAACTGTAGGTACCATAATTTCCATTTTACAGATAAAAATATAAAACTCTGAGAAAGTAACTGAATTGCTCATGTTACCATTAAAACTGGCTAGGACTACAAAAAAGATCTTTACAATTCAACGTTCTAAACTCTGATGAGGCAAACTGCTTTTTTGATTACCAGCATGGTTTTTTTTGGTTTTTTTTTTTTTTTAGGGATGGAGTCTCAGTCTGTCACATAGGCTGGAGGGCAGTGGTGCAACCCTGGCTCACTGCAACCTCTGCCTCCTGGGTTCAAGTGATTCTCCTGCCTCAGCCTCCCAAGTAGTGGAATTACGGGTGTGCACCACCATGCCCAGCTAATTTTTTTTTTTTTTTTTTTTTTTGAGACAGAGTCTTGCTCTGTCACCAGGCTAGAGTGCAGTGGCGCGATCTCAGCTCACCACAACCTCTGTCTCCTGGGTTAAAGTCATTCTCCTGCCTCAGCCTCTCCAGTAGCTGGGACAAGGTTTCACCATGTTGGCCAGGCTGGTCTCAAACTCCTGGCCTCAGGTGATCCACCTGCCTCGGCCTCCCAAAGTGCTGGGATTATAGGTGTGAGCCACTGCACCCGACCCATGGCTTTATTTTTCATTCATAGAATGCTGATCAATTTATTTCTGCTTTACAGAATATTCAATGTGAAGTTGAAACTGTAACATACAAAAATTTTCAGACTTAAATACAGACCGGTTACCTAAGTGTTAAACCTCAATTATTTATTAAGCCTCATTAGAGATGATACATAATAAAATCAATCACCAGACATTCACCATCAGTTATTCCTTTGAGATGGTTCTTTGTGCTCTATTTAAACATAATTTGTATTCCTAGTGCTATGCCCCAGTATTTCCCATCAGAAAAAAAAAAAGGATTTATGCTTAAGAACCTTAAAAGAAACAATGACTAGCAAACTAAATAAAATAGAAAAGTAAATCAGTGAAGTAAGGAAGAAGGAAAATAAATTATCCAAAACTAGTGAGGAAGGGTCATAGATAAAGGAACAGAGTTAGCTAAGAAAATTCCTGGAAACCCAAGGTGCCCCTTGCAACTCAGATGAAAGATATACGAAAACACACAAAGAGGCCGAGGCCGGGCACGGTGGCTCAAGCCTGTAATCCCAGCAATTTGGGAGGCCGAGGCGGGTGGATCACGAGGTCAGGAGTTCAAGACCAGCCTGACCAACATGGTGAAACACTGTCTCTACTAAAAATACAAAAATTAGCTGGGTGTGGTGGCATGTGCCTGTAATCCCAGCTACTCAGGAGGCTGAGGCAGGAGAATCACCTGAACCTGGGAGGCGGAGGTTGCAGTGAGTTGAGATTGTGCCACTGCACCAATTAAAACAATTGTATGCAAAAATTAGTTTCCTATAGGTAAATTGAGTGTAGGCACAAATGCCAAGTTATAACAAATATCCCACTCACAATAGCAAAAATATATAAAACAAAATGTTCAGGAATAAACTAAATGATCAATAATTGCAATGAGATCATGATCATTAAATGAAAATAATCGTTATAAAATTATACTCTCTTGCTTCAAAGTGAACACATTATGTATAAAACCAGAAGTAGTAATATCAAAATGTATGAGATGTATGAGGTTACAGTGAACTATGATGGTGCCACTGCACTCCAGCCTGAGCAACAGGCTCTAAAAAAAAAAAAAAAGGTAATCAGTGTTTACTTGGGAATTACATTGTAAATAATTTTTCTATTGTCTTTGTCCTCTTTTATATTTTACAAGTTTTTTACAATTATATATGTTTTGTAATAGAATAAAAAGTATCATTTAAAAATTATAAAACATAAGGCCAACACAGTGGCTCACACCTGTAATCCCAGCTCTTTGGGAGGCCGAGGCGGGCAGATCACTTGAGTCCAGGAGTTTCAGACCAGCCTGGACAACATGGGGAAACCTCTACTAAAAATACAAAAAATTAGCCATGCATGGTGGCGCACACCTGTAGTCGCAGCTACTCAGGTGGCTGCGATGAGATGAGATAAGCACCTAAGCCCAAGAAGTTGAGGCTGCAATGAGCCATGATCGTGCCACTCCACTCCACCCTGGGTGACAGGAGTGAGGCTCTGTCTCAAAAATAAATAAATACCGAGATATATATGTAAAATAAACTACCTTAGGTATTCACATTATTGATTATATTTTCTCAATAGAATGATTATATATTCCTCTTTATAACCATCTGCCAGAAGAGCTTCAACATCTATCGCATTTCAGAATGAATTTTTTTTTTTTTTTTTTTTTTGAGACGGAGTCTAACTCTGTCGCCCAGGCTGGAGTGCAGTGGTGCGATCTCAGCTCACCGCAACCTCCGCCTCCCAGGTTCACACCATTCTCCTGCCTCAGCCTCTCAAGTAGCTGGGACTACAGGTGCCCACCACCACACCCGGCTAATTTTTTGTATTTTTAGTACAGATGGGCTTTCACTGTGTTAGCCAAGATGGTCTTGATCTCCTGACCTTGTGATCTGCCCTCCTCAGCCTCCCACAGTGCTTGGATTACAGGTGTGAGCCACTGCGCCCGGCCCAGAATAAATTTTTAAATTTACATTGATTTTCTATTTCACATAACCAAAAAATTAGCACAGTCAGATTTTATTATAACCAATTTATACTAAATTTCAAAGCAGAAATAAGCTTCACAAGGTCCAAATACAGTTCACATTACATCAAAACTACAGTTAAAAACTAAAAGCAATTATATTTGTCAACCAATAAGTAGCATAAAAATTACTTAGAATTAATTCAAAGTAGGTCTGCATTCAACACAACTACGATTGAAAGAAATTAAAGGAAGACCTAAATAAGTACAAATACATCCTGTGTTCGTGGAGGAAAACTTAATATTGTTAAAATGGCAGTACTTTCTAAGTTGATCTACATATTCAATGCGACTGTGATTAAAATCCCAGCTGGCTCCTTTGCAGAAACTGACAAGCTGATCTTAAAATTCATATGGAAATGCAAGTGACCCAGAACAGCCAAACCCACCTTAAAAAACTTTCTGGAGGATTCATACTTTCTGATTTCAAAGCTTACTAAACAGCTACAGTAATCAAGAGTGTGCTACTGGTATAAGGACAGATGAACAGAGAAAAGAATAGAATCCAGAAATAAACTTTCACATATACAGTCAATTGATCTTCAATAAGCGTTCCAAGACAATTCAATGGGGAAAGAATAAGCTTTTCAACAGATAGTTCTGAGATAACTGGATGTCTAGGTGCAAAACAATGAAGCTATACCCCCCTACTTCATGCCGCATGCAAAAATTAATTCAAATGGATAAAAGAGCTCAATATAAGAGATATTGATAAACTATAAAACTCATAGAAAAAAACATAGGCAGAAACCTTTGTGACCTTGGAGTAGCAACGTTTTTTTAGATATTACACCAAAAGCACAAGGAGCAAAAAAACACAAATGAAAAAAGATAAATTGGACTATATCAAAATTTAAAATCTTTCTGCTTCAAAGGACACCATCAAGAAAGAAAAAAGACAATCCAGAAAAAGGAAGAAAGTTGTTATAACTCCTATCTAGAATATGTAAAAAATTCTTACAGCTAAATAATAAAGAGATACATAACCCAATTAAAAATAAGTTAAATTTTGGAATAAGTATTTCCCCAAAAAAACAGACAAATGGCCAATAAACACATGAAAAGATACTCAACATCATTTGCCATCAGGTAAATGCAAATCAAAACCACTAAGACATAGAAATTCACACCTACTAGCTGGGCGCAGTGGCTCACACATGTAATCCAAATACTTTGGGAGGCGGAGACAGGTGGATCATTTCAGGTCAGGAGTTCGAGACCAGCCTGGCCAACATGGTGAAACCCCGTCTCTACTAAAAATACAAAAATTAGCCAGCTGGTAGTGGTGCATGCCTATAATCCCAGCTACTCGGAAGGCTGAGGCAGAAGAATTGCTTGAGCCTGGGAGATGGAGGTTGCAGTGAGCCAAGATCATGCCACTGCACTCCAGACTGGGCGACAGAGTCAGACCCTGTCTCAATCAATCACTCAATCAATGGAATTTCACACCTGCTAGATGTGAAATAGGATGGCGATCATGAGAAAGACAGGCAATGCAAACCTATTCACAATAGCCAATAGGTGGATGCAACCCAAGTATTCATCAACAGAGGAAAAGATAAAAAGGCATATTAAATACATACAAGGGAATATTATTCAGCCTTAAAAACAAATGAAATTCTGGCACATGCTACAACATGGATGAACGTTAAAGACATTATGCTAAGTGAAATAAGCCAGGCACAAAAGGACAACTACTATATGAGACCACTTATGCCAGCAGTCCCCAAACTTTTTGGCATCAGGAGCCAGTTTTGCAGAAGACAATTTTTCCACAGACAAGGTTGGGGGAGATGATTTTGGGATGATTCAAGGACATTACATTTATTGTGCATTTTATTTCTATTATTATTACATTGTAACATATAATGAAATAATTGTACAACTCACTATAATATAGAATCAGGGCTGGGCACGGTGGCTCACGCCTGTAATCCCAGCACTTTGGGAGGCCAAGGTGGCCAGATCATGAGGTCAGGAGATCGAGACCATCCTGGCTAACACGGTGAAACCCCGTCTCTACTAAAAAATACAAAAAATTGTTGGGGCGTGGTGGCTGGCGCCTGTAGTCCCAGCTACTCAGGAGGCTGAGGCAGGAGAATGGCGTGAACCTGGGAGGCGGAGCTTGCAGTGAGCCCAGATTGCACCACTGCACTCCAGCCTGGGTAACAGAGCGAGACTCCCTCTCAAAATAAATAAATAAATAAATAAATAAAAAATAAAAAAACTACAAATGATAAGCAACATAGAATAGATATGTAAGGAAAGGCTTTAAAAAGGAAAATAAGATCAATATAAACTAAGAAAGAATTATTACAGAACAAAGAGATTCTAGGGAGAAGACAAAAGAGTATCAAAATCACTTCGTAAAGATACTTGTGAATATATTACATGTATAAAACAAAACAGAGGCCGGGCGCGGTGGCTGACGCCTGTAATCCCAGCACTTTGGGAGGCTGAGGCGGGTGGATCATGAGGTCAGGAGATCAAGACCATGCTGGCTAACATGGTGAAACCGCGTCTCTACTAAAAAATCCGTCTCTACTAAAAACACAAAAGTTAGCCAGGCGTGGTGGCGGGCGCCTGTAATCTCAGCTACTCGGGAGGCTGACGCAGGAGAATCGCTTTAACCAGTGGACTGTCAAGAGAGGTAGGCTGCAGTAAGCCGAGATCGCGCCACTGCACTCCAGCCTGGGCGACAGAGTGAGTGAGACTCTGTCTCAACAAAAAGAAAAAAAGAAAGAAAACTTTTTTTTGAGAGAGAGAGAGAGAAGTCTCGCTCTTCTCCCCCAGGTTTGAGTGCAATGGCTCGATCTCAGCTCACTGTAACCTCCGCCTCCCGGGTTCAAACGATTCTCCTGCCTCTGCCTCCCAAATAGCTGGGATTAAGTCGCCTGCCAACACGACCGGCTAATTTTTCTATTTTTTAGTAGAGACGGGTTTCACCATGTTGGCCAGGCTGGTCTCCAACTCCTGACCTCAAGTGATCAGCCCGGTTGGCCTCCCAAAATGCTGGGATTACAGGCGTGAGCCACTACGCCCGGCCAAAAAACCGAAAATCTTAAAGGCCTTTCCCCTTCCCCGCCTGGGCTCCAACAACGCGGGAGCCGCCCTGCCCCGCCCTGTCGCGGTCCCTAGAGCAGGTGGGCTGACTGAGGGCGACCATGGGTCCCAAGAGGGCTCCCGCAGCGGCGGGCTCCCACCTCGAGGCGCAGCGACAGGGGCCGAGAGGGGCCAGCAGCCCCCAAGCCAGCCCCGCGCTAGGAGTTGGAGAGACGCGCCCTCCGCCTTCTCCCACCCAAGCCTCTGCCTTGCCGGGCGGGCCAGTTGCGGGAGAAAGGGGCGGGGAACCGCGGCCTCTCTGGGGCAGCTTCCCCTTTCTCCTGGGACTCTGGGCACCCGCTTTCCGCCCTCGCCCTGCCCCGCCAGGCCGCCACCCGGCGACTCACCTTAATGTTGCGGTGGGGCGTGAGCCGCGGCTGTGGCTCCTGGTTCTCCTGGAAGATAGAGGCCAGTAACTTCGGTTTGGCCTTGAACCCTGACATGGACATCTTCCCCTCACCTCCGGCGGGAGGGGCGCGGAAAAGGAGCCAGTCCCGAGCCGCTGTCATGGCCGCGGCCACCAGGCGGGGCCCCCGGCCGAGCTCTCGCGGCTCCACCTCTCCCCGCCGCCGTGACCCTCGTGGGAGCGCGGCTGGAAAATGGCAAGGGGCACCGAGGACTTGGCGGGAGCTATGTGGCGGCCTGCGGGGCTGCTCCCTTTATAACCGACTCCACCGACAGGAGGCGCGGCTCCCGTCAAGCCGCAGTTTAAAAGGGCAACAGCACCACTGCCCCCGCTACCGCCTGGGAAAGGGCTGCCCCTACCCCGCCCCGGTCCTCGTCGCCCCTCACCTCTTACCCCTCACCCCTCACCCCTCAACCCGGCGCGCCCCGCGCGCACCCGGCGTGCCCGCGCTACCGGCTGCCCCCTCCTCTCTTGACCCAGCACCTTTCTGCCCGACCGATCTGGTCCCTTCCTCACACTCGCGACTGGGCGGCACAACCACCAACTCTGTGTGTGTGTGTGTGTGTGTGTGTCTGTGTGTGTGTGTGTCCCTGTCCCAAGGGGGCGTGGCTCACGCCTGTAATCCCACCACTTTGGGAGGCTAAGGCGGGTGGATCAGGAGGTCAGGAGATAAGACTATCCTGGCTAACACGGTAAAACCCCGTCTCTACGGAAAAAATACAAAAAATTAGCAGGGCGTGGTGGCGGACGCCTGTAGTCCCAGCTACTTGGGAGGCTGAGGGAGGAGAATG
This sequence comes from Homo sapiens, assembly GCF_000001405.40. NCBI lineage: Eukaryota > Metazoa > Chordata > Mammalia > Primates > Hominidae > Homo > Homo sapiens. The sequence goes on along the minus strand of NW_011332701.1, from coordinate 2,744,662 downwards.
GCGTGAAACCGGGAGGCAGAGCTTGCAGTGAGCTGAGAGCGCGCCACTGCACTCCAGCCTGGGCGACAGACCAAGACTCCATATAAAAAAAGAAAAGAAAAAAAACCTCAAAGGATCACTAGTGGTCAGCAACTGTGTGCAAATAAATAGGAAAACCTACCAAAAATGGATAAATTTCCAGACACATCTAACCTACCAAGATTGAACCATGATGAAACCCAAAACCTGAACAAACCAATAACAAATAATGGGATCAAAGTGGTAATAAAAAGTCTCCCAGCAAAGAAAAGCCTGGGACCTGATGATTCACTGCTGAATTCTAGCAAACATTTAAAGAAGAACTAATACCAACCTTACCCAAACGATTCCAAAAATAGAGAAGGAGGGAATACTTGCAAACTCATTCTACAGGGCTAGCATTACCCTGATAACAAAATCAAACACACAGACCAAAAAAGAAAACTACAGGCCAATATCACTGATGAATATTGATGCAAAAATCCTCAATAAAATATTAGCTAACTGAATTCCACAACACATTAAAGTTGGGGTGCAGTGTCCCAGGTTCACTCAACCCTTCCCGTTTTCCTCTCTGTGTGTGTCTACTTTGCCGTGTTCCCTGGTGGCGGCGGCGGTGGCAGTGTTGGTGCATGGGCCTCCCAGGACAAGGGGAAAGTGAGTATGCCCCTTTCTTGCCCCCTGCCAGGCGTCTGCAGCCTGGCACAAGCTCTGGCCAGGTCTCCAACAGGGGACCTGGAGATGTTTTTTTCCAATTTCTGGATTGGTAACTTGAGGCAGATTCTGGGCACTAGAGTCAGAACTAAGAGGAGACTGAATCAGGGGAGTCTGGGGTCCTGAGAGGCAGATACCTGAAACCGTCTAGAGCGTGTGGGGAGCTCGGTGCATGTTCACGCCAGTTGTTTTTCTCTGTGCCTCAATGTTCCAGGTACCCTTGGAGGTGCTGAGATCCTAGGGATTCCTGGAGCCTGGCTGCATGGCCTGGCCACCCTGATGCCACTGTGTTCTCCATGACAGGACAGCAAGGCTGAGGAGAATGGCTCCGACAGCTTCATGCACTCCATGGACCCATAGCTGGAGCGGCAAATGGAAACCACCCAGAACCTTGTGGACTCCTACATGGCCATTGTCAACAAGACCGTGTGGGACCTCATGGTTGGTGTCATGCCCAAGACCATCATGCACGTCATGATCAACAACGTGCATGCACCGCCTCATAGGGGCAGGGGGCTCCTGTAGCACTGGGGATGCAGGTGGCCATGTTGGCCTGGGGGAGATGCTGACCAGCCCTATGGGACCAAGGTCCAGGGAGGGAGGCACAGTCCAGACCAGAGCTGTCTCATAGAAATATAACGTGGGACTGGGGACAGTGGCCCATGTCTGTAATCCCAGCACTTTGGGAGGCCAAGGCAAGAGGATAGCTTGAGCCCAGGAGTTCGAGACCAGCTTGGGCAACATAGTGAGACCTGATCTCTACACTAAAATTTTAAAAATAGCTGGGCTTGGTGGTGGCACGTACCTATAGTCCTAGCTACTCTACAGGCTGACATTGGAGGATCACTTTGAGCCCAAGAAGTTGAGGCTACAGTGAGTGGTGATCTCGCCCACTGTCCTCCAGCCTAGCGACAGAGCAAGATCCTATCTCCAAAAAACATTTTTAAGAAACTGAGTAGACCGGTGTCCTGGTGGCATGATAGGTCCTGGGTCCCCTCCCAGATGTGTGACCTTGGACAGGTGACTTTTCCTTTGGACCTCAGTGTCCCTATCTGAGTGAGAAAAGGGCGGTGGGGAGGCAGATCTTTGAGTCTAAGCGGTGTAGAAGCCGCGTCTGAAAAGCCATACTCAGGGCTCCAAGTCCAGCACACAGTCCCAGCAGGGCCCGGCAGGAGGCCAGGGCAGCAAAGGCATCAGGTCCCAACCTCCTTCCCTCTTTGCCCGCTCTCAGACCAAGGAGTTCATCTTCTCGGAGCTGCTGTCCAACCTGTACTCACGTGGGGACCAGAAAACGCTGATGGAAGAGTCGGCAGAGCAGGCACAGTGGCGCGACGAGATGCTGCGCATGTACCACGTGCTGAAGGAGGCACTCGGCATCATCGGCGACATCAACACGACCACCATCAGCACGCACATGGGGGCCCGTGGACAACTCCTGCCTGCAGGTGCAGAGCGTCCTTGCCGGATGCAGGTACCAAGGCTGGCTCCCACGGCCCCAAAGCCCCCCAGCCCCCATGGCTGAGCCTGGGGACTCTTGGAACAGGCTCCGTGCCCACGCTGGTAGACATGGGTGCTCCCTGGAGCCGTCACAGAGCTCATGGTTTATGGTGTAAGGGCTGAGAGCTTAGAGGGGGTGGTGTGTGGGGCTGTACTCTGAGGCGGCCAGAGTCCTAGGATAGTCCTCCTGTGCACACCGCACCTGTTGGGCAGTCTGAGTCATGCTGCCAGGGCAGGGCATCCAGCTCCCAGCCTGGGAGTGCTGAGAGCCAAATCCACTGCAGAGCAGGGGTGATAGTCAGAGTCCCACCTCCTCTATCTGTCGGCAATGCAGTGGTGAGATAGGATAAAACCTTGAGAGTCCCATACACACGGTCAACCCACAACACACCTCACAGGCCAGGCAGGAAACACAGGCCCCTTCCCTCCCTCCCAGGTACCATCATAGCTGCTAGCGTGTGACTGAAGGCAGAGTCCCTGGCCCCCGCTGAAGCACTATTGCTGGCCAGCAGGCTCACGCACCTTGGAGTGTTGCTCCTAGAGGTCACCTCTGCTATTCAGCCAAGGGGACCACAGTGCCTGCTGGCCCAGCTGACCTCCGCCCCACAAGCCCACCCACCTCCCCTGCCATAGACTCTCCCTCTTCTGCTTTTCCCAGCAGGAAGGGCCCAGCCTCACCTATCCGACCTGCAACCCCCAACAAGCTGAGGCTCCCCTCTTAGACTTATAAGTCTATAGCCAGTGGCATCCAGCTGCATGCCCTCCTTTCCTCCCCCAGGGACCCTTCAAGGGTTCCTGGGCTTTCTGACCCCCCAGAGGGGGCTCCGGCGATCACTCCACCCATCCATCCCTTTTAGCTTCATCATCCTGGTTCAAGCAGTGTTTCTTCTCTATCAGGCCTGGTGGCTGTTGTTTTGGGCTCCCCAAGGCGAGAGGTGGCCCTGGACAAGTGGGTTGGAAGACACGGTGACCAGAGAAGAGGGAAGCCCAAAGGGGCTGAGCATCAGTCTTAACAGTGGGTGCACTGGGTGCCGTGGAAGAGGCCAGCACGTGTGGGGTGGGGAGGGCTGCCACAGCCCCCAGGCACTACCTGTGAAACTCCGGCTCCTCCCTCTGTCTTCCTCCCCTTTCCCTTCCAGCCCCTCTTTTCCAGGAACCTTGCCACACCCGCACGTGCACCCTTTACTCCTTGGCCCTCCCACAGCTGCTGTGGCACACCTGTGCTCTGCACTTGCCTCACCAGCTCTCTGCTCGCTTTTTTTTTTTTTTATTATTATTGTACTTTAAGTTTTAGGGTACATGTGACAATGTGCAGGTTAGTTACATATGTATACATGTGCCATGCTGGTGCGCTGCACCCACTAACTCGTCATCTAGCATTGGGTATATCTCCCAATGCTATCCCTCCCCCCTCCCCCCACCCCACAACAGTCCCCAGAGTGTGATGTTCCCCTTCCTGTGTCCATGTGTTCTCATTGTTCAATTCCCACCTATGAGTGAGAATATGCGGTGTTTGGTTTTTTGTTCTTGCGATAGTTAACTGAGAATGATGATTTCCAATTTCATCCATGTCCCTGCAAAGGACATGAACTCATCATTTTTTATGGCTGCATAGTATTCCATGGTGTATATGTGCCACATTTTCTTAATCCAGTCTATCATTGTTGGACATTTGGGTTGGTTCCAAGTCTTTGCTATTGTGAATAATGCCGCAATAAACATACGTGTGCATGTGTCTTTATAGCAGCATGATTTATAGTCCTTTGGGTACATACCCAGTAATGGGATGGCTGGCTCAAATGGTATTTCTAGTTCTAGATCCCTGAGGAATCGCCACACTGACTTCCACAATGGTTGAACTAGTTTACAGTCCCACCAACAGTGTAAAAGTGTTCCTATTTCTCCACATCCTCTCCAGCACCTGTTGTTTCCTGACTTTTTAATGATTGCCATTCTAACTGGTGTGAGATGATATGCTCGCTTTTCTCTCTCCTGTCTTCTCTCTGCTTTCTCTCCAACTGCCAGCCAATCGGCTCAGGCAAGTCCATCCCATCCTGAGAGCCCCAGGCCCCCCTTTGAACTCTAAACAGATTCCTCCTCTTCTCAGAGACTTCCCTTTCCAAGCCTGCCTGGGCGGCTGTTCTGTGACTTGGCAGTGGCTCCCCCAGCCCCAAAGCCAGCCCCCCTTCATCTGTGACTTAGTCTATTGTTGCGGTGAGCTGACACATCCAGGTGTGACCGTTGCTGAAAACTTGTGCCCCCCTCTGTGGTATGCCCCTGCCCTGTTCTAGAAATATCTACAAATACCCATATACATATACACACACACACACACACACACACACACACACACACACATACACCTACATGTGGCCAACCGCCTCGCCTCTAGCGCTGGGAATCAGTCACCGTGCTGTCCTTTTGGAGTCTTGTGGCCAAACAAGAGAAAGCTAACCCCTGACATTGCCCCTCCAAAGTGCGCTACCTTCAGTGAGCCTCCCTGTCACGCCCAGCCTATGGAGAGACACACCCCGCCATCCCTCCCGCCCCCCCCCGCCTCCACCAAGCATGGGAGTGCTGTGCAGGCAGCTGAGTGGCCTGACAGTCTCTACCAGTCCTGCTGTCCCTTGGCTGAGAATCAAACCCGCTTCTGGATGGCGGGGAAGTGTGTCGTCTGCTGGCTGTGTTCTCTGTGGAGCTCAGGGGAGGGGAAAGGCCAAGCCATTTCTAGGGTGCTGTTGGGAGCAGTGAAAAGGCCATGCCCTTTCCAAGGGACACTTTTCCTGGAAAGCCCCTGGAGCTTAGCGGGCTCTTATCCTGTGAAGCCGGCTCTGGCCACCAGGGGGCAGGGCCATGAACTCAGCCCAGAGGGAGCCTGCAGGGCAGCCGGCACTCTGGAGGCACAGACAGAACAGGCCACCAGGTGCAGACAGGAGAGGGAGACAAGGGGATAGAACGGAAGATGCCGGGGCTGGGTGGAAGTCAGTGCCCTTAGGTGCTGGTACCTGTCTTCCCGGCCACCGCTAGATCAGGCTTCTGAGCCTGTTGGCTGTCAGGGCCAGACTGCGCCCCATAGACTACATGGCAGTCCCCTTGGAATCCCCCAGGCGCCACCAAGCAGCATACAGGTAACACGCCTGGAAGGTCCCCAACAGCCTAGCTGGACATGCTCAAGACACTCTGGGGCTCCTCGTTTGGTGGCACAAACTCCAGGACCCAGTGAGGGAAACGGAAACACACCAGGCCGAGCAGTATGGCTAAATCCATTTATTCCAAAATAAAAAGCAAAATAAACAGGAGTCACATCACCAGGGAGCCATGACCCCATCCCCGCCTCCTTCCTCTGTCCTATGCTAGCAATAAATAAGTTTCCCAGCCACAAATAATTATTACAACCTCCTCCCCATGTGCCGGCTCCAACCTCAGCTAGGTATGACACAGGGGTGGCCCTACCCTCTGGAATATACAAAACCTTACACAGACACAATATGTACACCGGGGAACGGGGGCCACCCCAGCAGCCCGTGCCCTCGCCTGGTCCACAGTTAGCCCCACTGTCCTGCCTCTCTGAATAAGAAGGGAGCCCCCCGAGGGAAAAGTTGCTATGGTGAGAGTAAGGGGGACATCAGGCCTCCTCCAAACAAACCAACTCCACCAGCCTCTGGCTCTTAAATAACAATCATCATCATCCAGAAATTTAGGGACTCAGCCCTGGTCAGGGTGGCAAAGGGTCTGTTTGTCTTTCCCCATTAGACAGAGGTCTTGTCCTGCTACCCTCATTGTAAAGGGGTGCCTGGGAAGGGGTGGTAGGGACATGGTGGCGGTGGAGACCCCAGCCCCACTTTTCCAGGCTTTGCTGACAGGGGCCTGCTTTTAATTTTTATTTTTATTCCATGACTTTTTAAAAAAGAATCCCGTAACTTCTTTTTCATAACTTTTTTTGGTAACTTTTCATAATACTGTTTTCTACTTTGTTCCCACAAGTTTTTTTGCCACAACGTTTTTACATTTTTTATCCCATAACTTTTTCACCCCATAACTTTTTTAATCCCATAACTTTTAAAATCTTGTGTTCTTTTAAGAAACACTTGCATAGTTATATTACAACTTTGTAAAAATGAAACACATTATCTCATGCCAAGCATGCCCAGCATTTGCACAGTATCAATACCTTTAATACTATAGTTTTCAAGAAACGCAAAATAAAATTTTAAGACAAAAACAACACTTAGAAACAATTTAATAATTTATTACATTACAGTGGCATCACACCAGCAGTCAATAAGGCCACTCTAGGGAAAAATCTTTCAGTATTTCCACGACACATTCTGTTTACAATAATTCATAAACTGGTAAAATTCATTCTAAGAAAACTTGGCAAATAAAACTTTGGACTGGAATTGGCATTTCTTTCTCTGCTTTTCGTTCCCACCATTTCTTTCTTTTATACTACAGTATTCATATTTTAAAATGTTTTAAATTATTTCAGAACATTAAGATAGCAGTTACATTTTTTAATAGTTATATTATTTTAAAATGACTCTTTAAAATAAAGTTTTAGAGAAACTATATTATGGATAGGGCTGATTTACATTTTCAAATTTTCTAAAATCAGCTTTGGTTTTAGAGCTGATTTTTTTTTTCATTTCTGGAAAATTATCAGGTTTAATCAAATACTTTTAAAATGATTATTATACATTGCCATCTTTAAATAGGTGTTTTGATTCTTCCTACAGACATTAAAATGTATTCAGTGGAACTCACAGTTTAAAATTCTATGTTTCTGATGAACTCTAACATTCCAATGTTGCCTTCTAAGCAAACTGAAAGCTGCCTTATACTGAATGAGGAAGAGCACAAATACTCGGCTGAATGAGGTATCGCAAAAGACTGCATGCACTTTGGAGAAAGACTTGAGTTATTGTCATACAATTTCCATTCTTTTTAGCTTTTTCTTAAATATATGACAAATACCTACACAAAGAGTGGTATTTCAGTCAATATAGTAAATTTATTTTCCAGACTGACCTTCAGCTTAAATATGCCAGTGTGTGATTTAATCCATAGGCACCTCATGAACACATTATTGTCAGATTGGTTACAGATGCTAAACGCTATCCGAAGGTCATTCCTAGTCACTGATATTTATCAGGGTAAAAGTGAAGTGATTTCAACGATAAAAGTACCTTTGCAATAATTTATCAATGTATTAGATAAACCCAGTTTCAGAATGATAAAAGAAAAAACGTTAGACCAAATAATGTGGCTGATTAACAGTGGTCCGATTTCTAGCCCGAGGGTTTAAAATGCTCTTAAAGTAACTGTCTTTAAACTGAACTCAAAGAATGCAAAAGCGGCAAGTTCAGAAAATAAAAGGCGAGAACAGGACTTTAAGTGCATTTTAAACCCACGGGCTACAAATCGTACCACTGTTAATTAGCCGCATTATTTGGTCTAAGATTTTTTCTTTATCATTCTGAAACTGGGTTTATCTAATACATTGATACATTCATAAAATTTGGAAGAGTCAGTGGAAGTCACAAGGACCGAATATTTGCTCTCTTTCAGTGAATGCCAGCAAATCTGTTATTCCATCGGTAAAATCGTATTGTTGCTCTCCTGTTAATGTTATATTTATAGAAGTATCATGAGGATGCCAAATGCTAAAAATGGAGATGATCTAGTAACTAGAAATCCCCACCGCAGGGAGCACACACACCTATCTCCCTGCATCCTAACAATGTGATGTGTTTTGGAACACAGACATTAGAACTTCATGAAGTTTTAACTGTTGAGTCTTTCCCAAGCATCATCAAGTTACGATTTAGGCAATACATAACTGAAATGCATTCATTCATCATGCATAGGCACAATCACATAAATATTGCACAAAATATGTCCCGAACAGAAACCCAGAGGTACAAAAACATATTTCACTTTGTAAAGAAGTTTGTGAGAAAATATAACTCTGTGGTTGTATAGACACGTTTCCTGATAATACATTGACATTCACGAACAACAGTAGATTGCACTGCAGTTTGTACACATTTTAAGTTTCATAAACTTCTCCTTGATTTTCAAAGACAGTATAATACCATCTACTAAAACTCCTTTTTGTTTCAACTATCTCACATATATTAGTTTATAAGAATGTTTCTATTTTTTTTAAAGTGTTTTCCATTCAAAGAAAAAGAAGTAAATTCCTATGTCAGAGTAACCAAGGTGGTTGAAGAATAGGTATTAGCCAAAGAGGTCTAGATGGTAAAATCAATCTTCAAGCCTCAAAGAATCTCCGTGAACAGAGAGGAATGCCAGGAGTCACACAGCTTTCCTTCACTCTAATTCATTCTTGACTAGAGCCTGTATGCCTGTTCCAGGGACATTTGAACTCGTAAAGGATTTCTTATGATCTTCACTAAATACATTAAGAAGAATGCCAACCAGTGCCCTTTTGTGTACTGGGGCATGTAGTCATGTGATTAAAACAGGTAACATGAACTCTGACTTTAAAATGTATTGTAGATACAAATGCTCTAAGCTAGGAAAGGTTTTCCACATCCACAGTCAACGATGGGAACCTTTCATTCCTCAGAAATAAGCCCTTTTTAGGTCATCGAAAAAGAGTGCAACTGCTGCAGCTCATGATGCAGTATCTTCATGAGCCCAGAGCACATACAAATCCTAAGGGAACCACCATAATACACTGCTAATTCCTGGCACCGGAACAGATGAAACACACTCTATCCTGCACGTACCTGCCAGAGGAGGCCACTTTCCTCTTCTGTGAGATTTAAAAAGCTCCCCCAAAAGGTTATCACTCCCATCACCAATACACAGAAAATGGAGGAAAGGCTGTTTCCAGTTCTTGGCCTTTAAACAACTCTAAATGTCAGTACTCATAGTGGCGTATTACAAAGTAATAAACAGTGCACACTTGGGGGCAAACTACATATTGAGCTAAGGAAGAGCTCACTGTGATTAAGATTAGATCAAACAACAGCAGAACATAGGCAAATTTTGTCTGAATGCTGTAGTGAATATACATGCTGCAATAACATTAAAAAAGCATGGCAGCCTATTCCAAACCAAAGAGAACAGTTTTGGGCAAAGAGTGGGTCTTTGTGTGTTTGAACTCCCACCACGTAAGGGCAAACTCGATATGCATGCTAATGACCTACAATTATGAAATTAAAAAAGAAAAATGCTAAAGGATGCCAGAGTGAACATCAGTGAGAGCCACAGACACCCACTCTCTTTTAACTTTTTACAAATAAACTTAAACTATAAATTAGAAACACAAATAATCATGAGTGAGTCTAACATTCAAAGGAAGTAAATGAATTGTGTAGGAGATTAACCCCATAACTTGGTTTCTTATTTAAAAATTTCTTGAGCAGCTGTTTGATGATGGTGATGTTTATCTCCTTCTTCTTGGCAGCCAAGCCCAACAAAATAATGGCACACAGCAGTTGCTGCCCAAGCCTGGGTGCTCCTGGTGGTCCTGCACGATCGGCTGTGCAGTAGGCTTGTCAAGGAGAGGATCCTCCCTGGCCTCTCCTTGGGCAGAGGAGGTGAGGGTCACCTCACGAAGATCTTTGGAGAGAGGGAGGCGGGGATCTGAGCACAGTGGGAGCCCCCCTCTTCCTGCCTACCCACCCCACCTGAGGGCTCTACTCACCACCATGCTTGTCTGCAGCCCCAAGCACCTGGGGGGCTGGGGCTCCTGGACCGGGCTCATCAGCAGAGTTGTGGGCAGCGGCCAGGAATTTTCTGTGCCCATTGTTGTAGTTGCTGTAAGCCGCAATACCATCTGCTGCAGCTCCAGCAGCTTCACCTGGAGGGAGGGGTGCTCAGCTGCCATGCCGCTGCCTGCGCCCACCCTCACACCCACCCCCACCCCCACCCCCACAGAGATGTTGCACACCCTACCTTCATCTCCTCCCTGAGCTCCAGCCTGATGGTGTCCTCCTCCCAGTGCTGCATCTTTGGCACGGCCCCCTGGTTCTGATAAAAGGTGATGGATTTTCCTGCGGGAGGACAGGGCTCAGATTCTGGGGCCCCTCTGATGGCCCTGTAGCTCCCCCTGCCGTGCCCTGGCCTCCCACTCACTGATGGCATCTCTCTTGCCAGTATTGAATGAAGCGAAGTTCTTGTTTTTTCACCAGCTCACTCAGGTCTGCCTTCTCCTTCAGGTGGTCCATAAAGCTGCTCTGGAGCCAAAATATTGCAGTCACATCTCGGCAGCGACCTGCCCTCAGGTGGCATTTTCAAGTCATGGAGAAGGCGGAGGTGAGTCCTGGCATGGGCCAGCTTCTCCGTGACTTCCTGCAGGGCCCAGTGGGTCTCCCCACTCACAGACTCGCCCCCAGGCCCTGGGGCTCCAGGGCCTCTGGCTGCCTCTGGCTCCTTCTGGGCCGAGGCCACCGGGTGAGCCAGGCGCTGGCAGCACACCCTCTGCTCTTTCACCTGCTCTTGTAACTGTGCCTGCTTCTCCTGGGCACTAGCTCCAGCGGACTTGAAAAATGCCACCTGAGGGCAAGATGTGAGCATTCTTCTAGGGGCATACACAGAAGAAATGGGGCAGAGAGGTGGAGCGCAGCCCCTTCCCTTGGGGCCTCAGAGAGTGCACCTGTTGGCCACAGGTGAAATGGTGTCTGACCACTGGCTCTCGGAAGGGGTGAGGGTCCAGAGAAATCAGAAGGCAGGGAAACGAAGAGCATAAAGGGGTCTTGGAGGGACCACAGAGAAAGGTGGCAAAATGGGTGCAGGGGGAGTCAGGCTCACCATGGCCTCCCTGCTCTCCAGGTCCTCTGGGACACTCGGCATGGGCTGAGGTGCCTCCTCCCCCTCACTGTCCAGATGTTCTCCTCCGTGTCCTGTGGGGGGTGGCCAGAGGGGTCTTCAGACAACCCAACAAGGGAGGTACTGTGGGCCCACCTCTACCTCCACCCTCACTGTGTAACCCTGAGCCAGCCCCTCCCCAGAGAGGAATGAGCTGTTGTTCTTTATTTTTACTTTTAAGAATCAAGATCTTGCTATTCCGCCCAGGCACACTCCCACTACTGGTCGATGTGGGAGTTCTGACCTGCTCCCTTTCTGACCTTGGCCAGTTCAGCCACCCTTAGGCAACTTGGTGACCGCCCGCTCACAGGAGGTCACCACACTGATGCCGAACTTAGTGCAGGCACCCGGTCGGCATAATGACCAGCTGTTCTAAAGGTCTCTTCCAACTCCTCAATCCTATGCTGCTAGCAGTCCCCCCTTCCTCCTGGGGCTCTCTCCTCTTCCTCTGAGCGGTCTCCCGTACCTTCCCCAGGGAGAGCCATGAGGCTCAGCTGGGCCGTTAGCTGCTGGTTCTGCTGGCTGGCCGCTTCCAGGTGCTCCTAAGGGGCCAGGAAAGAGTGAGAAGGGATGGAGTTTGCCAGGTCGTCCCCCTCACAGCCCCATCCTCGGCAGCTCCCTCCCCTGGGTCTCCTGCAACTTTTGGCAGGCCATCTCGGCCACTGCTTTGCCCCAAGCTTCCTACTGCTGCAGCTGGTTCATTAGCTGGGTCTGTTGCAGTCACTGCCTGTACAGCGCCTCCTTCTCACAGGTCAGCTGCTGATAGGCGGCCACCTGCTGCTGATAGGTGGCCACGTACTGCTGCAGGTGACCCAGGTAATGGTCTGGCTGCTGCTGCAGACTCTGAGCCTCTTGGCTCTTCAGCTCCACCTGCAGGAAGACCCTGGGTGTGAGGGCACGTGGTGGCTGGTTTCCAGATTCTGGGCCCATTAATAGGGTAGCGAGGGCACTGTGGGGCTCTGTCAGCTACCCAGGCCCCTGTCCCCTTACTCCAGGCCTAAGTGACTGCCTCCCTTTCCTAGAACCCCATGCCTCCTTCCCCAGCCTCAAATCTCATACCCTCTTCTCATTTAATCCTCAGCACCTCTGTAAGGAAAATGCTAACTTCCCTTTGAAGTTAAAGAAACAGAGACTTAGAGATGCAAAGTACTTGAACGGTGACCAGTGGAACCGAGGCTGGAATCCAGTTTCAATCTAAGGAGTCTTTTTGTTTTGTTTTCAGACAAGAGTGTCACTCTGTGGCCCAGGCTGGAGTGCAGTGGTGCAATCTCAGCTCACTGCAACCTCCACCTCCTGGGTTGAAGCAATTCTCGTGCCTCAGCCTCCCGAGTAGGTGGAATTACAGGCATGCGCCACAATGCCCTGCTAATTTTTTTTTTTTAAATTTTAGTAGAGATGAGGTTTTACCACATTGGCCAGGTTGATCTCAAACTCCCGACCTCAAGTGATTCTTCTGCCTCAGCCTCCCAAAGTGCTGGGATTATAGGCATGAGCCACTGCACCTGGTATAAGGAGCCTGTTATAGCACTGTCTCTTCCCCTGTGATTGGGGGCTCCATGCCTCTAGCTGGGATGATGATGTCCAGACCTGAGAGGAGCCCAGGGCTACCCACCTTTAAAAGTCAGAGGCAGGAAGTGAGAAACAGTCGCAGGACTGCCCTGGGGGGTGCTGTGGTCACCAGCCCCCAGGCTGGAAGCTGCCTCTGACCTGGCACCTCCCCTCCCAAGAGGCTGCTGCCCGCCTCCCAGCCCTTCTTGGATGGGGTGGAGGTTTCCGTCTCCTTCACCTCGCCAAGCTTCTCCTGTAGCTCCTTTACTTGCTGCTCCAACTGCAGTGTGCTCTTGTTCTCATTGTTCTGGACAGAGAGAAGCAATCAGCAGCCACCCACTGCAGCTGGAGACCCCAGAACTTGGTGTCTGCCTCCCATGGCACTGGGAAGGCTGGAGGCAGGTTAGAAAAATCACCCCCTCTCTCCCACAGCCACCTGGCTCACAGGTGCCTTTAGAAGTAACCTTTCACGCGAGGGCTACACTGCCCCATTTTAGAGGTGGGGAAACAAAGGCCCGGAGGGCTAGGGAGGAGGGCAGGCTCCCCAGTTGGGGCAACGCACCAGCTCCTCGAAGACGCTCTGTGGCTTGGCCAGCTGCCGAAGCTTCTCGTGCTGCTCCTGAAGCCTCTCCTCCTGCTTCCGAAGCCTCTCTTCCTGTTCCCGAATCCTCTCTTCTTGTCGCCGGTTCAGGAGACTTATGTGCTGATTGTTTTTGACCTGGGCCTGGAGCTCTCCTGCCACTCTCTCTAGTTCCTTCCTCAGGTGCTGCAGCTCCACCTCAGAGGGCACTGCTGGGGGCTCCGGGGGCAAGGGTTCAGCTGAGAAAGGAAGCAGATAATAAGGGCCTCTGGATTCTCGGAAAAGAAAAACCCTCCTCTTGGCGCACAGCTCCTCTCAGGCTCCTCAAACTTGGCCTCACTGCTAATGATTCCTCGCACCCAGATGGTAGCCAGTCTTCCAAAGCACTTTCAGAGAAAGAGCACTGCGGGTGGCTGACAACGGGCCCTCTTTGCTGATGGGGACACTGAGACACTGAGACTCACTGAGATGACAAGACTTGCGGTCTCCTGGCACAGATCTCTTTCCCTCTGCCTCAAAGCCCTTCCATCCACCCACCTCCCTGGGGCACTCTAAGCCACCCTCACAGCCCTCTGATGCCAGTCCTGCTCCCAGGTCATGCCAGCCCCATCTTACCCGTCTGGTTTTTGAGTTTGGACAAGCTCCACTCCAGCTGCTCTACCCAACGCATATCCTGCTTCTCTTTCTTTAATGTGCAAATCTGCCCAAAGCACAGGGGGAAAGGGCCCTGGAGAGAGGGGCTGGTGGCTGGACAGGCTGCCCTCTCCCTCTCTGCCCCCACCTCCACAAAGCCCAGACCCATGACCACCTCTGGCTCTACTATTCCCATTTTACAGATGCCCAGAAAGATCCAGTGACCTATCTAATGTGGGGGGGCTGAAGGGTCAGATCTCACCTCCTGCGACATTTTACTCATCCTCTGATGCCACCGGGCCCTCTCTCCTTCTATATGTTCAGCACACTCATCTCTTTCTAATTGGAGTTGTTGAAATGACTCCTTCAACTGCAAGAATGGGCACAGAAGTTAGGAAGGGCTGTCACTGGTCCTCACCTGCTCCTGGCCACCTGGGGTCATCGTCCTTCCACATCCCTCCCTCGGAAAACCTCACCTGTGTCAGCTGCGCTTTCAGCAGTGCCTGGTCCTGTAGGGACTGCTCTAACTCCCACTCTGTATGTGCTTTGCTGCAGCTGGACAACTGGATGGTGAAGAGTTAGAAGTTTCAATCTGGAGAGCCTGGGCATTTCCACACAGTGCCCCTTAACAGGGCTAGGGCTAGGCCCAATATACAACTCGGTCAGTAAAGATCAAGGCATTTCCCAGCCCGTGGTCTGGTTTTTAAAAGAACACAGTAAAGTTGGAACGGACAGGGAATGAGACTGAGTTTATAGCTGGCTAACAGAGGCCCAGAGAGATCAGATAATATTGCTATTGTTATTATTGTCATTATTACCACTGTTTGAACCTTTGTGGAATGCTTCACCAGGTACCGTGCTAACAATCCCATTTAATCCTCGCAACCACCATAGGAGACAGTTACTATGATTCCCTCTATTGTGGAGATGAAAAAACATGGAGTATTTGAGGTTAAGTGCTTGCCTAAGTTCACTTAGGCAGAGCTGGGATATAAACACCCAGGTCTATCCAATTCTCTAAGCCCATTTTTCTTGCTGGGGATGGGGGCACAGATAGGAAGGGGAAAATTAATCTTTTCTTCACTTTTTGAAAGGATGATACATTCACATAGTCCAAAACTCAGAAGGTACAGAAGGGAAGTATCTCCCAGCCATCTTGTTCTCTCTCCTGAATTTTTTATGAACCCTTGCAGACATGTTTTATGTATATTATCACAGTATGTACACACACACACACACACACACACACACACACACGCACGCGTTTCCTCTTTCTACAGAAATGGTAACATACTAAAGGTACTCTTCTGTACCTTCACAGTACAAGTACCCAATACCCCACCTAGGACTTGCCCAAGACCACAGCCAGGTAAGGGCGGGGCAGGCACTTGGCCTCCAAGCTCTGCGTCCAGTGCTCACTCCCCACAGTACCCCCCAACTCACCCACAGCAGCTGACTCGGCCCCAGGCTGCCACTAAAAACCATACAAAAAAGTAGCAAGAAATGGCCATGCTGCCTTCTGGGCAGGACACGCCATCCTGCAGAAGGGACCTTTAGGCTCACTCCTCCATCTGCAAAACCAGGCTCCCAGGGGATGGGGCAGGTGGCTGGACTCACCTGGTTTGCCTTCTTCTTCTCTGTGGCGATGACAGCAGACAGAGCCCTCTCTAACTCTCCTTTACACTGCAATGAATGTTGCAGGCGGACAGCCAGGTCCTTGGACTCTTCTGTAATGAGAGAGTTGAGATGGGGCCCAAAGGACTCCCCCTGAAGACCTGTCAAAGTGCCAGGTTGAAGGATGACAGGGTGCCCAGATTCCCACCTTCAAAGTATCTGAGAGAACGTTCCATGTGGTACAGGTCCGTATTTAGTTCCTCTTTCTGTATGATCAATGTCTGGATTTGAACCTTTGGGAGAAAAGCCAAGCAAGTGCTGAAAGAGAAGGAAAGAAACATTCTCCGGAGGACAGGAGGAAACTGCACACCCTCCACTCACCTCTAGCTCCCTTTCGGCTTTCTGTCTCTCGTTGTTTGCTTTCTTTTCCTGTAGGAAGAGGAAGACAGAGCTCTTACCAGGGGGAGGCAGAGATGGCACAGCAAGAGACATGCCCCCAGAATGCCACCAATGCCCCAGGACAGGCCCACCCATGGGACCAGGTTATCAGGGGCCCTGTGGGGATGGGGTGGAATCTGAGGGGTGAGCCTTCTTCCCCAGGCTGGGAGTGGGTGAGACGAGACTGGGGCCTGTATGTCTGAGTGCCCCCCAAACCCAGCAGTCATGTCGCGAGGAAACGAAATCACGTTACTTCTTCCAGCTGATGTTCCACTTGTTTCTTCTGTTGTTTCTGTGGGGAGAGTCAAATAAGGTGATGGAGGGTGGCCCCCTCAACTCTATTCCCCAGATCAGGAAGCGGTAGGCAGGGGCCAGGAATGGATTTTAAAGGCAAAGTTCTCAGACATAATGGGAACACGAACCGGTAAACTCTCCTCAAGCTCCCAAGGACAGAGGATTTGGGTCTTTGTTGGCTTTTGCCCACAGCCACAGAACTCAGTCTGAATCTGGAATCTCTTGAGAGGACAGCAACATAAACCTCTAGAGATGGAGTTTCAGAAAGGCCCCTCCTTCTGGCAGCTTGTGATTTAGAAAAGTGGGTTCATTCAATAAACACTTACTGAGCACGTATGGGCCAGGTACGGTTCTTCACAGCAGATATAGGATGGAAAAGGACAGACAGGAGCCCTTAGCCCTGAGGTTTCCATTCCCGGGGGCCTTTAAATCTCAGACTCGAGAGCTAACAGAGACCTTTGATACTCACTACCTCCTCTGGAAACACGAGCCCAAAAAGGAGAGGTGGCTTGTCCAGAATCAAAGAGCAAATTAGGGACTGAGTCATGGCAGAAATACGGGGCCCTTGACAACCAGTCAGGCTAGCACTTCCCCAAGAGGCAACAACCCCAGGGCGTGTGTAGCAAGGACTCGAGCAGGGGTGTCTGGAGAGGAGAGAGTCGGCAAAGAGGGCAGCAAAAGAAGAGCCATGCTGCATGCTCTGGGGTCCCTCCAGGTGAGGCCTGGGCACCCAAGCTCCCTATTTGTCCCGGGCACCAGGGACCCCCAGCCCCTTTCTTCAGGGCCCCAAGGGGAAACTGGAGCCCAGGATTGGCAGCGTGGAATCAGGGGACCCCACCGGACTCTTACCAAAGATTTGATGGTGTTCTTCAGTCGACTGATTTTTACGGACGTTGAATCCAGGACTACTGCTCGTTCTTGGCACGGGCTCTGAGGTGCATGCAGAGAGGAGGAGGTGGAGCAGGAGTGGGGAGAGAGGTAGAGAGAACGATCGTTAGGGCTGGGGTGTGTGGGCTGTCTCAGCTGGCAGAGGGGCACCCAGTCCCACCTGGAGGAGGAGGTTGGAGGGTTGACCCGAAGGGTCACTGCACCTCCACCCAGAGCCTCTTACCTCCAGATCTTTCAGGGTAGCAGATGATGTAGGGCCTTCCCTGTGGAAACCTGTTGCTGACTACAAGAGATGAGAGTGCACATGGAGATGTTCTGTCCCCCACAGTGTCTGAGCCCTCTGACTTCCTTTCTTCCCCATCAACTGCAACATTTTCTTTTCTGCCTATCTTGGACCTTTTGTCCCATAACTCCTTTGTGCCAACTTCTCTCATGGTTCTTATCTCCCCACCATCCCATCCTGGGGCCCCTTCAGTGACTCCTGATGGCAAGTGGCTGTTCTCTTTGTCCTGGTTTCCCCTTGAGACTGGGGATGAGGAAAATCAAACCATATCCTGGGTGTCCTGAGTGTTTACAGCAGGCCATGTACTAGGGATTAACATAAAAACAACAATAACAAATCTCATTTAAACTTCACAAATGGAAGTGAAACAATATCACCTCTATTATACAGATGTGAAAAGAGAGGCCCAATGAGGTCTAGCAACTTGCCCTAAATCATATCCCTAGCAGAGCAGATGGAGAGGCAGGATTCAAACCCAGAATTCCTTTTTTTTTTTTTGAGACAGAGTCTTGCTCTTTCACCAGGCTGGAGTGCGGTGGCATAATCTTGGCCACTGCAAGCTCCACCTCCCAGGTTCACACCATTCTCTTGCCTCAGCCTTCTGAGTAGCTGGGACTACAGGCACACGCCACCACGCGTGGCTAATGTTTTTGTATTTTTGGTAGAGACAGGGTTTCACCGTGTTAACCAGGATGGTCTCGATCTCCTGACCTCATGATCCGCCTGTCTTGGCCTCCCAATGTGCTAGGATTACAGGCGTGGGCCACCACACCCGGCTAAAGCCAGAATTCTTAACCAGTACCCAGCAGTCCATCCACAATCTTAAGAATTACCCTCTATTGCCCCTTGGGCCCCCTGTCCCCAGAAGCCTGGTCAGCCAAGACTCACATCCCCAGGTGGCTGGCAACCACCGGAAGTGGCTGTCTCAGGGATACTGCCATTTGTTTTCCTGTTCCTGTTCACTCCTGCTGGAACTCTAGGTCTGTTTTTCTGCCAATATTCTTTTAACTGTTGGAAAGAAGAGCAGTAATATTCATGAGAACCGTCAGCCCCTACAGCCACAACCTCCTTTACAGTTTTTACAAAATACACTTACACACCATCTGATTTAATGACACCAACAACTGTACAAGGTGTTGTCACACTCATTTAGTGACTGAGAAGGATTGATATCATGGCTAGAAAAAAAAAAGAAAAAGGCAATACTGGAACTTTGAGACTCAGTCTTCTGACTCCAAGCTCTGAGGTTTTGCCAAGAATCAGCAGCTGCCAGGGACCAAAACCAGAGGCAGAGGTAGAAAAGTAAACATTAAGTAGGCAGGAAATGTATGCCATGTGGTTTAGTCATACATCCTCACACGTCTGTTAGTGTGAAGAAGTGCACCAGTACCTCTCAAACTTTTATATCAATGTGTCCTCATGGCAGAAGGCAGCCTTTCTCTTAAATCAGAATTTATCAGAAAGAGGACAACCCAAGCCTCATTTCAGAGAGAGGTCTGGTATACTCTTAGAAACCTATGTGACTGTCCTCCCTAAGTACATTCATGTTTTTTCTCTTGATCTCAAGAGAATCAAGGGAAACTGATGCTTCAGAAAGATGTCCCACATTTATCCTGTGGCACTCAAAGTACCCAAGGTTGAGATAATATGAGGAAGATTCAAGGTGTCAAGTTCAGTTTCCCAAGATCTATTCCACAGAAGATGAGCAAATGTCACTTCAGAGACCACTGACTGAAGGAGAGTCTGGTCCCAGAACCATGGAGAATTAGAATATGAGGTGGAGAACTCAGAAAAAAATGTTAAAATCTCTCTGGAAAGTAGAAGCCTGGGAGAAAACCAAATCAAACCCATTCTCTCATTGCCACCCAGAGATACTGTCAATGTTTTGAGTTCATGGGGGAAGTGTAGGCTTTTCCCACCGTCAACATCTGTAAGGGAGTGAGGCAGCCTGGAACCTCTTGCTCCTAGGTCCCATAGTCTCCATTCCCCTTCCAGCTGGAAATTTGTGCTGTGACCAGAGGAACCAGAAACGGGGTGAGAACGCTTAGGGGACTGGGTCGTAAGGTCAAAGGCCAGTCTTGCAGTAACGGCAGTTACTAGGTGGACTGTGACATCACAACATTCCACTCCTCCTGGTCGGGGGGAGGGACCATGTCAGCACCATGTCCAAGTCGCTGCTCCACGATGGGGGAGGGAAGCACAGGGTTGGGACCCAGCTCCTTGGAGACGCCAGCACAAAGAACCCAGGGAGGTCGACCTTGAGGCAGCAGGAGGGGAGGGCACAGTCTGCAGCAGGGAGTCCCAGGAGTCACCAGCCCAAAGTCACCCAAGGATGACTGGCGAGGGTGGGGCCTGGCTCCTTGGAGATGAGAGCCCAAAGAGCCCACGGAGATCAAGCTTGGGGCGGCAGGAGATGACGGCCCAGTAATGGAGCGGGAAGCCCCAGGAGTCACCCACCCAAAGTCACCCTGGGGTGATTGGCGAGGGCAAGGACTGGGCTGCTTGCTGAAGGGGTGGGGCTGACTGACAAAACTTTGGTGGGGGTAGCCCAAGGCACCGGGGTTGGGGGGACCAGTCCACTGTGCCTCAGGAGTCATATAGACTCTGGCAGGGGTCTTGTCATCAGAGGGGATCTGTGGCTGGGTTGAGGGGCTATGACCTAGTGCGTTTTTACCTTTTTCTTGGCTGCAGCCAATTTGTTGTGTTGAGTTTCTTCTGCCATTGCAGGGTGGGGAGGGAGGAAGGGTTGGGGCCACAGCAGCAAAATCCCAATAAGAACCGTTCAAGGCCTCCAGTCACCTACCAGGCAGCTGTGTGACTGAGCCAGAGGAGGCGTAACCAGGGCCCCAGTAGAATGCGGAATAGGGGCGTGGCCTTAATGCTCCAAGCCCATTGGTCAATGAGAAAGATGAAAGGGAAAGGGGGCGTGGCCAGACAGCAGCGTGTCCAGAGGGCCCTGCGGCTCACAAGGAAAGCTGCCCATGGCAACCGCTCTCCCCACCCACTCTAAGAGAGGGGAGAGGCCTCCCACTCTGGAAGAGAAGAGGGGCTGGCTTTTGCTTTAAAAGCTTTAAAACTTTAAAAAATATATGTGTGTATACTTTATATATATGTGTGTCCATGTGTGTGTATCTATGTTTTTCTCCATAGCTGTCTTCATTATCCAGCTTCTATGCAAGGTCTATGATTTTGGCCTATATTTTTCATCTTTGATTACAGTACAAAAATTACCAGTATTACCTTAACTGAGATACAGATCCTATAAAAATGGAAAATGCATAGCATGCTTGATGATTAATGAAGCAGACTATATTATCCAACATTCTAATAAGATAAAATAATCACAATGATTTCTCTTTTTTGGAAAAATGTTTCTCTTATTCTCCTACGTTTTCGTTAAGATTTTTTTTCTTAAACAAGAAACATGTCTAATATCTGTAAAAGCACAAAGCTTTTGGGCTGGGTGCAGTGGCTCATGCCTGTAATTCCAGGACTTTGAGAGCCCAAGGTGGGTGGATCATGAGGTCAGGAGATCGAGACCATCCTGGCTAACACGGTGAAACCCCATCTCTACTAAAAATACAAAAAAGGCCGGATGTGGTGGCAGGCAGCTGTAGTCTCAGCTACTTGGGAGGCTGAGGCAGGAGAATGACATGAACCCCCGAGGTGGAGCTTGCAGTGAGCCAAGATCATGCCACTGCACTCCAGCCTGGGCTACAGAGCAAGACTCCATCTCAATTAATTAATTAATTAATTAATTAATTAATTAAAATAAAAAATTAATAGTAAGAGCAATGTGAACAAAAGATGCAATAAAATAATTTAGAAAATACAAACTATTAAAAAATAGATTTTAAAACTTGTGCAACGAAGTCAAACAGCAGCCAACGAAAATGTATACCCTTACACGTTTGTTTAAAAAGCAATTTAAATTACATTGATCCACTAAACTAGGAAAAGCAAAACAAACAAAAGGGGGAAATAATTAAGACCTAAGGAAAAAGAAAAACCACTAGATTTAAAAAATAAAACTAAAGGAGGATTCTTTCAAAAGACTGAGATAATAAAACAGTCAAGCCTCTGATAAGTAATCAAGATAAAGAAAACTTTGAAGAGAAAAGGGCATATAGCCACATGTGAATATGATGCAAAAAGTGAAAACTTTACACATCTTTACAACACCTTAGAAGTATGGATGACATGTTCATTTTTTTTTTTTTTTTTTGAGACGGAGTCTCGCTCTGTCACCCACGCTGGAGTGCAGTGGGGTGATCTTGGCTCACTGCAAGCTCCGCCTCCCGGGTTCACAACATTCTCCTGCCTCAACCTCCCGAGTAGCTGGGACTACAGGCGCCCGCCACCACGCCTGGCTAATTTTTTGTATTTTGGCTTAGTAGAGACAGGGTTTCACCATGTTAGCCAGGATGGTCTCTATCTCCTGACCTCGTGATCCACCCGCCTCGGCCTCCCAAAGTGCTGGGATTACAGGCATGAGCCATCGCACCCATCCAAAGTGTTCATTTTTTTTTAAGAACCTACAGTTACGAAAAGTAACTGAAGAAGTGGGAAATCTGGAGACCAATATGCAGAAGAAGGAAAAAGACAAAGACTCATCCTCCAAATTGGATATTTAAACCAGAATTTGTCATCCTCAGCAATATTGATATATTGGGCCAGATAATTCTTTGTGGAGGGTTCTCTTGGTGTGTTGTCGGGCATTTAGTAAACATTCCCTCTACCCACAGAATGCCAATGAGACCTCCCGACCATGACCAGTTGTGACCACAAAAATGTCTCCAGATATTTCCAAACGTCCCATAGGAGGCAAAATACTCCTGCAGTTGAAAATTACTGTGTAAACCAGATCTACATCCTAGATCTTAGAAAAAAGATGTAAAGCTTCCCAACTCAGCCCTGCATACCCTTGATACTGAAATAACAGCCTTAAAGGAAACAAACAAAACTATAATCTTATTTAATACAGAAGTAAAAATGCAAAAATAAAATATTACCATAGCCATTCCAACAGTGTTTATTATAGGAATGCAAAGATAATTCAAAATTAGGAAAATTTCATCAGGCAATTCACAAATTATATTTCTACATATAATTGAAGGCACAATCATGAAAAACAAAGTAGCTCTATATGCATTAAGTCCATGATCTATTCAGTGAAAAACACAAGTTGCACATGTCTTACAGAAGGAAAACTTAACACTGAACACAGATTCTCACCATCTGCTCTTTGTCCTGAGGCTCCAATAGAAATACAGTGAAGAATAAACATTGTATAAGCACACCATTACAAAAAAGGAATGGGGTTACCAACAGAAGAGAATTCATCTTCATTAGACAATGACAGTACATGGAAAATGGTTAATTCATGGAGCAAAGCAACAAAGGTGGAGGTCAGGGGGATACTGAGAACAAGGAGGCTAATCTGTCCCACAGCAACCTGGAAAGGTTCTAGACTCAGACACGAGGTACCCCCGACAGTGGGACTGATAGGCAAGACTGAAAACAGAGATTAAGCAAAAGCCCGGATAGAGAACACATTTCACAGGCCCTGAAACACACTGCTGGCCCCATCTCCTTAAACAGAACCCAAGCAAACGTATCCACCTCAGGCAAGAGAATGTAGATTTTACATCCAGAGGAATGGAGTAGTCATCCAGCCATCATTTATGATTGCAACAGGAGATAAGATAGAGGGATGGAGGATAACAATTAGGAATCAGCATACATTCCCCTTAAAGCTATCAGTTGACAAGTCTTGGCCACAAAGAACTCCCAATCAATTTTTATTTATTTTTATTTTTATTTATTTATTTATTTATTTTGAGACAGGGTCTTGCTCTTTCGCCCAGGTTGGAATGCAGGAATGCAGTGGCATGATCAGAGCTCACTGCAGCCTCAACCTCCTGGGCTCAAGCAATCCTCCTGCCTCAGCCTCCCAAGTAGCTGGGACTGCAGATGGGTGTCACCACACCTAGCTATTTTTTTTTTTTTGTAAAGATGGGGTCTCACTATGTTGCCCAAACTAGTCTTGAGCTCCTGGGCTCAAGTGATCCTCCCACTTCGGTCTCCCAAAGCACTGAGATTATAGGTGTGAGCCACCACACCTCGGCTCCCAGTCTTTTAGTACCTCTCTCAAATATGAATGAACAAATAAAGGAATGGAAAAAAGACTACAGGTCAGGCACGGTGGCTCATGTCTGTAATCCCGCACTTTGGGAGGCCGAGGTGGGTGGATCACCTGAGGTTGGGAGTTCCAGACCAGACTGACCAACATGGAGAAATCCCATCTCTACTAAAAATACACAAATTAGCTGGGCGTGGTAGCACATGCCTGTAATCCCAGCTACTTGGGAGGCTGAGGCAGGAGAACTGCTTGAACCTTGGAGGCAGAGGTTGTGGTGAGCCAAGATCACATCATTGTACTCCAGCCTAGGCAACAAGAGCGAAACTGGGTCTCAAAAAAAAAAAAAAAAAAGACTACAAATGATAAGCAACATAGAATAGATATTTAAGGAAAGGCTTTAAAAAGAAAAATAAGACCAAAATAAACTAAGAAAAAAATTATTAAAGAACAAGGAGATGCCAGGGAGAAGACAAAGAGTATCAAAATCACTTCATAAAGACACTTGTGAATATATTACATGTATAAAACAAAACAATATGAATAAGAAATAATCAGAGAAGAAAAAGTTCTTAGAACTCATGCTCCATCTTGGGAGTTGGTCTCCAATGAGCCATACCTCCTGTCATCATGTCCTCAGACAGGCCCATCCCATAGTCAATCTGGGTTGGCCCCAACACTCACTTTAACCTATAGCATGTGGTAGAAATGACACTGGACCTGTTCCAGGTCTAAGCCTTAAGAACTCCTGGCAGCTCCATTTCTGTGCTTCTGGAAGCCAAAAATAAGAATTGGCTACCTTCTTGGAGAAAGAAAAGCCACATGAAGAGATCCGAGAGGATGAGATGCTATGCAGAGAGAAAGGCCACATCAAGAATCACCAAGGCAGCAGACCTGTGGGTAAAGAAGCCGTCTCAGACATTCCACTGCAGCTGAGCATCCAGATGACCAGTCCCTGACACTGTTTAACCACACAGTGAGAGCTGCCAAATGAGACCAGCAGAAAAACTGTCCAGCTAGCCCCAGGTAATCCATACAGTCGTGACAGATAGACAGATGTGTAGTTTTAGGCCATTAGGTTTTGGGATAATTGGTTAAGCAACAATAAATAACCAAAACAAAACTTAAAGTTATGACAGTCCAAATAAAATTTCCTGAAAGTCGAAAGATAAGAAAATATTCCAGAACTGAAAATTTAAAAAACATTTAGAAATAACGTGAGATATAAGACTCAAGACAAGAGGTCTAAAATCCAATTAACAGACACTTCCAAATGAACAAATAAAATGGAAAAGAGAAAGTTAACAACAAAAATATGACAAGATTCAAGACTCCAACTTTGAAAGAGCCTATCCATAGGCCTGTTCATTTGGTGTACCCAGCATAATGAATGAAAAAAGACCCACACTAAGTACACTGTTGTGCTATTTCAGCTCACCAAGGAAAAGACAAACTCCTAAAAGCTTCCAGGGAGAAAGTCATGCATAAACAAGTGAAACTCAGGATGGCATGAGGCTTCGCCACCACGACTGGTTAGAAGACAACAGCACAGACTTTGAAATTCTAAGGTAAAATTATCCTCAACCTAGAAATACGTAATCAAGCAAACTATCAATCAAGTGTGAGGGTAGAATATGAGAGACGTGAATACTGATGGGGATGTGATATGCAGCAGGCACTGTTCTAAATGGTTTACATGTACCAACCCAATTAAGAAACTTAAAATACACACGCGCACACACACACACACACACACACACACACACACACAGTTTTTCCTGCTAATCATTTTACGATGAAACAGCCAAGTAGCTAACCCAGAGCCCACAAAGGCAGAGTAAAAATTCTAACACTTGGTAAAATAAAAATGCACATATACCCTGTGATCTAAAAAAAAAAATGCTTAAATATTCAAAGACAGACAGCAATTACAGCTACTGAGAACATCACTGTAAGCAAACTGAGGCAGAGAAAACAAAGGTGCTAATGAGGATTTGAACCACCTAACATGCAGAAACCCACTGGATGCTTTCCTAGGTTCCGAGCTGGCATTGTCTTTCAGAATGATCTAGAAGAGGTCACATGACACTGTTACAAAGGATCTGGAGAAAGGGACCCTTGCTTTATCACTCCGGCTCTCCAGTCATGCTTCACATTTTCACTTCTTACACTCTTTCACATGAAGTCAATTTACAGACCTCCATCATGCCCTTAGAGACCTTTTTGTAATATTCTGACAAGTTCTGGATGTCATCTCTGCACTTTTGACAAATTCTTAGCAGTTAACGTACAAGGCAGTTAACATTTTTGTTCACGGTATAGCTAGAAAAGGGTCATATACTCAATAAAACAAATATTTACCAAGCATTCATTGAGTGGAAGATAAAACGCACAAAGCATAATTATAAAATATTCTCCCCTGCCATGATACAACAAAATTTTTAAAGGCTTACAGAATATAGCATAACATGACCAAAGCAAAAATAGTAAGGACTAAAGAGGGGAGGAAGGGAAAATATCAGCATGAACTGAATATGACCCAGAAGAGTCTTGATGGTCAGACATGTAAAGATGTATTGGGCAGGGTTAAGGGGTGGAAGTCAGGGGCACAGGTCAGGGGCACATTCTACAAGGGAAAAACAGCTGATACAGAAGCCTGAAAGGTAAAGTGGGCAGAGCACCTGTACAGGACTCTTACCTGCCACAGCGAGGGCACAATGCGCCTTTCCAGAACACAGCAGCGCGCAGCCAGGCCTGGGGCAGAGGGATCACTCAAACAGCACCAGAGGCTGCATTCCTACTTTTCTTCCGTCAACAAGTCCATTTTCGTTGTTAGTTTCTCCTTCAACACAAACTTAAAAACAAATGGCTGAACACGCAGGAACAAGGAAAACCTGACTGAAGAATGAGACGTTAAAACTTAAGGGCCTTGGGTCCTGGCACGGTGGCTCACGCCTGGAATCCCAGCACTTTGGGAGGCAGAGGTGGGTCATTTGAGGTCAGGAGTTCAAGACCAGCCTGGCCAACACGGTGAAACCCCGTCTCTACTAAAAACACAAAAGCTAGCCAGGCGTGGTGGCCGGCGCCTGTAATTTCAGCTACTCGGGAGGCTGAGGCAGGAGAATGACTTTAAGCAGCGGACTGTCAAGAGAGGTAGGCTGCAGTGAACCGAGATCGCGCCACTGCACTCCAGCCTGGGCTACACAGTGAGACTCTGTCTCAAAAAAAAAAAAAAGAAGTCATGGTCATGGTAAAAAACCTATGGCTTTGGAAGGCTTTCTCGGTAACGTCCTAGAATTAAGGTTAAGCCTGCGTTTCATGTTAACTGAACAGGAAACCAGCCTGACCAACATCCTTCTGCCCGGTGGCTTGCTCTCAGCTCCTCTTCGTTGGGCCTTGGGCAGCCAGACTGTCTAGTTTTAATCCTTGCTCTGCCACCTGTGACCTTGGACAAGTTACCTACCTTCAGTTACCTCATCTACAAAATGCAGATATTAATAATACCCTCTTTTTAATTTATCCAGAGGATTAAAAGAGTTAATAAAAAGTAAAAAATAAAAAGACTTGGTAAGCATAGGCACAGAGGAAAAAAAAGTAAAAATAAATAATTAAATAAAAAGACCAGTGCCTAGCACATAAAAGTTCATCAGGAATTAATTCTATAATATGAACTCAATTTTGCAAAACTTCAAAGTACGTACAACTTTTAACTTACTAGGGTATACATACCAGTAATAAATTCACAACGGTAGACATGTTTGCCTACTGTAAATATAACAAAGACTAAACAAGCAGATACTAAATCATTAAGCAATTATCAGTTAGTATCTTTAATTTTCTTATACTTCTATATTTTCTATAGATCATCTTTGTAACAAGAAGAAAACCAACCAAATGAAAATGAAATGAATTCTCTCAAAAAGAATTAAGTCAAGACAGGAAGAAGGCTCGCAAAGTAATATAAAATATATCTTATGGTTTATGTAAAATTCTTAATAAAATACCTTCTTTGCTCCAAGCTGCACTCTGGCTTTGCCTTTGAGTCAGGTGGCATTTCTTTGCACGATGACTGGTTCTATTGAGTAGGCACTGCTTCAGCCCTACAGGAAGAACAAAACCTCTCTGGAACACAGCAGCATTCCTGACTCCCACTTGAGGAGGCCTAACAAAACGGCATATGCCTCAACAGCAGCAGATCAGTGTTAAAAAGTCTGGAGTCAAGGGGAAAAAGTAAAATTGGACCATTTCCAAAATCTCACAAAAAGCAACAAACTGACGTTCTAAGTGCCCAACATGAGCAAATTAGAACCTTAAATAAAGGTCACTCTTAATGCCTATCCCAGCATAGATGCAGCACCAAGTACAGTGTCATTTTACTGGTTTACCTTTTTCATTCTTGAAAGTAGGAGCTATGAAAAAAAAACACTAAAATTTCTCTAAGAGAACCTTCTACTTTCTGTCTAACTTACATAATCAAAACACTCTATTGAGGGTGAAAATTGAATATTATAAGAAAATAATCACGTGTTTTGCGAGAAGTTGCAAATATAATGCTCCTCCACCCAATACCTACCTTAAAAAGAAAAAAGGAAACATACAAAATTATCTCGAGAATTATTCCTGCTTAAACAATGTCTACGTGCCATTACTAAGAAAGTATGCACACAGTAAAGATGAGAAGAGAACATGCAAGCGTGAACATACTTGTTAGGGATATAGGACTATGGGTAATTTAAACATTTTAATGGTATTACTCTCATGTAATTGCTCTGAAATTCTAGTCAGTTGTTTGAAATGGCTCTTAGAACAGAATACTTTGACATTTTTATGATGTCAAAAACTAAGAACTTAGCCCTAAATATTCCAAAGAATAGGTGCAGAAGAACCCGTTTCCCTAAACGGCATTTGAGTATTCTTCACAACTCAAACTTTCTCTCCCATCCTGTGATGGCCGAGAGTTTTTCCTCTGACGACCGCACTGACCTTACCCTATCCAAAATATGAACATCTGCATGGTTTCCTGGTTCAAATTGTTTTTATCCATTCTGTCGTGAGAATCAAATGGTTCAGACCATGCAGCACCTCTCTGGGACTTCTCAAGTCCTTTCTAGATCTGAACACTATTCTCTGAACCAAAGACAACTTCTGGGGGTGTACCAAATCTCCCATTAGAAAATTATTAAGATCAAGATGTTTTAACCTTTTAACTCTTTCTCAAACAAAATAAATTCGTTTCTCCTTTACTGTTATTTTAAATTTCAAAATACACAGATAGTATGTCTAAAATAAAATCAAGAGAATGACAGTTTTAGAACACAAACTGTGGTAATTTTGAAAACACAAAAGCTAAGACCACTAATTAGGTCTATGTGGACACCAAGTCCACCACAACCTGTTCTGTCCTCCGGGGCTCTGCCCACGCCTTTCCCTTGCCTGAGATTCCTTCTGCTTCCTACCCTTCAAATGCTGTATTTCCCCCTGGAAGACTTGCCAAGACCACTCTAACCTGCACATCTCCCATTCCAGCTAACCAAAGGCATCCTTGGGTTGACTAAACCAAGTTATTTTGCAGACAAGGCATCTAAACACTTCCACTGTAGACTATTCACCTTAATAATTGTTATTGTGACATTATTCAATAATAAAATGAGGGAAAGAAGTCCTCTTCAATCCCTTATCCTGGAGAACCCAAGCAAGTGTCTTTCCCACTTGCTTTGCCCAAACCCTGGGACCTTTCTAAGTAAAAGTTTAATGGAAGGGAAAGAAAATCTAAAAGAAAAACTCTCCAAGAAATTAAACTCGGGCAAAGATTCATGGGATTAAAAATTTTTATTCTTTGTGTATTTGATTTCCGAAACATAGAAATCTCTCTCCCACTCCTTAAACCTGCCACTGGGCTAAGAGAGTATTGTACAGAATATGCACTCACTGACTTAACAGAATTAGAACATCCAGGCACTCACTGAGATTTTGCTTCCACAACCGCTCAAAGTCTAGTCATTAGTTCATGAGTTAACACCACACTTGACCTTCAAGTTTTGGAAATGCTGACGGTAGACAGGGACTTGTTTTGGGAAAGGAAGTACACAGTAGACATTGTTACCCATGACCCAACCACCACCACCTTTCCTTTAAAGAACCCCACTCTTCCTTTAAGGTTGCAGAGTCTCAGAAAGTGGGAAGAAAGGAAGTTTTTGCATTTTCAGGTCAAAACGAAGTACATTTGTGCAACCACATAATGCCCATGCAAAGGTTTCTTGAAATCTAAACACAAGACAGAAATAGTTCTAGCACCTCCACAAAAAGTAAGGTAAGTAAGTTTTTCCTTAATATACACTTTCAGCAGCATCAACACCTAAAAGTGGTTGACTTTACTACTGTACTAAATTAAATTACATTCATTTTGTCAATAGGTGTTCCAAATTCGTACTGATCTTTGTCTCCAAGGGGTTCCTGCTGAATATTGAGACAGTTGAAGATTACTAGGGGAAAAAATTCTTAATAATCGAAGTAAGGATCATCTAAGGATAATATGCCACATATACAGACACAGTCACATTTTCAGCTTTACAAAAGTTCAGTTATCAAAGTTGTACAGCAAACACTATCCTAAGCTTAGCGTCTTCAGGCATTTGATTTATAATCACTGTAAAGAAAAATCAGTCACAAAATGCCACTGTTGTATGATTCTATTTATATGAAATGCCCAGGATAGGCAAATCTACAGAGATAGAAGTTAGATCAGAGGTTGCCAGGATCAATGGTGGGGGAGAGAGCTACAGGGAGTGACTGCTAGTGGGTACGGGGTTCTTTTTGGGGAGATGAAAATGTTCTGAAATTAGGGAGCGGTAATGGCTGCATAACTCTGAATATACTAAAAACCACTGAACTGTACACTTGAAGGGTGAGGCTTATCATACAAAAACTGTATCACAATAAAGCTCTTAGTTTAAAAAATGTTTGTCTATGTCAAGAAACAAAGAAATAGGGTCATAGCTAGAAGATATGGGATATAAAATACTGGAACAAAACTGCTTAATAATATATCTAGAATCACACAATGCTTAGTCTTTACGCTGACTAAAATCACGAGATTTGTGTTTTATCGGTATTTCACGTTTTTTACTTCTTCTAAGTCAGCCAGTAATTCCTCCTTCTCACTTAATCGTTGACTACAAAGACCAAGCCATTTTGACTCTGCCACCGATGAGCTTTCACATTTCTTTCCTCCTTCCATTCCCATGACTACCAAACCAGTGCAGGTTCTCCTCACTTCACTCTAAGACAACAGCGTGGCCCTCAAATACTGTCACACTCTTCAAGGCTCTGTGAGCACAATCTGTCTCATATTCTCTTCTGCTGTCACCAGATTTATTCTAAGACCGTTTCTTCACTGTTACTCCCCTGTTTCTCAACCAGTTACACAGAAAGACGAATATCCAGGCATGGTGTCATGTGCCTGTAGTCCCAGCTACTCAGGAGGCTGAGGCGGCAGGATCGCTTGAGAATGTGAGATTCAGACTGCAGTGAGCCATGATCATGCCACCGCACTCCAGCCTGGGCAACAGAGTGAGATTGTCTCAATAAATAAATAAGTAAATAAATAAATAAATAAATGAATAAATAAATGTGGTCTATCCATGCAACGGAATACTATAAAATTATCAGCCTTAAAAAAGAAAGAAGCCCTGTCACATGCTGCAATATAGATGAACCTTGAAAACATTACACTAATTGAAATCAGCCCATCACACAAAGACAAATGCTGTACAATTTCTCTTACATTAGGTTCGAAATTAGTCAAACTCATAGAAACAGAAAATAGAGCGGTTGTTTCCATAAGCCAGGGGATAGAGAAATGGGGAGTTGTTGTATAGTGGCTATAGTTTCAGTTCTCCAAGAGAAGCAAGTTCTAGAAACTCGTTACTCAACATGTATATTTTTAACACTACTGCACTGTATACTTACAAGTGGCTAATATGGTAAATTTTATGTTGTGCCTTATCACCATAATGTTTTTAAAAGAAGGGGTTTGTGTTTCCCTTCGTTGTGATCACCCATTTTTCACTTCAGCATTTTGAACTTGAGATTTCCTGTAGCGGTTTTACTGAGCCCTGCAGTTACCGGCTCAGAATGTCTCCACCGCCTTGTAACCTTGTAGGCAGACACTTTTCAGCATCTTATTGGGCTCCGTGTGCTTGATGCTTAAAGTGACATGGAGACATGCCACTTGCTGAGAAGCAAAGAAAGGCAAAAGGTGACTGCTTTCCTGGCATCGATGAAGGCAGAGAGAAGGGATCTTGGAGGCACAGATATTAAGCCATAAGCAATAACATGGGTTGCCAAAAAGAGAACTAACCCCTCTCCTGGTAACATTTCCAGGTGTTTTTCACAGGGCCAGTGGATTTCACAATGTGAGTGCTGTCCAGCACCAAAGGGAATGGCCAACAGGCATGGAGCAGCCTACAGCGTCCAGCACCCAGTAGGATGGCCAGGAGGCACGGAGCAGCCTGCCTGTCCCAGGAAAGCAGGAGTCACAGGACACAACTGGACCCAGGTAGGCATGTATGTTACTTTCCTGTGGCTGTTAGAGCAAATTACCAAAAATGTGGTGACTTAAAACAACAGAAATTTATTTTCTCACAGTTTTGGATATCAGAAGTCCAAAATCAGTATCACTGGGCTGAAATCTAGGTCTCAGCAGAGCCAGTGCTCTCAGAGGCTGAGGGGAAAATCCATCCTTTGACTTGCGCAGCTTCTGATGGCTGCTGGCATTCATTGGCTTGCAGCTCCACCACTCCAGGCTCTGCCTTCTTGGTCACAGGGCCTCCTTCTCTTCTGTCTGAAGTTAAATCTCCTTTATCTCCCTCTTATAAGGATATATGTGCCAGGATTTAATGCCCACGGAGACAATCCAGGATAATCTCTCCTCAAGATCCTTAACTTAATCATACCTGAAAATATGCTTTTTCCAAATGAGGTAACATCTACAGGTTCTAGGAGTTCCAGACCAGCCTGGACGACATGGTGAAACACGGTCTTTTTTTTTTTTTTTTTTTTTTTTTTTTTTGAGCGGAGTTTCGCTCTTGTTTTCCAGGCTAGAGTGTTTTCCGGTCTCGACTCACCGCGGCCTCCACCTCCCGGTTAGGTGGTTCTCCTGCCTAAGCCTCCTGAGTGGCTGGGATTGCAGGCATGAGCCACCATGCCAGCTAATTTTGGTGTTTTTTTTTTTTGTACAGACGGGGTTTCTCCGTGTTGGCCGGGCTGATCTCAAGCTCCTGACCTCGGGTGATCCACCCGCCTCCGCCTCCCTGGGTGCTGGGATTGCAGGCGTGAGCCACCGCGCCTCCGGTCCAATTTAGTAACCAGAAAGGAATAGATCGGCCTGGCGTGGTAGCTCATGCTTGTGATCCCAGTACTGTGGACGGCCGAGCGCGGCGATCGATTGAGCCTAGGACTTCCAGACCGGCCTGGGCAACGTGGTGAAACACTGTCTTTTTTTTTTTTTTTTTTTTGAGTGGAGTTTCGCTCGTTTTGCAGGCTGGAGTGCAGTGGCGTGGTCTCGACTCACCGCGGCCTCCACCTCCCGGGTTTAGGTGGTTCTCCTGCCTCAGCCTCCTGAGTGTCTGGGATTGCAGGCATGAGCCACCATGCCAGCTAATTTTGGTTTTATTTTTTTGGTACAGACGGGGTTTCTCCGTGTTGGTCAGGCTGATCTCGAGCTCCTGACCTCGAGTGATACGCCCGCCTCCGCCTCCCTGGGTGCTGGGATTGCAGGCGTGAGCCACCGCGCCCCCGGTCCAATTTAGTAACCAGAAAGGAATAGATCTGCCTGGCGTGGTGCCTCCCCCTTGTGATCCCAGGACTTTGGAAGGCCGAGTGTGGCAGATCGCTTGAGCCTAGGAGTTCCAGACCGCCTGGGCAACATGGTGAAACCCGGTCTCTGTTTTGAGACGGAGTTTCACCCTTGTTGTCCAGGCTGGAGTGCAATGGTGTGATCTTTGCCCACCGCAACCTCGGCCTCCCGGATTTAGGTGATTCTCCTGCCTGGGCCTCCCTAGTAGCTGGGATTACAGGCATGAGCCACCATATCCGGCTAATTTTGTAGTTTTTTTCTTTTTTTTAGTAGAGACGGGATTTCTTCATGTTGGTCAGGCCGGTCTCCGACCTCGGGTGATCCGCCCACCTCTGCCTTCCAAAGTGCTGGGATTGCAGGCCTGAGCCACTGCGCCCGACGGAAACCCAGAACGGAAAACAAAACAAAAACCACAAAGATTAGCCGGGTGTGGTGGGCCGCGCAGGTAGTCCCAGCTACTCTGAAGGCTGATGGAGGAGGATTGCTTCACCCCGGCTTCTAGGTGGCAGTGAGCTATGATGGCGCTGCTGCACTCCAGACTGGGCGACAGAGCGGGACTCTGTGGCAGGAAAAGGGAAAGGAAAAAAAAAAGAAAAAGAATGTAAATAAAATTGCTAACTCAAGGAACAGCTTGACAGTATATTATTGCGACAAATAGAGGCAAAGGTTAGCAGACACCAGTGTTCACTTAGTGGGACCTGCGGGTGTTCCCCCCATAGGAGGCTGCTACTTTCCCACAAGAAATCCATTACTGACTACCGATAAAAGAACACATCGTAGGTTTCTTACAATATATAAATAGCTAAACTTTATATAGCCACGACCATATTCTAGCACTGCTCTAAGCCATTTCCTACTCTGAAATAGCTACTATTGTTACCTCCATTGTAGAGAAAACAGGTGCCGGAGGCTGTTGTGGAAGGCCCAGGGAAACTGACTATGAAATTGACTTGTTGTAAGTTTCAGACTTAAAAGTTCTTCCTGCTCTGCGCCTTACATTGCTACATTTTAGTTAAGGTACCTCTTACAATACTGGTCCTTTCTGTATTTGGAGGGACTTCTCTTGCAAATTGAAGTTTTTTCTTGTGCTAAGCATTTGGTCATGAGATTATCTGCGTTTTACATCAGTTTAAATACCTCTCTAGACATTGTTCAGTTAGGAATGTAAATAGGAGCTAACATTGTGTGTAAAAGGAAAGAACATCTGATTACAACCACTTTTGTTTCATAATACAAATATAAATCAATATGTTATTGGAAATGCAGGCTGGGAGGGGAGGGAAAATATGCATAGAGAAAAGCCCCATCTCTGCTTGGAGTTCAGCACTGGGTCTCTTTTTCCTTTCCACCTTCCTTGTCAAGGCTGCCACAGTGACAAGCACACAGGGGTGCCTTTAGTGACACCTGCTGCGACAGACCTGGCAGAACGGATTGCAGATTTGCATGTTTCCTGGCTGCCTCTGCTAGCCTGAGTCAGCAGCCCACTCCAATTCATGCTGAGCTTAGACAGCTCAGGTTTGCAAAATTATCCCTTCCCTTGGAGCAACCGCTTTCCAGTCTCCTCATCATTCCTAAAGGAGAATGACACACATGCCAGCATGACAGAGGTCCAGAAATTTATAGAAGCTTCATTGTGAGCCTATATCCTTAACAGGGGTTCAAACTACCAACACCGAATGAAGAGAGAGGTTTTGCAGTAAAGCAGGAAGTCATTAAAATAATGAATCACCCAGCTAGGTTTTGAGCTCCTTTCCCACCAATTTAATGGAAAGTTTTATTGTCTTTACAATGTACACTTTCATAAATTTTGCATAAATTTATTATTCACATCTTAACATAGGTAACTCCTTAGTGTTTGATCACTGAGCAAATTATATACAGCAAAACAATCCTATATTTTGGTGAACTCATAGCTTAGAAAATACTAAAGACTCATTGTAAACTGAGGGCAGCATTAAGCAAATTATATTTACCTTTGTGACTGCAAAACTTAATGATTCAATGCTTTTCCCATGAAATTTATCTTCCAATACTGATAGTTTTTTAAACAAAAAATATGAATTAAATATCAATTAAAATTTTATCATTGTTTTCAGAAACTGTGACTTCACTAGTTATGAACAGACTTGAAATGTATAGTTTTTAAGTTTGGAAATTCTTTGTAGTCTCATTTACTTTTCCAGGAAGGAAGTGAGATATTTTTTGCCACTGTTGCCTGGTTTTTGTTTGTTTTTTGATCATAAACAAAACTTAATGGAGCCTCAAATCTACTAACTCGGTCCTCCTCTGGCAATATGCCTTTTTCTGATTTCTAGATATCACTTGATATTTTTTAACACACTAATTTTATTATTTAAAAATTTATAAAAGTACTCAGAAGTAAGAGGCAAATTAAATTTGAAACCTTAGTGGTAATACCATCATCCAAAGTCATCATCAATAATATTTTGGCATATTTTATTTTAAAATACATTTCAGCACAGTTTAGTTATATTTGTTATATCTGTATCAATAAACTGTTTTCATATGTCATTACTTTTATGGATATAATTTTTGACGTGCGACTAATACGAAATCTTATATACTTGCTATAGTTGACCTTGTGAGACATTTAGATTTTCAACTGTTTAGTACTTTAATAACCAGTTTTTATTCTAATATCATTATTAGAATAATATTACTATAGTATTATTATTATTGTAGCAATAACTTGTTTTTAGAATAAATATCCTATTTCT
Organism: Homo sapiens; assembly: GCF_000001405.40. Classification (NCBI taxonomy): domain Eukaryota; kingdom Metazoa; phylum Chordata; class Mammalia; order Primates; family Hominidae; genus Homo; species Homo sapiens. The sequence continues at coordinate 2,708,581 of NW_011332701.1, read as the reverse complement.
CATTTAACTTGATTGGATCCGTGCATGGACAATTATGTTGGGAACATAGAATGTAGCTGGCCCTGTTTCAACCCCTTAGATGTGGCCCTCAGTTCAGGGAAGGGAGGAGTTCTCTACTGGGCTGATAAAGCAGAATTCAGAAACATTGTTTTCTTCTCTACCTGGTGTCTTACAAAACCAGAAGATGTGAGTGTGACTCTTAAAGGCAAGAGCATGTATATTATGCAAAAGCAGCCTGAAATATTTTATTCACAGACAGACAGACAATGCTTGACTCCCTGCTAATCTGAAATACTTCGTGGGGAGGGCCAGGGAAATCAAAACAAAATTTCAGAAGTAGAATGAGCTATTTGGTGTATGTCTCCAAGGCCAATAAATAACAAGAAGGAAAAATAAATTTCTTTGCTAACAACAAGAAGGAGAAATAAACTTTTTTGCTCTAAAATATTTTCCAATTATCTCCACGACACTGGAGGGAAGGACTAACAAAAAAAAAAAAAAAAAAGAAAGAAAGAAAGAAAGAAAGAAAAAAAAAAAGAAAAGAAAAAAAAGGTGGGGCATGGTGGCTCATGCCTGTAATCCCAGCACTTTGGGAGGCCAAGGCGGGTGGATCACAAGGTCAGGAGATCGAGACCATCCTGGCCAACATGGTGAAACCTGGCTCTACTAAAAATACACAAAATTAGCCGCAGGCACCTGTACTCCCAGCTACTTGGGAGGCTGAGGCAGGAGAATGGCATGAACCCGGGAGGCAGAGCTTGCAGTGAGCCGAGATGGCGCCACTGCACTCCAGCCTGGGGGACAGAGCGAGACTCCATCTCAAAAAAAAAAAAAAAAAAAAAAAAATTAACCATCACAGAGGAGCAGAGAAAAACCTTCTCAAAGACAGAAGTCATTGATTTATTTCCATCCCGGCACAAGCCCCTTAATTCTGTAACTTGTCCAGAATGGTTTCCTGTCACTGTAGATTCTGCATCAGAACATCCTCTTATGCAAAGCTAAAAAACTCCAAACCACCTCTGTTAACTGTGCGGTGCTCCATGGTTTCACACAGTCCAGAGCTGCTTGTGTTTATCAAAAATGAAGCAGAAAACAAAATTCTTCCTTCACACAACCACTGCATTCCATTGCACGTTTACCAAAGACATTTACCACGTTGGCATTATTTGTGCATCCATCAAGAAGTGCTGAAAAGCATTCCCCTCACACACTGCATGTGTCCTGTGAGTGGATCTTCCATTTTACTTGCCAGTTCTGGAAAACTTTGAATTTGTGTGTCGATGGAAAATTAAAGTTTAGTGGCATCTTTGCCCCACATTCACCCAACTTTTCTAAGGAACTATTTCAATGCTACTTTTCACTAGTGTCACTTTTCAGTCTTAGCCTCCTGGAGTACAACTTTATTAGAAGCCCGCAAAGCACTAGTGTTAAAATGAGAAATAGTAAACATCTGATTCTGTTGTGTTTTAACTCCATGCTTTTCTCTAATGTTTCATTGTTTTGAATTTAATTCTTTGTGCTTCCCACGTGAATGCAACTTACAGTTTGAATGTCTTCTTTCTTCACTAGCCGATGCATCTGTGCCAGTAACACACGGTGATTCTGTCCTTTCACCTTCAGTTATGCCTGTAAAACCAAATTCAAGACAGATGATCCTCAACTCACAAAGGAGTTATAGCTCATCATCAGTTGAAAATATAAGCCGAAAATGCATTTAAGGCCGGGTGCAGTGGCTCAGCCTGTAATCCCAACTCTTTGGGAGGCTGAGGCGGGTGGATCACCTGAGGTCAGGAGTTAGAGACCAGCCTGGCCAACATGGTGAAACCCTGTCTCTACTAAAAATACAAAAATTAGCCAGGCATGTTGGTGCGCACCTGTAATCCCAGCTACTGCGAAGGCTGAGGCAAGAAAATCGCTTGAACCCAAGAGGCAGAGGTCGCAGTGAGCCGAGATCATGCCATTGCACTCCAGCCTGGGTGACAAGAACAAAACACACTGTCTCAAAACATAAAATTAAATTAAATTAAATTAAAATGCATTTAATACACCTAAGCTAACATCATAGCTTAGCCTAGCTTACCTTAAACATTCTCAGAAAATTTACATTCACCTTCCATTGGGCAAAAATTCTCTCTCACAAACCCACTTTAAAGTGTTGAATATCTCATGTAATTTATTGAATACTGAAGTATGGTTTCTGCTGAATGCATATCACTTTCACACCATCATAAAGTCAAAAAATTATAAGTCAAACCATTGTATGTCAGGGATCATCTGTCCATTAGAAATAGTACTTCTGAGTAAAACGAGGACAAACTCCTTTGGTCTTCATGTCCTCAGAATCACTTTCATAATCATCTCTTGGTTTACAAGGTGCATCTTTTATTGGTTAAAAAAATTAATACAATTTATTTCACTCTCAAATTAGGTTTAATAATAAATAATACAACTTTCTTTTGTTTTCACTAATAATGCTAACATTGGCTTGATTTAAAATTAATATTGCAAAAATAAGACTTTATAGAATAGATGTTCCCATTTTTCAGATGTGTGAGATTATACTATAGTTGACAAACTAACCTTAAAGAACGCAGCTTGCAATGTGGTCCTTGTGTATGTGACTCGTTTGCAGCTCACAGCCTCTGCATCTTTCCATCGAGTCTGACAAAACCTGAGTTGGTCTGTAACTGCTCATTGAGACAAGTCCCCTGATGTCACATGCTGGGAGAATGTCAAGTTTCTATAGAAATTTCTAAACATTTACCCTGAATTTCTATGTTTCTATCATTACATAGAGATGACAGAGTGTTGACAGACTTTGAGTGGTCTTTAGTAACCAATTGTTGAAAGTCTGGTTTAGCTAAACTAGTTTGTAAGTACCTCGGCAGGTGCCTTTGCTGTAGGAATTCTCAGAGTCTCTATAAACTAATGAGCATTGGAAATCTGCAGGGGGGAAACAGAGTATGCAGTATCCCCCATGATGATTCAACCCCAGATTTTATTTTTCACTGAGGATCTCACACTTAGTAGTGTATCTTTTCTATGCATTGGGCACTGGGAGAGGACGTGTTGTCATCTCAACAGAGACCTGGCCTTCAGACGCCACCACTCACTGCCGCTCTGTCCAGGCGAGCATCAACTTGCACTGTTTCAGAAGCAAAAGGAAAATGAACCGCAGCCACTGAAGTCCCTCAGAACTGAGGAAAAGTTACTGACTTTCCTGATTTGTGTTCAGTCTGGCTGGCCATGGGTACAGACACAGCTGGTTTCCCCATTTGTGAGCTGGACGGATTTAATTCCTGGCTGTTTGAATGATGTATCCCCTCATCAGTGAAACCAACAGAGTAGCTCAACTTAATTTTCTCTTTCTATGGCATGCCATTTATACCCATTCAATTATGCCTGTGTCAATTAAGTCAAACATTCTTACTGTCTCTATTTCTAATAAAAAGTGGTAAACACTCGAAAACCCCTTTCATAAATAGGCATGTATAAAAGCAATGTTCTTAATAAAAATGTTGGACTTAATAAAAGTATTTTAAAAAACAGTAGGAACCATAGTATAATAAAGGCCTTAGCCGGGCGTGGTGGCTCACACCTGTAATCCTAGGACTTTGGGAGGCTGAGGCGGGCAGATCACGAGATCAGGAGATCGAGACCATCCTGGCTAACACGGTGAAACCCCATCTCTACTAAAAACACAAAAAATTAGCTGGGCGTGGTGGCAGGTGCCTGTGGTCCCAGCTACTCGGGAGGCTGAGGCAGGAGAATGGTGTGAACCCAGGAGAGGGAGTTTGCAGTGAACAGAGATTGTACCACTGAACTTCAGCCTGGGCGACAGAGCGAGACTCCGTCTCAAAAAAAAAAAAAAAAAAAAAAATATATATATATATATATATAAAGGCCTCATTTTGCAGGTGAGGACACTGAAGATTATAGAAGAAAGAAGGGCTTCATGCAAAACCACGTTCCTGATTGTTGGCGGAACCAAGCCCACAACCTGGAACTCAAGTTTCTCTACTTATAGTAGATGCTCAAAGAATTATAATACTTTATAACAACGTCATAATCATTTGACGTTTCTAAGCTGGTCATGTTTTCTTTCATGTGTACTTCTCCCCTCTCAACAATTACCGTGCCCTTGGCAATTTAATAAAGCAGGATAATATTCAACTCAGTGACCTACAGCTTGACAAGCATCTCCTGCTCCCAGAAAACAGAAGGTGTTGCTGTCAAACTAATACTAAATAATAATTTTCTGTAGTCCTAGAGCCTCTGGACTTCCCAATTACACGGCCAATAAACCCCCTCATTGTCTGAGCCAGTCTGAGCTGGGCAGCCTGACTGAAGTCTGGAACATCCTAACTGGCACAAAGGCCCTTAAGATGACCCCAAGCCAGCTGTCTGGCTTTCTCTCTTGTCACTTCCTTCTACATCCTCTCTGCAACAACCAAATTAGATTACTCACCATTCCCCACACTGCTTTGTGATTTTCTTTCTTTCTTTTTTTTTTTTTTGATGAAGTTTTATTCTTGTTGCCCAGGCTGGAGTGCAGTGGTGTGATCTCAGCTCACTGCAATCTCTGCCTCCTGGGTTCAAGTGATTCTCCTGCCTCAGCCTCCCGAGTAGCTGGAATTACAGGTGCCCAGCATCATGCCCAGCTAATTTCTGTATTTTTAGGAGAGACAGGGTTTCACCATGTGGGCCAGGCTAGTCTCCAACTCCTGACTTCCGGCGATCCACCTGCCTCGGCCTCCCAAAGTGGATTTTCTTTTTTTACCCATGCACTTGCCCAAGCTGACTTTCTGGCTCAAACCTTTCCCCTGGCCTTGCATCCTCTCTATCCATCTGCCCAAACCTCCCTCACTCTCCAAAGTCTCATTTCAAATGTTGCCTTTCCCTGAAGCTTCTCCCGGAATGACCCATCTCTCCCTCCTCATTCTGATCATTTCCTCTTTGAATTCCCGTAGCGTTAGGTATGCCCTCCTCTTCCAGCACTGAATCCAGCCTTGCCTCGCATTAGAGTCATTTGTACACCTGACCTTAATCCCCCTGAGGGCAGGGATAGTTTGTGTTTATCCCAAAGTCCTGAAACAACTAGTACAGAACCTGAGACACAGGAAGGCCCCAGAATTGCCTGCCGAATAGAACAGTGATAGTGCTGAATTTGGTTCCTCCTTTAACCTGTGTGACCCCAGACGTTTGTTTTCTATGAAGCCTCAAAACATGGTTATGTTTCCTAATTTACAACGAACACATGGAAACCCATGTTTTGAAAACGGGGGTGGGGAGGATGAACTGAAGGCAGCCTCTTCAGCCAAGTTCCAAAGGCCAGGTGGCCCACTGTGAACCTTGTTTAACCACACAGAACATATGAATAGCTACAACAAGGGATCTAACAGTTACCAGAATGTTTTCAGAAAGGTGACTTCAGAAGTGCCAAGCTTCAGGAAGACCTGGACTGAGAAGGGATCAGACAACTTTAGGAAAGCAGGTACCAAACAGCCCTTTTACAGTTTACACACAGGCCTTGGTGTCAGAAAAATACTGGTTTGAGTACTGGTTATGCATCAGAGATGCCACTCTGGACAAGCTCCTTATGCTCTCTGGGACTCTGCTTTCTCATCTAAAAAATGGGGATCACCTGAGGTCAGGAGTTTGAGACCAGCCTGGCCAACATGGCAAAACCCCATGCCTGCTAAAAATACAAAAATTAGATGGGTGTGGTGGCTCGCACCTGTACTTGCAGCTACTTGGGAAGCGGAGGCAGGAGAATTGCTTGAACCTGGGAGGCAGAGGTTGCAGTGAGCTGAGATCGCACCACTGCACTCCAGCCTGGGCAACAGAGTGAGACTCTGTCTCAAAAAACGGGGCGGGGGGTGGTGGATAATAATAGTGCCTACCTCAAGAGGTTGCTGTGAACACCAGAAGAAGCAATACACACCAAGTGCCTACAGATAGTAAGCACTTGGTAAAAATGTAACTGCCATTAACAATAAATATGATGCTCACAGGGTCAGTGGAAAAAGTAGTGGAAAGTAGGAGTGGTGGGAACAGAACAGGAGGGAACAAAGCACCTCTGAGTAGACCTTTCTGTATAGCTCCGACTCTCCGTCTCTTATTATGTTTCACCCTAATAATTCATTAAAACTAGGATAGGAAGGCTGAGGGTGTTTTTGGAATACAAACACTAATGAACCAAACTGCATTATAAATAGTGGCCACACTGAAAGGGATGAAGAAGAAAGTAACTACTTTTTTTTTTTTTTTTTAGACAGAGTCTCCCTTTGTTGCCCAGGCTGGAGTGCAGCGGGGCTATCTCAGCTCACTGCAATCTCTGCCTCCTGGGTTCACGCCATTCTCCTGCCTCAGCCTCCCGCAGTAACTGGGACTACAGGCGCCCGCCACCACACCCAGCTAATTTTTTGTATTTTTAGTAGAGACGGGGTTTCACCATGTTAGCCAGGATGGTCTCGATTTCCTGACTTCGTGATCTGCCTGCTTCGGCCTCCCAAAGTGCTGGGATTACAGGCTTGAGCCACCGCGCCCGGCCCCCCCGCTCCATTTTTTTTTTTTTTTTTTTTGAGACGGAGTCCCGCTCTGTTCCCCAGGCTGGAGTGCAGTGGCACAATCTCAGCTCACTGCAAGCTCCGCCTCCCTGGTTCAAGCCATTCTCCTGCCTCAGCCTCCCAAGTTGCTGGGACTACAGGCACCCGCCACCACGCCCTGCTAATATTTTTTGTATTTTTAGTAGAAACGGGGTTTCACCGTGTAAGCCAAGATGGTCTCGGTCTCCTGACCTTGTGATCCACCCACTTTGGCCTCCCAAAGTGCTGGGATTACAGGCGTGAGCCACCACGCCTGGCCTCCCCCTGCTTTACTTGTATTAACCAAATATTTATGAGTCTATCTATCAAGCGTTCAAATTATTTTACATGTAATCGCCAATCTCCAGAAAATAAATGGGACCACAACAAATTTACCCTAATTTCTGCAGCGAGCATAAATAATTGCTTTCAAGGGATGCTTGAATGAAATTACTATCCTGACTGTAGGGGCAGGGGCTTGGTGAAGATTTGTCCTTTGTGAGTAATGAGAAGAGTATACTTGGATATAAAAATAGTGAAGAAATAAGTAGTTTTTAAAAAAACGCTAAATTCCATGTTTAGCAAAGTTAATGAGCCCTAAATTCCTAAAGCTGAGTATTAGTGTGTAAATGAGTACTCCAAACCAACAGAGAATAACCTTGTAATTCATGGATATTTAGCTAAAACTTCATATGTTCTCATCATTCTGTGTCTCCTAGTTTTAGTTCAAACAGATGTTTTCACTCCTAAAAGACTCAAAATTTCTGACAATGCCCTTTATTAATGTTACTTTTTGAGAAATCACTTATTAAGTAAAAATTAAATTTACATTTTTCAAAATTGCATGTTGGGTTAATTTACCAAATCTTTTATCTGTTTTGTGTTTCCAGTTAGCCATTTTTGTTTCTGATTTGTAAATATTCAAAAATATTTGTTGAAATTACAAATTTTATTAATTGATTTTTGAGGGGAGTAGGGTGCGTTAGTTACTTTTCATTTAAATTCTGTGGTGTTTTTGCATATTCAAATTATTGTATTGTGAATAACCTGAAAGACAGTAGCTATATGATTGTTTGAGGTAATGGTAACAATACTCAAGGGTTGAAAAGATATGATTTTAAGTATGAGCTAAGGAGACTGCCCTTTATGTAACTACGGGATGATGTGAAAATCTGTTTTAACAGCATGATTAAATTTGGAATTCTTTTTTTTGAAGTTTTGTAAAAGGGAGGCAGAAGTTTAAGGGAAAAAGTTGGCCAGGTAAACTTGGATAGTTTTAGATCTATTAGTGACAGAATACTCAAGCTCTTGAAAATAGGAAAAGTTGTTCTTGCCATGTCAAAGGACAAGGGCTGCCATATGCTAATCACTGTATCTTTACTCAGATCCTATAAAATGATTTGTACAGAGAAGGGATTTAGTAAATCTTTACTAAATTAATGTTAGATGATGGAATGGATCATTGCGGCTGAAGGAGAGAGTAGTGAAAATGAGGATATTAGGAAAGGAAGTGGATGATTTGCTCAGATGTTGTTAAATTAGGTTTTGATAGAAAAAACCTGGAAAAAAAAAAAAAAACGACAACAGCCTGCATGACTTCTTAAAGCCCCCACCTCTTAATACTGTTTCAATGGCAATTACATTTCACATGAGTTTGAAGGGGAACTTAAAACCATAGCAAAGAGCACATTATATTCGTTGTTTCTGTGTAGTGCTGCTCTTTACCAGGCTAATAAATCCTGGTAGACATGCAAGAGCTTGCTCTTAATCCAAAATAAACAAAATGTGTTTTACTGAGAAAATTGCAGACATATCAAAGGGTAGTTTGACAGCACGGGTACAGAATACTATCAAGACATTTTCTTCTGTTTTACATACATGGGTAATTCTTGCTTGAATGCAAGAGGGCTGAATACCAGCTTTATTTAATATATTTTGTGTCAACTTCTGTATACAGATTTTTTTTTCTTGAGGTGAGAGAAGAGGAAAGAGGAGAACGTTAATTCCAGATAGCTTTAAGCAAATGTTAGAAAGGCGAACATTTATAGGTTTCCAAATATCTTTTGGCTAGCTGACATTTACAAACACGGAGCTAGGTAAGCTTTTCCCCCTAGCAATATTAAGGCTCTGGCAGCAAGTAAAGGATATGTGAAGTGAAATATGCCTTTCAAACATAGTAAAGAAGAAGACTGTTTGTAACCACCGTTGGTGAAAATCACGAGAACCAAGTCTTTCTTGTTATTTTAAACATCCTATAAAAGCATTGCAAAAGTTTATATTGCTGGTTAAAATATTTGGGACTATTTTGTCCATTTCCACACCTTACTTTAAGGTCCAGGCATTTGTTGAGAGGGAAATTGCCTATTTAACTGAAGGAACAATATGTTTTAAATTACTGAGAGTACTCTGTTGAAACTTAATGAGAACAGAAAGCAGCATTAATAAGAAAAATAGTATTTACAAAGATTGCTTAAGGATGCAAGCTGGGTACCAACTAATTGTAATTCTTTAATTTCGGTATGCGTGCAACATCCCATGTGTATGAAAACAAAATGTGTATTTCCAAGCAGTATGTTTTAGGATCAGAGAATTTCAACCAAATATTAAATTCTCAAATCGTATGCAAACAAGTGTCAATCATGGCTTTAACATGACAGCTGGAGGAAAAAATTCAAGCAACATGTGTAGATAATTGTGGTTAATGTTTATCTGTACATAGGAAGATACTTCAGATGTGTAAGTATGCAAATAACTCTCGGATTTCTAATTACTGTATTTATCAAGTTCTATATGCTGTCTAAATTCAGAAATGAAAGCAATTTTAAAATAGCATGCATATTATAATTACAATATTAAATTGAGCTCAACTTTCCTAGCTATTCTCTGCCTTTCTGTCTGCCTCTGCCTATGTCTCTATCTCACACATGTATGTGTGTATGTGTATATATACCCTCACTTGTGAACATATATTCATAACCACATGTATAAACACACAGTATAAAAGGATATTAGAAAAGGAAGTGGATGATTTGCTCAGATTTTGTTAAATTAGGTTTTGATAGAACAAACCTGAAAAAATACGTTAAAACATATGAGGACATATACCAAAATATTATCAGTAGTTAATTTTAAGACAAGCCTGATGGGTCATTTTAATTTTCTACTTTTTACCTGTCTGTTTTGATTGCAACTTTAAAAATAAGCCTGTGTTACTTTTTAAAGAGAAAGAGAGAGAGAGCAAGATTTGCCTGTTTTGGAAAATTGTTTTAAAGGAACACCACAGGAAATGAAGTCATTCTTAAGTGCCTGCCATTTATATCTAAAAATGGTTTTCAGTAATGGGATAGTTCTAGTATCAGTAGGGAGATCCATTATCACATGCAGATTTAACCTTGTTGTTGTAGGCCAGAAATATTTAAAACCATTTAACTGACTTGAAGAATTCTTCAATTTTTGAAAATATATTTCAAAAGAAAAACTTTCCAGTTAATTTATGAAGTTAACAAAATATTGATTCTAAATGGTATATTTATAAAATTTTATTCTGTAATTGGTTATTGGTAGTGTAAGGAAATAAAATAGACTTTTATGTGCTCATATTGTAACCAGTGATCCTGATAGCTATATTTAGTTATTCGTTCTAATATTTTATTTTAGATATTCTACATATACAATAATGTCCTTAGCAAATAATGACCTGTGTATTTCTTTCTTGCTAATTCTTACTTTTTTTTTCTTATTGAACTGACTAGGGAATTTTGTTTCTGATCCCATAAGGAAAGCTTTCCATATTTCCTTATTAATTATAATATTTTTGTAAGATTTTATGATTATCTTTCACCAGATTAAATACATTTCATTGTTGTTTGCATATTAAAAAATATATTCTGCATCTGTTGAGATGAGATTTTCTTCCATATTGTTAATATAGTGAATTACAATAATTGATTTTGTGATATTAAAATAATATTTTATTATTGAAACACAATTTGTTTTTAATTTACTGTACTTTTTAAAATTAAGATATAATTCATACACCATAATATTTGTCCTTAACAAGGATGCAACTCAGTGATTAGTATATTCAGAAGGTTATGGTATAATCACTGCAAATTCCAGAATAATTTCATCACTGAACAACAACAAAAAAATCCTGTGTCTCTTATTAGCCAGTCCTTGTTTGCTCTTCTCTCTAGCCCCTGGCAATCACTGATCTACCTTCTGTCTCTATAGATTTGCTTTTTCTGGGCATTTCATATAAGTAGAATTATAGAATATGTGACATTTTGTGTCTGGCATTTTTCACTTAATGTTTTCATGATTCATACATGTATCATGTATCAGTAGTTCATTCCTTTTATGGCTAAATTATATTCCATTGTATGGATATACCACTTTTTGATTATCCATTCATCAATTGATGGACATTTGCACTGTCTTTATGGCCATTACAAATAATGTTGCTATAAACATTTGTGTCCAGGTTCTTTGTAGACATGTTTTTCATTCTTTGGGAGATATTCCTAAGGAGTAGAATTGTCCAGTCATTTGATAACACTGTTTAACTTTTTTTTCTTTTCTTTCTTTCTTTTTCTTTTTTTTTCTGAGACAGAGTCTCACTCTGTCGCCCAGGCTGGAGTGCAGTGGCATGGTCTCAGCTCACTGCAACCTCCGCCTCCTAGGTTCGAGCAATTCTCCTGCCTCAGCCTCATAAGTAGCTGGAATTACAGGTGCCTGCCACCACGCCCGGGTAATTTTTGTATTTTTAGTAGAGATGGGTTTTCACTGTGTTGGCCAGGCTGGACTCAAACTCCTGACCTCAGGTGATCCTCCCGCCTTGGCCTCCCAAAGTGCAACTGCAAAATTGTTCCTACCATGGCTGCATCGTTTTGCGTTCCCACCAGCGATTTATGTGGGATTGTTTCCACATTCTCAAACATACTTGTTATTTTCTTTTTGATCATAGTATGAAATGGTATCTCCTGGTGGTTTTGATTTGCATTTCTCAAATGACCAATAATGTTGAGTATCTTTTCATGTGCTTCTTGCCTATTGTGTATCTTTTTTGGAGAATTTTCTACTCAAATCATTTCTCCATTTTAAAAATAGGTTATATGTTTTTTTATTATTGAGTTGTAAGATACATATTCTGAATACAAGTCTTTTAGAAGATGTATGATTTGCAAAATTGTTCTCCCATTCTGTAGGTTGTCTTTTCCCTTCCTTGGCTTTTTCTTTTAAAGAAAAAATTTAGTTTTAATTAAGCATAATATAGCCCCCTTTTTTTTCTTTTGTTGCTTGTAATTTGGTGCTATATCTAAGAAACTATTGTTTAATCTAAGGTCATGAAGATTTTGCTTATGTTTTCTTCTATGAGTTTTTTACTTCTAGGTCTTACATTTAGGTTTTGATCAACTTTGTGTGTAAGGTAAGGTCAGAATCCAACTTCGTTTGTTTGCATGCATATGTACAGTTGTCCCAACACTATTTGTTGACAAGACTACTATTTCCCCTTTGAATTTTCTTGGCATCCTTTTAAAAATCAATTGCTCATAAATATAAGGTTTATTGATTAATGCTCAATATTATTTCATTAAATTTATATGTCTATCTTTATGCTAATGCAACACCGAATTAATATAGTTTGGTAGAAAATTTTCTGTTTCAAGACTATTTAGACTGTTCTGGGTGCTTTGCTATAGTAGTTTCCTGTTCCTGATGTAACATCTTACTACAAAGTTATGCCTAAAAAATCACAGCTTTATCATCTTAATGTGTGCACGTGTGCGTGCGTGTGTGGATTCCTTAGGATTTCCTGTATGCATAAATATTTCTCCATATATATCTATATACAAATTCTTTATACCTCATGGCATCTCCATATAGAGATAGTTATATTTCTTTCTTTTTAATCTTCACCCCAGGCTACTATCCAATTGAATAAAAGGTGGTGCTACTATTGAACATGCCATAGAATATTAACTTTGTAAACTGACTTGAAGTCTCCCTGGGTGAATGCTAACCCTCTCATATGTAATAATGGCTTCATTTACAAAATGTATAACATGATGACTACCAAATTATTTCTTCAGCCTTCACTTTTATCCAGAACTGCCAAATCTGAATCTAATTCCCATTTAGGATTGCCACAGGTATGTTCAAAATAGTACTTTCTTTTTCTCATAAGATTCTGCCTTATGTCTTGAATTTATACTCTAGGTAAATGTTGTAAGCAGAATAAAAACCCCCAAAGATGCTCACACTTTAATCCTTGAGACCTGAATATGCTGTATTACCTGACAAAAGAGACTTTGCAGTTAGAATTATGAATATTAAAATGAGGACCGTATATGAGTCCAATCTAATCACTATGAGCCCTTAAAAGCTGAGACCATGTGTAGTTGATTTCTGAGAGACGGGGCAGGAGGGAAAGGCAGAGATATTTGAAATGTTCGTGCTGCTGGAAAGGCCCATGAAAAAAGCATAAGGAACAGGGACAGTCTAGGAGGAAAGGCTGGTCCCAGCTGACGGCCAGCAAGGAAATGGGGACTGCAATAATACCTACTCAAGGAACTAAGTGTGGCTAACAATCTGAACAAACGTGGAAGCAGACCTTTCCTCAGATCCTCCAATAAAAAATGCAAGAGTGTGGCTGGGCGCGGGGGCTCACGCCTGTAATCCCAGCACTTTGGAAGGCCGAGGCGGGCAGATCACGAAGTCAGGAGATCAAGACCATCCTGGCTAACACGGTGAAACCCCGTCTCTACTAAGAAAAATACGAAAAAATTAGCCAGGCATGGTGGCGGGCGCCCGTAGTCCCAGCTACTCTGGAGGCTGAGGCAGGAGAATGGCGTGAACCCGGAAGGCGGAGCTTGCAGTGAGCCGAGATCGCGCCACTGCCCTCCAGCCTGGGCGACAGGGCAAGACTCCGCCTCAAAACAAACAAACAAAATGCAAGAGTGATGGAGTCAGTGCATTACTACCTGAATACAACACACTTTTCAAGCTACATAAACTTCATGCTTTCCTCGTTTTATAAAAGTCATCTCCTCTGCCTTGAAAACTCTCCCCATTGTTATTAATCTGCCTGAAAATTTATCTTCATCCTCAAGTGTCTACTCAAATGGTCTATTAAATGAGTTCTTCCCAGATGATCCCAGATAATGAGTACCACTTTTTAAAATTAGATTTCTAGATACTTTCATTATTGTAATCCACTTTTATAGGAAATTTTTGTTGTTGTGTATCTCCTTACTAAACGAACATTTTTTTGTTTTTGAATCTGCATCAATTGTTGAACACATATAGAATATATTAAATACATACAAGCTAATGAAGTAACACATGAATGCATCTCAGACCACTTATCCTAAAACAACCATTTTTTTCTTTCATTCTGTCAAATACTTTTTCTCTAATATCCTATACTTTTGTTACTATTCATGGATTTTATCTATTTATAGTTATTTTCTTACTGATATGCAATTATTTTCTATGTATAGTGTATCACATATCTGGCAAAATTTTGTTTGGTTTGCATAATATCTTTTTATTTTATTGTGAATGACATTATAGAACTTTACAGATGAAATAAAATCTGTCGGCCGGCTGCGGTGGCTCGTGCCTGTAATCCCAGCACTTTGAGAGGCAGAGGCGGGCAGATGACGAAGTCAGATCAAGACCATCCTAGGCCAACATGGTGAAACCCTGTCTCTATTAAAAATACAAAAATTAGACGGGCGTAGTGGTGCGTGCCTGTAGTCCCAGCTACTTAGGAGGCTGAGGCAGGAGAATTGCTTGAACCCGGGAGGCGGAGGCTGCAGTGAGCCGAGATCGCGCCACTACACTCCAGCTTGGGCTACAGAGGGAGCCTCTGGAAAAAAAAAAAATCTGGCTAGGCGCGGTGGCTCACGCCTGTAATCCCAGCAATTTTGGAGGCCGACGCGGGCGGATCACGAGGTCAGGAGATTGAGACCATCCTGGGTAACACTGTGAAATCCCATCTCTACTAAAAAAATACAAAAAATCAGCCGGTGGGCACCTGTAGTACCAGCCAGTCCGGAGGCTGAGGCAGAAGAATGAGGTGAACCCGGGAGGCGGAGCTTACAGTGAGCATAGATAGCACCTCTGCACCCCAGCCTGGGCGACAGAGCGAAGACTCCGTTTCAAAAAAAAAAAAAAAAGGCATTTATATGTCCATTCTTCCACTTATGCAGCCCTACTTAATTATTGTCATTACAAAATGATGCTTATCCTTCTGCTAAATTTCTCTGAGTATTTCTAATATTTATGCTTACAGATAAAATTGAATTATTTTTAATCAAAGTCCAAAAATACATCATTAAATTTATTTTTTCAAAAGAAAAGACAAAAAATTTTTTAATTTATCCAATGCTCCTTTTAAATCCCTAATGGAAAAATACATTTTATTCATTCATTATATATAATGAATTCATTTTATTGAATAAAATGATTTTATTAATGAATAAAATGTATATATAAATATATTTATATTTATTTTTAATGAATTTTTGGCTAATTTTTTGCTAATTTTATTTTTATTATTATTATTATTTTTGAGACGGGCTCTCTCTCTGTGCCCAGGCTAGAGTGCAGTGGTGCAATCTCGGCTCACTGCAACCTCTGTCTCCTGGGTTCGAGCGAGTCTTCTGCCTCAGTTTCCCAAGTAGCTGGGACTACAGGCATTTGCCACCATGCCCAGCTAATTTTTGTATTTTTAGTAGTGAGGGGGTTTCACCATATTGGCCAGGCTGGTCTTGAACTCCTGACCTTGTGATCCACCCATTTCAGCCTCCCAAAGTGCTGAGATTACAGGCGTGAGCCACCATGCCCGGCCACTAATTTTTTTTTTTTTTTTTGAGACAGAGTCTCCCCCTGTTGCCCAGACTGTGGTGATGTCATTGCAACCCCCACCTCCCACGCTCAAGTGATTCTTGTGCCTCAGCCTCCCGAGTAGTTGGGATTACAGGCATGTGCCACCACAGCCGACTAATTTTTTTTATTTTGCAGTAGACAGGGTTTCTCTATGTTGGCCAGGCTGGTCTTGAATTCCTGGCCTCAAGCGATCTGCCCACCTCGGCCTCCCAAAGTGCTGGGATTACAGGCATGAACCACCATGCCCAACCAAGAGTTAATGTTTCTTTTAAAATAAATCAAAAGAGCAAAACTTATCTGACAGCAATTGACAAAAGAAAACAGCAGTCTACTATTAAACATAATAAAATTTAAGGCAAAATTATTTTATTTGGGATTTTGGATTTCCTTGTGTTTTCTCATCTTACTTAAACCTGCTTCCTTTCTATGCCTGCACTTCTCACCATCACTTTTCCCACCACAAGCTTACTGCTCCAGTTTTTTAAAAAGTCATGGCTCTTCTGTCTTTTTTAGTGTAAAAAGGGGAAATTTTCTAATTTTCAGTTTCTTGTGTTACATTCTTTTCATAAGTACATTCTTTTTGAATCCTAAATATTTCGTTGTTAGATGATTGTTCAAAATCAGTTTGCTCATTCATGACTATAGAAAGATGTAGATTTAAGCCCTGGTTTTTGCAACAGAAAAGCCAGATGGCCCACAGCTTATCCCAGTTTCTACTTGAACACAATAAGCTTTCTTTTTCTCTCAACTTTATCCAGGAAGAACCATTTTATATACAGATTTCTGATCCAGTCTCCAGGGTTTCCAAGGCATTAATCAAGCATGGCTTTACTGGACAAATGTAGGGCCTTCTGTGTCTTTAATACTGGACTTTCTATGCCAGACAGTATCTTTGTTCTAGTTCTTCTTTGCACTGTTCATATCTCACTGGTTTAGATATAATTGCCTGCTGCAGCGTGATGACTTCCCTCCGTGAATCTTCCTCAGTTTCATTATTGATGGTATACCATGTACATGAGACAAAGATTTCTTTACTCTTCTTGAGGTCTCTCTATGCTGTTTGGTTCAGATAATATGGAGTTACCCATTGTAAACTCATTTACAGTGAAGTCAGTTGTAGCACTGATCTAGTTTGGCTGTGTCCCCACCCTAATCGCATCTTGAATTGTAGTTACCATAATCCCCATGTGTCGTGGGAGGGACCCAGTGGGAGGTAACTGAATCATGGGGGCTGTTACCCCCATGCTGCTGCTCTCGTGATAGTGAGTTCTCGTGAGATCTGATGGTTTTATATGGGTCTTTTCTCTCTTTGCTCTGTATTTCTCCTTCTGCCATCATGTGAAGAAGGATGTTGTTTGCTTCCCCTTCTGTTCCCCTTTTTTCCTTTATTGATTCGAGTGTCATTCAGTTCAACATAAATTTTGTGAACAGCTGGTGTATGGTCAGCCCAAGGCTAAAACATTGTAAATGAATACATGGAGGACAGAAGTTTTGTGAACAGTGGGAGCAGAAGGCAAATCGCTGTAGACAGAGGAGAGAGCAAGAATGGACAACTTGCAAGAAGTTGAGCTATGTAGACAATGGGGTAAGAAAGCCAGGGGTGTTAGAGGAAGAGAAGTGCAAGTTGGATACCATAGCTTATAATGAGAATAGGAATTGGTAAAAATGTCAAGACAGGAGAAATCATATATGTTTAGAGGTTTAGTAGAGGAGCCATTTGACTTCTCTGTTCTTTTTGAGAAAGACGTGAATTGACAGAGATATAGGGAAAGTGTATTTGAAGTACAAGCAACAGCATGTATCTGGAAAACCAAAACACGGAGGGCATAAGTATGGGGGAACTGTGAATATTCCAACTTTGGCCACAACATTGGGTAGATACCATAGTTGCCCAGTAATGAAAACTTGTCTGAAAATGTATGTTTATGTCACACTGAGATAAAGAAGTATGTAATTAATTGGTTTATTTTAATCCCAATTATTGATTTTCCTGAATTATTGAGTATCATGAGACAATGGCCCATCTTAAGAAGTTCTAAGGAAGGTAGACTAATATGCAGGAAGGTATTTGTAACCCTCGAAACCCATTGGAGACACCTCACTAATGTATGGTAACCAGAATAATAGGAGGGTAGGAACTACGCCAATAATCAAAGTGATCCCTCCGCACGCCACTACCTAACTTCTTCAGCTTTGCTTAAACTTTGTCATCTGCTTGTGTGGCAGCAACTTCCTCCTAATAGTGTATGTTTACACTGAGTATTGGCACATAGTTTCTGCATCGTATAGAATTAAATTTCCTGTTTATTTTTAATTTTTGCTTTGTATTGTATTGTACTTTGGTTCACTTGTTTGTGTTTAGTCCAGATCATGATTCTAACCGGTTATAAAAATTTTGTGCATATGCTTCTTTTGAAATTTGTTTCTTGTTTGTATATCCACAGAATCCTTGAAAGATTCCTTTACCCAATGCCAAAAGAAATCCACTTAATACATTCCGCTGAGGCCTTTATATTAGTACACGTTAACTTTAAGTTGGAATATGCCACCGTGTGACATACTTTATGTGACAAGAAAAATGTTCTTAGAAAAGATTCTCATCTCAAGCAAGCTTTATACTGGAGACATTGTTTGCAATATCAGACTTCACTATTTTCAGCTCACAGTTTACTAAAGAGGATAATTGGAGAGGCATTCTAACATTAGTGGAGAAAAAGGCACTTGATGTTCATGACACTTGATAACAGAACCTCTGTATTTCTTAGTCTCTAGCACCATTTCATAGAATGAACTAAGTTATCAGAGGAGAGGAGATACACATTCAACCCAATTCTAAAAATTTAATATAATCAATATTTACTTATAAGGTACATTAATTATATTAATACATGGCAAGTCTCAAGATAAATTCTGAATAAAAATTTTTCAGTTAAATGTTGCAAATAATTTTTATCATTAAATTTTAAATACACAGATTATCTGTGTAACATATTAAAATGTATGTCATATAATGACAAAGGATTTCTCTATTGGAACATCTTTTATTTCACTGGCTTATTATTATTTCTGGTTGGTAAGTTTAAAAGACTACAATCTTTAATTTTATTTAGTTAAATGATTTGTTGTATTTTAAAATCAGTAGATAGTATATGTATCATCTTAGTCTTAATTTATAAATATATGACATTTCAATAAAATTCTTGAAGCCAATCAATAAAATTGATTAAGCTTTAAATTCTAGGCTGAGTCTAATTGATTATATTTCTTTATGATTCTTTAAGGGGAAAGCAGACACTTTCGTTTCAAGATGCCAATTTTCTTTTCCTCTTTTTTTTTTTTTTTGAGACAGAATCTCGCTCTGTTGCCCAGGCTGAAGTGCAGTAGCACGATCTCCGCTCACTGCAAGCTCCGCCTCCTGGGTTCACGCCATTCTCCTGCCTCAGCCTCCCTAGTAGCTGGGACTACAGGCACCCACCGCCACGCCTGGCTCATTTTTTGTATTTTTAGTAGAGACGGGGTTTCAACGTGTTAGCCAGGAATGGTCTTGATCTCCTGATCTCGTGATCCGCCTGCCTCGGCCTCCCAGAGTGCTGGGATTACAGGCATGAGCCACTGTGCCCGGCCTCAAGATGCCAGTTTTCTAAAGTGAGAAAAATTAATTTTAAAAATTAAATTGTATGTTCAATATCTGTGTGAGATCAGGTAAACCATGTGTCTTAGAGAGGGAAAGGTTTGAAAGTATAATTTTTATAGTTTCTTATTTATCTATATTTTCCTATATGATTGTTGTTGAAATATCTTAAATTTATTTCACATTAAAATTGTCAAATATCTGAATTCATGAGCCACCTGTTGAAGACCACTGAAAGAATATAAATAAATAAAATTGGTAGCTCATTGTTTTTCAATAACTTGTGAAGACTAAGCTCTGATTTTTTTATTTTGCCCAAATTCTTATCTAAGGGGTCTGGGGAGTCATCCCCTACTAACCATAAATTCTCATCAGATGGATTTTATTTAACCCTATATATCATGGCTTACTTTGCAATCTGACTCTGGCATAACATTATGTGACAAAGAAGAAAGTAAAAAAAATTTTACCCCAAAAGCAAGTTTCTTTGTCATATTTTGAAATGGTCCTGCAAAGCTGCCCTTTGTTGGGGGACATATGCATCTGTAAAGAATCTCTATTGACATAACTAGATCTTTTTCTTCCAAGCCCTCCCAATCCTGAAGAAATTAGTAGAAGTCTAGCACCTTTTAAGGTCTGAATAGGAAATATTTGTCATCTATTATCTCTAAGGGCAGCCACTATAAGACTTCAGAAGAACCTTGGTATCCACAATCTTTTAGCTTAACCTGGACATATCCTTTCCTTTGATCCCAGGTTTTTAGACAAACTCAACCAATTATCAATTGGAAAATGTTTAAATTTACCTATAGCCTGAAAGCACCCCCCACCCCTGCTTTGAATTGTCCCGCCTTTCTGAACCAAACCAATGTGTTTCTTAAATGTATTTGATTGATGTCTCATGTCTCCCTAAAATGTATAAAACTGACCTGCACCCTGACCACCTTGGGCACGTGTTCTCAGGATCTCCTTAGGGCTGTGTCATGTGCCATGGTCACTCATATTTGGCTCAGAATAAGTCTCTTAAAATATTTTACCGAGTTTGACTCTTCATCGACACTTGTTTTATTGAATGAACTGGATTTCCATTGTTAATATTACCCTAATGTAAAGAGCAGTGAAGTAACAGACTTTTTGTCAGCCTTTTACTTACAGAATAGATGACCCCATGATCTGAGCCCTAATTCCTAACAGGGGATGCTTTGGAATGAACAAATCAAGAGGTACCTTGAACTGGAGATTGGTCCTGCTTCATGGTAGCATTTTCCCAGAAAACATGTCTCCATAATAAAAAAGAGTGACTGAATAGCAGATGAAGATATCCAGTTATAAAGCCAAGAGATAAGCCACCCATTCCAGAATTGCTACTTCCTCCTTTATCTGCAATGATCAAGTGGCAACTGTGACAGTGTCAACAGGTTGTACAGTGCACAAAAGGGAGGTTCTGGCTGAGAACGGAAAGTCTGCAAATGATAAGAGAGCAAAAGGAAGAAGTCCTAAACTGAGGAGAAACTGTCCTTTAGGGACAGGAAAAGGAAAATGAGCAAGAAGAATAAAAGATTTTAAAAAGAAATGAAGCTGGAAATCTATCATCATAGCCTAATCCCTAAATACCCCGCAGATGTTAGAAGAATGCCAAGCATTCCTGAAGTTGATAGACACAGATATAGATAGGTAGGTAGATACATAGAGATAGATTAATAGATAGGCAGATACATACATACATACATGCATACATAGGTAGCTACATAGACACATAGATGTATTGAATTGTACACATACACATGTGTATATAACATATATACCTATGTATGAGAGAGACAAGTGAGATATTAAATTATAATTAGCTAAAGACCATTTACAATACCCTATGCAAAGAGAAATATCTGAAGTGTTTTTGGATAATTAATTCCACATTCTTTAGCAACTCATCCAATTTCCCACTGGCAGAGATTCAGGGCAAAGACATTTCAAGCCATTTTACAATGAGTCTCAAAAAGCAGTAAAATACCTTTATTCTGAGCACCATTTTAAACTTTTTAGCAAGTTGATGCTACTGCGACTCTTATTCCTGTCACCAGAGAAGCAATTCAGAAGAATTGTTAATATTTCAGAAGTTGCTTAAACTTCCTGTAAAGTGATAGGCCTGACCTCCTGGGGTTAATGTGAGCATCATAACAGTTAATACACGTAAATGCTTGACATACGATAAATGCTATGTAAGTGTTAGCCATGATTAGTATTTTCATCACTCAAAAATGCCTCTTTTCTGTCTCACACCATATTTCCCTAAAGTGCTCTGCCATTTCTTTATCTTTAACCATACTTCCCACTCTTGCTCCAATATTTCTCTCTTTTATATTTTTATTCCTTCATATACTGCTTCCAATACCTTCCTACTCAAACAGAAAGCTGCCTCTGTCCTTTAAGAATACCTACTAGTAGTACCTGGAAAGATTATTTTTCAGACACTTACCGTAAGGTGGGGTGGGGTTAGCATTCACCTTTTTTCATGCTGCCATTTTTAAAACTACACTATCTCAGTCTCCTTATGTTCAGGATAACACCATTCATAATCTACCCCTTCTTCACTGGGCCTCATGCCATCATGTCCACATTTTTGAAATACACAAACACCTGTCATTTTCCTTGAGACCTCAGAGCCCTGTGCAGGTGTCATCCAGTTACCCAGCCTCACTCTTTCGTAACTGGTGCGTCAATGACTACCATCATCATTTATGTATTTCTCACCTTAATTAATGGGGAGGGGCCGGGTGCGGTGACTCATGCCTGTAATCCCAGCACTCTGGGAGGCCAAGGCGGGCGGATCACGAGGTCAGGAGATCGAGACCATCCTGGCTTACACGGTGAAACCCTGTCTCTACTAAAAATACAAAAAATTAGCCGGGCGTGGTGGCAGGAGCCTGTAGTCCCAGCTACTCAGGAGACTGAGGCAGGACAAAGGCGTGAACCCAGGTGGTGGAGCTTGCAGTGAGCCAGGGTGGTGCCACTGCACTCCAGCCTGGGCAACAGAGCAAGACTCTGTCTCAAAAAAAAAAAAAAAAATTAAGGGGGAGCTTGCCTGAAGGAAATCATTTCCTAGTACTGAATTATGACATAAGTGCCTTTGCTGAGACATTTTATATATATGGGCCATTGAATTATGATACTCTTCAACAATATTTTTGTATTAGGCAACAAAATGGATTTCATATGACTATTTGTTGTATTGTTCTTTTGTTAAAAGGAGTAGGTCATGGCCCCAAAACTTAATTCAAGGAAAGAAACTCTGTTGGAAACTAAGGCAATATAGTTCAACTTTGTAGCCTCCTGGTGATCTGATTTGACCGAGGCTAAAATTTATAATACCCAGAGGAGTGACAGCCTTCAAATGATTTTCTGTAAGTATTAAAGTTGAGGTGTTTATTAAATGTCCACTTCTGTTTGGTAACACTTTAAGATTTTCTAGTTATTTTGAAGACTCATAAAATTCTAAAAAAAAAAAAAATCCTTAGTAAAAAATAGTTTCCTCAAAATAAATACATTGCTCACAATTTTAATGACTCATCATTAAAGCTAACAAGGAAAGGGGTATTATCTGTCTTAAACTATTTGTAACTGATAAATAAGAGGTTAAATTTTTCCCTACAGAGTTTTACTATTGAGCCATTATTCAATTATGAGAAAGAGTAAACTGAAATATTTGCCAAGTACTTATGATATGACAGATATAGTGCCAGGTTGTTTTACATATTGTATATCACTAAATGTCAGAATTAAACTTCTGAAAATCAAAGCTGGCTAAAAGTGGGTATTTAACTTCTGTGGACTTGTTGAAACCCAATACAGAGATGTGTCTACTTGGGATCATGAAATCAAATATTCAGAAGAAATATATTTTTCATGCATATTCTGAAATCAGTGGCTGAAACCACAAGAAATAAGTGAACAGAGCTTATAAATATTGATTTATTGAGTTTATTCCCTTAGGTTCATATCATGGAGATGCTTAAAATACTTAAGCTAGAGTTATATTTAAAGTACTGCTATGTACGGATGTAATACAACTTATTTTACAGAGCTTCCCTTTGGGGGGCAAGAATTATTAACGTATGTGGTTATCCTGAGCTCCCTCTTTCTGTTTGCTAATGGGGATTCTGGCTTTGTCTGCTCAATTTCTTCCCCATTGCTCTTCTCTGAAAAGGCACTGCTGGTGGCTGACAGTGATATTCTCTTTCGTTATCTCCACATCAGTACAATGATAAGAGGAAACTGGAACAAAAAGGCAGGAGGGGTGGTAGGTAAAGATTGAGAACATGCATTTGAGTAAGGCCTAGGTGAGCTTTCTTCCAGAAAAGAAAAAATAAATACATAGTCAGGAGGCAATGACAAATTTTAACCAGAAGGATTTAAAGAAAGAGAGATATGGATAAAACGATATAAAGATGTGTGCGTTATATTTTATGTCTTATTCAGATATTACCAAAATACAAATACACTCGAGGTATTTTTACATTATGTTTCATTATAATAGAATGATTTATATTCCTATGAGTATATACCCAGGAATGAGATTGCTGGGTGAAATGGCAATTCTGGTTCTAGGTCTTTTAGGAATTGCCACACTGTCTTCCACAATGGTTGAACTAATTTACATTCCCACCAACAGTGTAAAAGCATTCCTATCGCGTCTGTTTTTTGCTTCACTATTCACAATAGCACAGACATGGAATCAACCCAAATGCCCATCAATGATAGACTAGAAAAAGAAAATGTGGTACCTATACACCATGGAATACTATGCGGTCATAGAAAGGAACAAGATCATGTCCTTTGCAGGGACATAGATGGAGCTGGAAGCCACTGTCCTTAGCAAACTAACACAGGAACAGAAAACCAAACACCGCATGTTCTCACTTCTAAGTGGAAGCTGAATAATGAGAACACAAGCACACAGGGAGGGGAACAAAACACACTGGGACCTACTGGGGGGTTGGGGGGAAGGAGAGCATCAGGATAAATAGCTAGTGCATGGGGGCCTTAAAACCTAGGTGATAGGTTGATAGGGGTAGCAAACCACCATGACACACGTTTACCTATGTAACAAACCTGCACGTCCTGCACATGTATCCCAGAACTTAAAATTTAAAAAAAAAAAAATTACATTTCACCTTTTTTAAAACAGAGTGTTGTCATGCTATATCATGTGGATCCCATCATTATAGGCATTATGTACTCTAATAAGATGGCAAGAGAAAAAATGTTTAAGCTGTTCAGGCTGGAGGTAAAATGGAAGAGTTGAGGCTGGCCTTGGCTGACAGTCAGTTGAGTCTGGACTCTGGCCCTACCTGGCCATGTCTATGGATAAGTTTCTGAACTTCTTTTCTTCAAAATATAACCAGGCTAAGAGCAGCCTGATGGGAGTCCGACTGAGCAGGGTTTGAATCCCAGCTTTGCCATTTAGCATGATGAGATGTGAGTTAAGTTACTTAATTCAAGCCCCACGTCCTCATCTTTAAATGCAGACAACAGTATCTACCTTCAGGTTGTTGTCAGGATTAATATAATTTATGTAAAGTATTTTACCCAACATTTGGCATATATTTGTATACAGTAATTGGCGTATCTTTGGTATAAAATAAATGTTACAAAACATGAGTATTTTCCTTGTTATTGGTGTGGTACCTTGCATTTTCAAGTTGTCTTAGTCCATTCACATTACTATAAAAAAACACCTTAGACAGGATAATTTAGACAACTATAAAACAGAAATTTATTGCTCACAGTTCTGGAGGGTGGGAGTTTAAGACTGAAGTGTCAGCAGATTTGGTGTCTGGCGAGAGCTTGCTCTCTACTTCATAGATGGTGACTTCTGTGCTTCCTTACTTGGTGGAAGGGGCTAGGGAGATTTTGGAGGCCTCTTTTATAAAGGCACCAATCCCATTCATGAGGGCTCTGCCAGTCACATTCTAAAGCCTTCATCTCTTAATACTATTGCATTGGAGATTAAGTTTCAACACATGAATTTTAGAGACACAAACATTTAGACCATAGCACAAGTCGACATGTTTCTCTTTTGTTTAGATTTGCTGAGAGAGAGAAATGGAGAGACAGATTGAGATTCAGTAAAGGGTAAAGTTACTGAAGTTGTAAAAGTATATTCAAGAGCATTATATGGGAAATGTATAGGGCATTGCAGCAAATAAAATATAATATGGATACTGTGAATGATTTCTAAAAATTCAAGTTTACAAAATACATATTTTGAAGACTTGAACTGTTTGAAACATTTAATCCTTGTAGATCATGAGTGGAAGAACAGATTCTCTAAGTAGTGAAGAGAAATAGAGCAGTGGTCCCCAACCTTTTTGGCATCAAGGACTGGTTTTGTGGAAGACAATTTTTTTCACAGACATGGTGGTGGTGGGGATGGTTTCAGAATGATTCAAGCCCATTACATTTATTGTGCACTTTATTTCTATTATTATTACTTTGTAACATATAATGAAATAGTTATACGACTGACCATAATGTAGAATCCCTGGGAGCCCTGAGCTTGTTTTCCTGCAACTAGATGTTCCCACCTGGGGGCAATGGGAGACAGTGACAGATCATCGGTCATTAGATTCTCATAAGGAGCACACAACCTAGATCCCTTGCATGCTTAGTTCACAATAGGGTTCATGCTCCTATGAGAATCTAATGCTGCTGCTGATCTGACAGGAGGAGGAGCTCAGGGGGTAACACGAGCCATGAGGAGCAGCTGTAAATACAGATGAAGCTTCGCTCACTCAGCCGCCACTCACCGCCTGCTGTGGAGCCCAGTTCCTAACAGCTATGGACTAGTATGGGTTTGGAGAGCCCTGAAATAGAGGATATCCAGCAAGCCTTTTAAAAGAGTGAATTATTCCATTCCAACCTCTGGAATATAAAAGATAAATAGTCTCTCAGGAATTCACACTGTGTGGCCTTTTGCATTAAAGCAATCACCTAAGTTATCTGGAGCTTCATGTACATGGGTCAGATGTTGCTGGCATTGTCCTAACTCTGCATGGCTGCTCTCAAATCAGTCCTTCATCACCTCCATGAGATTCATGCCGTGAGACCCTAATTTCCTTCATTTTTTCAAAGATGTCTATCTTCCAGGAGGACACATCTGCATTTTTAAGGAAAACTCTGGCTACAGGCCATCAGATGATTTTCCCCTTGCCAACACTCTGGGTAACGTTAGCGCATTTGTGCAAAATACATTCAACACCCTGGCCTTACACCTTTTGATCTCCTTATCTTCAATAACATGTATTTCTACTCTAATTTAGGCACCCACATTCATTGCCTCATCAGGAATGATGATATCTTCTGTAGTTATTCACATTGTATTTTTGAATTCCAGTGGCCCTCTCACCTTTGACTTCAATACCTGATTCTTTTAGTTCTTTAAAATTTTTATTTTCTCTTCACACATTATTTGATCTCCTGCAGAACACTATTTTCTTCCACCTTTGCCTCAGTTATTTACCAAATATCTCTCCTTCTTTTTTTATTTTTTTCTTTTGAGATAGAGTCTTGTTCTGTTCCCTAGGCTGGAATGCAGTGGTGCAATCTTGGCTCACTGCAACCTCTGCCTCCCAGGTTCAAGCAATTATCCCGCCTCAGCCTCCCGAGTAGCTGGGATTACAGGCACCTGCCAACACGCCCAGCTAAGTTGTGTATTTTTAGTAGAGACGGGGTTTCACCATGTTGGCCAGGCTGGTCTCGAACTCCTGACCTCAGGTGATCCAACCACCTCGGCCTTCTAAAGTGCTGGTATTACAGGTGTGAGCCACTGCACCCGGCCAACCAAATATCTCTTAAGCACCTCAAGTGCTTTACAACATGGAATGCCAGAATACACCAATTCCAAGCCAAATCTACACAGGAGTGAAAAATTCTGTTTAGATAAATGCAACTATTCAAACACATGCTTTCAAATAACACTTCCTCCTTAGTGCTGAGGGCCATCTTGATACTTTGTTAAAATGATTCAATCAAGAGACAGAATAGAGAGATTGAGGGAGAGTGTGATGCTTTCTTTAATGCCCTGATCCTGAGTTAGATGTATCAGCAGTGTGTCCTGGAGCTTTTTCTAAACCTCCTGTTTCCACATCTACCACCTTCTATCACACTGGATTCTTTACATAGTTTCCACCACGACACTGTAAATGTTAAGGATGTCAAATCAAGATTGAATCTTGGTTTTTCCATTGCCTTTATATTATAGCAAAGTACCTGGTACATAGTTTATAGTTAATAGGTATCATCTAAGTGGATTAGTTACCCTACATTATCTTCCCAAATAAATGCCAATTTCAAATAAATACCAAATTTTGCCAACTCTCTATTCAAACCCACATCTTTCATTTTCAGGAAATGACATATTCTCTTTAATGAAAATAAGGACATAAAGTATCACCTACCATTATGTAGCCAGTCCCACCCTCCTATAAACTTACCTATAATTGGGTGATGAGTGATCCTTCCTCTTAATTAATGTAATTTTTCACTTGTAGAATTGATCTAGCTCATGCCTTCCATTATATCTTGTATCTTTCCCCATTTGTTATTGTGTCTCATATCTCTGCCTTCAGCCCTTCCCACTTCTCTATCTCTTATTTTGCCTGTAAACATGATTGAGGCAAAATGATTGAGGTAGAATGACATAACCAAAAAGAGGGTAATTTCAGAATTTCATTCCAATGTGAGAGAGCTCCAGTGGGCCCTTTTATCTTCTAAAATCACCCTCTTTTTTGTTATGCTATTCTCTAGCTTCCAACTACATTTTTTTTTAAAGAGGTGGGGTCTCGCTACATTGACCAGGCTGGTCTTGAAATCCTGACCTCAAGTGATCCTCCCATCTTAGCCTCCCCAAGTGCTGGGATTACAGGCGTGATCCATCACAGCCAGGCCCCAACTACTATCTTGCTGACCCTTTTCTAATTCTCTTCTTTTGAAAGGAGTTTTCAATTTGCTACTTTACTTCCTAATATCCCATTCATGCATCAACCCAATGTAGAGTAGCTTCTATTCTAATTACTCTACCAAAGCTGTTCTTCCATACCGTTCACTCCTTTCACTCAAAGTACCCCATATTTTTGAAGAATGGTATCATTCATGATACAATGTTCTCTAGTAAGCAGATTTGGACATGGAGATATATACTAGGGAGTGCCCTTGGATTACTACCTGTGAAAAGGAGAAGAAGGAAGCTGGATTGAGGGAAAGGGAAAAAGCTGGGCTGAAAAGAAGTCCTGGACCACAGCTTTGGCTCATCTCACAGGGGACTTTGAAGATAAAATGGCCCACTGGCATCCTTTCACATTGCAATGACATGACTGAGTCTTTATAGGCCCCAAGTCCCCTCCCCACCTCTTTCACCTGCCTCCTTGCCTCACCTCAATCAGTCGTTGCATATGCGCCACAACTGGGAACCTCAGGACCTTAGGCAGGGGGAAGCTCTGCAGCTGAGGTGACGTCTGAAGGGGCTCACAGCTGAGTCCTGTCTACTGACACAGCTCTCAGGGAGGACCTAGGTGATGCATCTCTGTGTGTATCATATATATGAGTAATGATATTAGAGGTTTTATAATTTAACCTTTTTTCTCCTTTTTATCTTTAATCTTCACTGTATTTCAGTCATGGTCTTCAGGTTTCAAAGTGACCTTTAAGATTCAGCAAAGAATATACAGCTTTTTAAACATGGGGAATAAAACAAGAACAATGTGATAGCATAGTGTAATGGTGCCATAGAAATAAACAATAAAAAAGAATTTAAAGAGAGAACCAGGAGTCAATTTCATAAATGCCACCATTACATTACTTAGGTTAAGCTTTTGAATTTATCTAGAGAAATGTCATTGGCCAAAACATTAACATTTATAGAGGAATGCAAAAGTGCAAAATTAAAGTTCCTAAGAATCAAGTCCAGAAAAATAGAAAATGTGTAAAGGCTATTGTTCTCAGTTTGGCAAATAAAATTAAAAAAATAAGCAAATCCAGAACTGGCTAATTTCAAATAACGTTTCTAGTATTTCCCACACATTTTTTTTACATATTTTAAAATCACTAATACAGCATTACATTTTTAAAAGGCATATTTCAATACCTTACCTTGAAATCATAAGATGCATTTGTTCAATGAAATCTTACAGTAAAACAGCATAAAAAATATAAATTGTACAGTGTGATATAAATGCAAACTATTTGATGTTCAATTTAATCATTTTTTTCAGGAACCTAAATGTTAGTTATTTATTATTACTTTAACGACTTAATATTAATTACAATGAAAAGAATATTGCCTTTGAGATCTTCCATTAATGATTCAGTTCCCAGGCCCTGATTTCTTTATAAACTTCTAAATTCTTAAGAGAGAAATGTACTTGGCTCAAATTTAATCATGTTAGAATACAGGTTCTGTATCAACTTAGTTTTTGTAGACACTATATGATATAAGAAGACAATGTTTAATTTTATGTCAATTTCTTGCATAAACTTGTTCAATTAATTCATTCAATAAATAGTCATTGAGTTCATATCATGTCCCAGGTACTTTTTTTTTTTTTTTTTTTTTGAGATGGAGTCTCACTCTGTCGCCCTGGCTGGAGTGCAGTGGCACGATGTCCGCTCACTGCAAGCTCCGCCTCCCGGGTTCACTCCTTTCTCCGGCCTCAGCCTCCAGAGTAGCTGGGACTACAGGCGCCCGCCACAACGCCCGGCTAATTTTTTTGTTATTTTTAGTAGAGACGGAGTTTCACCGTATTAGCCAGGATGTTTTCGATCTCCTGACCTCATGATCCTCCCTCCTCGGCCTTCCAAAGTGCTAGGATTACGGCGTAAGCCACTGCACCCAGCCATCCCAGGTACTATTAAAAGCACTGTTATTATATGGTGAAAAAGACGGACGGGGTCCCAGTACATACTTTATATGGAACATACTGATGTCTTTTCTAAAACCTCTAGTCTCTGATTTGCCTATATAAAGAGTGACAAGTTTTATTTTTACTTTCTGCAAAAATTCAGTTTCTTGTTGTTTTATCATCATACATACAACTTTTATTCAAATATTCATCTAAGGGCCAGGTGCGGTGATCTCTACTAAAAATACAAAAAATTTTAGCCGGGCGTAGTGGCGGGCGCCAGTAGTCCCAGCTACCCGGGAGGCTGAGGCAGGAGAATGGCGTGAACCCGGGAGGCAGAGCTTGCAGTGAGCGGACATCGTACCACTGCACTCCAGCCTGGGCGAGAAAGCGAGACTCTGTCTCAAAACAAAACAAAACAAAAATTAAAAAGAAAACTCGATATTAGGGATTTCACAGTGCTGTAGACTGAATGATAGTGCCCCCCAAAATTCAGCTGTTGAAATGTAACACCCATATGATGATATTTGCAGGTGGGACCTTAGAGGGAGGGGATTAGATCATGACGGTAGAGCCCTCATGAATGGGATTAGTGCACTTATAAAAGAGTCCCCGGAGAGACTCTTGCCCCTTTCACCAAGTGAGGATGCAGGGAAGAGATGGCAATTCATGAATCAAGAAGCAGGTCCTCACCAACTCTTACGGCACTTTGATCTAGGACTTCCTGCCCTCTAGAACTGTGAACAACAAATTTCTATTGCCTATAATCCACCAATTTATGGTATTTTGTTATAGCTGTTTAAATAGATTAAGACACCTAGGATGGGAAACCCATTAATACTGTAATAGAGAGATGAGCTTTCTCTTCCTCTAACTACTTTTAAAGTCTAAGATAATTAGGAAATGATGTTTTGTGTAGCTATATTTTGATTTAAAATTATCTGCCTCAATTAGTGATGAACTAACTTGATTTTGTGCCTGAGTTTTAATAACTGTGATATTTTGAATCAATGTGAGTTATTTGATCAGTTCAAAATATCCAAAAAAAATTTGTCTGGTTAAGATCATGTGCATCTCCATGATGGGATTAGTGTTCTTATAGGAAGAGAAAGTGAGACCATAGCTCTCTGTCTTTCTCTATTTTGTGCCATGTGAAGACATTGTCAGAAGGCAGGAGCCTGTAGTCTAGGAAGGGGGCTTTCACCAGGGACTGAATCTGCCCGAACCTTGTGGAGGATTTCCCAGCCTCCAAAACTGTGAGAAACAAATGTGTGTTGAAGACACCAGTCTCTGGTATTCTGTTATGGCAGCTTGAGCTGCCTAAGATACAATGATAATATAAAAATATTAACAAGATTAGCCTGGGCACCATAAGAAGACCCCAGCTTTAAAAGTAATACAAATAATAATAATAACAACAAACTAAAACATTTTGAAATTTTAAGTGATAATTTTTCATTAGATACAGAATCACCTACTTAGAAAAATACAGATCCCAGGGCAGGGCGCAGTGGCTCAGCCTGTAATCCCAGCACTCTGGGAGGCCGAGGCGGGCGGAACACGAGGTCAGGAGATCAAGACCATCCTGGCTAACACGGTGAAACCCCGTGTCTACTAAAAATACGAAAAATCAGCAGGGCGTGGTGGCGGGCGCCTGTAGTCCCAGCTACCCGGGAGGCTGAGGCAGGAGAATGGCATGAACCTGAGAGGCGAAGCGTGCAGTTGAGCTGACATCGTGCCACTGCACTCCAGCCTGGGCGACAGAGCGAGACTCCGTCTCAAAAAAAAAGAAAAAGAAAGAAAGAAAGATACAGATCCCAAACTCTATTATACTTAATATTTCTTCTAAAATGTTCATCATTTTGAGGATTAAGATTTCTTAATGCATCTGTACAAACACACATGCATATATTCACACAAATAACTATAGTCATTTTATCAACGTTTTGTTTTGACTTATTTATTTAAAAATATTAAATGTATTTTATAAATGAAGAATGCGTGTATTTATTTATTTATTTATTTATTTTTATTTTTATTTTGAGACGGAGTCTTGCTCTTTCGCCCAGGATGGAGTGCAGTGGCGTGATCTCCGCTCACTGCAGGCTCCGCTTCCGGGGTTCATGCCATTATCTGGCCTCCAAAAGTGCTGGGATTACAGGCGTGAGCCACTGCTCTGGGCCTCATTCAAGTATATTTATATAGGAATGTCTGAAATACTGCCACCTAATGTTTAGCAATTATTTTCATTTCTGAGCAGTAGAATTTGAGTGATTTTTATTACTTTTGATTCTGCAATGTGATGTATTCTTTTTTTCATAATGTCTTTCGTATTTATTAAAAGGTTAATTAAATCATCCTAAGAATATTTTATGCATATTTTTGTTAAAATAGGATGTTTAACAGTCAAAATTCTCCATTTACTAAATCTTTCTCAGTCAATGCTTCAGACTTACCTTTTCTACATTTACTAATAAAAAATTTAATTTCAATGTTATATAATAGAAGAACACAGAGTATCTATTTTAAATTTTACCTCCACAAACATCTTTAACCAGAAAATGAAATAAGCACTTAAAATATCAAATAAAATACTAGTTTTCAGGTCTGTTGCTTTGAAAATATGCTTCCTCGTTGAGCAATATCTGAATTTTTATTACTATACCAGGGTATAGATGAAATATCTAACTAGTATACTTTTAAATTAAAACTGCAAAAAATATATAGAGAATTCAGTAGTGCTTATTCAGCATGTAAAACATTTTGCCTATTACATTCTTCATGTTGATGGTAGCTATGGCTAAAGTTTGTAGATACTTGGTTTCGTTAGCTTTTAGAGTTGCTTAGGTTAAATATGCTATAATATACCAGTCCCTGCTGGCTTTGAACTACTTCGAATTCTTAGAAGTGAAGTAACATAGTACAAACCTATAGAAAATATGATAAATGTACCACGAATGACACAAAATATTTTCTGCAGGTCACATAAGGAGTCATTCTCTATTTTGTCAATTTCCTTAGTTAATTCAAAAGCTCCCGGCCAGGCGCAGTGGCTCAGGCGGGTGCACACCTGCAATCCCAGCACTTTGGAAGGCCAAGGCAGGTGAATCACAGGGTCAGGAGGTCGAGACCATCCTGCCCATCCTGGCTAACACAGTGAAACCCCGTCTCTACTAAAAATACAAAAAATTTGCCAGGCGTGGTGGTGCCCGCCTGTAGTCCCAGCTACTTGGGAGGCTGAGGCAGGAGGATGGTGTGAACCCAGAAGGTGGAGTTTGCAGTGAGCCGAGATCCTGACACTGCACTCCAGCCTGGGCTACAGAGCGAGACTCCGTCTCAAAAAAAAAAAAAAAGTTCCCAATGCATGAATCAATCAAGAATTTCACCCCCAACAGTGAAAAAAAAATGTGAAAGCAGTCAGGTTTTAGTCACTGTAAATCACAATTTCAATTCCACCCCATCCAAAGAAAGCTATGTATGTCCTTCTCATTCCAAATACATACAGGCCATGAGTTAATAATCTTTCATTCTTCTAAAATACCAACAGATTTGCTTTTTTACTTTCATTTGTAGTTTATAGTACTCACAATTAAATTGACCCAAATGTTTTTGAGGTATGTATCTAAATATATATATATACATGGATCAAAGGTCAATGCTATTGTCTATGCATTAGCCACTCCCATTTATGAGAATTTTCTAAACTTGTTGCTTTATATCTCTTAAATGGTGTCAGTTGGCCACATTTATTTCCTGAGAAACAACTGAGCAGCTGACAATGAAAATGAAGCTCTCTGCATTCCTCTTAGGCATACTGCATACATCTTAGGCTCTCTGCATTCCTCTTAGGCATACTGCATACATCTTAGGCTCTCTGGATGCCTCTTAGGCACTTAACGCTTACATGTATTTGTATCTCATTACATAGTGATACAGTCCTAAAATAAAGTAAACAATGAGTTATTTTCTAGACTAATTTGATGAGGCTTTTATTTGATAACAAATTAAAATTATGCCACCAGATGCCTATACTTTGACTTATAAAATGTGTTGTGTTCTGCATGGGCAAACAGAAAGTGCAGAAATTGAACGGCTGCCTGGTAAAATTACCTAAATCCACAATGCCACTGGACAACATTGAACTAGATATTTAAATAAGTGAAAGTAATCAAGTAGTTGAGTTCACTGATAAAATTATACTTGGAATCTTACATCATTCCCAGATTAATATATACAATGTATATCAAATGTCATTGCTATGGGAATGGAAACTGTTACACATGAGGCTAAATTTTTATAAAGAATTTTTTTTTCCTCTAGAACTGACCTTGAGAAACTTGATATCCTCTGTTTATGGCAAGTCTTAAGAAAATGTCAACCCAATGTCAAAGGATAATTAATTTTTTTAAAGAAAAGAAAATTAATGGTTCTCATACAAATGTAAAATGAATATATGTTCATGATTTTATTTAACTGATTAATAAATAAGAGTACCACAGGATGTTCTGACTGGTTCAAAGGAGAATACAAAGAGCAGAGAATATACAGGCAGACATTCATGCTGAAATGAATTTGCTTAATAAAGGCAAAATTAGCCAATATCTATAGGGTGACAGTCAAATATATCTACACTGGATAATTTGTATTTTCATGGACAGGAATTATTTGCAATTTACACAGTTGTGAAATAGGTAAAACAAACAAAAAGTGAAAGGTTCAGAAACCCCATACAATCAGTTAAACTAACATTTAGTTTTCCACTGAAAATAGTAATTTTTTGAGACCATTTCAAAGTTTTTCTTAATTTTTCTCTGCTCTAAAAAAGTCTATAAATTATTTCCAATGAACATTAGAGCTTTTTCTTTGTTGAATTAGTATTTTTAAAAATTTATGGAAGGAGACAGAGCATAAAAGCAGTCGCCAAGTTTATCAATTAAGTCGGTACGATTACAAATCCCAATTGAGAAATATTTTTAAGTATATTTTTCTTTCCAAGACAAATAGACATTAAACAGTCCTAATGTTAATATCCTTTATGTTACATATATATGTATAGATGTATAAGTATATGTATATCCTCATGTATATAAAAAGTTACAAACACATAGTTATTTCAGAGAATTATTTATGCAAATGTGTTGGGTTTTCTTTTTGTGAAGCTATGTTATCAAGAAGTTATTCTTAGTTTTACAGAAAATAAAACAGCTCTAGCTCTTTGTATCATAAGATAAATATCTGTTTATAAATATCAGTATTTTCTAATACTTCTAATGTACTCTTTTGGAGGTAATGGTATATGAAACCCTATAAGAGCAATTCTACTTCATTAATTAATTCGGAAGAAACACAAGTTTTTAAGGCCCAGTGTATACCAACAATTGACAAAGTCATTAAGGTAGACAAAGATGGGCAGAGCCTGGGCTTTGGCTATGAATGTTAGAAAATGAATCACTGAAAGTAAAACATGTTTAAAAGATTAAAATAACAGAAAATGGTTTGAAATTAAATTCAGTTATTGGCCATCAATTGGTCAGAAAGAGTAATTAAGAATTAGTCAAAGCTTTTTTCTCTTCATTTAGGTCAAATATGTCATAAAAATAGTCAATTTTAGCTTATTATAAGTCGATTATGTCAAAATGGTTGAACGACATGTCATTGAAATTAATCTTTAGCTTGTAATGCTATCATTTCAGTTTTAATTAATATTGGGGCCAAAATGTTCATTAGATACTGTTTTTAATGATCAGTTTTTATGCAAATGATTTATATAAGTCAGAACTTCAATTCAGTGTTTGGTAGCTGTTTGATTTTTAGGACATTATATATTGAAATGTACACTGATTATCCTAAAGTTGTAAATATTTAAGAAACTTTTCAGCAAAAAGTCTAAAATAAAGATATATTTATATTATTTCCAAAACAGAAAATTTAAATTGATTCCCTAGTCAAAGAAACTGTTTGTAAATAAAATGTAACAAGCTATATATTGCTTGGCCCCCAGACATTTTAAAGTCACTTTTCCTTTTTATATACATGTTCTAATATTATAAACAGTGAGCTCAGAAATATCCTAGTTTGTCTTTTGTGTATTTTCAGCAGATTGTGCTGTTTCAAATTCTATTATTTTACTCCAATTCTTTTGTTCACATATTGCTGTTTTGCTAGCGTTTTTCATATTTTAAAATACATTACTATATTGTATATAGTAATATTGTGTTTCTATTTCTCTTTCTTCATGTTTTATTTTGTTCCATAACCTTTGGCTTGTCCTTTTTATTCCATATTCCCATTTGTAGGTGTAGTTTTCAAAGGTGCTTTTCTTATTTACACAAACATAAGACTTTTGTGCCGGGCGTGGTGGCTCACGCCTGTAATCCCAGCACTGTGGGAGGCCGAGACGGGCGGATCACGAGATCAGGAGATTGAGACCATCCTAGCTAACACGGTGAAACCCCGTCTCTACTAAAAATACAAAAAAAAAAAAATTAGCCAGGCGTGGTGGCAGGGGCCTGTAGTCCCAGCTACTAGGGAGGCTGATGCAGGAGAATGGCGTGAACCCGGGAGGCGGAGCTTGCAGTGAGCCGAGATCGCGCCATTGCACTCCAACCTGGGCGACAAAGCGAGACTCCGTCTCAAAAAAAACAAAAAAAACAAAAAACTTTTGAACCAGAATATTCTGAATGAGATCAAAGTCAAAGCTCAAACATTTCTTAAAAATGAGGTTTTTCTGAGTTGGGAACCAGAGTCATCTTCTATTGCCTGATGCAATAGGCATTGAGAATAGAACTTGTGACAACTCTCTATGCATTAACAATAGAAAAAATGGGATAAGATAGAGGCAAGGAACATACATTCAGGGAGCAAGAAGAAACACTGAGGAACTAATAGAAATTGTGCTTATCAAAATAAACTTACCAAGGTATGGTACCAATTCTCCTTTTTTTGTTCAGTCCATAATAGAGTTCTTAATGCTTTCAATTTTTTTCTTATTAATAATTTTCCTAAATATATTTTATTTGTTTGTTTGTTTGTTTTTTACATGGTGTCTCGCTTCATCACCGAGGCTGGAGTGCAGTGGCGCGATCTCGGCTTACTGCACCCTCCGCCTTGTGGGTTCAAGCAATTCTCCTGTCTCACCCACCTGAGTAGCTGGGACTACAGGTGCCCGCCACCACACCTGGCTCATTTTCGTATTTTTAGTAGAGACAGTATTTCACCTTGTTGGTCAGGCTGGTCTGAACTCCTGACCTCAGGTGATCCACCCGCTTCGGCCTCCTAAAGTGATGGTATTACTTCTGTGAGCTACTGCGCCTGGCCCTAAATCTATTATTTAAAAATCCACCTGTACAATTGGTATTCACAGAAATCTCCCATATATGTTATTATTTTATTCTCATAACTCTCTATGCCAAGTATAGATACATTATTGATGTGGAAAATTAGATCACAGAGATAAAGTGACTTTCCCAAGGTCAGTGCAGAAAGGGAAAAGTGAAAATTTGAAATTGTACCTGAAGAGTAAGAGCAAAGGGGTTAAGGAGTTATTCATAGATCTTTGTGCCTCAGAGGTCCTTACTGAGAGTTTTAATCCAAATGGTTTGGTAAATTTGGGGCGACAGGTATAACATGGCTTATGTGATGCTTAGAGTGTTTTGGAACCATCAAGATCTTTGCAATGGCATCACAGATAACAACCCCATCATCTTGTAAAACATGGACATGTTGGGAAACAATGTTTTAGTTCAGTCATTGAACTGACCCAAACTTCTGTGTTCATATTGTTATAGACCTCATAATTGTTAAGGTATAAAGAAGCATCAGAAGTTTTGTTTTTGTTTTTAATTACAAAGGAGTTAGGATATTCCTAACATCCAAAGTGAATTAAAATAATTCACTTTGATGTGAGAAAGAGCTTCTTGTCTTAGGGACACTGGTGAGGTGAATTCACAACTATGGGTTGTTTTAATTGAATTACATCCTCAGAGCTTTAGTTTTGAGCTCTGAATCTACAATCTGCATTTTGCAAGTAATCAATGGTATTTATTTAAGTGCTCTTGGTAAAGATAATGTGAATAGAGAAATCTGCTTATTTCTAGCATAAAATTGCTTATTAAGCAAAATAATAGAGCACTGCAAATTAACTAGTAAAAAATTGAAATCTTTAACTTTCACACCTTCATTTGATATTTACTGAATACTTTGGGGACTAGATTATATGTAATTTAGTTCAACTTTTGTTTAAAATAGGAAAATGAACTTTGAAAATAAGTACTTTTAAAAATATTTTAGAATGCAAGATAGTTTTCATGGAAACTTTCATGGAATCATATTCTTTATATTTTAGAATCAAGGTATGTTCCTACTTGGTACTTGATCAAGGAAATACCTAAATCAAGAACCATTCCAAATGGCTGTTTATTAAGTGTGATGGTTTACTAATGTCAACAAAAGTGAAAAAAATTATATTGAAGTATAAACTATAAATAATCTTGTTTAACATATTTATAAATACATTTTTGCCCATATTTGTATTTTGTACCTATTTATATAAAAAAACAAATATTATCTTTTGTACAAATATTTTAAGATCTGGCACTTTTTTAGCACCCCAGAAAAATATTTTTCAGGCTCTTAGCTGATGCTGAGAAAAGTCAGTCAGTCTCACATGTTACCATAGATTAATATTGCCTATCTTTGTCTTCATATAAATGGAAGCATACGGTATTTATTTTTTTCTGGCTTATTTCACTCAAAATTGCATTTGTGAAATCTATTTATGTTATGGACCAGTGTTTCATTCCTTTTTGTTTTGTGTAGCACCCTGTTGAATGAATATGGAGCTTTCCAATCCATTCTATCCTGATGAACATCCAGGTGTCTCTGTTGAAACTGCTGGTCATAAATTATGTGTTTAAATTTAGTAGATAATGATAATTATTTTTCCAAAATAGTTGTATCAACTTAATAACTCATTCAAATATGTGAAGACCTCCTAACAATCTAAAAAGATGGACTTCCAATTTCAAATAATAAATACAAAGATTAAGTACTTGAACAGGCAGTATATGCACATTTTTAAACATAAAAGATTGAGTTAAATTTTGAAAAATGTAGGCCGGGCGTGGTGGCTCACGCCTGTAATCCTGGCACTTTGGGAGGCCCAGACGAGCGGATCACGAGGTCAGGAGATAGAGACCATCCTGGCTAACACTGTGAAACCCCGTCTCTACTAAAAATACAAAAAATTAGCCGGGCGTGGTGGCGGGCACCTGTAATCCCAGCTACTTGGGAGGCTGAGGCAGGAGAATGGCATGAACCCGGGAGGCAGAGCTTGCAGTAAGCCGAGATTGCGCCACTGCACTCCAGCCTAGGCAACAGAGCGAGACTACGTCTCAAAAAAAAAAAAAAGAAAAGAAAAGAAAAGAAAAAAAAGAAACATGTAACTAAGAATCTCATTTGAGCTACATGTGTGAAAATATTTCTTTTACATTATCATATAACACAGATTTTGGATATGACGAGTGCTGAACTGAGGCTTTTCACTTGATATGCATTACAAATTAGAATTTTTCACTCACAAAACATGCTTATGACAGTTTTATATATGAATAGAATTGTAAAAATTGCCTTAAGAGTTATTGAATAAAATGTTTAAAGTACCTCATAGGATGAGGAAAAAATGGAAGAGTTAACAAGGATACAGAGCATAAAAGAGAAGAATAAGAGTTCAAATAAAATCGAATGAAAAGACACCATCTTGTGTAACTCTGTAGTTAATTGTGCATGTGTGCTATTTTTCATGACTTGGAGCACGTTATTTTTGGCCAAGAGTTTCCATTCTATCTATGGATATGCCAGAAATTTCCTATTTTAGATCTTCTAGTCTCCAACTCTCAAGATAAAAAACAAAAATCATTAAAACCTCTGACTCTGATATTGAATGCCTGCATAAAAATCTCCTCCCATCACCTTGCAACAGATGACTTGCTCATACACCTTTTTGACTACCACTCCCCATCAAGGGTTCTCTCCTTCGAGACTACAGTAATTCTCTTTGTATTTCATATTATGTGCAAACTTTACTTTCAAAGAGTTGTTACCTATATTAATGTACTTACATCATTCACCGAATATATTTTCTCTATCAGCAAAATTGGTTTAGATATCTTGGATTAGGATAGAACACGTCACAACTTCTCCCCCCTTTATGATCAGTTTTTTTTTTTTTTTTAGTCGGACCGTTTTTCAGTTGGTGACTGTCAGAAATGAATTAAAGTTTTAAGAGAAGAATAGGTAAGGGTAAAGAGAAGGGTGTCCTTATGTATCAACTTTGCTTATTTAGTTTTTTCGAGTTCAACAAGACCCTCCTCTCCCTTCAAGGAAGATGATTCCTAGGCACGTTTGTTACTTCTATCAAAACAGCTGAGTTTTTTTTTTTTTTTTTCATTCATGTTGTTAAAATACCAATAGTGGAGCGAAAAATGCTTCACCTGGGACTGTCCCCTGACAGGCAGTGCGACGAGGTCAGGCCCGCGCCCGCCGAGTCCTAGGGCCGCTGCCGCCGACGGCCATGGAGGACGAGCAGCTCGACAGCCTGGAGGGCTGGGCGCCGGTCCGGCAAGGCCTCTTCGCCGATGCCGAGAGGCACCGGCTGCGCTTCCTGGTGGCGTGGAATGGCGCGGAGGGCAAGTTAGCTGTGACTTGTCACGACCTCACCGCGCAGCAGCCGCAGCGGCGCGAGGGGGCCCGGCTGGGGCTGGAGCCCAAACCCAAGGCCGCTGTGTCCCCGCCCAGCTGCCGTGTCCCCGCCCAGCTGCCGTGTCCCCGCCCAGCTGCCGTGTCCCCGCCCAGCTGCCGTGTTCCCGCCCAACTGGGCCGGCCGGTTCTCGGCCGCGGGGTTCCGCGGCGCGCGCTGGCAGCTAGCGGCGCTGTGGCCGCCTCTGGAACGCTGCTCCCCGCAGCTGGACGTGGGCGGCGGCGGGGCCTGGAGTCTGGGGCTCGGGCTGTGGGCGCTGCTCTGGCAGGCGCGCGCGGGCCCCGGCGAGGTGGCGCTGCAGGAGCTTTGCGGGCAGCTGGAGCGCTACCTGGGCGCGGCGGCCCACGGCTGCGGCGGCGCCACCGTGCGCCACGCTGTTTTCGCGGCTAAAGGCCGCGCGGCTGACTGCGAGAGCCCGCGCGAGTTTCGAGAGCGGGCCCTGCGCGCCTGATGGGTCGAGGCGGACGCGCGGCTGCGTCAGGTAAGCGAGGCCGGGCCGCCGGCGTTTGACCGCGCTTGGGTGGCCTGGGACCCTGTGGGAGGCTTCCCCGGCGCCGAGAGCCCTGGCTGACGGCTGATGGGGAGGAGCCGGCGGGCGGAGAAGGCCACGGGCTCCCCAGTACCCTCACCTGCGCGGGATCGCTGCGGGAAACCAGGGGGAGCTTCGGCAGGGCCTGCAGAGAGGACAAGCGAAGTTAAGAGCCTAGTGTACTTGCCGCTGGGAGCTGGGCTAGGCCCCCAACCTTTGCCCTGAAGATGCTGGCAGAGCAGGATGTTGTAACGGGAAATGTCAGAAATACTGCAAGCAAACTGAAAACAACCCATCCATGTAGGAAAGAATAACACGGACTACACGTAAGCAATTCCAAGTCTGTGTCTGCGGGGACGTCGCAAGTGGGATAAAATGGTTTAAAGGAAGAAATGGCTTTTAGGAGTTAGGGTGTTTTGTTTTAAGTAATACAGACTTGGTCAAATGGAAAGCCGGTAGAAAGTGAGCTTTATTCATCAGTTTAACCGCATTAGTGCTCTTTTAAGCTTGAAAGAGGTAGTTTGAGAGAGTAATTGAGTGGTAAACTTACTGAACTTAGGGGACGGGGAAGTACATGTTCATAGAAGGGTTTAGGAGAAAGTATGCCTTCTAAATCCACACCCACGGTTTACTAAGCAGAGCCAGGCTGGAGTCTCAGCTCACTGCTCTTATTAACCTGAATGATTTTTTTCTGTGCATTCTTTTGAGGAAGGGGAGGTGAAAAGAAGAATTCAGCCTAAGCTAAATATAGAATAAGCTTTCTAAATTAAAATGGTTTTATAAAAGGAGCTTGTTAGTGGGGTCATTTTTGTACTGTGAGCTTTATGTGTAAATGTCTACACACCCACTTAACATGTGTTGATTTCACTTTAGACTATGAGGAAACCACAGGGGAGTTTCAGGCCAGTCAGCTTTTGATCTTCAACTTTATAACTTTCACCTTAGGATATGACGAGCCCACCGGAGTTTCAAAAATGGTATCATTTTGTATCAGACTTGTTTTTTACACTCTTGGTTTCTCACAGAGATAGGTGGTTTCTCCTTAAAATCGAACATTTATATGATGCATTTTACTGTAGTTACTATCAGAAAAGTTAGTTTTCCCAAATTTAAGTTCACTCTGGGGTACTATAGCGTGAATGTAGTTCATTCTGTTGAGCTAGTTGTTCATGTTAGTGTAGTTCACATATTTATCTGGAACTCAAAAATGAGGGGTTGAGAGGGGAAGCTAAAATTCAAAACATGTCCAAATATATAATTTTAATATTTTACTTTATATTTAAAATAGAAAAGCAATTGATTCTAGAATTAGACTAATTGCTAGCATTGCTAGCATATATAAAATGAAGCTGAATGTTTTAACTCTGGAATTTTTCTGAATAGTCTAAGAAATAAGGCTGAAGTGTATCACTTGCCTTAAGTTTACTTTTGCGTGTGTGTTTTAATTTTGTTCAGTGGGGCTTTCACTTAAAAAAAAAACCATAATATTATTACCTGGATAAAAAATACAGCTGAAAGTAGATCACTTTATCTTTAAGCAGAAGGATGGAAATAGAAGAATTTTAAGAATGTATTGGTTGAAAAACATCTATATTATTTTATTTTTATTTCTCTTCTTGTGGGAGTAAAATAATTTCCAACCAAATCAGTCCACCTAGATTATACACTGTTCAGTTTGTTTTCTGCCCTGCAGCACAAGCAATAACCAGCAGAGACTGGAACCACAGCTGAGGCTCTGTAAATGAGTTGACTGCTAAGGACTTCATGGGGATATTAACCTGGGGCATTAAGAGAATCAACATGCTAAAGTACTTGGAGACAGCTCTGTAATGTTTTATGAGGTTTTTTGTTTTTTTTTTTTTGAGACAGAGTCTTGCACTGTCGCCCAGGCTGGAGTGCAGTGGCGCCATCTCGGCTCACTGCAAGCTCTGCCCCTCAGGTTCACCCCATTTTCCTGCCTCAGCCTCCCCAGTAGCTGGGACTGCAGGTGCCCTCCACCACGCCCAGCAAATTTTTTGTATTGTTAGTATACACAGGGTTTCACCGTGTTAGCCAGGATGGTCTCAATCTCCTGACCTCGTGATCTGCCTGCCGTGGCCTCCCAAAGTGCTGGGGTTACAGGTGTGAGCCACCATGCCTGGCCCTTAGGAGCTTTTAAAAAGGAATACAGCCTCACAAAACCTT
This sequence comes from Homo sapiens, assembly GCF_000001405.40. Classification (NCBI taxonomy): domain Eukaryota; kingdom Metazoa; phylum Chordata; class Mammalia; order Primates; family Hominidae; genus Homo; species Homo sapiens. The sequence continues at coordinate 2,665,104 of NW_011332701.1, read as the reverse complement.
CACAGTCAGAAAAGTCAAATGAAAAAATATCCACACCTCAAACCTTCTTTTGGGTCCTTTTCGCTGCATACTTAGTGCATAGTTGAGATTAAATTTTGTACTCTGCCTCTCCATTTAATTATAAAAGTCTCCTTTTTTTTTTTTTTGAAACAGAGTTTCGTTCTTGTTGCCCAGGCTGGAATGCAATGGCACTGTCTCGGCTCACCGCAACCTCCGCCTCCCGGGTTCAAGCTATTCTCCTGCCTCAGCCTCCCCAGTAGCTGGGATTACAGGCATGCGCCACCACGCCCAACAAATTTTGTATTTTTAGTACAGACAGGGTTTCTCCATGTTGGTCAGGCTGGTGTCGAAGTCCTGACCTCAAGTGATCCACCCGCCTCGGCCTCCCAAAGTGCTGGAATTACAGGCGTGAGCCACGGTGCCTGGCCAAAAGTCTCCATATTATTAAACAATCTTCAGAAGCACAGTGCTGAATGACTACAGTAATAATATTCTGCCATGGATATATCATAATTTACTTAACAATTCTTGTTTTATTGGGCATTTTTGATGGAGGATGATGACATTTTCATATTTAATCAATATTTTAAATTGATGTATTGAAAGTTGAGAACATGAAGGTTTCTTTTGTTTAGTTTTGTTTGTTGGGTATGTATTACACTGTCTGACTTGAGCTTTATTCACATTTGCTCTCTAGGTTATCCAAGGACATGGAAAAGCCAACACCATGGTAGCATTAATGAAAGTTTACCAAGAGGAAGATGAAGCCTACCAGGAATTAGTTACCATGGCAACCATGTTTTTCCAGTACTTACTGCAGCCATTTAGGGCTATGCGAGAAGTTGCAACTTTATGTAAGCTTGATATTTTGGTATTTTTTTTAATTTTTATTTTATCACATTTACTATTTGTCATATATTATTTCTTTATTTACACTTAATGTTCAATCTCTGCACTTTGTTTGGGTTTACTTTTATGTTTCTTTACTTATTTATTGATAGAGATGAGGTTTTGCCATGTTGCTCAAGCTGGTTTCTAACTCCTGAGCTCAAGCAGTCTGCCCACCTCGGCCTCCCAAAGCGTAGCATTACAGGCGTCAGCCACTATGCCTAGTTCACCCTCATGTTTAAATATTGAATTTATATTTAAAATTGATAGAAAATGAAGACATTTATGTTGGTCATCTTACTAGCTTAAGATTCCTGCAGATTTTAAAGAGTTAAGAGTTTTTTTGTATCGATGCCTTTTTTTTTTTTTTTTTTTTTTTTTGAGATAGGGTCTCTCTTTGTCAGCCAGGCTAGAGTGCAGTGGCACAATCTTGACTCACTGCAACCTCCTCCAGGTTCAAGTGACTCTTCTGCCTCAGCCTCCTGAGTAGCTGGGATTACAGGTGTGCACTACCATGCCCAGCTAACTTTTTTTGTATTTTTAGTAGAGACGGGGTTTCACCATGTTGGCCAGGCTGGTCTCAAACTCCTGACCTCAAGTGAGCCACGCGTCTCAGCCTCCCAAAGTGCTGGGATTACAAGCGTGAGCCACTGCGCCCAGCCTGATGAATTGTTTTTGATGTGATATTTATTTGCTTCAGTTTGTTTTCCTCTAAGGACTCATCCAAATTTCTTAAAATAGGATGAAAATTTAAATAGCAGGACCCTAGATTGTAATTCAGTAACTTAAATTTTAGTAAATGCTGTTATCGCTCTTGTTTCATTGAGCCATCAAACAACCGTGTGACCCCATTCAGAAAAGGCATTCTTATTCCAGTGTTACAAATGAATCTGGAGTCCAGAGTTGTTAAATATCTTACCTTGGGTCTCAACAACGGGAATCAGAAGACACCTAAGAGATCTCTTGATTTCTGCCCCCTGCACTGGGCCATCTTTCCACATATAATCTCATGCCCCCTGCCAGATGATTGTACTATAAAAATAGTATCACATTTAGATGAAACTCATGCCACTCTAACCTGTGGATAAAGTTGTTCTGTTCATTATTTTGAAAGTCTATTATTTGGAGAGTCTACTTCTTGCATATATTTTGCTTTCTTCTTCTTTTTTTTTTTTTTTTTGAGATGGAGTTTCGCTCTTGTTGCCCAGGCTGGAGTGCAATGGCGTGATCTCAGCTCACTGCAACCTCCACCTCCTGGATTCAAGCGATTCTCCTGCCTCAGCCTTCCGAGTAGCTGGGATTACAGGCATGTGCCACCATGCCCGGCCTGGCTAATTTTGTATTTTTTTAGTAGAGATGGGGTTTCTTCACGTTGGTCAGGCTGGTCTTGAACTCCTGACCTCAGGTGATCTGCCCACCTCAGGCTCCGAAAGTGCTGGGATTACAGGCATGAGCCACCGCACCCGGTCTATATTTTTCCTTTCTTTAAGTAACAGCTGTTTTAAGATACCATTCACAGATTATATATATATATATATATATATATATATATATATATATGTGTATATATATATATGTATATATTTATGAATATATGTATGTATATATATGTGTATATATGTGTGTATATGTGTATATATGTGTATATGTATGTGTATGTGTATGTATATGTATGTGTATATATGTATATATAAAAGATGTACAATTCAGTGATTTTTAGTATATTGAAAGTTGCACAATGGTCATTACTATGTAATTTCAGGACATTTTCACCTCCAAAAGAAACCCTGTACCCATTAGTCACTCCCAACCCTGGGCAACCACCAATCTACTTTCTGTCTCTGTGGATTTCCCTACTCTGGACATAGCAACAGCATTATTGAATATGTGGTCCTTTCACTCAGCACAGTGTTTGCAAGACTAATCCATGTTGTAGCAAATACCAGGATTTCATTTCTTTTTATTGCTCAGTAATATTCATTGTATGGATATATTGCATTTTATTCATCAGTTGATGGACATTTGGGTTGTTTCCACTTTTTGGCTATCATGAATAATTCTGCTATGAATGTTTGTGTGTGAGTTTCTGTGTAGACATATCTTTTCATTGCTCTTGTGTACGTACTGAGGAGTAGGATTGCTGGGTCCTGTGATTACTCAATGTTTAACCTTTTGAAAGACGCCAGATGGTTTTCCAAAGTGGGTGCCTCATTTATATTCCCAAAAGCAGTAAATGAGGGTTCCAATTTGTCCACATTATCACCAACACTTGTAATTGTGTGTCTCTTTGGTTACAGCCATCCTAGTGGGTGTGAAGTGGTATCTCGTTATGGTTTTGATTTGTAATTCCTTGTCGGCTAACTTGTACATATTTCTTATGCTTTGTAGAAGAAAAATTGCATATTGGATGACATAGCTGTACATGTCTTAGTTCAGGCTGTTATAACAAAGTACCGTAGATTAGTGGCTTATAAACAACAAAACTTTTTTTCTCACAGTTCTGGAGGCTGGGTAGTCTAAGATCAAGGTGCTGGCAGATCCAGTGTCTTGTGAGGGCCAGTTTCTTAATTTGTAGATGACTGTCTTGCTGTGTCTTCACATGGTGAAGAGCAGAGAGAGAGATCCTGTGTCTCCTCTTCTTTTTATAAGGGCATTAATCCCATTCTTGAGGGCTGCACCCTCATGACCTAATTACCTCCCAAAGGCCCCATCTTCAAATACCATCACACTGGGGATTTAGGCTTCAACATATGCATTTTGGGGGGACCCAAACATTCAGTCCAATACCAGTGCATGTTATAAGCATGAATATACAGATACTGTCTTTTAGGTGATTATATTACATATCCCTAAAAGAAACGATAACAACAGCTAACACTTAAGTGCTGTGTTCCAGGCCCTATGCTGAGTGCTTGACAACACAGATCACTCATTTAAACAATTGTGTATTATTATTAATAGAGAGAAGCATAAGTTGACAACATTCCTCTCTAGAAAAAGTTATTCTAGGCATGTGAAGTGAAAGTAGGTTTTTTTTTCCCCTTTATGCCCCAGAGTGTCCTTTTGTCTTCCAGGTGGTGCTCAGCTTAGAGCCTTATTCATATGCAGTAAGGGACTGCTGAATGAATGAAAATTTAACTGACTGAGTAGTACTGTAGTTAAATTAATCCATGTGACCAATTTCCTTTCAATTTCCTAATGGGTCAACATAACTATTAGCTCTTAGTAAGATAATTTTCTCTTCTGTCTGTAGAATTCCTTGGATGAGGATGACGTAGGTCCTACGTCTCCAGGATAGTTGCCCTGGAGAAAGAAGCTGAAGAATGGACCAGACGGGCTGAAGAAGCTGTTGTCTCTATTCAAGATATCACAGTGAATTATTTTAATTAGACAGTAAAAGCATTAGCAGGTGATAATCTAAAAAATGCTTTACGCAGATACGTGTAATTGATTGTCATTTTATTCATATACCATTTGAGTCCCTCTTACGCACTAGGCACTGTGTTTTCTGGGTGGCAAGAATTCAGTGTCAAGCATTAAGAGACATTGTACAGTCTGGTGAAGGGAGAGAAATCTTAATTATCTATTCACTGAAGCACATGGAAAATGGCAGTGACAATAAATGGCACAAAGAAGAGAGACATCGGGCTCTGAGGGTCTGTGAGAGAGAAATTGGGCTTGATCAGGGTGGTCGCTGAAGGCCTCTGAGAAGTGGTGCTTGCCCCAGTAGCTGAAGGGTAAACGGAAGTTGAGAGAATAGAAAAAGTGAGGAGTGTTCCGGGCAGAAGGAATAGCACTGGTAAAGGTCCCCTGGCTTGAGGGAAGTTGGCAAATAGGAGCTTACAGAAAACCTGCAGGGCTGGATCACACAGAGTGCAGGACAGTGTGGCACGAGGGAGAATGCTGGCAAGACAGGCAGGGATCAGACCGTGCAGGGGCTTGCGGGCTGGGTGAAGGACTTTTTTTCAGTCTTAAATAATTGTTAATAAAAACACCAAATAGGAAACAACTTAATGTCTGTCAGTTTGTTAAGTTATGGTACATTCATAAAAGAGAAAACTACATAGCTATTAAGCATGATTCTTGATTTTTTTTATAAATGGCAAGAGTGTCTGATATATTGTGCAGAATCAACAAGATATAAAGCAGAATGATAATCCTGGTTTTTTGGTCAAACTATCCATATGAGCCTGTCTGTCTAGCTAGACATAGAAACAATATGGAAGCAAGTGTGCCAAAATATAAGAAGCAGTTGCCTCAACTAGGTGAGATCATGACTTATTATTGTCCTTTTAAAAATTGAATACCTAAAATTGTATATTAATGACCATGTATTATTTTTATAATAATAAAAAAGTTAATAAAACAAAATTTCTTTTAAAAAAGATGTTCTGCAGGTAGTATGGAAGCAATAAAAAAAGAATTAGCTCATGATCAATGTTTCCCTTTTTAATGAGGTGTAATTATATTTTATTTTTATAATCCAACAGGAATGCAAAAAGAAATGGAACACGATGTGAAGAGATTTGGCCAGGCTGCCTGGGCCACAGCAATTCCCAGGTTGGAAAAACTTAAGCTAATGCTAGCTCAAGAGACTCTGCAACTCATGAGAGCGAAAGAATTGTATTTAAATCGCAAAAGAGCTGAAATTCAGGGAAAGGTAAGACAAAGATAAACGTAACTTTGTTTTAAAACTACACTTTTATTTTATTTATTTTTTTATTTTTTTTGAGACGGAGTCTCGCTCTTTTGCCCAGGCTGTACCGCAGTGGTGCAGTCTCGGCTCACTGCAAGCTCCACCTCCCGGGTTCACGCCATTCTCCTGCCTCAGCCTCCCGAATAGCTGGGACTACAGGCGCCCACCACCACGCCCAGCTAATTTTTTGTATTTTTAGTAGAGACGGGGATACACTGTGTTAGCCAGGCTGGTCTCGATCTCCTGACCTCGTGATCCGCCCGCCTCGGCCTCCCAAAGTGCTGGGATTACAGGTGTGAGCCACCATGCCTGGCCCCACTTTTATTTTTTAAAAAGTTTGTGTAAATAAGGGATACAAGTACTGTTTTGTTCCATGGATATATTGTGTAGTGGTGAAGTTTGGGCTTTTAGTGTAATCTTCACCTGTATAATGTAATTGTACCCACTAAATATTTCTCATCCTCTCTCCCACCCTCTTACTCTTCTGAGTCTCCAGTGTCTATTATTCCACACTGTGTGTGTATACACACTACTTAGCTCCCACTTATAAGTGAGACCATGTGGTAAAGCACACTTTTATTTTTAGATAGCACTTTTCTTTCCAGGCATCGTTAAAGAGCTTCTTTTCTTCACTTATTCTAACACTATCTTCTATGGAAGGTTAGACATAAAGTTTTCCTTTAGTTAAGATGTTTCAAAATACCATATCATAGGATTTACTTTATAGTAACACCGAGCCCAGTATTGAAGTGGGTACTGTACTTGAATATCAATCCAGCAATGTTTTCAGTACAGCTTTAAAATAATCAAAGAGATACTTCACTGAAGGATCATAGACACTTAAGTTTTTTCCTATAATCTTATGACCTTAAAGCAGAAAACACTGTAACCACCTGTCTTAGTTGGCTAAGGCTGCTATAACAAGATTAAATATCACAGATTGGGTGGCTTCAACAACGGACATGTATTTCTCACAGTTCTGGAGGCTGGGAAGTCCAAGATGCCTGCAGATTCACTGTCCGGTGAGGATCCTCTTCCTGTCTGGTAGACAGCTGCCTTCTTAACTGAGTGCTCATATAGCCTTTCTTCTGTGTGTAAGTTTAGAGAGAAAGAAAGTGATCCCTGTCTTTCTCTTCTAATGGCACTAATCCCATGATGGGGGTGCTATCCTTTTGACATAATCTGAACCTAATTACTTCCAAAGGACCCACCTCCAAATAACATCACATTGGGAGTTAGAGTGTCAACATATGAATTTTGTGGGGACACCAATATGCAATACATAATAATACCTCATTGCCATTTATGTTTCTCAAAACCTAAATGTTTTTCTGTTTCAAGGATGAGATAAAATATTAGCATCACTAGATGAAATGAAAAAGTGTTTCTTTCCTATTTGCTTTTTTATATTTAGTATTGAACAAGGAATAGAAAATAGCTAGAATGCTTCTGAAGTTTGTTTTTAATATACTATTTATTTTAACTTATTTTTCTTTTTTCTATGAAAATAAGATGGAAGATCTTCCAGAACAAGAAAAAAATATAAATGTTGTAGATGAATTAGAAATGCAATTTTATGAAATTCAGTTAGAACTATATGAAGTTAAATTTGAGATATTAAAAAACGAAGAAATACTGCTTACTACACAGTTGGACTCTCTTAAAAGACTTATAAAAGGTAAAGTTTATATTTAAGTATATAGATTACAATGTTTATAAATTTAAGGAAATACAGACCATATTATCAATTACTTTTTGTAAACTGTAACATCTGAAAATTTCCTAAAGTTTTCCTTCAGTAGTTTATTATTCAAATAATATATTCATTGTTAGCACATAGCAAAACAAAGAAAGAAAAATGATTATTACTCCAATCCCATCATCTAGAGATGCTTAGTGTTTGGCTGGGCACAGTGGCTCACGCCTATAATCCCAGCACTTTGGGAGGCTGAGGCGGGCGGATCACTTGAGGTCAGGAGTTCCAGACCAGTCTGACCAACATGGTGAAACCCCATCTCTACTAAAAATACAAAAATACTAAACCCTGTCTCTACTAAAAATACAAAGTCCGATGTGGTGGCACGTGCCTGTAATCCCAGCTACTTGGGAGGCTGAGGCAGGAGAATGGCTTGAACCCGTGAGGTGGAAGTTTCAGTGAGCCAAGATCGTGCCACTGCACTCCAGCCTGGAAGACAGAGCGAGACTCCGTCTAAAAAAGAAAAAAAAAAAAAGAGATACTTAGTGGTAACAATTTGCTGTATAACTTTGTAGATTTTAAAATATGCTGATATATAAAAATATAAGTTTTTAACCAAAACTACATAACCAGTTCAGTAACATCTTTTTAAAAATTTTTTAATTTTTATGGGTGCATAGTAGATATATATATTTATGGGTTACATAAGATATTTTGACACAGGCATACAATGCATAATAGTCTCTTTTTCATTTAATACATACTAATTGTCTATTTCAGAAATAATAAAAGTATCAAAATTTTAATGGCTGCATAGTATTCCATTATATGGATATACCGTGATTTCCAAATTTCCGCTGTTTTGAACAGTAGTGTAGTGAACTTTCCTTTACACATGTCTTTTTGAGTATAGGACAGATTATCTCCTTAGAATAAATATCTAAGGATGGAATTACTGGGTCAAGGACAATGTATATTTTACATTTTGCTACGTAATAATACAACAATCATCTGAGATACATTTTTCCTCACCTCCGTATTATTTTCTGATTTCTAAATTTCATACTATGTAGTGGCCCTCTAGATAGGTTGTACATTTAAAATGACGCTCCCAGGCTGGGCGTGGTGGCTCACGCCTGTAATCTCAGCACTTTGGGAGGCTGAGGGGAGCAGATTACTTGAGGTCAGGAGTTCAAGACCAGCTTGGCCAACGTGGTGAAACTCTGTCTCTACTAAAAATACAAAAATTAGCTGGGCGTGGTGGTGGGTGCCTGTAATCCCAGCTACCTGGGAGGCTGAGGCAGGAGAATCGCTTGAACCTGGGAGGTCGAGATTGCAGTGAGCTGAGATGGCGCCACTGCACTCCAGCCTGGGCGACAGAGTAAGACTCTGTCTCAAAAAAAAAAAAAAAAAAAGACGCTCCCATCAGCAGAATATGAGTGTGTATGTTTCCCAGACTCATGCCATTTTTTTGCATTTTTGCTTGCTTGACAGAGAAAATGGCAGTCTTCCAATTTTCATTTATTTAATTATGAATGAATATTGAACAAAATTTTGTATGTTTACAAGCCATTTGTACTTATTTTATGAAATGCCTAGTCATAGTCTTTGTCCATTTTTCTTTGGAATATTTCCTTTCGACATTAAGAATAATATTCTCTATTGTCTGTCATATGTTGCAAATAATCTCTCCTTGTCATTTGCGTTTTCTTGCCTTTCAGAAATATTTAATTTTTATGAAGTCGTGTTTATTGATTTTTTCCCCTATGGCTTCTGCTTTTAGTATTATGTCTGGCAATAGGCTCCTATCCCAAAATTATGTCAATATATACTTATGTTTTCTTTCAGTATGTTTATGATGTTACTTTTTAAAACATTTAATTCTTTAGTCCAGGTGGAATTTATTTTGAATGTGGTAGGAATTGAACCTTTCCCTCAAATTGTTAAGCAGTCCCAATCACTGATTTTAAAAACATTTTCCCTAAATGTTTAACATTTCTCCAGTTAAGCATTAGATTGACTTTGGTCTGTTTCTGAGTTGTTCTCCTCCATTGGTTCGTGAGTGGCTTCTGCTGCTGGCTCCATACTGTTCCCACGACTGTCTTGGAGGCACATTTTAGGGTCTGGTAAGGCAAGTACCCCCCACATTACTTCACAAGTTTTCTGACTATTTTCACTCCTTTATTCTTCCAGATGAAATTTAGAATCAAGTTCAAAACAAAAAACTCTTTGGAATTTTGATTGTGATTTTGCTTAAAATTAGAGATTACTTTGGGGAGAATAGTGGTCTTTGCAATTTTGAATCTTCCTACCCAAGAACATGGTATGTCTCTCTCCATTTATTTAAATCTTTTTTCCTAAAGTTCCTCCAAGTTTAATAAATTTCTTCACATAGATCCTGAACTTTTAGTTTAATCCTGAGTATTCAGAATTTTTTTCAGTAGTTTCAGGTTATAAGCAGTTTACATATTTAGGAAAAAAATTACATTAAAAAACAAGTTAATCTGGAAGGATGCATGCCAAATTGTTCATAATGTTTTTCCTCTGAGAATGACTCAGAAGGTTTGGGGAATGAGCAATAGAATTTCACTGTTTATTTGATGTACTTCTGGAGGGTTTGAATTTGTTACAGTAAGCATGACTTTTAAAAAATCAATATGTAATCAAGATTAAATATCACTAAGGCATCTTAATAATATATTGCTGGTAGAATATAAGTTGCCTTTCTGGAGGGCAGTGTGGCAATGGGTATCAAGATCCTTAAACACTTATCTGCTAAGGAAATGATAAAAAGCGTACACAAAGATTTATACAGAGATGTTCATCACAGTGAAATGAATAATAATGGAACATTGGAACAGCCTAACAACGTGTATTGCTTAAATTAGAGAATACTATGCTGCCATTAAAATTTATCTTTTTAAATTTTTTTTTATTTTTGGAGATGGAGTCTTGCTCTGTTGCCCAGGCTGGAGTGCAGTGGCACGATCTCGGCTCACTGCAACTTCTGCCTCCCAGGTTCATGCTGTTCTCCTGCCTCAGCCTCCTGAGTAGCTGGGATTACAGGCACACGCCACTGTGCCCAACTAGTTTTGTATTTTTAGTAGAGACGGGGTTTTGCCATGTTGGCCAGGCTGGTCTTGAACTCCTGACCCTCAGGTGTGCCGCCTGCCTTGGCCTCCCAAAGTGCTGGGATTACAGGCGTGAGCCACCGCACCTGGCCTAAAGATTTATTTCCATCCCATGGAAAATGTTCTTTTAGAACTCCATTGATATGTGTAGCTATGTAAGTAGTATGTGTATGTGCGTGTGTATATATACGTATGTCTGTACAGGTATATATACATGCATATACTACTTGTATATACACACATGCTACTTAATACATGTGTATAGTCATGTATATATACACGTGTATATGTATATTACATTTATACACATACATTTTTTATATGTTAATAGTGATTCTCAGTGGTGGCATTACAAGTGATCTTTATTTTCCTTACATTTAAAAAAATTGAGTGCATTTTTACAAATAATAAAATATGTTTTAAACAATCATTAATACCTTTTTAGAAAAACAGGATGAAGTTGTCTATTACGATCCATGTGAAAGTCCAGAGGAACTTAGTCATTGACTGTGGTGGGGCTGCAGGACGATAAGAATTCGGAAGTGAAAGAACTCAGAAGGCAGTGCCAGCAGCTGGAGTCTGTTAAACGGAGCAGTCTGTGTCAAAAGAGCTTCTCTCCAGAGTAGAAAGGTAGGTACGCTCAGAGCGGCTTTCTTTTCTTTTCTCTTCCAGAGATTTATTCTTGTATGAAGGATAAAGAGGTATTGAAATAAGGTTTTTACCAACACAGTGATTAATTTTTTGTGTGCTTATGTACTTATCCATGGCTATAGTTAAAATGATTTTTAATATTTTTCTTAAAAATATTATTTTTTTCTTTTGGGTTTTAAGCATTTAGCAAATCTCAAGGTTTTAATTTATTCATTTAACAACTATTTGTTGATTGCCCACTGCATACACAGGCACTTTTATTTTTATTTTTTTGAGACAGAGTCTTGCCCTGTCACCCAGGCTGGAGTGTGGAGGCAAGATCTTGGCTCACTACAACTTCCGCCTCCTAGGTTCAAGCAATTCTCGTGCCTTAGCCTGCCAAGTAGCTCGGTTTACAGGCACGCGCCACCACGCCCAGCTAATTTTTGTATATTTTGTAGAGACGGGGTTTTGCCATGTTGGCTAGGCTGGTCTTGAACTCCCGACCTCAAGTGATCCGCCCACCTTGGCCTCCCAAAGTCCTGGGATTACAGGTGTGAGCCACTGCCCCTGGACCACAGGTACTTTAAAAACCACAATAGGTAGAAACTCTATTTCTAATAACCAACTATAACAATTCTAAATATATTTTACTGTAAATTATTGAGTACACAAAACAATAACAGGTCAGCTCACCTCAGATTTAATACTTAAACATTAAAGAATATCAACCTACTTGCAAGAAACTTAACAAAACCTAAGGAACATAATACAAATAAAACTTTACCTATCCAGATTATAAGCTGGATATTATAATATCCAGGAAAATATCCAGGATGTTAGAATGGCTTGAAACAGAATTGAAAATTTTTGAGCTATAAGACACATAGGAGAAATTTTAAGTTCATTTTTTTTGGATGAGACATTTATTAGTCTCAACAAGACTGAATGATTTTCTTTTAAGGTCACACATTTAAATAGTTAACAGGAGAAATACCAACCAGAATCATAGTCAAATACCCACCTACTCCCTTTCCAAGACAACTAAGGTCTCAAATTGCGCCCATTTTTCTCAAATTATTTCTAGAATATTTAGCAAAAGAGGCTTTTAATTTGGCATATCTTTGTCTACAATTTTGTAGTTTGTGTAAAGAAAGGTAGATTAAGGGAATTTCATTTTAAAGGTGAGAATCAGAATGACATTTGTGAAGCTATGATGCCTGTGCCATCTGGCATACACGAGGGTGTAGTACTAAATGGGATCAGAATGAGCTCCTTTTGGAAGGAAACCTTTAATAGACTGGGAAACATTAAGGGAATCTTCCCTTTTTTATTTATTTTATTTTATTTTATTTTATTTTATTTTATTTTAGATGGAGTCTCACTCTGTTGCCCAGGCTGGAGTGCAGTGGCGCAGTCTCGGCTCACTGCAAGCTCCGCCTCCTGGGTTCACGCCATTCTCCTGCCTCAGCCTCCTGAGTAGCTGGGACTACAGGTGCCCGCCACCACGCCCGGCTAATTTTTTGTATTTTTAGTAGAGACGGGGTTTCACCGTGTTAGCCAGGATGGTCTCGATCTCCTGACCTTGTGATCCACCCGCCTCAGCCTCCCAAAGTGCTGGGATTACAGGCGTGAGCCACCGTGCCCAGCCTCTTATTTTTAATAGAGCATTGGAAAATGAATTCTGTATACCTGGTTAATGAAGGAAATCCAGATTCGTTGCCAAAACCAAGTTTTAAAGGAATTTGCAATCCTTCACAGTTCATTCAAGGAGGCAATGGAAATTTTGATGAAGAAATTTTTTTAAATCTTTCTTAAAAGGAGTCCTTACATTGGTATTGTATCATGACTAAAGTCTTCCTCCCTCTCTCCCTTCTATGCTTTTTGTTTCTGTTTTCTATCTGTCAATGACATCAGTTTCATGGATATAAATGGTTAAAAGACAATGATTACAACACACAGTTGAGTGACACAAATCTTGTTGTAGTGTTAGAAATACATCAATACATTGGGATCATAAAGAGAAATGGCAAGAAAAAAAATCTAAGTTAATAACAGAAAATGCTGATTCCCACAGTCAGTGTAGAAAATAACACGTTTTTTTTTCTGTCAGTGGAGATAACTGAGACTAGTTAATATTGTCAATTCTGTTCCTTCTGACTGAGCCAGGTGAGGCAAAATTTAGCATATGAGTTGAGGGACAAAACTATTACCTTGGCAACATAAAAATTAATACTGTCTACATTGTTTACTAGGAAATGCATGCAAAATTAATACACTCTTGGTAGTACAGGTTGGTTTCACTTCTATAGTGTGTGGTTAATAGAAAGCTGATTCAACAGACGATAGATTCAACAGACGATGTAGAATTGTCTAAAATCCGGCCGGGCGCGGTGGTTCACGCCTGTACTCCCAGCACTTTGGGAGGCCGAGGCGGCAGATCACAGTGTCAGGAGATCGAGACCATCCTGGCTAACATTGTGAAACCCCGTCTCTACTAAAAATACGAAAAAATTAGCCGGGAGTGGTGGTGGGCGCCTGTAGTCCCAGCTACTCGGGAGGCTGAGGCAGGAGAATGGCGTGAACCCAGGAGGCGGAGCTTGCAGTGAGCCGACATCGCGCCACTGCATTCCAGCCTGGGCGACAGAGCGAGACTCCATCTCAAAAAAAAAAAAAAAAAGAATTGTCTAAAATTCATCATCAGTGAGTCCATGGCATGTTTTGGAATTTATTCACTTGTTTGCCTCAGGAACAGTAGCTGTTCAGATTTGTTCTGTCTTTGATTTTGGAAATGAGGTTACCGTGCTCTGTAGTGTGAGGAAGATGACATGGCATAATTAGGCAAACGGCTAGGCATTTTCTCAGCAGTAAATTACCAGTGCCCTTACTTGCCATGATACCCACAACAGGCAGAGGCAGTTTCCTGAGGCAATCCAGGCCACAAAGAACTGTACATTTGGGGAAAACATATCTTCAAATATATATGTTAAAATCTAAAAAATTGGTTAGTATGTATTACTTTTGTGGATACTTAAACATTCCCTATGCATAAAGACCTAGTTAAAGAGATGCAGGCTTTTGGCATGTTAAATAACTCCTTGATGAGAAATCACACTACGAATAATAAATATTACTTAATAAAAATGAAAAATAATGAGATTAGTTACTATTGAACTATTCTTGCTTAGAATGCCCCTGAATTTCAGTCATTGAAATTCACTTGTACCTGGGTAAGTTACAAGTTCTTATTTGTGCTGGTTTCTGTTCCATTGGCAATTAAAATTTTGGTAAGTTGAATAAAAGATCTTTCTAAAAAGGGAGTTTTTTTTTTTTTTTCTTTTTTGAGGGGGACGGAGTCTCGCTCTGTCGCCCAGGCTGGAGTGCAGTGGCACGATCTCGGCTCACCGCAAGCTCCACCTCCGGGGTCCATGCCATTCTCCTGCCTCAGCCTCCTGAGTAGCTGGGACTACGGGCGCCCGCCACCACGCCCGGCTAATTTTTTTTGTATTTTTAGTAGAGACGGGGTTTCACCGTGTTAGCCAGGATGGTCTCCATCTCCTGACCTCGTGATCCGCCCTCCTCAGCCTCCCAACGTGCTGGGATTACAGGTGTGAGCCATCACGCCCGGCCAAAAGGGAGTTCTTATATTGGCAGTGTATCATGATTAAAGTTATCCTCCCTCTTTCTCTCCCTCCCACATATATATTTTCGTGTCAGTATATGTATATGTGATTTGTGCCATTTGTGTGTGTGTAGGTAAATGAAAGTGGCATCAAGAGAATCTCACGTTAAAAAAAATTTGAGATAGTACAATTCTTATGCATCATATGTTGCATAATGTTTGACTATTAAGAAATTTGCATCACACGTCTACTTATTTCATTAAACATGTTACAGTCAATTAATTTACTTACACCCTCCATTTCCTTCTTCCCCCTCTCTCGTTCTCCTGTTGCAGGGTCATTATACGTTCCTACTCACAAAATGTCCTTGTTTTTTCCCTTACTCCTGTCATTGATCTTCTGAATCTTTCCGGCGAACTTAACATGGATGTTTTGATAGAAAGCTCTGGCATTAACTCTGGAGTTGTTTTGCAAGGAAGGTTGTTCGCTTTTTCACCATTTTTTTTTCAGGTCCTTGAAGTGTTTTCACATAGATATTTCACAAGAGCCATTTCAGAATTGAGAACATTTGGCGTGCACTCTTCCTCTTTTGGTCCCACAGTTTTTATGTGTCCTACTTGAAATTATGTTTGCTCCCGTTTCAATTGTAATATTGCACTTACTCATTAGTTTTTAGTTTGAACTCTCCTGCGAGGTCTAATGTAGAGTTTGGACAAGAACACAGATTCATAATAAACCTACCCAGTCAATTTGGTATAAAGGCTTAGAAGGTGGAACTGGCCACATTTTGAATTGGAGGTAAGGATCAGGAATGCTAATGGAGAGACATAGGATTTTCTTATGGAAACAAGAAACAAATAACCTCTGGGCAGTATTAGAGCCCAGAGAGTGATAAGCCTCTTCTAACTTCAATATTCTATGTACAAATTCACAAGACTTTTTTTTTTCTTTCTTTTTTTTGAGACGGAGTCTCACTCTGTAGCCCAGGCTGGAGTGCGATGGCGCGATCTTGGCTCACCACAAGCTCCCCCTCCCGGGTTCACGCCATTCTCCTGCCTCTGCCTCGTGAGTAGCTGGAACTACTGGCGCCTGCCACCACATCCAGCTAATTTTTTTGTATTTTTAGTGCAGACTGGGTTTCACCGTGTTAGCCAGGATGGTCTGGATCTCCTGACCTTGGGATCCGCCCGCCTCGGCCTCCGAAAGTGCTGAGATTACCGGCGTGAGCCACTGTGCCCGGCCGAGACTTTTAATTATGCAATGCCAGACTGCATTGCATAAACCAAAGGCCAACAGAGAGGTGACCTTTCAAATTACTGGCACAAGAAGAGCTGAGATCAGAAAGCTCCAACTTAATGCAAACATCGACAAGAAATCTGACAGAAATGACTTCTGTGTCTGGTCAACTTAACATAACATGACATATTGTCAAGCGCATTTGGCTTTTTAGGTAGAATTGTCTATAAAGGTTTAACTGCTTTAGAAAATATAAATGTGAAGATTTGTGGTATTTGGGTTTATATATAAGATATTTCTACATTGAAAAGAGACTGGAAAAGCTTGGTATAAGATTTGTAAAATATGTTTGTAATAATGCTAATGGAAGAGGTGAGATTTGGGTGGGGTGGGGTGTAGATGGGAACATGGTTTGGGGATTGGGGAAAGGGAAGTCATGCTGTTAATAAAATAGTGAGGCATGTTGTATAAAGTGTGTTTTATGTCTCAATTGAAATGTTATAGAGATAAATTTAAAATAGATCATGATGGGTTTTGAATCTGATTTCTAATTTTAAAATGTTATGAGCTTTTGTTGCTTTCCTATTTCATACACATTTCTTTATGGGTTTCACTTAGACTGCATGAAATTGCAGATGCCAATTACCTTTTAACAAAATTAAATTCACATATATGTATAATTTGCATGTATATATTCATGGAATTTTTTATTCTACACGATATATTATTTTAAAATGGTTTTTCAATGACAAAATAAAAAGTATTTTTCTATACTTTCAGTTTTCTGGTTTGAATTTTTTCTGGCAACACTAATTTTCACCTACCTATACTCATTGATAGTATAAAATTGTATAAGTGCATATTTTACCATGTTTACATTTGAATGGATGACTGGAGGTACATCTATGATGACTAATACTTTCTAAACACATATTTACTTCTCATATATCTGTCTAAATGATTTTAAAAGGAAGGGGAAAATAGAGATGTATCATTAGGTATACTGTCTTAAAGCACATTGAGCTGCTCTCATGTCTGGAGAATTTTGAATGTGATGAATGTTTCTCTTTCACCGCTAACAGGTTGTATGTGTGAGCCACATTTTATTGCAAGTGTTTGAAAGGCCATTGCAAATATGGGATATTGCCAGACAGTAAAAAGCAAATTGAGTCTATTGAGAAATTAATTCACCAGCTGAAGGAAGTACATTTGCCTTAGAGTCATCAGATATTCTACTCACCAGACTCATCTCCGAGATAGCATCCTAATGAGCTTCCTAAACCAACTAAACATAAGCAGGAAGCATCAGTCGTCAAAACTGACTCTTTTCAGCCAATCAGCTGACTGCACAAACTGTATGGCATTGAGGAAAGGAAGAACATTCTGAAAGTTTTTTTCTTTTTTCATTCTGTCCTCATTCTGTTGGTTTCTCAGTTTTACGGATGCAGGATCATGTACAGAACCCTGTAAATGAGCATAGTTCGTTTAAGTATATAAAGTGCTTTCAGTGGATAAAATGAATTTTAACAGGCTTAAGTGATGTGCCTAAATGCACACAATTAATGCATGGCTGGAATTCAAAATCATGTCTTTTCCTCTGTTCTGATTGTTTTATAAATATGGGTTGTTTTAATGTGTGGCTGGAATTCAAAATTGTGTCTTTTCCTCTGTTCTGATTGTTTTATAAATACAGGTGTAGTGATTGATTTTCTACCCACCATGACAGGGAATAGGTTCAAAACTTAAAACCCTGTTTGTTTTATAATTAGGTAGACTCAAATGACAGATCAAGGCAGGGAGGGGAGCCAGTCATTTTTACTCCCATATGGGTTTGCTCCTTCAAAGACAGGACTGGGGTAGCAGTGTCAGTTCCTACAGGTTATAACGATCTTAATGATAAATAACCGTAACTGAATACTTATAATGTGCTAGCACTTTTCATAATGTATCCCAATAATACTCACAAAACCTTCCAAATATTACCTTTTTGTTGTCTTTGTTTTATTTTGTTTTGTTTTGAGACAGGGTCTCACTCTGCTGCCCAGGCTTTAGTGCAGTGATGCAATCATGGTTCACTGCAGCGTCAAACTCCTGGGCTTAAGCAATCCTCCCACCTCAGCCTCCCAAGAAGCTGAGACTACAGGCATGCACCACCACTCCCAGCTCCAAATAAATATTCTTATCCCATTTTACTGATGCAGAAAAATGTTTGGCCCAGAGAAGTAATGTTAAGTTTATTGGGGGATTTAAGTTGTAAAAAATTATTTTATCGAACCCTAATGTAAACTGTGGACTCTGGGTGATAGTGATGTGTCAGTGTAGGTTCATCGATTATAGCAAATGTATCATTCTGGTGCAGGATGTTGACAGTGGGGGAAGCTGTGTATGGGAGTAGGGAGTCTATGGGAACTCTTCTACTTTCCACTCAATTTTGCTGTGAGCCTAAAACTACTCTAAAAAATGAAGTTTATTCATCAAGAAAAAAATTCTTATGTTTTATGAATATATGGGACAGCTATTCATGTATGTGGTAAAAATGAAGAGATTTGTTACAGTACTCGGCAGGAGTGTGTCTAATCGACTGATATTCATGTGTCACTTATAAAAACTGGCTTCATTATCTATAGATTCATTTCATTGGTGTATGTTCGCTTAAGGGCACACACATGGAAACCCTTTGGTGTTATTAGAGGTCTGTTGGGAGGGCTCCTCTTTGGTGGAAGCTATGTCTGTTTCTCAGAAGTGATTTAAGAGTAAGATGTGAAATAGCACTTGTCCCCGAGGATGGAGCCAACAGAGCACAGAGCATAGGGGAGTTATGTGATGCTGTCTCTGAGGGACTGGAGAGAGGAATATAAAGAGCTTATCCCTTAAGAAAGAATAGGGGAGGACTTCCTTGCCTGATATCTCAGATCATGAAGCCACAGTTCTCTGCCTGCTTTAGAGAAAAAAAAAATAACAGACTTTTTGCAAAAATCAATTATTGAACATATTCCTATATTCTAGATTTATAATGAAGTATTTTTGTACATATTCATTAAAAAGAGTAATTAGAACATTTTTCTCTGGTTTATAGTAACTAGGATGGCAACACAGATATATCTTGGAAGTATTTCGTGGTATGATTCTTCAACATAAAATTATTTTTCAAAACTTCTTAGAAGTCTCCAGGTACTCAGGAATAAGGTCATTTTAAATTATTCCTTATTGACTATAAGAAAAATAATTAGGCAAGATCACAAAATAAATGTTTAGACTGTTTCTCCTGTTTCCTGATTTTCAGGTTATTTTTTATCCCAATTTTATTTTGCTGTATAGTCATAAATTTCATCTTTGAAATGAAGCATATAATCACTTTTTTTGTTTGTTTGTTTTTTTGAGATGGAGTCTCGCTCTGTAGCCCAGGCTGGAGTGCAGTGGCGCAATCTAGGCTCACTGCAAGCTCTGCCTCCCGCGTTCACGCCATTCTCCTGCCTCAGCCTCCTGAGTAGCTGGGACTACAGGTGCCTGCCACCACGATCGGCTAATTTTTTTGTATTTTTTGTAGAAACGAGGTTTCACCGTGTTAGCCAGGGTGGTCTGGATCTCCTGACCTCGTGATCTGCCCACCTCGGCCTCCCAAAGTGCTGGGATTACAGGCGTGAGCCACAGCGCCTGGCCGTGCTTTCTATTTTATATGCTGTTTTTGTGTTTCTTTTTCATCCCTGATCTTCAGTTAGCTGCTGGCATTTTACTTGTTCCCAACTAATTTTTCTTCTAATGACTTGAAAAGTATATGTTTAGTTCCTATATCTTTATATTTTTATACACATAGCTACACATATGATTGACATCCAGAGCTAATCGTATAGATAAAATGAGACTCCTAGCATGCTTTTACTTCTCTCTCCTTCCTCCTTTCCAGACTTCATAACTTTCCATCCCGAGTTATTTCAGATTTTAGTTTTTTATTATAGGTTTATTTTTATAATTTAGACTTAAAAGTAAACTTCACTGATTATCTTGCTCACCTGTGCTTCTTATATCCCTTTTTTTCTTCCCAGATTTATTTTCTTTTTGAATATATTTTCTACACCATGGTTTCTCAACCAGAGGTGATACAGCACTGTCTCCAAATGTGGAGCTGTTGTGTATTGTCACGGGGAGGAGAAATGCTACTGGCATTTAGTGGATGATGGTCAAGGACACTAAGCAACCTGCAATGTGTGGATCAATCTTACACAACGAAGGACTGTTCCACCCCAAATGCCAATGGTACCCTGTTGAGAAAGGTTAGTCTATGTGGACAGTGAATTATAAACTTTTTGAATCTGTTTTTGGGTCTTAAAATGTCTTTATGATGCCCTCACATTCACTTGCACTTTGGCTGGTTAAACAATATTAAAAGAAAACTTCAAATTAAATGGAATTTAATTGAGCAAGAAAAAAAAACAATTCCCAAGTTGGGCAGCCTCCAGAACCACAGCAGATTCAGAGAGACTTCAGGGATGCCTCATGGTCAGAACAAATGTATAGACAAGAAAAGGAAAGTGACACACAGAAATTGAAAGTGAGGTAAAGAAACAGTTGGATTGGTTACAGGTTGGCATTTGCCTTATTTGAACACAGTTTGAACCCTCAGCAGTGTATGAGTGATTGAAGTATAGTTGCTGGGATTGGCCAAGACTCAGCTGCTGTTACAGATGCATACTCCTAAGCTAGGTTTTCAATCTTGTCTATTAAGTTAGGTTATGGTTAGTCCACAAGGACTCAAATACAGAAGTACAGAGTCCTCAGGCCATATTTAGTTCGCTTTAACAAGAATCATAAGTTCACAAGTATTTTCACCAGAAAACTGTAAAGACATTATTCTGTTTTCTTACTTACCATGTTGCCAATGTGAAGTCTGGTATCGATCTTATTCCATCCCACACAATTGTTTTCACGCTGAAAACATTCAGTTTCCTCCTTATCCTTAGTATCCTGAAATTTTATCATGATTTACTTACATGTCAGTCTTTTTACATTCTTCCTGTAAATATTCACTGGTTCCTCTCAATATGAGTATTTCCAATTTCTAAGAAATTGTCTTAAATTTTTGCCTTGTTTTAGGCACTCTCCTTCCTTAATTTTCTTCTCTCCTGTAATTCATATTAAGCAGATAGTGGAACTTTTACAGCTGTCATTCATGTCTCATAACATTTTGTTCATTCTTTCCATCTATTGTTTTGCACTGCATTCTGGGAGAATTACTTAGCATGATATTCTGGTTCACTGATTTACTCTTCAATCCATTTTGCTATTCAACCCATCTATTGAGATTTTTATTTCAAGAATAAAATTTTTTAATTTCTAAAACCTTGATGCATTTTTAATTTTTTTTAAAAATGAAAGCAGTAAGCTCTGCCATTTGTCCAAGGTATATAATGATACTTATTCCATAGTCTGTTTCTTTTTTTTTTTTTTTTTTGCTCTGTCGCCCAGGCTGGAGTGCAGTGGTGCGATCTCGGCTCACTGCAAGCTCCACCTCCCGGGTTCACGCCATTCTCCTGCCTCAGCCTCCCAAGTAGCTGAGACTACAGGCGCCTGCCACCACACCTGGCTAATTTTGTTGTAGTTTTAGTAGAGACGGGTATTCACCATGTTAGCCAGGATGGTCTCAATCTCTTTACCTTGTGATCCACCCGCCTCGGCCTCCCAAAGTGCTGGGATTACAGGCGTGAGCCACCGTGCGCGGCCGCAAACTCGTTTCTTAACTGTACGTGGATTCTCCTTCATCATACAACATCTAGATCTGTGGAACTGAACCAAACCTAGAAAATGGGCAATAGGCTACCACTGTCAGATACGTATTTGCCAGATTCAGAGATTCTGTTTTTACTTCTAAAAATTTAAATAGACAAGACTTTGAGAGTTGACAGAATCACCTTGACTTGTCATTCTCTGCCCCTCCCTACTAAGTACAATTATAAACACTGAGAATAGTAAAAGGAACAGCTACAGGAGAATTCTGAAAGGTGGTAAGAGGAAGGTGAATTGGTCGGGGCCTCGATTCTGGAGGCACAAAATACAACCCCCATCCAACAAGAGAGGTGATCCAGGCTTGACAATTCCCACCTCCCAATGTAGTAACAGAAGGGAGCTCAAGTAGGCTCATTCTTCTGCAACAAATGAGAGTTCTGCCAGAAATAGCAGGCAAGCAGAGGAGAACCAACAATGGAGACGGGTTGATTAGAAGCCCTGTTAACGGTAAGCTGCCAGAAAACTCTACTTTTTCACCAAGTGTGAGACACCATTTTCTCTACGTCTCTACTCCTCTCCTTCCACCCCTGTTCCCAAGCCCTTGGTTGAGGGCACTAGCAACTGGAATTGCCAAAATCCAACTTTCCAATTCTTTCCCACAAAGGACACAACTCACCTCCTTCACCAGAGACACTGCACAACCAAGGGCACAGGGAAGGGAATTCACACTGCAATGTGCACTTGGCCAGGGAAGCACTCTGCCCCTGTAGGACGGAGTCTCCATTCATTCACTTAGAGATACAGACAACTGATCCTGGGGAAGCTCCATCAGAAACCAGTAGGAGCCCCAGTGGAATGATATTTTTTTAAAAAGCAAACTAAAATAGCTCTGCAAAGACTGAAAATTAAATTGTCGTAGGAGTCAAATCCTTCAAATTAGGTCCAGACCGGCATGCTGAATCCAAAAAGGTGAATGCTTACTAAAATTAAACAAAATGTAAATAGAACCCAGATTTCCTAACATAATATAAAAAATGCGCAAGGCACAGGGAAATGGGAATTGAAATGACAAAAGGCAATCAGTTGATGTTAACAGTGAAATAAACCACATGTTGGAATTATCTGACAACAATTTCAAAGCAACCAGCATAAAAATGGTTCAAGTAATAAAAAAATTATCTTAAATGAAAAAATGGAATATTCTAGCAAAGAAATAGGAGTTATAAAAAAGAAACAAGACATTCATGAAACAGATAAATGCAGTAACAGAAATTAAAAGCTTTCTAGGTGGGCTCAATAGTAGAGGGTGGAGGGCAGGAGATATGATCAGTGAACTTGAAAATGTGTAGAATTTCCCTAATCTGAACAATAGAGGAAATAGACTGAAAATAATGAACAGAACTTCACAGACCAATAACAAAAGATCCAACATTAATATTATCGGAGTTGGGGAAGAAGAGGAGAAAGTCAGTGGGGCTGAAAGAGTATTTGAAGACATAATGGGTAAACATTTCCCAAATTTGTTAAACGAAATACACTCAGATTCAAGAAGTTTAATATATCCCAAATAGTATGAACCCAAAGAAATATATACCAGGACACATCATACTAAACTTCTGAAAAGACAGAAAATATTGAAAGCAGGCACAGAAACATGACTTGTTATCCTTAGGGGCACATGAATTGGAATGACAGTGAATTTCTTATCTAAAGCCATGGGGGCAAGTAGGAAGTGGCACAATATTTTTCAAGTGCCAAAAGAAAAGAACTGTAACTGTTGATCTACACAAATGTTGATGAATTTAAAAGATGTTATGCTAGATTAAAGGATGTAATGTTTAAAGTTAAACATTAAGTTGACTTGGTAGATAGCTGGTAAAACATTTCTAAGTGTGTGAGGGTGTTTTTGGAAAATAGTATTTGTTTATATTTTTTGTTTTTGGAAGTGTGCAATTACTTTAGTTTTTTTCAGCTTTATTGAGGTATAGACAAAAGATTAGTATTTGATTCAATAGACAAACAAGATCTGCCCTCACAAATGTGGGCAGGCATCACCTAGTTCATTGAAGGCCTAGATAGAACAAAAAGGGCAGAGGAAGTGCAAATTATCTTTCTCCTTGAGCTGGGACATACTTTTCCTGCCCTTAGACATCATATCTCCTGGTACTCAGGTCTTTGGACTCAGACTGGTAGTTTCACCATTCACTCTGTTGGTTCTCAGGCCTTTGGACTCAGACTGAATTGTGCCACCAGTTTTCATAGGTCTGCAGGTTATAGGTGGCATATTGTGGGATTTCTTGGCCTTCATAATTATGTAAGCCAATTCTGATTATAGATCTCCTCTTATCTCTGCACCTATCCACAGAGATAGAGAATCTATTATCTATCTACAGGGATAAGAGTGATATGCACAGGCGACAGGGAAATACTGGGTAGAAGAGGCGGTTCCCTGTCAAAGGCCCCACCCTGAAGCCAGGAAACCTGCAGCCCTAAATGGGAACAGTCATTCCTGTTTTTGCACCCAGCTGTTGCCTTTTGGCCCACCATGCCCCCCTCTCCTGAACCCTTATAAACCCCAAGTCCCAGGCTTCACAAGCAGAAGAGCAGAGGGTTGGAAGAGCAGGGTGGCAGAGAAGGAGAGAAGAGAAGGAACGTCTGAACATCGAGAGGTGGTTGGCTGGGGATGGTTGGAG
The DNA here is from genome assembly GCF_000001405.40 of Homo sapiens. NCBI lineage: Eukaryota > Metazoa > Chordata > Mammalia > Primates > Hominidae > Homo > Homo sapiens. The sequence continues at coordinate 2,640,790 of NW_011332701.1, read as the reverse complement.
AACAGATTGGCCACGGGATGGCCAAACTCCAGAGGAAGATCATCTTCCTACTGCAACTCCTCTCCAGCTCCCCATCCACCCCGCTGAGAGCCACTTCCGTCTGGCAATAAAATCCCCCACATTTGTCATCCTTCAATTTTTCCATGTCACCTGATTCTTCCTGGATGCCAGGCAAGGACCTTGGTACCAAGAGGGCACTGAGCTGGTTAACACTTAAGTGGTCTGCAGATGGCAGAGCTAAAGAGTACTGTAATATGCCCACTGGAGCTTTGGGAGTTGCAGGCACCCACCCATATATGGTAACGTGGGGCCAGAGTCCAAAAGTGCTTGCCCCAGCTCCTACACCTCCCTGTCTGCGTGCTTCCCCTCCCATGAGGGGTTTGAGCAGGAGGCAGCAGAACAGATGAGCCACACCCACCAATCATCCTGTGTAGGGGATAAGGGAACTCTCCTGTTTCAAGAGGAGATATGAGATACAGATAGGTAGCTAGCTAGCTGTGTACCTATCTACCTATCTACCTATCTATATCAGATTGGTTCTATTTTTCTGGAGAAACCTGAATAATACAGATTTTTGCCCCAAGAGTGGATCTAGAGGAACAGAATTTTAAGGATAAATTCTGTGAATTGGTTTTGAGGTTTCTGGAATTGTTTCTCTAATATGATTAAACTTGAAAATACTAATGACTTTACTTTCAGTGGTAAGATATTACTGATAGTCCATGACGTGAATTTTTTATTGAGATACCCAAAATATCTGCATTGGATAGTCCTAGTCAACTAAAGTAATGCGATATATAATACTTTCAAAAGATTTTGGAAAACTAAGGAAAATAATGACAATAATTCCCAGCTCAAGCACCACACAGATGACCTAAGACCTTCTAGGTGCACCCTGAGGGAGAGTGTTAGGTCTTGTAGCTTCAGGGCTGAAATTGCTGAAAATCAAATGCAAGACTTTATCCTGTGATTGGCTGAATTACAAGGCAAATATAACTCCCAGCCTCACAGGGTGCCCACTGATAAAGTGAGGGCATTGACTGGGAAAAAAATGGGATCCTGTAAATTGGGATGGAAAGCCTTGGTAAAGCTGGGAACATTGAGCCCCTCTGATGAGCCTTTGTTGCCCATGTCAACTTAAGGAAAGAAAATGAGGCAAAATTAATATAAGTAGAGAGTTTATATGGGCCAAGATTAAGGACTGCAGCCTAGGAGTAATAGATTCAAGTTGCCCTACATATATACCCAGATTAGCAGCAGTTACAAGTGGGTGTTTAAGAGAAAAAATAAGCTGGGGGCAGTTTCTAAGTTGCTTATCAATAATCTACATAGGTTCATTAAAATAACACAACACAAACTATTTGTTGGCTATGCATTGTTTTTGTATCACAGATTCCAGGAACATGAAGATATTGGGTGAGGGCCACATTGTGCAACTTATGGTAATGTTTTAGGAAATTTATCCGCTAGTCTGGAAACTGCAGGAAAGGAAAGAAAGCCAAAGTGCCTTTAAACAATTATGCCCAGGCACGGGTGCCAGGACATGAGTGAAGCCTCGTGCTCATCTCTCAGGGCCCGATAAATTTTGCAGACCTCACATTTCTAAGACGACTCGGAGCCACTTTTCTTTCTCACCAGTGGAACAGGTCTCCCTACCACCAGCAGAAGTAGCCACCCCACCCTTGGCAAAAGTGAATTCCCCAACCCCAGAGGAAGTGCCTCCCCATCCCCAGTGGCATCAACCTTTCCACCTCTGTCTGAGGGGATAACCCTGCACTGCCTGAGGAAATGGGAATGGCCTCCCGTAAGGCAGCTGTGGAGCAAGACAATGCTGATTCTCCTTAGGAGCCACCCCACCACCCCTCTTTGCTTTTAGGCCAAGTTCATCCAACCTGTGGCCTGCAGGCCACATGTGGCCCAAGACAGCTTTGAATGCAGTCCCATACAAATTCGTTAACTTTCTTAAAACTATGAAATTTTTTGGCCAGGCGCGGTGGCTCACGCCTGTAATCCCAGCACTTTGGGAGGCCAAGGCAGGCAGATCACGAGGTCAGGAGATCGAGACCATCCTGGCTAACATGGTAAAACCCCATCTCTACTAAAAACACAAAAAATTAGCCGAGTGTGGTCTCCGGAGCCTGTAGTCCCAGCTACTTGGGAGGCTGAGGCAGGAGAATGGCGTGAGCCCAGGGGGAAGAGCTTGCAGTGAGCCGAGATTGCGCCACTGCACTCCAGCCTGGGCGACAGCGAGACTCTGTCTCAAAAAAAAAAAAATTATGAAATTTTTTTGCTATTTTCTTTTTTTAGCCCATCAGCTATCATTAGTGTTACTGTAGTTTATGTGTGGCCCAAGACAATTCTTCTTCTAATGTGGCCCAGGGAAGCCAAAAGATTGGACACCCATATTCTAGACCTATAAGTAGACTCCAGTCCCGCAATCCCCTAAGGTGAGTTACAGAGTATGATCTCTGAGGAGGCTGACTACATCCAGGAACAGGTAGGAAACTGGGGAACATGTGTGGGAATGGATATTAGGGGTGTGAAAGGAAAATAAATATTGGGATGCCAAACTCATTAAGCCGAAGGGAAAAGTTAAGCTGGGAACTGGGTCATGCAAACCTGCCTCCCCTTTTGCTTCCTAACTAAGATGGCTACAAGATGAAAATCTTCATGCCTCCCCCACATTTTGTCCATGAGGAAATTCCTAGTGAGCTCCAAGATCTTTACCCTAAGGTGTGTCTGTTAAAATTTCACCATGATAATGTCAATTGTCTTTACAGTGCAGTCACCCCCCTGCCCTCCAGACACAAATGCATATCTGATCGGTCCCCTGCCCCATTTTGTCTGTTATCTTATGTAAAAATGCAGATTCCAGCATTTTTCCTCTGCCCCATTTGTCTATGTCATCTTATGTAAAACAATGCAAATTCACTGAGCCAGACACATAAATGAATATTTTTCCCTACCCCACTCTCACATGAAAATTGTGTACCTCTCAATATCCTGCCCTTTCCTCTTTAAATTTGGAGCCCTCAAAATCATCTTTGAAGAAAGGCATAGACCTGTCTCCTGGGCATGCATCCTTAACTTTGGCAAATAAACCTCCTAAAATGATTGAGATTTGTCTCATCATTTTTCTCGATTGACAGGGGTATGAGACAATGGTGGAAGGAACATAAAGTTCCCCGTTTGTTGATACGGTCCCACAGAGCAGAGATTCTGCATTTAATGTTGTAGTTCAGGGAGTTACAAAAGGCTCTACCAGTTTGGTTTGTTGGCTGCAATCTGGATCAAAAGATGTCCCACTGTGAGTGAATTGGAAATGCCAGATATCCCTTGATTTAATGTAGAGGAAGGGATTCAAAGACTAAGGAAAATTAGAATGATGGAGTTAACTTATCATTTAGGAATTACTCATTCACACAGGGAAAGCCCAGAATACATACCTTTCGCCAATACTTAATGAAATGAATTTGTGACAAGAGACCTAGCTATTTTATGCTATGTTATGTTATGTTATGTTATGTTATGTTATGTTATGTTATGTTATGTTATGTTATGTTATGATGTAGCAGGATGAGCCTCAGACAAAACCTCTCAGACACCGAGTTGTAGAAGGAAGGGCTTTATTCAACTGGGAGCATCAGCAAGCTACTGCCTTAAAATCCGAGCTTCTTCGAGTGCACAATTTCCATCCCTTTTAAGGGCTCACAACACTAAAGATTTCATGTGAAAGGGTCGTGATTGATTGAGCAATCGAGGGGATACATGACATGGGTTTCATGCACTGGTGGTCAGAGTGAAACAGAACAGAGCAGGGAGTTTCATAATATTCTTTTATACAATGCCTGAAATCTATGGGTAACATCGGGTTCTAAGTCATGAGTTGATTTTTAACTACTAGGTTTAGGCCGGGCAGGCCCAGGCCTGGTTTTGGGCCTGGTGCCAGGCTGCCTGTCTTTGATTTCACTTCCTTGTTTTTTTTCTTTTTTCTTTAAACAGGTACTGAGTATGAAACAATATAAAACAATATGAGAGGGTCTTTGTCTTCCCTCAATGAGATGGAGTCTCACTCTGTTGCCCAGGCTGGAGTGCAATGGCACAATCTCAGCTCACTGCAACCTCCACCTCTTGGGTTCAAGCGATTCTCTCACCTCAGCCTCCGGAGTAGCTGGGATTACAGATGCGTGCCAACATGCCCAGCTAATTTTTGTATTTTCTGTAGAAATGGGGTTTCACCCTGTTGGCCAGGCTGGTCTCAAACTCCTGACCTCAAGTGATCCACCCGCCTCGGCCTCCCAAAGTGCTGGGATTACAGGTGTGAGCTACCGCCCCCGGCCAAGCCTCTTTAATAATATATAATCCTTCTTTTCTTGGGAAGCCTCCGTACTACATAATGAAGTAGAAAGAAGTTGGGAGAATAGTAAGGAGGCATTTGTAAGAGTCCATGTGAGAAATCACAATAATTTGAATTACATAGAATAAGAAGAACTTTGGAAAGATGCTCTGAAAACAAGCAATAAGAAGATATTTCTGTAGAGAGGACCTGTGTGGCTTGAAGTCAATTGTGAGAGACAAGATGTTCACTGTACATAAGACGAACAGAGCGGTAAAGAGAGAGACTGGGCCCCTTCCAGCCTATGACTTAAGAGAGCTTCCATAAAGGTCTGCATGGTCTATGCTCATGACTTAAAACTAAGGGCCAGGAAAAGAGAGGAGAGGTAAAGACTCAAACTGAAGCAAAGGGCTCCTTGTTACAGTTTTGTGGGTGCAGTGACTCCCGAGGCAAAGTCCATATATAAGGATACAATGTGTTTGGGGGCATAGCCATTGGACCCTTTAAGTCATATTCTAGGCTACATAGCTTTTATGTCCAAAATGATCTGAGCTCCAGGACAGCTCTCTTATAGGAAACAATGCCAGATGAGGTCACTAGTGAAGGACTTGCTTTACCACAGGGAAATGGTACCATTTCTCTCAGGTCAATTAGGAGCTTTCAAAGAGAAATATAGATAGAGCTCCAATGTTTCAGGGCAGACAAAGTACAGTCAGGTGACATCTGCCATGCTGTGATGTAATACTGGCACTGTTGGTAAGATTATAATATTGACATCGAGAGCCAAATGTATTGTGAAATTCAGTTAAAAGTTTTCTGGCTCCCCCAGATATTAGTCATATAACAAGAATCGCAGTCAAAGAACAAGGGGTGGCTTGTTGCATAGTAATTAATTTGGCTGATCTTTTTCTCTGGGTCCTGAGAGGAGCCCTCTAAACCCTTGAAGTTTCCTATGATACAATTATATTTTGTTACTGATGGCGGGCCTGACAATATCTGAGCTTATGCTGTGGAGATGACACAGGATGGGGCCCATCACACCAGAAAGAACAACTGTGTGATTCAAGGGTTGGGCTTCGAAGCATGTGCTATCAGCCAGCCTTCTGGGAGGAGAGAGAGGCTAGAGGCTGAGCTCAATAATGTGGCCAAAGATTCAATCCGTCATGTGTCCATAATGAAACCCTGATAAAAACTTTGGCCACGGAAGCTCAGGTGTGCTTTCCTGGGTAGTGATACACATCGATGCGCCAGGAGGGTGACTTGTCCTGAGGAAGCGGAAGTCGTGTGTCTCAGGTCCTCCTAAACCTTACCCTGACGGTTTCTTTCTTTGGCTGGTCCTGATTTACATCCTTTATTATATAACTGTAATTATAACTACAGCTTTTTCCTGAGTAATGTGTTATTCTAGCAAAGTTGTGTATCCAATTTGAGTGGGTAGTGGGAATCTCCAGCTTTGTAGCCAGTTGGTCAGAAGTGTGTGTGTCCTGGAAGCCCCCTCCCCTGCTTGTAGCTGATGTCTGAAATGAGGGAGGCCCTTTTCAGGCCCTGTGCCCTTGACCTGTGAGGTTTGACCTAATTCTGTGTAGATAGCATGACAATTGCACTGCACAGGACAGATAACCACCCCAAAATCTAAAAAGAGAGGTACAAACAGACACTGCAACTGATAAAGCCTAGAGATGTGCTTCAGACAGCAGGAGCCTCTAGAGCTATTGGTCCAAACAATGAAATGACAATTTTAACAAACTGCTGGAGGAAGAGTTTCTTAGGAGGCTCCCTCCAGTAACCTCGCCATATTTTTGTGGTAAGAATCCCCAAAAGATCCCTTCATGCCTTTGCAGAAGAAGGAAAGAGTGACCATTGTGAAATGTAACCAGAGCCTTCTCCAGGGGAAGGACTTTACCAGAGCTCCATTCTGATACTGTATCCAAGCTTGGGGAAAGGAATCCCCCCTCACTTCAGCTCTCTTTAGCCTTCTTTCATCACGTAGTGGCAGAAATAATCATCAATGGATAGAGTGCTTCATGGAGATATACTGGGAGCTCGGCAGCCAGGGAAAGGAGCTAGAAGGTGAACATGCTACTGGAGGAAAGGCAGACACAGCTGGGATAGCTACAGCCATGAGCTACTGGCTTAGGAAATGACCCACACTTCATTAGAAGGTTGGAGAATGCTTACTGTCTTCTATATCCTATCATCACTGTTATAAAGCTTGAGTTTAAAAGCAGTGACTACAGCTGTTTTCAGTGGAATGAACTGAAAGACACAGACTCACTATGAGGAGCAGTGCAGAGACAAGCTGTGAAGCCAGGCGAAGAGCCAAAACAAAGACACTAAAGGAATTTGGAACTTCTGATACTTATGGCTGCAACAAACATTAAACATAGCTTAACTCTTAACCAAATTAACATACATTCTCACATAAAGGCCTATGTACCTCAGTTGTTATTACCTAATGCAATATCTGTCTTTTAACAAAAAAATTACACAAGACACGTCAAAGGCAGGAAAAAACAGTCTGAAGAGAAAGCAATCATCAGAATCAAACTCAGATACGACACAGATGTTGGAGTACCAGAGACGGAATGTAAAAATAACTGTGATAAATATGTCAAGGGCTCTCATGAAAAAAGTAGACAATGTGCAAGAACAAATGGATAATATCAGCACTAAGATGGTAACTTCTAAAAGCCCATGAGCCAAAGAAGAAATCTCAAAAAGTGTTTCGGAATAAATGAAAAGGAAAATATAACTCATCAAAACTTATGGGTTGTAGCTAAAGCAGTGCTTAGAAAATAATTTATAGCACTCAGTTTCTGTATGCATATATTACAAAGTAAGAATTAATAATATAAATAAATTACGCTTGCACCTTAGGAGCTTGAGAAAGAACAGCAATTTAAACCTGAAGAGAACACAGAAAAGAAATCCATGCAAATTAGAATATACATCAATAAAATTTTAAACAGGAAAACAATAGAAAAATTCAACAAAACCAAAAGCTAGGCTTTCACAAACGTAAATAAAATTGATAAACCTCTTCCCAGGCATGAGCGTACAAGATGAGAGAAAGAGAGAATACAAATTACCAATATCAGCAATGAAAGAAGAATCATTACTACTGATTATTGATACCGTGCACTTTTAAAAGATTCTAAGATTCTACAAGCAACTTTATCCTTGTAAATTTGATACCTTAAATAAAGTGGACCAATTCCTTAAAAGACACAAACTAATAAATTCATGCAAGGAAAAACAGACTAGCCCTATACATATTTTCTTTTTTTTTTTTTTTCTGAGATGGAGTCTTGCTCTTTCGCCCAGGCCAGAGTGCAGTGGCGCTACCTCGGCTCACTGCAAGCGTCACCTCCTGGGGTTCACGCCATTCTCCTGCCTCAGCCTCCCAAGTAGCTGGGACTACAGGCGCCTGCCACCGCGCCCGGCTAATTTTTTATATTTTTAGTAGAGACGGGGTTTCACCGTGTTAACCAGGATTGTCTTGATCTCCTGACCTTGTGATCCACCCACCTCGGCCTCCCAAAGTGCTGGGATTACAGGCATGAGCCACCGCGCCCGGCCGCCCTATACATATTTTCTAAAAATTAAATTAATAATAAAAACCTTCCAAAAAAGCAACAGGCTCAAGCTCAGATGATTACACTGGTGAATTATACCAGTGAAAAAATTACTCTCCATATTTTTTTTCCAGAAAAGAGAAGCAGAGGAAAAACCTCCCAACTCATTTTATGATATCATCATTACTCTAATCCCAAAACCAGATAAAGACATTACAACATTGAAAAGAAACTATAGATCAGTATCTCTTATGAACCTAGACACAAAAGCTTCCACCAAACATTAGCAAGTCAAATCCAGTAATGTAGAAAAAGGATAATACATCACAACAAAATGGAGTCCGTTTCTGAATATAAGGATTCAATATTTTAAAATACATCATTGTACTTTATCATATTAATATTAATAGACTAAGAAAAACAACACAATTGTATCAGTAGAAGCAGAAGAAGCATTAAACAGAATTCAAGACCTGTTCATGATAGAAACTCCACAAAGTAATGTGAACTATGGATTTTGAGTGATAATAATGTGTCAGTGTATGTTTATAGTTTATAACAAATGTACCACTCTGGTGTGGGGGGTTGACAGTGGACGGGACTGTGTGTGAGTAGGGTGTATAGGGGGACTTTGTGTGGGTAGGGTGTATATGGGGACTGTGTGTGGGTAGGGTGTATATGGGAACTGCGTGTACTTTCTGCTCAATTTTGCTGTGAACCTAAAACTGCTTTAAAAAAAAAAAATAAAGCCAGCCAGCTGCGATGGCTTATGCCTGTAATCTCAGCACTTTGGGAGGCCGAGGTGAGCAGATCGTGAGGTTGGGAGATCGAGACCATCCTGGTTAACATGGTGAAACCCCATCTCTACTAAAAATACAAAAAATTAGCCAGGCGTGGTGGCACTCACCTGTAGTCCCAGCTACTTGGGAGGCTGAGGCAGGAAAATCATTTGAACCGGGGAGGCAGAGGTTGCAGTGAGCTCAGATCACGCCACTGCACTCCAGCCTGGGTGACAGAGCGAGACTCTATCTCAAAATAAATAAATAAACAAATAAATAAATAAAGCCTATTTTATAAAAAAGAAAAATTCAGCCGGGCACGGTGGCTCACGCCTGTAATCCCAGCACTTTTTTGGGAGGCCGAGGTGGGTGGATCATGTGGTCAGGAGATCCAGACCATCCTGACTAACATGAGTGAAAGAATGGAGTGGTATATAATGTAGCAGAGTTGATAATTTAAGGCTAATTCACTATATATCTCCAAGCAATAGATTTGTAATGCTTTTCCTGCCTAAAATCTGTACAGCTGATTCACAAATACTTGGTTGACAGGTTTTATATATCAGTGTGGCTCATCAGCTTGTATGTTGTTGGGGCCAGAATCTATACTTACACTTCATTCAAATTTGATTTTACAGAAGAGTTGTGGTTTTTATTTTTCTTTTAATTAAGAGGGCTGTGAAATTATCAACTATAACTCTAAATCTCATTTAATTCCTCCCATTAGGATTCAAGATGGATTGGCATCAAAGTTCACTTCTTTAACAAAAGTGCTTTATGACCTTAATAAAATATTAGAGAATGGTAGGATCCATGGAAGCCCTTTACAAAAACTTGTGATAGAAAGTTTTGATGATAAGCAGACTTTGCAACAACTGGAATTGCAAAATGACCCAATTTTACAAAGCTTCCAGAATGCAGTTAGTGAAACAAAGATGAAGATATCAGTATCCCAGAGAGTGAAGAACAGGAGCATGAAGAGGATGGTTCAGAGACAGAGGCTGATGGCCAGGAGGACCTAGAAGATTTAGAGGAGGAGGAGGAAGTGTCAGATATGGGTGGTGACAATCCTGAAGTGAGTGAGAGAGCAAACTCAAGCAAATTCGATCCGACGAAAAGCCCAGTTCTCAGTGATGAGGATTCTGACCTTGACTTTCATATCAACAAATTGGAACAGCAGAGCAAGGTGCGAAACAAAGGACACGGGAAACCAAGAGAAAAGTCCATAGCAGATGAGAAATTCTTCCAACTCTCTGAAATGGAGGCCTATTTAGAAAACAGAAAAAGAAGAGGAACGAAAAGATGGTAACGATGATGACGTAGAAGATACTGATTTTTTTAAGATATTGATTCTGATGAAGATGAAGGGGCACTGTTTAGAAGTAAAAAAACTTAAGGTAAAATTTTGAGAGAGGAGAGAGCACTTTCCTCCTCCTCAAATTACCTTTTGTTCTGTTTTTCTAGGACAGATGTAATTGTAGTTAGAAGATTTGGATCTAAGAAATATTGTGCTCTATCTTATCAGTTATAAATGAATCTGTACTTCCATTCAGTTTCTGTTCCAGTTGTTCTTATAATAGTTTTATGGTAATGTTTTTAGTTGCTGATTTCACCTAATAACTATTTTTGGCTTGTAGTGTTATTAAGTTAGAAAGTAACGTAGACATACAGTATACACACAAATATATATGTGTGTGCTAACGATGTATTTTTCTCTTCCTAATTAATAGTTTTAAAAATCTTTTTATTTTAGTCAGGTAAAAGTTCCAGAAATGTGAAGGACAAAGACTTTTTTTGATCCAGTTGAAAGTGATGAAGACATAGCAAGTGATGATGATGATGATCTGGGTTCAAACAAGCTGATGAAATTGCTGAAGAAGCAGCAGAAGAACTAAGCATTTCTGAAATGTAAGTATTTGAACCATCCTTTATATTGTGAGCTGGAACTGTCCAATCATGTATTGGTACTTGTGGTTTTCACATATGTTTGTTTTAAGAAGTTAGATTCTCTCCTATCAGATATTCTCAAGATAGCCACAGGAAAGTCTGTGTATTTAAAGGGACATTAGAGATCATTTAATGAAGAAAAATATTACTGGCAATGGCAATCAAACCTTTCTGACCAGGAACTTTGATTTGGTTTTGTGCCCCAAAAATCCTGTTATTTCTGTGAGATTGAACAATTTATTTTCTATATATTGGACACTTTTTGTTCTGTTTCTTACATAGCATTTCACTTAAATGATACCTTCTGTTCCTTAATACCTGAATGATTTTGGAACTTCTGAGTATTTGGTTGCATTAGGCATATAAAAGAAGAACTTTATTAAGGGAAATATGTTTCCTTTTGTTTTTCTAATGGAAAGCAGTATATTTCTTTTTATAAGAATTTTGTAGTGTAGGGATGAAGATGATGACCTGGAAGAAAGTGAAGACAGTAAACAATGTAAAGAAAGCTTGAAAAGAGTGACCTTCACTTTGCCAGATGATGAGGCAATTGAAGATGCAGGTGTTTCACATGTAAAGAAAAATTCTGATGAAGTTAAATCCTCTTTTAAAAAAAGACAGGAAAAGGTAATTAGGAATTTAAGGAATTTTTAATATGCTTGACATGATTGTGGAACTCACAGACTACTAACAAATCTTCCCTATTTTTCTTTTTTTTTTCTTGAGATAGAGTCTTGCTCTGTCACCCAGGCTGGAGTGCAATGGCATGATCTCAGCTCACTGCAGCCTCCACCTCCCGGGTTCAAGTGATTCTGCCTCAGCCTCCTGAGTAGCTGAGATTAGAGGTGCATGACACCATGCCTGGCTAATTTTTGTATTTTTAGAAGACATGGGGTTTCACCGTGTTGGGCAGGCTGGTCTCGAACTCCTGACCTCAGGTGATCCTCCTGCCTCAGCCTCCCAAAGTGCTGAGGTTACAGGCATGAGCCACTGTGCCCCAGCCTTCCTATTTTTCTTGTTGTAACTATTAACCATCCTTTGCAAACAAATATCTTGGCCAGGTGCAGTGGCTTATGCCTGTAATCCTAAAACTTTGGTTGTCTGATGCAGGAGGATCGCTTGAGCTCAGGAGTTCAAGATCAGCCTGGGTGACATAGTGAGATCTTGTCTCTTCAAAAAATACAAAAATTAGTGGGGGCATAGTGGTGTATGCCTGTAGTCCAGCTACTCAGGTGGCTGAGGCAGGAGGATCACTTGAGCCCAGGAGGTTGATGTTGCAGTGAGCTATGATCACATCACTGCTCTCCAGCTTGGGCGGTGGAGCAAGATCCTGTCTTCAAACAAACAAACAAAACCAAAAATCTTGCTGCCACTCTCTAAAGCAAAAGCACACTATATGGAGATGCCATATGGAAAGCATCTGATTTGCAAAAATCAGTGCCTGCATTACCCAGCCTATAGCTTTCAATTTGGGGCCTGTGTGTAAAATGGTTGTTTCTTTTCTGTCTCCCTTATGTCTTTATATGCATAGCATGTCTCTTCTGACAAAGCTGTCCCGACAGCCTCTTCTTGTAACTGTTTTGACTGCTCCGGAGGATGCCGCCTATGTCTTTAAGGTGCTCCACAGATTTTGGTGAGTGCCAAATAGCCGTAATTTTAATTAATACCATGACAAAGATATCTTCCAAAGTATGTCATGATTTCAGACAAGTGAAATTTCATTTAATTTTAGTAGATGTAGTCTGGCTCCAATAATTGGGCTATATTATTTATCCAATCTTAAAATTTTATTATAAAAATGAGAATAGTGCCAGGTACAGTAGCTCACACTTGTAATCCCAGCACTTTGGGAGGCTCAGAAGGGAGGATTGCTTGAGCCCAGGAGTTCGAGACCAGCCTGGGCAACATGTTGAAACCCCATCTCCACTAAAAATATAAAAAATTAGCTGGGTGTGGTAGCGTGAGCCTATAGTCTCTGCTACTCAAGAGGCTGATCGGGGATGATCGCTTGAGTCCAGGAGTTCAAGGCTGCAGTGAGCTATGATTGGACTATGGCACTCCAGCCTGGGCAACAGAGCTGCAGAATAGGTAAATAAATGATACCAAGAATATCAAAAGAATTATTTTTAAAATCTGTGAATCTAAATTAAATTCATCATTGTCAGATTGTCCCCAGAAGATAAATTCTAAAGGGAAAAAACAAAACATAAAATATCAACGAGTTAATGTCCTCCTGTCCCGCTCCTCCCACCCTCCCCCAACAAGAAAGAAAAAAAGGTTTGGTTTTGCTTTGAAATTATATCAGACCTTCAAGTAAAATTTTCAATAAATCACAAATAATTTATTGAAATTTCCACATATAAAGAATAAAGTAGAACTTTCAAACTTTTTTCTTTTGAAACTGTTCGAACATGAAAACCCAAACCTGACAAAGGTACCTGACAAAGGTAACATTAAAACACACACACTCTCTCATTCATGGCTAGTGATGCAAACATAGCACAGTGGGAAAATTATGCCGCACAATCACATGAAGCTCATTCCCTTGAATCACTACTAGAAGATCTGGTATGATTCCTGGTTGCAAGACATTAAGAAGAAAATACATGGTTCCCTCCATATATGTTAGAAAGACATTTGATAAAATTCAATATTTATTTCTAATTTTTTTTACTCCTAGTGGATTATAAATACATCTAGCCAAAAGCTGCCATCATGCATGATGAGTGAAACTGTAGAAACATCCCTTTAAGATCAGGAATAAGACAAAATGTCCAGTATTGCAGTTATCCCTGTTAATTAACACTAACAGTTAATAACCACATAAGCCAGTGCAACTACAAAAGATAAAGAGAAGGGATTAGGAAAACTGCCAGGAGCAGTGGTTCTCACCTGCAATCCCAGCACTTTGGGAGCTCAGGAGCTCCCAGCACTTGAGCTCAGGAGTTTGAGACCAGCCTGGGCAACGTAGTGAGACCTCATCTCTGCAAAAAATACAAAATTAGCTGGGTGTGGTTACATGCACCTGTGGTCCCAGCTACTTGGGAGACTGAGGTAAAAGGACTGCTTGAGCCTGGGAGTCGGAGGTTGCAATGAGCTGAGATCATGCAACTGTACTCCAGAGCAAGACTCTGTCTCAAAAGAAAAAAAAAAAAAAAAAAAGATTAGGGATACTAAAACGAAAACATTAGTGTTTGGAGAGAAAACCGAATGGATAAATGGAATCGATATTAGGAAAATAAGAGAATTCTGTAAGGTAGCTGAAAAAGCTGACATTTTATACATTGAAGTCATAATTGTTCATAACTTTTAGAAGTTAGAGATAATAAGAATTTGAGTTTAGAGTCAAAAGGGTCAGGCTCCATCAAATACTAATATCCTAATCAAAGAATTACTTGGCCAGGTGCGGCGGCTCATGCCTGTAATCCCAGCACTTTGGGAGGCCGAGGTGGACACATGACGAGGTCAGGAGATCGAGACCATCCTGGCTAACACGGTGAAACCCCGTCTCTTCTGAAAATAGAAAAAATTAGCCGGGCGAGGTGGCGGGTGCCTGTAGTCCCAGCTACTCGGGAGGCTGAGGCAGGAGAATGGTGTGAACCCGGGAGGTGGAGCTTTCAGTGAGCCGAAATCACGCCACTGCACTCCAGCCTGGGCAACAGAGCGAGAGACTTTGTCTCGAAAAGAAAAAAAAGAATTATTTAACTTAACTTTAGGGTGCTCTAATAATCAAAATTGATAGTGGCTTGTGAACAGATAGATCACTTGAATAGAATAGAGCCCAGAAATAAACCCAAATGCTTCTGGGGGAGTTTAGCATATTATAAACATGGCATTTCAAATCAATGAGGAAAAGAAATCATTTGCAGCTCACCCCACCATAGGCAGCAGGAATAGGAAGTCATTGGCAGAATAAAAAGATGGTAAGGACAGAATTGTAGAACAGTACATTTCTTGCTTCCCCACTTTTCAAAGTATTTTTTGCTTTTACACAAGTATAAGTGTAATTTGATTTTCTCAATGTATACTAATTCTTTTGTCTCTTTCTTAGATGAATGAAAAAAATTACACCTTTAGAAAAAGAGTTGTTATAAAAAAGCCTTGGTTGCGTCTGGGGGAAGTGACAGCACAGAAGAGACCAGAGAATAGCCTGCTGGAGGAGACCCTGCACTTTGACCATGCTGTCCGGATGGGTACGGTGCCCTCTTCTGCAAAGTTTTTCTATGGTTCCATTTTGTAGGAAGATTTGGGGTGATGTTTCTTTTCCCTCAACTTTTTATTTTAAAAACTTGCAAACACAGAAAAGTTGATAAAATAATACAGTGAACATCAGTATGCTATTCAACTGGATTCACCAATTAACATTTTATCATATTTGTTTTGTCTCCCCTGCATATGGAAGATTGTATATGTGCCCTTTTCCCCCCTGAATCATTTCAAAGTAAGTTGCCAGTATCAGCATTTCAGTGTTAAGTACTTTCGCAGATATCTTCTAGGAACCAGGACGTTCTCCTATATAATCACAATACCATTAATCCCACCCCAAAAATTTAACATCAATACACTAATGATACCTACTGTATAGATTATAATCAGCTTTCTTGCAGTAATCTGTTTAGAAGGCTTGCACCCTGTCACCATCCACTGATTAAATTTTGAACTCTAACTTGAAACCCTGCTCATCTCATTGCCTTCTTTCTTATACCCATTAAGTCAAAAAGAGCTCTCATTTTATTTCAACGGAAAAGAGAATGGAAAAGAGGGGAAGGTACCTGGGATAAAGTATGAGCACTTACTGCCATATGTATTCTAGTTCTGTAGTTTTCAAACTTCAGGGAGCATCTCAAGGCTTATTAAAGGACAGACAGCTGTCCCTCTTCCCCACTTTCTGATTCAGGAGGTGTGGGGCTGGCCCAGGAATTTGCATGTCTAACAAGTTCCCACGTGTTGCTGATGCTGAGGGTCTAAGGACTACAATGGGAGAATCCGTGGTTTAGTGGATATCCACCTAAAGAATACTTGTTGTATTTCCTTTAGTGCCTGTGATTACAGAGGAAATACCTTTCAACTGGAAGATATCATTAAACACAGGAAAAGAGATCAGGTCAGTAAGAATTAAATTTAACTTAATTGAAATGTCACTGAAATTTTTAGAAATAATATGACAGGCCAGGCACAGTGGCTCATGCCTGTAATCCCAGCACTTTGGGAGGCCAAGGCGGACAGATCTCTTGAGGTCAAGAGTTTGAGACCAGGCTGTCCAAGATGGTAAACCCCGCTCTCTACTAAAAATACAAAAATTAGCTGGGCATGGTAGTGCATGCCTGTAGTCCCAGCTACTTGGGAGGCTGAGGCAGGGGAATTGCTTGAACTCGGGAGATGGAGGTTGCAGTGAGCTGAGATGCGCCACTGCACTCTGAGACTCTATCTCAAAATAAATAAATAAATAAATAAATAAATAAATAAATAAATAAATAAAAATAAAAAATAAAGGGAAGATGGGGCAGCTTTGTGTAGTGCACTTCCCGAAAATGGGCTGATTTCCCTCAAGAGGCAGGGATTGAAGCTCTCTAGCCTACATGGGATACATACAGGAGAAAAAAGAAGAAAAAGAAAAGAAATGTAAACATAAATAAATGAAAATAACACTTCTCCCTGATTATAAAGGAAATCACATTCTTTTTGTAATAATTTGGATGACAAAATATAAAGAAAAATCTTTAATTTTGCCACTCAAAACATTCTGGTTTGTTGCTTTTTACACTTTTTATGCATATAAACATATTTAAAAGTAGAATCTGCCATGTTGAGACTGTGAGGTTGAAGCCTTCGGGAAAGAACATCAAGATGAATGGAGTCTGAGTTCCTGACAACATGGAGCATCATGCCAGCCATGAACCACTTCTGAGACATCCCTATGAGACAAAAATAAACTTCCATGTTCTTTAATTTATCATTTTGGAGGGTTTTCTGTTATTGCCGCAAAACCTAATCTTAACTAATACAGACATTGTATCTGAAATTCCCAGGAAAATCCCTGTAAACGTGTTGCTTGCCACGAATAACTGGCCTCTACCAGTATCACATTCCAGATGAGCAGAACAGGGAAAGGATTGGAAGACAAGAGAGGGGAGGAACACACCTCGCTCTCTCCTGCTATTGGCTGTGCCTGGCTGCAAGCTAGAAATGCTGGGTCCATTGCAAATGGCCACACATCTAAGGCCCTACCACCATGGGAACAGCCACTGGGAGATAACTAGCAGCTTTTACCATTTGTCATTTAATTATTTTAAAGTTAGAAACTTTTTCTTTTTGAATGTCTGAAAGAGAATGGCCTGAGAAATATTTTGGAAAAGTTAAATAAAGCTGATTTGTGACTGTTAAAAAAAATAAAAGTACAATCATAGTAAATGGGCTTTTGTCACTTATTATATTTTAAACATGTTTCTAGGGCAGAAGTATATCCTGGCATCATCATTTTTAATAGCTGGATTATGTTAAGTGAATCATTGCCACCCCAGAGGTGAATTTCCTCTATATACATTTTAATGGACTCCAGTAAGGATTTTTGCACTGAATTCATAGAAGTAGAATTTCTAGAGGAAAATAATGTAAAACTGTTTTAGGATTTTTAAAAGAAATGTTCAAATTATCCTGTAGGAAAATTGGTTCAGTTTATGCTCCCACCAACAGGGACAGAGCTCCAGGTTCCCCCTTCCATTTGTCATCTTTGCTGGTCTTTAAGCAGAAAATCTCATTGTTTTCATTACATTTCTTTGATTTCTAGTGCTTTTGAATCTTTTTCGTTTGCTCATTGGCCATTTTTATTCTTGTGGGAAGTGCCGGTTTCTCCATTGCCCATTTTCTGCTGGAAATCATTCATTTTTTTAATGAGTAATTTTAAATTTTTCTTTTTAGGCTAAGGATAAGTCAGGATCAGTCAGTTCAAGACTAGACTGATCAACATGGAGAAACCCCGTCTCTACTAAAAAGACAAAATTAGCTGGGTGTGGTGGCACATGCCTATAATCCCAGCTACTCAGGACTCTGAGGCAGGAGAATTGCTTGAATCCAGGAGGTGGAGGTTGTGGTGAGCCGAGATTGCACCATTGCACTCCAGCCAGGGCAACAAGAGCCGAACTCTGCAAGAAAGAAAAAGCAAGAAAGCAAGAAAAGCAAGAAAGCAAGAAAGCAAGAAAGCAAGAAAGCAAGAAAGCAAGAAAGCAAGGGAAGCACGGGAAGCACGGGAGAAAGGAAATAAAGGGAAGAAAGAAAGAAGGAAGGAAGGAAGGAAGGAAGGAAGGAAGGACAGAAAGAAAGAAAGAAAGAAAAAGAAAGAAAGAAAGAAAGAAAGAAAGAAAGAAAGAAAGAAAGAAAGAAAGAAGAAAGAAAGAAAGAGAAAACAAAGAAAAAACAAATGAGACCATGGGCTTGGAAATGCCTTGAGAACATGTCAGGTGTGATTGAGAGTGAGGGAGTGTTACTGTGGAGTATCAGTGTAGCTGTTGTTCTGGTCGTCCAGCTACTCCTCTGCCTGCTCTATCCTGACTTAACCTTTCTCTATTTGCAGTACATCGAGAAATTAACAAAGGAGAGGGATGCTCCGAGTCTGGAACTGTACAGGAACACGTAGGATGGGGGAAGGTGGAATGGGAGGTCTGGGGGCCCTTAGAGTGGGTGGTGTGCTGGGAGGTGGGGGGTACAGGTGAGCATGGTGAGAGGCTTCTACAGGTTTTCATGTGTGCACAGGGAAGCTCTAGTGCCGGCGGTGCCACTGACTCATGGGGAAGCCTCAGGCAACTCATGTCTTCTCTCTGGCCTGCCACCTGTGACTTTTAATTCCTGGGGTCCTTTCCAATGCCACCGTTCTGTGGTTGTGTGGTGAAAGTAGAGGGTTGATCACCAAAGCGGTCCTTTCTATTCTTCGTTCATTCCTTTCTCTACTGCCTCTGGCCACAGCATAACCGATGAGGAGTTGAAGGAGAAAAATGCTGAACTACAAGAAAAACTTCGACTTGTAGAATCTGAAAAGTCTGAGATCCAGCTCAACGTAAAGGACCTTAAAAGGAAGCTGGAAAGGGCCCAGCTCCTGCTGCCACAGGCGAGCAGCTGCAGCCCCGGGGGTTGTGGGAGCCCCATCCGGCTGGGGCCATGGTCTAGGGATCATGTAGGGTGTGGGGAGGCTCCAGCCAAGAGCTGGAAAATTTGGGTCCTTGTTCTGGTCCCACCATAGAATCCTCTGGAGTGTGCTAAAAATATACAAATTGGGGCCCTGCCTGGGGAATCAGAATCTCAGAGTTTGGGCTTAAAAAAATATTTTTCAAAGGATCATAGATGAAAACCATTATTTTATAGATTACATTTATATGGCTAGCTCATGAGTCTGTTTCCTTCTGAGGTTTGAACCAACACTTTCACTATTCCAGCAGCAGCTGCAGGTGGAGGCTGACCGCCTGGGTAAGGAGCTACAGAGTGTGTCAGCAAAGCTCCAAGCCCAGGTGGAAGAGAACGAGTTGTGGAACCTCCTGAACCAGCAACAAGAGGAGAAGATGTGGAGGCAGGAGGAGAAGATACAGGAGCAGGAAGAGAAGATGTGTGAGCAGGAGCTGAAGATAAGGGAGCAGGAGGAGAAGATGTGGAGGCAGGAGGAGAAGATGCATGAGCAGGAAGAGAAGATACGGGAGCAGGAGGACAAGATGTGGAGGCAGGAGGAGAAGATACGGGAGCAGGAAGAGAAGATACGGGAGCAGGAGGAGAAGATGTGGAGGCAGGAGGAGAAGATACGGGAGCAGGATGAGAAGATACAGGAGCAGGAGGAGGAGATGTGGAGGCAGGAGGAGAAGATACGGGAGCAGGAGGAGAAGAGGCAGGAGAAGATGTGGAGGCAGGAGAAGAAGATGCGCGAGCAGGATGAGAAGATACGGGAGCAGGAGGAGGAGATGTGGAGGCAGGAGGAGAAGATACGGGAGCTGGAGGAGATGATGCAAGATCAGGAGGAGAAGCTGCGGGAGGTGGAGGAGAAAATGCAGGAGGAGGAGGAAAAGATGCAGGAGCAGGAGGAGAAGATACAGAGGCAGGAGGAGAAGATCCAGGAGCAGGAGGAGAAGACGTGGAGGCAGGAGAAGCTGCTCAAGCAGGAAGAGAAGATATGGGAGCAGGAGGAGAAGATGTGGAGGCAGGAGGAGAAGATGTGGGAACAGGAGGAGAAGATGCAGGAACAGGAGGAGAAGATGCAGAGGCAGGAGGAGAAGATGCGGGAGCAGGAAGTGAGGCTGTGGCAGCAGGAGGAGAAGATGCAGGAACAGGAGGTGAGGCTGCAGGAGCTGGAGGAGAGGCTGGGGAAGCTGGGGCAGAAGGCGGAGCTCTTGGGGGGAGCAGGCAGAGGTGTGTGCAAACCCTGGAGATCATACAGAACGACCTCACCACAACTTAGCAGATGGTGGTTGGCTCCCTCTGCTTTTCCACCAGTCTGCGGCCTACAGTTTAAATGGTGGGAAGAAGGGTGTGAGATTTGAGGCTGGGGAGGGAGGCATGGGCCTCTAGGCAAGGGAGGCAGTCACTTAGGCCTGGAGGAAGGGGCCAGGGCCAGGGGCCTGAGCAGGCGACAGAGCCCCGCAGTGCCCTTGCCACCCTGTTTATGGGCCCAGAATCTGGAAGCCAGCGACTACCTACCCTGACGCCTATCCTGCAGGTGGAGCTGAAGAGCCAAGAGGCTCAGAGTCTGCAGCAGCAGCAAGACCACTACCGGGGTCACCTGCAGCAGTACGTGGCCGCCTATCAGCAGCTGGCCTCTGGGAAGGAGGCACTGCCCAGCTGCAGCAGCAGGAAGCTCAGGGCGAAGCGGTGGCTGAGATGGCCCACCAATAGTTGCAGGAGACCCAGCTGAGGGAGTTGATGAGGGTGGGGCCCTGAGGGGGACGACCTGGCAAACTCAGTGCCTTCTCACTCTCTTTCCTGGCCCCTTAGGAGCACCTGGAAGCTGCCATCTACCAAGCAGATGACAAGAACACAAATATAATAAACATGTAAAAGCCGGCAGCAAGGCCTGGAGAAGAGTAAGCTGCCATGTGACTGTTTAGAATAGAGTCTGAGCACAAACCTGAAAAAAAAAAAAAGAAAATTTATTTATTTTAAATTTTGGCAAAATACTGGCCAGGCACGGTGGCTCATGCCTGTAATCCCAGCAATTTGGGAGGCTGAGGTGAATGGATGACCTGAGGTCAGGAGTTCAAGGCCAGCCTGGCCAATACAAAAATTAGCCGGGCATGGTGGCACATGCCTGTAATCCCAACTACTTGGGAGGCTGAGGCAGGAGAATCGCTTGAACCTGGGAGGCAGAGGTTGCAGTGAGCTGAGATCGTGCCACTGCACTCAAGCCTGGGTGACAGAGTGAGACTCTGTCTCAAAAAAAAAAAAAAAGTTTCTTCCTTACATGTATGTTTCTATTAGTTTTTTTCTTGGTCTTTCTCATTTAGTCTGATGTTGTCTTATGGCATTCCTAGTAAAGTTTTATCTGCCTCCAGAGAGTATTGACTTTGACTTTATGGCACACAATTGGAGTAAGGGCAGATCGCCTTCATCTAGTTTGTGACTAAGCTAGTTCAAAGCAGGTTTTAGGTTTTGTGACGGCTGGTCTATATTTTATTCATTTGGACTCCTAGGGGTGGCCCTTCCAGGGTCCCCACCAATGTCCCATCTCCTTCCTGGGACCCAAATTCTCATTAGGTCATTTCAGCCCTGTGAGAGTGCCAACATTCAGCTAGGCTCTCCAGCCCCTTAACTACCACTTCATATTCAGTTTCTTAGCCTCTTAGCCCTCTACTGTTGACCGATCACCAAATGTGGGAAAAGCACTACAGACTGTCAGGATCACCTCCCAGGCCTGGTCACTCAAGTGCTGGCTGAGGTCTCCAATTACCTTCCAACAATTGTTTTTGGTGGTGGGGCACATTTTTGTCCAGTTTTTCTAACTGTTCCTATGGGGAGGCGAATCTGTAACAAGCTCCTCTGCCTTTAGTGAAAGTTGAAAACCTTCATCTGTCTCTCTCTCTTTTTTTTTTTTTTTTTGAGATGGAGTCTTGGTCTGTTGCCCAGGCTCTAGTGCAGTGGCATGATCTCTGCTCACTGTAACCTCTGCCTCCTGGGTTCAAGCAATTCTCCTGCCTCAGCTTCCCGAGTAGCTGGGATTACAGGCGTGTGCCACCATGCCTGGCTAATTTTTATTTTTTAAATAGAGACAGGATTTCACCACATTTTCCAGGCTGGTCTCGAGCTCCTGACTCAGGTGAGCTACCTGCCTCAGCCTCCCAAAGTGCTGGGATTACAGACGTGAGCCATTGCATCCGGCCCATCTGTCTTTTAAGAAATGTATTTAATTTGAGGTATAATTTATATTCAGTGAAATGCACAGATCTGGTTTCCATTTTGATCAGTTTCAACAAATGCATTACCCATGTAACCCACCTCCTTTGAAGATATAGAGTATTTCTATCATCCAGAAAGTTCTCCTACGCTTTCATCCTGTCTGGCACTCCCCAGCAGCTGAAGAACGTGCTGAGGACATTGGTACAGGATTCTGGCCTCCCCAGAAGAGCTGCTTTGACAAGCCTTCTTGCCTTACCCAGCACTAAATCCCTGCCTACTCTCTCAAAATTTCCATCTTTTAACTGGTTGTACGTATAACCCTCCCTCATCAAGTCAATAGATAAACAAACCCTGAAAAATAAACACCCCTTCCTGGCCCAGCAGCCCACAGCCTAATATTTACTGTCTTCCCGGGCTTTCAGAAATGCAACTCGCCTGCCGGTTCACCCTAACTAGGGCGGCAGCTGCACGGGAGCTGCTGGGCTCACCCGTTAAGCAAGAAGCCAATAGCTGGACAGTGACACTCAGACCCCAGCCTGGGTGAGCCTGGTTGAAAGCCCCCTTCTTTCCCGTCCGACTGTGGAGAAAGGGGGCGGAGCACACACAACTCTACTGCCCTCCGCATCCTTCAGCTGTGCTTCCTCCTGGGAGAGGGAGCTACTCATTAATTCGGCCAAAACCTTCTTGAGGGCTGTAGGTTTCACAGGCTGGGTGTGTGGGGGCCACCATGCTAGAGAGAGAGGCTGGTGTGTCAGAAGGCAGCCACCTGGCCAGGGGAGGGTCAACCTGCTTGGTGACCTCCTTCCCCCGGCTGGACACAGCGCCCTGCACTCTCTACATGTGACTGTTCCCCTCAGAGCTGCTTCCAGAGGAGAGGTTCTAACCCTGTGGGTGGGGACATTGTGTTACTTTACAGTGGGCCATGGCTCCCTCTGACATCTCCAACTCAGAGGCAGTAGAGAGAAGATGAGAAACTCCATGCACCTCCTCGCTCAGCACCCCCACCTCTGCACACGTCCACATATGGAGACCCTGACGATGGGCCCTGGGAGTGCCGCCATCTGCGCCTCCTTTCCATGCCTGCAGCAGCCATGCCCACTCTCCAGACCCTCACCCGCCTCGCTCAGTAGACGCTGCACTGCCTGTGGTCCTGCCCCTACACCTGGGCCTCTGTACCCATCGGTTCTCGCAGTCTGGTTCTTATTCCTCGCAAAGAGTAGGGAGCCTGTAAGGTCACCTGTTGAGCAAGCTGGGGGAGAGAGTAGGGTGGGGCTGGGAGGATGAGGAGGAGAAGCTCATGGTCGTGCTGGAGACTCAGCTGAGCAGAGTCTCTGCAGGCCCATTGGCTGCCTAGCCAGTGGTGATCCTGCTCCCACCCTCATTTCTTCTTTGTTAACAAAACCATGACCTCATTAAATATTGGACACCTATAAACCTCATGGACCCTCCTCCAGCCTCCCCGCCATGTATTGGTGAGTCTAAGTCAACTCTAGTCATTTCATTCCTCTGGACATTGATTGCTTTGGGCTTGGGCATGAGCTGCCTCTTCGCCTGAGCCTGAGCCACAGGTGCCCTCTGCACCTACCACACTGATGCACTGGGCCAGGGAGAGCTCCATCTCGATGGAGATGAGCTGTGAGGAGCTGGCGGCTGGGCGGATCAGGTTGTGGTAACGGGTTTTGTTCAGAAGGTCGTCCATCAGCTTCTGCTCGGCAGGGCCATGCGGCAGAACCCTGCGTAAACACACAGACCTGCTTGGTCCTTGTGCAGCTGTCCCCCACTGCAGCTGACAGCTATGAAGCAGGAGCTGAGAGGGCCAGGGAGCACAGACACCCTGAGAGCTGGCTGAAGCAGTGAAGGGGCTGGCCGGCCTGGCTCTCCCTGGGGACTTCAAATGACATTCATGACAGAGCTCAGCTACCTCCTCCCATGCCATACCTCTTCCTCCTCCTCCTCCCTCAATCAATGAACAGCATCCCACGCTCTACACATCTGATACAAAACTGGGTGTCTCTTCCTGACCCCTCCCTTGGTTCACCCAAGTGGCCACCAAGTCCTGTCTGTCCTCCCATCTCCACGGCTACAGCCATGTCCCTGCCTCCCCCGCCCTGCCCACCTTCTATTCTCTCCACCTGCACTCTGCCCCTGCCATCCATGTGCCATACAGTGGCAGACTGGTCTTTCTACAGCAAACTGGACTTGGGCCCTTCCCTACCCACAGCTCTCAGAGCTGGAGGTGGAGTTGAAACTCATGTTTTGGCTTGGCATTCAGAGCTCTTTCCCCCTCAGCTCTGGCTTATCCAGAGTGCTCACAGTGCAGGGCAGGAGCCCCATCACTCAAGTGTGGGTTTGGTGCAGAACTGGGTCAGAGGTGGTGCTTTCCCTATGAAGAGACAGGGCTGAGATGGGATATTCGGGGTTCAGAGTCAGATCTATGGAGTGCAAGGTTTCTCTGAGGCACCAAATGGAGGGGTCCAGCTAGCAGCTGGCTCCTGGTCTGGAGCTTCAAGGAGAGGTCTCAGCTCAGAGCCACATTCAATAGCCAGCTTACATGCGGCCTCCTGCAGGGAGCCCCTGGAGCTTCCACAGCCTCCGATCTGCCCCTCTGCATACCCCAGATCTCCTGCTAAGTGGCGTTTGGGTCTTCATGTCATCTCCCTCCCATGTCTGGGAGTAAAGGTGAGGTGCAGGGACTTGCGCTTGTGTACTCTGGTGTCTTAAGGGAGAGTGTGTCAAGTAGAGTGGAGGCAGCTTGGAAAGAGGGAGACTCAGAGGAGAGTGAAGGACACATGACCAGGCGAGCCTGGGAGCAGGAAAAGAGTGAGCAGAGGAAACTGCTGGGTCAGGGGAGCGGATGGGAGGATCAGGGAATGCGGGGGGCTGGAGAGGTGGGTGTGGGGATGCTGGCAAGGGGCTGCCTGGCTCGCCAGGCTCAGGAGTTTTTACATCCTCCCACAATGGCCAGCTCACCTGGTCGCTCCAAAGCCCTCCCTCTGTGGGTGGGACCAGAGGGCCCAGAGCACGGATGACCCAGTTGAGCAGGACTGAGGTGGACTCAGGTGGGTGCTGGGCTGGACTCCTGGCCGTAGGGAGCAGCTGCCACCCTGCCTACTGCATCCACATTCCAACTCGCTGCCTATCTGAGCAGATGCAATATTGGGCACCTTGTGGAACATGCTCCTGGTGCACCTGCTGCCTCCTGCCCTTCCTGCAGAGTGCCCGGGCTCTCCAGAGGGGATTCCTGTGGAGGCTTGGCCTAGATTCTGAGTCCTGCCTCTCATACCCAGGGCTGCTACCCAAGAGGCCAGCTGCTTGAGTACCCTGGAAGCCAGTCTGTAGCCCCAGGCTACAGCTGGGTGCATCCCACAGCCCTTCTTTAGTTTACCTATTTGGACTGAGTGCTCATTTCATAGAGAGGGGTGTGTCTTTCCCCAGGCCATCTGGCATGTCTAAGGCAGCTGTGGGGTCAGAATCTGCAGCTCCCAGCCCCTAGCCCTGCAATAGTAGGAGAGGCTGGACCCCACATCTCTGAAGTCCCACTGGGCTGGTGCAAGTGGGCTCCCAAGTTCAGAGCTGCTGTGCAGGCTGTGGGGCTCATGCACCTGTTCTGAACCCACCTGATGTGCTCAGGTTACTCACCTTTGGGCCTGTCCTGCCTCTCTGGCATTCGGCTGACCCTGAGGGCCTCTCCCTCATCTTGACCACCAGCTATGGGCTCTGACTTAGGGGTTCCCAGAACCTTAGACCATTTGGCCGACCCCCCATTTCTCAGCTGAGGAAACAGGCCAAAAAGGGGAAGCAGCTTTCTCAAGGACCCCCAGCAAGTCAGAGGCAGAACCAGGTCTAGGAACCTCTTTTTGACAGAGGTTCTCCCTGTCCCCTGAGCCTTCTTTAGTGCCTCATTAACTTCCCTGTAAGGAGACTGCCCCGCTGAGGCTGGAAATGGTGCTGTCCAGGGTGGTGTGTGCCCGTGACTGTGCTTGTGTTTGTACTTGTGAGTGTGTATGGGGGTGGGGATGAGGGGTGGGAATAAACGGCAGGGATGCTGGGGGCTGGAATACACTCTGCCTCACCCCAAAAAGGGGCACAGCAGAGCCCAGCCAAGCACAGCACATGCTTCGACTTTCCAGTCTGCTGAATGAGTGTGAGGCCGGCTGGGCCCAGAAGACAAGGGACAGGCCTTTCCCCACAGATGGCAGGGGGGCCCAGGATGGGTGGAAGATTTTGCCACAGCTTTGGGGATCCCATCCCAGCCCATGGGCTGACTGTTAAGCAGAAAAGCCACCTCTAGGGGTCAGTCATGATCTAGTGATTCTGATGAGGAGGGGGCCCCACCAGCCTCTGTCTAGGGTCTTGTCTGGGAAAAACTGCTCCCTGGCAGAAACGGGCTAATAATTTGAGAGGAAGCCATAGCTGAAATCCTAAACTGTGTGAGTGTGTGTCCAGTTTGAAAAAGCATATTTGACCTAAACATTTATATTGAAAAAATGGAAAGATATTCCCCTTGTTTTGGAATACAAACTACAGAAAGTAACAGTTAACAGAATCCTATTGGAAAGGTCAGATTCTGCATCTGGAAAGGCACAGTGATTTTCAACTGGGGTGTGTGTCCTTAACTGAGGAAGGGAAGGTGAGATTTATGTTTAGTAAAAGGCAGCTATGAATTTACCTTTTATAAAGAGCTTGCCATATACTATTAGTGCTTTTTCAATCATGTCAGAATCTGCCGGATGCCTGTGGAAATGCAAATTCCCAGGCTTCATTCCCAGAGATTCTGGTCCTGTGAGCCTAGGGTGGGGCCCAGCAAACTCTATGGGGTGGTGCAGGCTGCCCCAGGACCACACCAAGAAACACTGCAACTGGCCCCCACACACATCCCAGTCCCCAAATATGTAGGCAGGCATCTTATCTCCACGGAACAGATAGGGAAACTGAGGTCAGAGTGGGGAAAGAAATGTCATGGGGTCACCCAGGAAGTAGTAGCATAGCCACGATACACCCACTGCCTGCAGTCACCATCTCTGATGGCAGCTCCACCTCCCTACAGGAACCTTGCCTACCCCCACCCCTACCTCCTGTTGCCCCTATGCTGGGTCTCTGTCCAAGGAAGATGTAGCCCTGGTCCTCTAGGCTGACTGGGGCTTGGCCCAGAGTGTGGGAGTTAGAAGGGTCCTTGGAATTCAGGTGGGGAAACTGAGGCCCAAAGAAGGCAGCCCTCACATTTGAACTCTGTCTGGAGAAGGGCTAGGTCTTCTTCCTGAGTGGTAGTTTTGACTTCACCAGCCTGGCCCTCAGTCAAGCTGGCTGTCCAGGCCCGCCACACCTCGGGGTGGGTGACCAGAGGCGGTGGTGCCATAAAACACGTTTCCTGGGAGATCCACGCCCATAGCTCAAAACATTCCAGGTCTGGTGATTTGGGCAAGCCCCCTTCTCTCTCAGCCTTGTTTCCCTGTCTCTACAATAGCTGTGTTGCAGGAGACGTCTGTCTCGGACTGAGCTGCAGATTTTCTCCTGGCTGCCTTCACCGTCCAGGATGCTGGCTCCTCTGTGTCCACTCTTCAAGACAGTCACCTCTTAGGTGAGGAAGGAGCCTCGGCCCTATCGGGAGTGGGAGCCGGTGCACCCCCAGCCTCCCAGGCCGCTGGGGATGACTTAGGCTGCCTGCAAAGCCAGTGCCATTCGGCGCCGCTTCCCAGGCTGCAGACGACCTCCAGGGAAGGAGGCCCTGGCCCTCACAGCAGCTCTGAGAAGAGGTGGCCCCCACTCCAAACCTCGCCGAGCCACCCACACATTCCCTCAGCCCAAAGAGGCTTTTAGGAAAATGAATCATCTCAAGTTCATACCCATGGGGTTGCTGAAAGAAAGGACAGTGCAGGGTGAGCTGGCATGAGGGAGTGCTGCTCTCTGCAGACTTTGCTGGGATGGCTCTTAGGAAAAGGGCCTGGAATCTGGGATGGTGACTAGCTCAGGGTTAAAGGGAGGGGATGGAGCTGGAGTGAGCTGGCCTCATCGTCCCCCTTGGGCCTTCCAGCCTGGGCTCAGGTGATTCAAGGGAGCAAGCACCTCCTTCTCCTGGCCAGGGAGTTCTCGCCACGTTCTGGAATCAGTACCATTCCCTTGGGGGCTGGGGGACAGCAACCACCTCCGGACCTGGCTGGAACTGCTGCAATTCTGGATCCAAATGGCCCCTGGCAGCTTCTCCATCTCCCTCTCAGTCCAGCCCCCACCCCTCCCCCATGAGGGCCCCAACAGCAAATCTGACAACTGGAGGAACAAGGCAGGAAGGGCAGAATCTGAGGGAGTGACCACCTTCAAAAGGCAGCTCTGTCACCTTCTCTCCAGGACTCTGAGGCTTGCTTTCATATTGCTTCCTCGACATCCTTTTGCTATAATCTGGCATGTTGACATATGGTCTTTAAAAACAAGAACACTGATGACGTGGAGCAGACTTCCCCTTTGGGATGGTGTGGAGAAGTTAGGGTTGAGGGCATCCTCTCTTCTGCAAACTGCAGCAGTAATAGGTGAGATATATAAAGTAAATAAAGGCCAGGTGCGGTGGCTTACGCCTGTTATCCCAGCACTTTGGGAGGCCGAGGTAGGCTGATCACCTGAGGTCAGGAGCTCAAGACCAGCCTGGCCAACATGGTGAAAACCGGTGTTTACTAAAAATACAAAAATTAGCCAGGCATAGTGGCACACACCTGTAGTCACACCTACTCAGGAGGCTGAGGCAGGGGAATCACTTGAACCCAAGAGGCGGAGGTTGCAGTGAACGGAGATCTCACCACTGCATTCCAGCCTGGATGACAGAGTGAGACTCCATCTCAAAAAATAAAAATAAAAAATTAAGTAAATAAAAAAGACACGCCCAGGCTGAAAAATAAGTTAATCACCTTCATGAATGAAAAGCAGTAAAGAAATGCAAAGTGGTTGGAGGCTGAAGAGCCTGGAGCCTGCTGGGCTTTGAAAACCAAAGACAGTGACAGGTCTTTTGGGATAAAGGGGTACCAAATGACTCCTAGCTAGAAGCTGAGAGCTTAGGTGTACCCCAGTACTTGAAAGCATGCTGGCCAGGTGCAGTGGCTCATGCCTTTAATCCCAGCACTTTGGGAGGCCGAGGTGGGCAGATCACGAGGTCAGGAGATCAAGACCATCCTGGCTAACACGGTGAAACACCGTCTCTACTAAAAATACAAAAAAAAATTAGCCGGGTGCGGTGGCGGGCACCTGTAATCCCAGGTACTTGGGAGGCTGAGGCAGGAGAATCCCTTGAACCTGGGAGGCAGAGGTTGCGGTGAGCTGAGATCACACCACTACACTCCAGCCTGGGCGAAAAGAGCGAGACTTCATCTCAAAAAAACAGAACAAAATAAAACAAAACAAAAAACAACCAAGGGTGCTGGAGGGTGGGGGAGTCTGCTGCTGCTCTGTGGTCTGTATCCCTGGCTTTATGGGATGTATACCTTCCCAGTATCCCCAGGACAGGAGCTTGCACATGCTGTAAAACCTGTAGGCCACTGCAAAACTGTCAACGTCAGGCTAGCAAAGGTAATAGGATTAAATAGGTTTTTATAAAAGTTTGACAAGTTTTTTTAATAAAAGAAAAAGAGCTATTTAATTATCTATCAAGAATAATATAATCTTGGTACAAAGCTTGGCACAAAAGGATGTCCAAGGAAAGTTCACGATGGAACAGTCTGAATGACGAGTCTTTGTCACAGGGAGAGGGCACAGGGCAGTGCTTAGTGCTTGGCCTCTGGAGCCAGGAAATCCGGATTTGTATTCCTGCTGCCACTACTTATCCTCCCTGTGACCTTAGGGAAAATGACTTGCCTTCACTGGGCCTTCACTTCCTCATTGATAAAGGGGGAAATAACCTTTACAATAAGCCTTCTAGGATGAAATGAAATAATTCAAGGAAAGTAACTTAACAAGACCCAGAACATAGAAAACCAAATAGATGTTAACTATTATTAACTTTTAGGAACATGAATTCCAAAACTTTAAGTAAAATAATACCAAGTTGAATACAGCAATGTACACACACACAAATAATGCATCATGGTGAATTAGGTTTTATTACAATAATGCAAGGGCAGAGTCAACATCAGATAATGCACTATTAGCAAGCTAGCTTCCTTTTTTTTTAAGACAAGGTCTCACTGTCACCCAGGCTGGGGTGTAGTGTCAACATCTTGGCTCACTGCAACCTCCACCTCCCCAGCTCAAGCAATCCTCCCCACAGCCTTCCAAAGTGCTGAGGTTACAGCTGTGCGCCACCACACCCGGCCCTATCTTCCTTAATGTAAAGCAATTATCATACTTAATAGTAAAATTTTAGAAGTGCTTTTCGTCAAAGTTAGGACATAGACAAGGGTACCTTCTATCGCTGTATCTACTGAACATGGCACTGGAGACCCTAGGTAATGTGTTAGGCTAATACATATGAAATTGCCATTTTTTTAAGGTTATGGAGTGCAGTGGAGTGCAGTGGCATAGCATCAGAAATGTATGTAATTCAACCTATAATAGAAATAAATCAGCTAGGTGAGATGGCTTATGCCTATAACCCCAGCACTTTGGGAGGCTGAGGCAGGAAGATCACCTGAGGTTAGGAGTTGGAGACGAGCCTGGCCAAAATGATGAAACCTCATCTGTACTAAAAAAAAAACACACAAAAATTACCCAGGTGTGGTGGTGGGTGCCTGTAATCCCAGTTACTCAGGAGGCTGAGGCAGGAGAATCTCTAGAACTCGGGAGGTGGAGGTTGCAGTGAGCCAAAATTGTTTCACTGTACTCCAGCCTGCGCAACAGAGTGAGGCTCTGTCTCAAAAACAAACAAACAAACAAACAGAAAGAAAGAAAGTTTCAAGTTTTCTCTTTACACAATATGGATGTACTTCATAATGGACTTTCTCATCATGATTCATGAGTGAAGTGACATTCAAACTTGGTAGCTTTTCAGTAGAACTTCCTTTCCCAACATTTTTTTCTGTTCCTTTAATGATGGCAATATCTGAGAGCTCTGAACATAAGTCAAAGGTTTGATTATTTTTCATGTGGCTGGAAATTTTTGCCCTCTGTCAAACTTGGAAATTTTTTCCTCTGCCTGGAACTTTTTGCCCCGCATCTTCCGATCGCCCCGTGTCCTCTTGTTATGCCACTACCCTTTTTTGAGTGTGTCTATTTTCTGGCACTACAATACACTCTGGCACTACAAGGCTCATCTTGTGTTTTCTCTACCCTGACCCAGAATCAGCCATTACTTCAAGGAGCCCTGGTTCTGATATTGGAGAATGCTGTTAGAAACCAGGATGTGGTACTAGGCATGCCGATTTCTATTGGAGTGTCATATAAAAAATTTGTAAATTTTTTTGTAGGTCCTCCCAGTGGATAGGATTAGGAAATAAAACATGCATACTAACCACACATATACACACATCTACATCTGTTTCTGTATCTGTCTGTATACATATTAAAATAAACATGAGTTGATAACGAATGTTTCCGCTTTAATCCAAGCACAGATTTCATCCTAGCCTCCCCCTCTTCCTTCTTTTTAGCCTTTTCAACAGTGGGAAGTGTGGCTCTTGTTATGTACACTTTATTCACTTATTTGTTTGACCCTAGTATCATAAAGTAGTTCCATATGCCTGTGACAGATTGATTAACTGGAGTCCATTGTTTGTGGAGAAATATTTTTGTCCTAAGCCTTACAGCAGGGGTGGCCAAACTTTTGGCTTCCCTGGGTCACACTGGAAAAAGAAGAATTGTCTTGGGCCACACATAAAAATACACTAACACTAACAATAGCTGATGAGCTAAAAAAAAAATCACAAAAAAATTTCATAATGTTTTAAGAAAGTTTACTAATTGGTTTTGGGCCACATGCAAAGCCATCCTGGGCTGCATGTTGGACAAGCTTGCCTTACAGTATCCAGTCAAAATACTGTTTTCCAAAATTAGTTATTTTCTTCTTCATCCCTTTCAGTGTGGCCACTATTTATAATGCAGTTTGGTTCATTAGTGTTTGTATTCCAAAAACACCCTCAGCCTTCCTATCCTAGTTTTAATGAATTATTAGGGTGAAACATAATAAGAGTCGGAGCTATACAGAAAGGTCTACTCAGAGGTGCTTTGTTCCCTCCTGTTCTGTTCCCACCACTCCTACTTTCCACTACTTTTTCCACTGACCCTGTGAGCATCATATTTATTGTTAATGGCAGTTACATTTTTACCAAGTGCTTACTATCTGTAGGCACTTGGTGTGTATTGCTTCTTCTGGTGTTCACAGCAACCTCTTGAGGTAGGCACTATTATTATCCACCACCCCCCGCCCCGTTTTTTGAGACAGAGTCTCACTCTGTTGCCCAGGCTGGAGTGCAGTGGTGCGATCTCAGCTCACTGCAACCTCTGCCTCCCAGGTTCAAGCAATTCTCCTGCCTCCGCTTCCCAAGTAGCTGCAAGTACAGGTGCGAGCCACCACACCCATCTAATTTTTGTATTTTTAGCAGGCATGGGGTTTTGCCATGTTGGCCAGGCTGGTCTCAAACTCCTGACCTCAGGTGATCCCCATTTTTTAGATGAGAAAGCAGAGTCCCAGAGAGCATAAGGAGCTTGTCCAGAGTGGCATCTCTGATGCATAACCAGTACTCAAACCAGTATTTTTCTGACACCAAGGCCTGTGTGTAAACTGTAAAAGGGCTGTTTGGTACCTGCTTTCCTAAAGTTGTCTGATCCCTTCTCAGTCCAGGTCTTCCTGAAGCTTGGCACTTCTGAAGTCACCTTTCTGAAAACATTCTGGTAACTGTTAGATCCCTTGTTGTAGCTATTCATATGTTCTGTGTGGTTAAACAAGGTTCACAGTGGGCCACCTGGCCTTTGGAACTTGGCTGAAGAGGCTGCCTTCAGTTCATCCTCCCCACCCCCGTTTTCAAAACATGGGTTTCCATGTGTTCGTTGTAAATTAGGAAACATAACCATGTTTTGAGGCTTCATAGAAAACAAACGTCTGGGGTCACACAGGTTAAAGGAGGAACCAAATTCAGCACTATCACTGTTCTATTCGGCAGGCAATTCTGGGGCCTTCCTGTGTCTCAGGTTCTGTACTAGTTGTTTCAGGACTTTGGGATAAACACAAACTATCCCTGCCCTCAGGGGGATTAAGGTCAGGTGTACAAATGACTCTAATGCGAGGCAAGGCTGGATTCAGTGCTGGAAGAGGAGGGCATACCTAACGCTACGGGAATTCAAAGAGGAAATGATCAGAATGAGGAGGGAGAGATGGGTCATTCCGGGAGAAGCTTCAGGGAAAGGCAACATTTGAAATGAGACTTTGGAGAGTGAGGGAGGTTTGGGCAGATGGATAGAGAGGATGCAAGGCCAGGGGAAAGGTTTGAGCCAGAAAGTCAGCTTGGGCAAGTGCATGGGTAAAAAAAGAAAATCCACTTTGGGAGGCCGAGGCAGGTGGATCGCCGGAAGTCAGGAGTTGGAGACTAGCCTGGCCCACATGGTGAAACCCTGTCTCTCCTAAAAATACAAAAATTAGCTGGGCATGATGCTGGGCACCTGTAATTCCAGCTACTCGGGAGGCTGAGGCAGGAGAATCACTTGAACCCAGGAGGCAGAGATTGCAGTGAGCTGAGATCACACCACTGCACTCCAGCCTGGGCAACAAGAATAAAACTTCATCAAAAAAAAAAAAAAAGAAAGAAAATCACAAGGCAGTGTGGAGAATGGTGAGTAATCTAATTTGGTTATTGCAGAGAGGATGTAGAAGGAAGTGACAAGAGAGAAAGCCAGACAGGTGGCTTGGGGTCATCTTAAGGGCCTTTGTGCCAGTTAGGATGTTCCAGACTTCAGTCAGGCTGCCCAGCTCAGACTGGCTCAGACAATGAGGGGGTTTATTGGCCGTGTAATTGGGAAGTCCAGAGGCTCTAGGACTACAGAAAATTATTATTTAGTATTAGTTTGACAGCAACACCTTCTGTTTTCTGGGAGCAGGAGATGCTTGTCAAGCTGTAGGTCACTGAGTTGAATATTATCCTGCTTTATTAAATTGCCAAGGGCACGGTAATTGTTGAGAGGGGAGAAGTACACATGAAAGAAAACATGACCAGCTTAGAAACGTCAAATGATTATGACGTTGTTATAAAGTATTATAATTCTTTGAGCGTCTACTATAAGTAGAGAAACTTGAGTTCCAGGTTGGCGGCTTGGTTCTGCCAACAATCAGGAACGTGGTTTTGCATGAAGCCCTTCTTTCTCCTATAATCTTCAGTGTCCTCACCTGCAAAATGAGGCCTTTATATATATATATATATATATATATATATATATATATATTTTTTTTTTTTTTTTTTTGAGACGGAGTCTCGTTCTGTCGCCCAGGCTGAAGTTCAGTGGTACAATCTCTGTTCACTGCAAACTCCCCCTCCTGGGTTCACAGCATTGTCCTGCCTCAGCCTCCCGAGTAGCTGGGACCACAGGCACCTGCCACCACGCCCAGCTAATTTTTTGTGTTTTTAGTAGAGATGGGGTTTCACCGTGTTAGCCAGGATGGTCTCCATCTCCTGATCTCGTGATCTGCCCGCCTCAGCCTCCCAACGTGCTAGGATTACAGGTGTGAGCCACCACGCCCGGCCAAGGCCTTTATTATACTATGGTTCCTACTGTTTTTTAAAATACTTTTATTAAGTCCAACATTTTTATTAAGAACATTGCTTTTATACATGCCTATTTATGAAAGGGGTTTTCGAGTGTTTACCACTTTTTATTAGAAATAGAGACAGTAAGAATGTTTGACTTAATTGACACAGGCATAATTGAATGGGTATAAATGGCATGCCATAGAAAGAGAAAATTAAGTTGAGCTACTCTGTTGGTTTCACTGATGAGGGGATACATCATTCAAACAGCCAGGAATTAAATCCGTCCAGCTCACAAATGGGGAAACCAGCTGTGTCTGTACCCATGGCCAGCCAGATTGAACACAAATCAGGAAAGTCAATAACTTTTCCTCAGTTCTGAGGGACTTCAGTGGCTGCGGTTCATTTTCCTTTTGCTTCTGAAACAGTGCAAGTTGATGCTCGCCTGGACAGAGCGGCAGTGAGTGGTGGCGTCTGAAGGCCAGGTCTCTGTTGAGATGACTACACGTCGTCTCCCAGTGCCCAATGCATAGAAAAGATACACTACTAAGTGTGAGATGCTCAGTGAAAAATAAAATCTGGGGTTGAATCATCATGGGGGATACTGCATACTCTGTTTCCCCCCTGCAGATTTCCAATGCTCATTAGTTTATAGAGACTCTGAGAATTCCTACAGCAAAGGCACCTGCCAAGGTACTTACAAACTAGTTTAGCTAAACCAGACTTTCAACAATTGGTTACTAAAGACCACTCAAAGTCTGTCAACACTCTGTCATCTCTATGTAATGACAGAAACATAGAAATTCAGGGTAAATGTTTAGAAATTTCTATAGAAACTTGACATTCTCCCAGCATCTGTATGTGACATCAGGGGACTTGTCTCAATGAGCAGTTACAGACCAACTCAGGTTTTGTCAGACTCGATGGAAAGATGCAGAGGCTGTGAGCTGCAAACGAGTCACATACACAAGGACCACATTGCAAGCTGTGTTCTTTAAGGTTAGTTTGTCAACTATAGTATAATCTCACACATCTGAAAAATGGGAACATCTATTCTATAAAGTCTTATTTTTGCAATAATTTTAATTTTAAATCAAGCCAATGTTAGCATTATTAGTGAAAACAAAAGAAAGTTGTGTTATTTATTATTAAACCTAATTTGAGAGTGAAATAAATTGTATTAATTTTTTTAACCAATAAAAGATGCACCTTGTAAACCAAGAGATGATTATGAAAGTGATTCTGAGGACATGAAGACCAAAGGAGTTTGTCCTCGTTTTACTCAGAAGTACTATTTCTAATGGACAGATGATCCCTGACATACAATGGTTTGACTTATAATTTTTTGACTTTATGATGGTGTGAAAGTGATACGCATTCAGCAGAAACCATACTTCAGTATTCAATAAATTACATGAGATATTCAACACTTTAAAGTGGGTTTGTGAGAGAGAATTTTTGCCCAATGGAAGGTGAATGTAAATTTTCTGAGAATGTTTAAGGTAAGCTAGGCTAAGCTATGATGTTAGCTTAGGTGTATTAAATGCATTTTAATTTAATTTAATTTAATTTAATGTTTTGAGACAGTGTGTTTTGTTCTTGTCACCCAGGCTGGAGTGCAATGGCATGATCTCGGCTCACTGCGACCTCTGCCTCTTGGGTTCAAGCGATTTTCTTGCCTCAGCCTTCCCAGTAGCTGGGATTACAGGTGCGCACCAACATGCCTGGCTAATTTTTGTATTTTTAGTAGAGACAGGGTTTCCCCATGTTGGCCAGGCTGGTCTCTAACTCCCGACCTCAGGTGATCCACCCGCCTCAGCCTCCCAAAGAGTTGGGATTACAGGCTGAGCCACTGCACCCGGCCTTAAATGCATTTTCGGCTTATATTTTCAACTGATGATGAGCTATAACTCCTTTGTGAGTTGAGGATCATCTGTCTTGAATTTGGTTTTACAGGCATAACTGAAGGTGAAAGGACAGAATCACCATGTGTTACTGGCACAGATGCATCGGCTAGTGAAGAAAGAAGACATTCAAACTGTAAGTTGCATTCACGTGGGAAGCACAAAGAATTAAATTCAAAACAATGAAACATTAGAGAAAAGCATGGAGTTAAAACACAACAGAATCAGATGTTTACTATTTCTCATTTTAACACTAGTGCTTTGCGGGCTTCTAATAAAGTTGTACTCCAGGAGGCTAAGACTGAAAAGTGACACTAGTGAAAAGTAGCATTGAAATAGTTCCTTAGAAAAGTTGGGTGAATGTGGGGCAAAGATGCCACTAAACTTTAATTTTCCATCGACACACAAATTCAAAGTTTTCCAGAACTGGCAAGTAAAATGGAAGATCCACTCACAGGACACATGCAGTGTGTGAGGGGAATGCTTTTCAGCACTTCTTGATGGATGCACAAATAATGCCAACGTGGTAAATGTCTTTGGTAAATGTGCAATGGAATGCAGTGGTTGTGTGAAGGAAGAATTTTGTTTTCAGCTTCATTTTTGATAAACACAAGCAGCTCTGGACTGTGTGAAACCATGGAGCACCGCACAGTTAACAGAGGTGGTTTGGAGTTTTTTAGCTTTGCATAAGAGGATGTTCTGATGCAGAATCTACAGTGACAGGAAACCATTCTGGACAAGTTACAGAATTAAGGGGCTTGTGCCGGGATGGAAATAAATCAATGACTTCTGTCTTTGAGAAGGTTTTTCTCTGCTCCTCTGTGATGGTTAATTTTTTTTTTTTTTTTTTTTTTGAGATGGAGTCTCGCTCTGTCCCCCAGGCTGGAGTGCAGTGGCGCCATCTCGGCTCACTGCAAGCTCTGCCTCCCGGGTTCATGCCATTCTCCTGCCTCAGCCTCCCAAGTAGCTGGGAGTACAGGTGCCTGCGGCTAATTTTGTGTATTTTTAGTAGAGCCAGGTTTCACCATGTTGGCCAGGATGGTCTCGATCTCCTGACCTTGTGATCCACCCGCCTTGGCCTCCCAAAGTGCTGGGATTACAGGCATGAGCCACCATGCCCCACCTTTTATTTCTTTTCTTTTTTTTTTTCTTTCTTTCTTTCTTTTTTTTTTTTTTTTTTGTTAGTCCTTCCCTCCAGTGTCGTGGAGATAATTGGAAAATATTTTAGAGCAAAAAAGTTTATTTCTCCTTCTTGTTGTTAGCAAAGAAATTTATTTTTCCTTCTTGTTATTTATTGGCCTTGGAGACATACACCAAATAGCTCATTCTACTTCTGAAATTTTGTTTTGATTTCCCTGGCCCTCCCCACGAAGTATTTCAGATTAGCAGGGAGTCAAGCATTGTCTGTCTGTCTGTGAATAAAATATTTCAGGCTGCTTTTGCATAATATACATGCTCTTGCCTTTACGAGTCACACTCACATCTTCTGGTTTTGTAAGACACCAGGTAGAGAAGAAAACAATGTTTCTGAATTCTGCTTTATCAGCCCAGTAGAGAACTCCTCCCTTCCCTGAACTGAGGGCCACATCTAAGGGGTTGAAACAGGGCCAGTTACATTCTATGTTCCCAACATAATTGTCCATGCACGGATCCGATCAAGTTAAATGAGAAATAGGATATTTATTCTAAAAACAAGTTATTGCTACAATAATAATAATACTATAGTAATATTATTATTCTAATAATGATATTAGAAAAAAAACTGGTTATTAAAGTACTAAACAGTTGAAAATCTAAATGTCTCACAAGGTCAACTATAGCAAGTATATAAGATTTCATATTAGTCGCACGTCAAAAATTATATCCATAAAAGTAATGACATATGAAAACAGTTTATTGATACAGATATAACAAATATAACTAAACTGTGCTGAAATGTATTTTAAAATAAAATATGCCAAAATATTATTGATGATGACTTTGGATGATGGTATTACCACTAAGGTTTCAAATTTAATTTGCCTCTTACTTCTGAGTACTTTTATAAATTTTTAAATAATAAAATTAGTGTGTTAAAAAATATCAAGTGATATCTAGAAATCAGAAAAAGGCATATTGCCAGAGGAGGACCGAGTTAGTAGATTTGAGGCTCCATTAAGTTTTGTTTATGATCAAAAAACAAACAAAAACCAGGCAACAGTGGCAAAAAATATCTCACTTCCTTCCTGGAAAAGTAAATGAGACTACAAAGAATTTCCAAACTTAAAAACTATACATTTCAAGTCTGTTCATAACTAGTGAAGTCACAGTTTCTGAAAACAATGATAAAATTTTAATTGATATTTAATTCATATTTTTTGTTTAAAAAACTATCAGTATTGGAAGATAAATTTCATGGGAAAAGCATTGAATCATTAAGTTTTGCAGTCACAAAGGTAAATATAATTTGCTTAATGCTGCCCTCAGTTTACAATGAGTCTTTAGTATTTTCTAAGCTATGAGTTCACCAAAATATAGGATTGTTTTGCTGCATATAATTTGCTCAGTGATCAAACACTAAGGAGTTACCTATGTTAAGATGTGAATAATAAATTTATGCAAAATTTATGAAAGTGTACATTGTAAAGACAATAAAACTTTCCATTAAATTGGTGGGAAAGGAGCTCAAAACCTAGCTGGGTGATTCATTATTTTAATGACTTCCTGCTTTACTGCAAAACCTCTCTCTTCATTCGGTGTTGGTAGTTTGAACCCCTGTTAAGGATATAGGCTCACAATGAAGCTTCTATAAATTTCTGGACCTCTGTCATGCTGGCATGTATGTCATTCTCCTTTAGGAATGATGAAGAGACTGGAAAGCGGTTGCTCCAAGGGAAGGGATAATTTTGCAAACCTGAGCTGTCTAAGCTCAGCATGAATTGGAGTGGGCTGCTGACTCAGGCTAGCAGAGGCAGCCAGGAAACATGCAAATCTGCAATCCGTTCTGCCAGGTCTGTCACAGCAGGTGTCACTAAAGGCACCCCTGTGTGCTTGTCACTGTGGCAGCCTTGACAAGGAAGGTGGAAAGGAAAAAGAGACCCAGTGCTGAACTCCAAGCAGAGATGGGGCTTTTCTCTATGCATATTTTCCCTCCCCTCCCAGCCTGCATTTCCAATAACATATTGATTTATATTTGTATTATGAAACAAAAGTGGTTGTAATCAGATGTTCTTTCCTTTTACACACAATGTTAGCTCCTATTTACATTTCTAACTGAACAATGTCTAAAGAGGTATTTAAACTGATGTAAAACGCAGATAATCTCATGACCAAATGCTTAGCGCAAGAAAAAACTTCAATTTGCAAGAGAAGTCCCTCCAAATACAGAAAGGACCAGTATTGTAAGAGGTACCTTAACTAAAATGTAGCAATGTAAGGCGCAGAGCAGGAAGAACTTTTAAGTCTGAAACTTACAACAAGTCAATTTCATAGTCAGTTTCCCTGGGCCTTCCACAACAGCCTCCGGCACCTGTTTTCTCTACAATGGAGGTAACAATAGTAGCTATTTCAGAGCAGGAAAAGGCTTAGAGCAGTGCTAGAAGAGGGTTGTGGCTATATAAAGTTTAGCTATTTGTATATTGTAAGAAACCAACGATGTGTTCTTTTATCGGTAGTCAGTAATGGATTTCTTGTGGGAAAGTAGCAGCCTCCTATGGGGGGAACACCCGCAGGTCCCACTAAGTGAACACTGGTGTCTGCTAACCTTTGCCTCTATTTGTCGCAATAATATACTGTCAAGCTGTTCCTTGAGTTAGCAATTTTATTTACATTCTTTTTCTTTTTTTTTTCCTTTCCCTTTTCCTGCCACAGAGTCCCGCTCTGTCGCCCAGTCTGGAGTGCAGCAGCGCCATCATAGCTCACTGCCACCTAGAAGCCGGGGTGAAGCAATCCTCCTCCATCAGCCTTCAGAGTAGCTGGGACTACCTGCGCGGCCCACCACACCCGGCTAATCTTTGTGGTTTTTGTTTTGTTTTCCGTTCTGGGTTTCCGTCGGGCGCAGTGGCTCAGGCCTGCAATCCCAGCACTTTGGAAGGCAGAGGTGGGCGGATCACCCGAGGTCGGAGACCAGCCTGACCAACATGAAGAAATCCCGTCTCTACTAAAAAAAAGAAAAAAACTACAAAATTAGCCGGATATGGTGGCTCATGCCTGTAATCCCAGCTACTAGGGAGGCCCAGGCAGGAGAATCACCTAAATCCGGGAGGCCGAGGTTGCGGTGGGCAAAGATCACACCATTGCACTCCAGCCTGGACAACAAGGCTGAAACTCCGTCTCAAAACAGAGACCGGGTTTCACCATGTTGCCCAGGCGGTCTGGAACTCCTAGGCTCAAGCGATCTGCCACACTCGGCCTTCCAAAGTCCTGGGATCACAAGGGGGAGGCACCACGCCAGGCCGAT
Organism: Homo sapiens; assembly: GCF_000001405.40. Taxonomy (NCBI): domain Eukaryota; kingdom Metazoa; phylum Chordata; class Mammalia; order Primates; family Hominidae; genus Homo; species Homo sapiens. The sequence continues at coordinate 2,599,800 of NW_011332701.1, read as the reverse complement.
CTATTCCTTTCTGGTTACTAAATTGGACCGGGGGCGCGGTGGCTCACGCCTGCAATCCCAGCACCCAGGGAGGCGGAGGCGGGCGTATCACTCGAGGTCAGGAGCTCGAGATCAGCCCGACCAACACGGAGAAACCCCGTCTGTACCAAAAAAATAAAACCAAAATTAGCTGGCATGGTGGCTCATGCCTGCAATCCCAGACACTCAGGAGGCTGAGGCAGGAGAACCACCTAAACCCGGGAGGTGGAGGCCGCGGTGAGTCGAGACCACGCCACTGCACTCCAGCCTGCAAAACGAGCGAAACTCCACTCAAAAAAAAAAAAAAAAAAGACAGTGTTTCACCACGTTGCCCAGGCCGGTCTGGAAGTCCTAGGCTCAATCGATCGCCGCGCTCGGCCGTCCACAGTACTGGGATCACAAGCATGAGCTACCACGCCAGGCCGATCTATTCCTTTCTGGTTACTAAATTGGACCGGGGGCGCGGTGGCTCACGCCTGCAATCCCAGCACCCAGGGAGGCGGAGGCGGGCGGATCACCCGAGGTCAGGAGCTTGAGATCAGCCCGGCCAACACGGAGAAACCCCGTCTGTACAAAAAAAAAACCACCAAAATTAGCTGGCATGGTGGCTCATGCCTGCAATCCCAGCCACTCAGGAGGCTTAGGCAGGAGAACCACCTGACCGGGAGGTGGAGGCCGCGGTGAGTCGAGACCGGAAAACACTCTAGCCTGGAAAACAAGAGCGAAACTCCGCTCAAAAAAAAAAAAAAAAAAAAAAAAAAGACCGTGTTTCACCATGTCGTCCAGGCTGGTCTGGAACTCCTAGAACCTGTAGATGTTACCTCATTTGGAAAAAGCATATTTTCAGGTATGATTAAGTTAAGGATCTTGAGGAGAGATTATCCTGGATTGTCTCCGTGGGCATTAAATCCTGGCACATATATCCTTATAAGAGGGAGATAAAGGAGATTTAACTTCAGACAGAAGAGAAGGAGGCCCTGTGACCAAGAAGGCAGAGCCTGGAGTGGTGGAGCTGCAAGCCAATGAATGCCAGCAGCCATCAGAAGCTGCGCAAGTCAAAGGATGGATTTTCCCCTCAGCCTCTGAGAGCACTGGCTCTGCTGAGACCTAGATTTCAGCCCAGTGATACTGATTTTGGACTTCTGATATCCAAAACTGTGAGAAAATAAATTTCTGTTGTTTTAAGTCACCACATTTTTGGTAATTTGCTCTAACAGCCACAGGAAAGTAACATACATGCCTACCTGGGTCCAGTTGTGTCCTGTGACTCCTGCTTTCCTGGGACAGGCAGGCTGCTCCGTGCCTCCTGGCCATCCTACTGGGTGCTGGACGCTGTAGGCTGCTCCATGCCTGTTGGCCATTCCCTTTGGTGCTGGACAGCACTCACATTGTGAAATCCACTGGCCCTGTGAAAAACACCTGGAAATGTTACCAGGAGAGGGGTTAGTTCTCTTTTTGGCAACCCATGTTATTGCTTATGGCTTAATATCTGTGCCTCCAAGATCCCTTCTCTCTGCCTTCATCGATGCCAGGAAAGCAGTCACCTTTTGCCTTTCTTTGCTTCTCAGCAAGTGGCATGTCTCCATGTCACTTTAAGCATCAAGCACACGGAGCCCAATAAGATGCTGAAAAGTGTCTGCCTACAAGGTTACAAGGCGGTGGAGACATTCTGAGCCGGTAACTGCAGGGCTCAGTAAAACCGCTACAGGAAATCTCAAGTTCAAAATGCTGAAGTGAAAAATGGGTGATCACAACGAAGGGAAACACAAACCCCTTCTTTTAAAAACATTATGGTGATAAGGCACAACATAAAATTTACCATATTAGCCACTTGTAAGTATACAGTGCAGTAGTGTTAAAAATATACATGTTGAGTAACGAGTTTCTAGAACTTGCTTCTCTTGGAGAACTGAAACTATAGCCACTATACAACAACTCCCCATTTCTCTATCCCCTGGCTTATGGAAACAACCGCTCTATTTTCTGTTTCTATGAGTTTGACTAATTTCGAACCTAATGTAAGAGAAATTGTACAGCATTTGTCTTTGTGTGATGGGCTGATTTCAATTAGTGTAATGTTTTCAAGGTTCATCTATATTGCAGCATGTGACAGGGCTTCTTTCTTTTTTAAGGCTGATAATTTTATAGTATTCCGTTGCATGGATAGACCACATTTATTTATTCATTTATTTATTTATTTATTTACTTATTTATTTATTGAGACAATCTCACTCTGTTGCCCAGGCTGGAGTGCGGTGGCATGATCATGGCTCACTGCAGTCTGAATCTCACATTCTCAAGCGATCCTGCCGCCTCAGCCTCCTGAGTAGCTGGGACTACAGGCACATGACACCATGCCTGGATATTCGTCTTTCTGTGTAACTGGTTGAGAAACAGGGGAGTAACAGTGAAGAAACGGTCTTAGAATAAATCTGGTGACAGCAGAAGAGAATATGAGACAGATTGTGCTCACAGAGCCTTGAAGAGTGTGACAGTATTTGAGGGCCACGCTGTTGTCTTAGAGTGAAGTGAGGAGAACCTGCACTGGTTTGGTAGTCATGGGAATGGAAGGAGGAAAGAAATGTGAAAGCTCATCGGTGGCAGAGTCAAAATGGCTTGGTCTTTGTAGTCAACGATTAAGTGAGAAGGAGGAATTACTGGCTGACTTAGAAGAAGTAAAAAATGTGAAATACCGATAAAACACAAATCTCGTGATTTTAGTCAGCGTAAAGACTAAGCATTGTGTGATTCTAGATATATTATTAAGCAGTTTTGTTCCAGTATTTTATATCCCATATCTTCTAGCTATGACCCTATTTCTTTGTTTCTTGACATAGACAAACATTTTTTAAACTAAGAGCTTTATTGTGATACAGTTTTTGTATGATAAGCCTCACCCTTCAAGTGTACAGTTCAGTGGTTTTTAGTATATTCAGAGTTATGCAGCCATTACCACTCCCTAATTTCAGAACATTTTCATCTCCCCAAAAAGAACCCCGTACCCACTAGCAGTCACTCCCTGTAGCTCTCTCCCCCACCATTGATCCTGGCAACCTCTGATCTAACTTCTATCTCTGTAGATTTGCCTATCCTGGGCATTTCATATAAATAGAATCATACAACAGTGGCATTTTGTGACTGATTTTTCTTTACAGTGATTATAAATCAAATGCCTGAAGACGCTAAGCTTAGGATAGTGTTTGCTGTACAACTTTGATAACTGAACTTTTGTAAAGCTGAAAATGTGACTGTGTCTGTATATGTGGCATATTATCCTTAGATGATCCTTACTTCGATTATTAAGAATTTTTTCCCCTAGTAATCTTCAACTGTCTCAATATTCAGCAGGAACCCCTTGGAGACAAAGATCAGTACGAATTTGGAACACCTATTGACAAAATGAATGTAATTTAATTTAGTACAGTAGTAAAGTCAACCACTTTTAGGTGTTGATGCTGCTGAAAGTGTATATTAAGGAAAAGTTTACTTACCTTACTTTTTGTGGAGGTGCTAGAACTACTTCTGTCTTGTGTTTAGATTTCAAGAAACCTTTGCATGGGCATTATGTGGTTGCACAAATGTACTTCGTTTTGACCTGAAAATGCAAAAACTTCCTTTCTTCCCACTTTCTGAGACTCTGCAACCTTAAAGGAAGAGTGGGGTTCTTTAAAGGAAAGGTGGTGGTGGTTGGGTCATGGGTAACAATGTCTACTGTGTACTTCCTTTCCCAAAACAAGTCCCTGTCTACCGTCAGCATTTCCAAAACTTGAAGGTCAAGTGTGGTGTTAACTCATGAACTAATGACTAGACTTTGAGCGGTTGTGGAAGCAAAATCTCAGTGAGTGCCTGGATGTTCTAATTCTGTTAAGTCAGTGAGTGCATATTCTGTACAATACTCTCTTAGCCCAGTGGCAGGTTTAAGGAGTGGGAGAGAGATTTCTATGTTTCGGAAATCAAATACACAAAGAATAAAAATTTTTAATCCCATGAATCTTTGCCCGAGTTTAATTTCTTGGAGAGTTTTTCTTTTAGATTTTCTTTCCCTTCCATTAAACTTTTACTTAGAAAGGTCCCAGGGTTTGGGCAAAGCAAGTGGGAAAGACACTTGCTTGGGTTCTCCAGGATAAGGGATTGAAGAGGACTTCTTTCCCTCATTTTATTATTGAATAATGTCACAATAACAATTATTAAGGTGAATAGTCTACAGTGGAAGTGTTTAGATGCCTTGTCTGCAAAATAACTTGGTTTAGTCAACCCAAGGATGCCTTTGGTTAGCTGGAATGGGAGATGTGCAGGTTAGAGTGGTCTTGGCAAGTCTTCCAGGGGGAAATACAGCATTTGGAAGGGTAGGAAGCAGAAGGAATCTCAGGCAAGGGAAAGGCGTGGGCAGAGCCCCGGAGGACAGAACAGGTTGTGGTGGACTTGGTGTCCACATAGACCTAATTAGTGGTCTTAGCTTTTGTGTTTTCAAAATTACCACAGTTTGTGTTCTAAAACTGTCATTCTCTTGATTTTATTTTAGACATACTATCTGTGTATTTTGAAATTTAAAATAACAGTAAAGGAGAAACGAATTTATTTTGTTTGAGAAAGAGTTAAAAGGTTAAAACATCTTGATCTTAATAATTTTCTAAAGGGAGATTTGGTACACCCCCAGAAGTTGTCTTTGGTTCAGAGAATAGTCTTCAGATCTAGAAAGGACTTGAGAAGTCCCAGAGAGGTGCTGCATGGTCTGAACCATTTGATTCTCACGACAGAATGGATAAAAACAATTTGAACCAGGAAACCATGCAGATGTTCATATTTTGGATAGGGTAAGGTCAGTGCGGTCGTCAGAGGAAAAACTCTCGGCCATCACAGGATGGGAGAGAAAGTTTGAGTTGTGAAGAATACTCAAATGCCGTTTAAGGAAACGGGTTCTTCTGCACCTATTCTTTGGAATATTTAGGGCTAAGTTCTTAGTTTTTGACATCATAAAAATGTCAAAGTATTCTGTTCTAAGAGCCATTTCAAACAACTGACTAGAATTTCAGAGCAATTACATGAGAGTAATACCATTAAAATGTTTAAATTACCCATAGTCCTATATCCCTAACAAGTATGTTCACGCTTGCATGTTCTCTTCTCATCTTTACTGTGTGCATACTTTCTTAGTAATGGCACGTAGACATTGTTTAAGCAGGAATAATTCTCGAGATAATTTTGTATGTTTCCTTTTTTCTTTTTAAGGTAGGTATTGGGTGGAGGAGCATTATATTTGCAACTTCTCGCAAAACACGTGATTATTTTCTTATAATATTCAATTTTCACCCTCAATAGAGTGTTTTGATTATGTAAGTTAGACAGAAAGTAGAAGGTTCTCTTAGAGAAATTTTAGTGTTTTTTTTTCATAGCTCCTACTTTCAAGAATGAAAAAGGTAAACCAGTAAAATGACACTGTACTTGGTGCTGCATCTATGCTGGGATAGGCATTAAGAGTGACCTTTATTTAAGGTTCTAATTTGCTCATGTTGGGCACTTAGAACGTCAGTTTGTTGCTTTTTGTGAGATTTTGGAAATGGTCCAATTTTACTTTTTCCCCTTGACTCCAGACTTTTTAACACTGATCTGCTGCTGTTGAGGCATATGCCGTTTTGTTAGGCCTCCTCAAGTGGGAGTCAGGAATGCTGCTGTGTTCCAGAGAGGTTTTGTTCTTCCTGTAGGGCTGAAGCAGTGCCTACTCAATAGAACCAGTCATCGTGCAAAGAAATGCCACCTGACTCAAAGGCAAAGCCAGAGTGCAGCTTGGAGCAAAGAAGGTATTTTATTAAGAATTTTACATAAACCATAAGATATATTTTATATTACTTTGCGAGCCTTCTTCCTGTCTTGACTTAATTCTTTTTGAGAGAATTCATTTCATTTTCATTTGGTTGGTTTTCTTCTTGTTACAAAGATGATCTATAGAAAATATAGAAGTATAAGAAAATTAAAGATACTAACTGATAATTGCTTAATGATTTAGTATCTGCTTGTTTAGTCTTTGTTATATTTACAGTAGGCAAACATGTCTACCGTTGTGAATTTATTACTGGTATGTATACCCTAGTAAGTTAAAAGTTGTACGTACTTTGAAGTTTTGCAAAATTGAGTTCATATTATAGAATTAATTCCTGATGAACTTTTATGTGCTAGGCACTGGTCTTTTTATTTAATTATTTATTTTTACTTTTTTTTCCTCTGTGCCTATGCTTACCAAGTCTTTTTATTTTTTACTTTTTATTAACTCTTTTAATCCTCTGGATAAATTAAAAAGAGGGTATTATTAATATCTGCATTTTGTAGATGAGGTAACTGAAGGTAGGTAACTTGTCCAAGGTCACAGGTGGCAGAGCAAGGATTAAAACTAGACAGTCTGGCTGCCCAAGGCCCAACGAAGAGGAGCTGAGAGCAAGCCACCGGGCAGAAGGATGTTGGTCAGGCTGGTTTCCTGTTCAGTTAACATGAAACGCAGGCTTAACCTTAATTCTAGGACGTTACCGAGAAAGCCTTCCAAAGCCATAGGTTTTTTACCATGACCATGACTTCTTTTTTTTTTTTTTTGAGACAGAGTCTCACTGTGTAGCCCAGGCTGGAGTGCAGTGGCGCGATCTCGGTTCACTGCAGCCTACCTCTCTTGACAGTCCGCTGCTTAAAGTCATTCTCCTGCCTCAGCCTCCCGAGTAGCTGAAATTACAGGCGCCGGCCACCACGCCTGGCTAGCTTTTGTGTTTTTAGTAGAGACGGGGTTTCACCGTGTTGGCCAGGCTGGTCTTGAACTCCTGACCTCAAATGACCCACCTCTGCCTCCCAAAGTGCTGGGATTCCAGGCGTGAGCCACCGTGCCAGGACCCAAGGCCCTTAAGTTTTAACGTCTCATTCTTCAGTCAGGTTTTCCTTGTTCCTGCGTGTTCAGCCATTTGTTTTTAAGTTTGTGTTGAAGGAGAAACTAACAACGAAAATGGACTTGTTGACGGAAGAAAAGTAGGAATGCAGCCTCTGGTGCTGTTTGAGTGATCCCTCTGCCCCAGGCCTGGCTGCGCGCTGCTGTGTTCTGGAAAGGCGCATTGTGCCCTCGCTGTGGCAGGTAAGAGTCCTGTACAGGTGCTCTGCCCACTTTACCTTTCAGGCTTCTGTATCAGCTGTTTTTCCCTTGTAGAATGTGCCCCTGACCTGTGCCCCTGACTTCCACCCCTTAACCCTGCCCAATACATCTTTACATGTCTGACCATCAAGACTCTTCTGGGTCATATTCAGTTCATGCTGATATTTTCCCTTCCTCCCCTCTTTAGTCCTTACTATTTTTGCTTTGGTCATGTTATGCTATATTCTGTAAGCCTTTAAAAATTTTGTTGTATCATGGCAGGGGAGAATATTTTATAATTATGCTTTGTGCGTTTTATCTTCCACTCAATGAATGCTTGGTAAATATTTGTTTTATTGAGTATATGACCCTTTTCTAGCTATACCGTGAACAAAAATGTTAACTGCCTTGTACGTTAACTGCTAAGAATTTGTCAAAAGTGCAGAGATGACATCCAGAACTTGTCAGAATATTACAAAAAGGTCTCTAAGGGCATGATGGAGGTCTGTAAATTGACTTCATGTGAAAGAGTGTAAGAAGTGAAAATGTGAAGCATGACTGGAGAGCCGGAGTGATAAAGCAAGGGTCCCTTTCTCCAGATCCTTTGTAACAGTGTCATGTGACCTCTTCTAGATCATTCTGAAAGACAATGCCAGCTCGGAACCTAGGAAAGCATCCAGTGGGTTTCTGCATGTTAGGTGGTTCAAATCCTCATTAGCACCTTTGTTTTCTCTGCCTCAGTTTGCTTACAGTGATGTTCTCAGTAGCTGTAATTGCTGTCTGTCTTTGAATATTTAAGCATTTTTTTTTTTTAGATCACAGGGTATATGTGCATTTTTATTTTACCAAGTGTTAGAATTTTTACTCTGCCTTTGTGGGCTCTGGGTTAGCTACTTGGCTGTTTCATCGTAAAATGATTAGCAGGAAAAACTGTGTGTGTGTGTGTGTGTGTGTGTGTGTGCGCGTGTGTATTTTAAGTTTCTTAATTGGGTTGGTACATGTAAACCATTTAGAACAGTGCCTGCTGCATATCACATCCCCATCAGTATTCACGTCTCTCATATTCTACCCTCACACTTGATTGATAGTTTGCTTGATTACGTATTTCTAGGTTGAGGATAATTTTACCTTAGAATTTCAAAGTCTGTGCTGTTGTCTTCTAACCAGTCGTGGTGGCGAAGCCTCATGCCATCCTGAGTTTCACTTGTTTATGCATGACTTTCTCCCTGGAAGCTTTTAGGAGTTTGTCTTTTCCTTGGTGAGCTGAAATAGCACAACAGTGTACTTAGTGTGGGTCTTTTTTCATTCATTATGCTGGGTACACCAAATGAACAGGCCTATGGATAGGCTCTTTCAAAGTTGGAGTCTTGAATCTTGTCATATTTTTGTTGTTAACTTTCTCTTTTCCATTTTATTTGTTCATTTGGAAGTGTCTGTTAATTGGATTTTAGACCTCTTGTCTTGAGTCTTATATCTCACGTTATTTCTAAATGTTTTTTAAATTTTCAGTTCTGGAATATTTTCTTATCTTTCGACTTTCAGGAAATTTTATTTGGACTGTCATAACTTTAAGTTTTGTTTTGGTTATTTATTGTTGCTTAACCAATTATCCCAAAACCTAATGGCCTAAAACTACACATCTGTCTATCTGTCACGACTGTATGGATTACCTGGGGCTAGCTGGACAGTTTTTCTGCTGGTCTCATTTGGCAGCTCTCACTGTGTGGTTAAACAGTGTCAGGGACTGGTCATCTGGATGCTCAGCTGCAGTGGAATGTCTGAGACGGCTTCTTTACCCACAGGTCTGCTGCCTTGGTGATTCTTGATGTGGCCTTTCTCTCTGCATAGCATCTCATCCTCTCGGATCTCTTCATGTGGCTTTTCTTTCTCCAAGAAGGTAGCCAATTCTTATTTTTGGCTTCCAGAAGCACAGAAATGGAGCTGCCAGGAGTTCTTAAGGCTTAGACCTGGAACAGGTCCAGTGTCATTTCTACCACATGCTATAGGTTAAAGTGAGTGTTGGGGCCAACCCAGATTGACTATGGGATGGGCCTGTCTGAGGACATGATGACAGGAGGTATGGCTCATTGGAGACCAACTCCCAAGATGGAGCATGAGTTCTAAGAACTTTTTCTTCTCTGATTATTTCTTATTCATATTGTTTTGTTTTATACATGTAATATATTCACAAGTGTCTTTATGAAGTGATTTTGATACTCTTTGTCTTCTCCCTGGCATCTCCTTGTTCTTTAATAATTTTTTTCTTAGTTTATTTTGGTCTTATTTTTCTTTTTAAAGCCTTTCCTTAAATATCTATTCTATGTTGCTTATCATTTGTAGTCTTTTTTTTTTTTTTTTTTGAGACCCAGTTTCGCTCTTGTTGCCTAGGCTGGAGTACAATGATGTGATCTTGGCTCACCACAACCTCTGCCTCCAAGGTTCAAGCAGTTCTCCTGCCTCAGCCTCCCAAGTAGCTGGGATTACAGGCATGTGCTACCACGCCCAGCTAATTTGTGTATTTTTAGTAGAGATGGGATTTCTCCATGTTGGTCAGTCTGGTCTGGAACTCCCAACCTCAGGTGATCCACCCACCTCGGCCTCCCAAAGTGCGGGATTACAGACATGAGCCACCGTGCCTGACCTGTAGTCTTTTTTCCATTCCTTTATTTGTTCATTCATATTTGAGAGAGGTACTAAAAGACTGGGAGCCGAGGTGTGGTGGCTCACACCTATAATCTCAGTGCTTTGGGAGACCGAAGTGGGAGGATCACTTGAGCCCAGGAGCTCAAGACTAGTTTGGGCAACATAGTGAGACCCCATCTTTACAAAAAAAAAAAAATAGCTAGGTGTGGTGACACCCATCTGCAGTCCCAGCTACTTGGGAGGCTGAGGCAGGAGGATTGCTTGAGCCCAGGAGGTTGAGGCTGCAGTGAGCTCTGATCATGCCACTGCATTCCTGCATTCCAACCTGGGCGAAAGAGCAAGACCCTGTCTCAAAATAAATAAATAAATAAATAAAAATAAAAATAAATAAAAATTGATTGGGAGTTCTTTGTGGCCAAGACTTGTCAACTGATAGCTTTAAGGGGAATGTATGCTGATTCCTAATTGTTATCCTCCATCCCTCTATCTTATCTCCTGTTGCAATCATAAATGATGGCTGGATGACTACTCCATTCCTCTGGATGTAAAATCTACATTCTCTTGCCTGAGGTGGATACGTTTGCTTGGGTTCTGTTTAAGGAGATGGGGCCAGCAGTGTGTTTCAGGGCCTGTGAAATGTGTTCTCTATCCGGGCTTTTGCTTAATCTCTGTTTTCAGTCTTGCCTATCAGTCCCACTGTCGGGGGTACCTCGTGTCTGAGTCTAGAACCTTTCCAGGTTGCTGTGGGACAGATTAGCCTCCTTGTTCTCAGTATCCCCCTGACCTCCACCTTTGTTGCTTTGCTCCATGAATTAACCATTTTCCATGTACTGTCATTGTCTAATGAAGATGAATTCTCTTCTGTTGGTAACCCCATTCCTTTTTTGTAATGGTGTGCTTATACAATGTTTATTCTTCACTGTATTTCTATTGGAGCCTCAGGACAAAGAGCAGATGGTGAGAATCTGTGTTCAGTGTTAAGTTTTCCTTCTGTAAGACATGTGCAACTTGTGTTTTTCACTGAATAGATCATGGACTTAATGCATATAGAGCTACTTTGTTTTTCATGATTGTGCCTTCAATTATATGTAGAAATATAATTTGTGAATTGCCTGATGAAATTTTCCTAATTTTGAATTATCTTTGCATTCCTATAATAAACACTGTTGGAATGGCTATGGTAATATTTTATTTTTGCATTTTTACTTCTGTATTAAATAAGATTATAGTTTTGTTTGTTTCCTTTAAGGCTGTTATTTCAGTATCAAGGGTATGCAGGGCTGAGTTGGGAAGCTTTACATCTTTTTTCTAAGATCTAGGATGTAGATCTGGTTTACACAGTAATTTTCAACTGCAGGAGTATTTTGCCTCCTATGGGACGTTTGGAAATATCTGGAGACATTTTTGTGGTCACAACTGGTCATGGTCGGGAGGTCTCATTGGCATTCTGTGGGTAGAGGGAATGTTACTAAATGCCCGACAACACACCAAGAGAACCCTCCACAAAGAATTATCTGGCCCAATATATCAATATTGCTGAGGATGACAAATTCTGGTTTAAATATCCAATTTGGAGGATGAGTCTTTGTCTTTTTCCTTCTTCTGCATATTGGTCTCCAGATTTCCCACTTCTTCAGTTACTTTTCGTAACTGTAGGTTCTTAAAAAAAAAATGAACACTTTGGATGGGTGCGATGGCTCATGTCTGTAATCCCAGCACTTTGGGAGGCCGAGGCAGGTGGATCACGAGGTCAGGAGATAGAGACCATCCTGGCTAACATGGTGAAACCCTGTCTCTACTAAGCCAAAATACAAAAAATTAGCCAGGCGTGGTGGCGGGCGCTTGTAGTCCCAGCTACTCGGGAGGTTGAGGCAGGAGAATGTTGTGAACCCGGGAGGCGGAGCTTGCAGTGAGCCAAGATCACGCCACTGCACTCCAGCGTGGGTGACAGAGCGAGACTCCGTCTCAAAAAAAAAAAAAAAAAAAATGAACATGTCATCCATACTTCTAAGGTGTTGTAAAGATGTGTAAAGTTTTCACTTTTTGCATCATATTCACATGTGGCTATATGCCCTTTTCTCTTCAAAGTTTTCTTTATCTTGATTACTTATCAGAGGCTTGACTGTTTTATTATCTCAGTCTTTTGAAAGAATCCTCCTTTAGTTTTATTTTTTAAATCTAGTGGTTTTTCTTTTTCCTTAGGTCTTAATTATTTCCCCCTTTTTGTTTGTTTTGCTTTTCCTAGTTTAGTGGATCAATGTAATTTAAATTGCTTTTTAAACAAACGTGTAAGGGTATACATTTTCGTTGGCTGCTGTTTGACTTCGTTGCACAAGTTTTAAAATCTATTTTTTAATAGTTTGTATTTTCTAAATTATTTTATTGCATCTTTTGTTCACATTGCTCTTACTATTAATTTTTTATTTTAATTAATTAATTAATTAATTAATTAATTGAGATGGAGTCTTGCTCTGTAGCCCAGGCTGGAGTGCAGTGGCATGATCTTGGCTCACTGCAAGCTCCACCTCGGGGGTTCATGTCATTCTCCTGCCTCAGCCTCCCAAGTAGCTGAGACTACAGCTGCCTGCCACCACATCCGGCCTTTTTTGTATTTTTAGTAGAGATGGGGTTTCACCGTGTTAGCCAGGATGGTCTCGATCTCCTGACCTCATGATCCACCCACCTTGGGCTCTCAAAGTCCTGGAATTACAGGCATGAGCCACTGCACCCAGCCCAAAAGCTTTGTGCTTTTACAGATATTAGACATGTTTCTTGTTTAAGAAAAAAAATCTTAACGAAAACGTAGGAGAATAAGAGAAACATTTTTCCAAAAAAGAGAAATCATTGTGATTATTTTATCTTATTAGAATGTTGGATAATATAGTCTGCTTCATTAATCATCAAGCATGCTATGCATTTTCCATTTTTATAGGATCTGTATCTCAGTTAAGGTAATACTGGTAATTTTTGTACTGTAATCAAAGATGAAAAATATAGGCCAAAATCATAGACCTTGCATAGAAGCTGGATAATGAAGACAGCTATGGAGAAAAACATAGATACACACACATGGACACACATATATATAAAGTATACACACATATATTTTTTAAAGTTTTAAAGCTTTTAAAGCAAAAGCCAGCCCCTCTTCTCTTCCAGAGTGGGAGGCCTCTCCCCTCTCTTAGAGTGGGTGGGGAGAGCGGTTGCCATGGGCAGCTTTCCTTGTGAGCCGCAGGGCCCTCTGGACACGCTGCTGTCTGGCCACGCCCCCTTTCCCTTTCATCTTTCTCATTGACCAATGGGCTTGGAGCATTAAGGCCACGCCCCTATTCCGCATTCTACTGGGGCCCTGGTTACGCCTCCTCTGGCTCAGTCACACAGCTGCCTGGTAGGTGACTGGAGGCCTTGAACGGTTCTTATTGGGATTTTGCTGCTGTGGCCCCAACCCTTCCTCCCTCCCCACCCTGCAATGGCAGAAGAAACTCAACACAACAAATTGGCTGCAGCCAAGAAAAAGGTAAAAACGCACTAGGTCATAGCCCCTCAACCCAGCCACAGATCCCCTCTGATGACAAGACCCCTGCCAGAGTCTATATGACTCCTGAGGCACACTGGACTGGTCCCCCCAACCCCGGTGCCTTGGGCTACCCCCACCAAAGTTTTGTCAGTCAGCCCCACCCCTTCAGCAAGCAGCCCAGTCCTTGCCCTCGCCAATCACCCCAGGGTGACTTTGGGTGGGTGACTCCTGGGGCTTCCCGCTCCATTACTGGGCCCTCATCTCCTGCCGCCCCAAGCTTGATCTCCGTGGGCTCTTTGGGCTCTCATCTCCAAGGAGCCAGGCCCCACCCTCGCCAGTCATCCTTGGGTGACTTTGGGCTGGTGACTCCTGGGACTCCCTGCTGCAGACTGTGCCCTCCCCTCCTGCTGCCTCAAGGTCGACCTCCCTGGGTTCTTTGTGCTGGCGTCTCCAAGGAGCTGGGTCCCAACCCTGTGCTTCCCTCCCCCATCGTGGAGCAGCGACTTGGACATGGTGCTGACATGGTCCCTCCCCCCGACGAGGAGGAGTGGAATGTTGTGATGTCACAGTCCACCTAGTAACTGCCGTTACTGCAAGACTGGCCTTTGACCTTACGACCCAGTCCCCTAAGCGTTCTCACCCCGTTTCTGGTTCCTCTGGTCACAGCACAAATTTCCAGCTGGAAGGGGAATGGAGACTATGGGACCTAGGAGCAAGAGGTTCCAGGCTGCCTCACTCCCTTACAGATGTTGACGGTGGGAAAAGCCTACACTTCCCCCATGAACTCAAAACGTTGACAGTATCTCTGGGTGGCAATGAGAGAATGGGTTTGATTTGGTTTTCTCCCAGGCTTCTACTTTCCAGAGAGATTTTAACATTTTTTTCTGAGTTCTCCACCTCATATTCTAATTCTCCATGGTTCTGGGACCAGACTCTCCTTCAGTCAGTGGTCTCTGAAGTGAGATTTGCTCATCTTCTGTGGAATAGATCTTGGGAAACTGAACTTGACACCTTGAATCTTCCTCATATTATCTCAACCTTGGGTACTTTGAGTGCCACAGGATAAATGTGGGACATCTTTCTGAAGCATCAGTTTCCCTTGATTCTCTTGAGATCAAGAGAAAAAACATGAATGTACTTAGGGAGGACAGTCACATAGGTTTCTAAGAGTATACCAGACCTCTCTCTGAAATGAGGCTTGGGTTGTCCTCTTTCTGATAAATTCTGATTTAAGAGAAAGGCTGCCTTCTGCCATGAGGACACATTGATATAAAAGTTTGAGAGGTACTGGTGCACTTCTTCACACTAACAGACGTGTGAGGATGTATGACTAAACCACATGGCATACAGTTCCTGCCTACTTAATGTTTACTTTTCTACCTCTGCCTCTGGTTTTGGTCCCTGGCAGCTGCTGATTCTTGGCAAAACCTCAGAGCTTGGAGTCAGAAGACTGAGTCTCAAAGTTCCAGTATTGCCTTTTTCTTTTTTTTTTCTAGCCATGATATCAATCCTTCTCAGTCACTAAATGAGTGTGACAACACCTTGTACAGTTGTTGGTGTCATTAAATCAGATGGTGTGTAAGTGTATTTTGTAAAAACTGTAAAGGAGGTTGTGGCTGTAGGGGCTGACGGTTCTCATGAATATTACTGCTCTTCTTTCCAACAGTTAAAAGAATATTGGCAGAAAAACAGACCTAGAGTTCCAGCAGGAGTGAACAGGAACAGGAAAACAAATGGCAGTATCCCTGAGACAGCCACTTCCGGTGGTTGCCAGCCACCTAGGGATGTGAGTCTTGGCTGACCAGGCTTCTGGGGACAGGGGGCCCAAGGGGCAATAGAGGGTAATTCTTAAGATTGTGGATGGACTGCTGGGTACTGGTTAAGAATTCTGGCTTTAGCCGGGTGTGGTGGCCCACGCCTGTAATCCTAGCACATTGGGAGGCCAAGACAGGCGGATCATGAGGTCAGGAGATCGAGACCATCCTGGTTAACACGGTGAAACCCTGTCTCTACTAAAAATACAAAAACATTAGCCACGCGTGGTGGCGTGTGCCTGTAGTCCCAGCTACTCAGAAGGCTGAGGCAAGAGAATGGTGTGAACCTGGGAGGTGGAGCTTGCAGTGGCCAAGATTATGCCACCGCACTCCAGCCTGGTGACAGAGCAAGACTCTGTCTCAAAAAAAAAAAAAGGAATTCTGGGTTTGAATCCTGCCTCTCCATCTGCTCTGCTAGGGATATGATTTAGGGCAAGTTGCTTGACCTCATGGGGCCTCTCTTTTCACATCTGTATAATAGAGGTGTTATTGTTTCACTTCCATTTGTGAAGTTTAAATGAGATTTGTTATTGTTGTTTTTATGTTAATCCCTAGTACATGGCCTGCTGTAAACACTCAGGACACCCAGGATATGGTTTGATTTTCCTCATCCCCAGTCTCAAGGGGAAACCAGGACAAAGAGAACAGCCACTTGCCATCAGGAGTCACTGAAGGGGCCCCAGGATGGGATGGTGGGGAGATAAGAACCATGAGAGAAGTTGGCACAAAGGAGTTATGGGACAAAAGGTCCAAGATAGGCAGAAAAGAAAATGTTGCCAGTTGATAGGGAAGAAAGGAAGTCAGAGGGCTCAGACACTGTGGGGGACAGAACATCTCCATGTGCACTCTCATCTCTTGTAGTCAGCAACAGGTTTCCACAGGGAAGGCCCTACATCATCTGCTACCCTGAAAGATCTGGAGGTAAGAGGCTCTGGGTGGAGGTGCAGTGACCCTTCGGGTCAACCCTCCAACCTCCTCCTCCAGGTGGGACTGGGTGCCCCTCTGCCAGCTGAGACAGCCCACACACCCCAGCCCTAACGATCGTTCTCTCTACCTCTCCCCCCACTCCTGCTCCACCTCCTCCTCTCTGCATGCACCTCAGAGCCCGTGCCAAGAACGAGCAGTAGTCCTGGATTCAACGTCCGTAAAAATCAGTCGACTGAAGAACACCATCAAATCTTTGGTAAGAGTCCGGTGGGGTCCCCTGATTCCACACTGCCAATCCTGGGCTCCAGTTTCCCCTTGGGGCCCTGAAGAAAGGGGCTGGGGGTCCCTGGTGCCCGGGACAAATAGGGAGCTTGGGTGCCCAGGCCTCACCTGGAGGGACCCCAGAGCATGCAGCATGGCTCTTCTTTTGCTGCCCTCTTTGCCGACTCTCTCCTCTCCAGACACCCCTGCTCGAGTCCTTGCTACACACGCCCTGGGGTTGTTGCCTCTTGGGGAAGTGCTAGCCTGACTGGTTGTCAAGGGCCCCGTATTTCTGCCATGACTCAGTCCCTAATTTGCTCTTTGATTCTGGACAAGCCACCTCTCCTTTTTGGGCTCGTGTTTCCAGAGGAGGTAGTGAGTATCAAAGGTCTCTGTTAGCTCTCGAGTCTGAGATTTAAAGGCCCCCGGGAATGGAAACCTCAGGGCTAAGGGCTCCTGTCTGTCCTTTTCCATCCTATATCTGCTGTGAAGAACCGTACCTGGCCCATACGTGCTCAGTAAGTGTTTATTGAATGAACCCACTTTTCTAAATCACAAGCTGCCAGAAGGAGGGGCCTTTCTGAAACTCCATCTCTAGAGGTTTATGTTGCTGTCCTCTCAAGAGATTCCAGATTCAGACTGAGTTCTGTGGCTGTGGGCAAAAGCCAACAAAGACCCAAATCCTCTGTCCTTGGGAGCTTGAGGAGAGTTTACCGGTTCGTGTTCCCATTATGTCTGAGAACTCTGCCTTTAAAATCCATTCCTGGCCCCTGCCTACCGCTTCCTGATCTGGGGAATAGAGTTGAGGGGGCCACCCTCCATCACCTTATTTGACTCTCCCCACAGAAACAACAGAAGAAACAAGTGGAACATCAGCTGGAAGAAGTAACGTGATTTCGTTTCCTCGCGACATGACTGCTGGGTTTGGGGGGCACTCAGACATAGAGGCCCCAGTCTCGTCTCACCCACTCCCAGCCTGGGGAAGAAGGCTCACCCCTCAGATTCCACCCCATCCCCACAGGGCCCCTGATAACCTGGTCCCATGGGTGGGCCTGTCCTGGGGCATTGGTGGCATTCTGGGGGCATGTCTCTTGCTGTGCCATCTCTGCCTCCCCCTGGTAAGAGCTCTGTCTTCCTCTTCCTACAGGAAAAGAAAGCAAACAACGAGAGACAGAAAGCCGAAAGGGAGCTAGAGGTGAGTGGAGGGTGTGCAGTTTCCTCCTGTCCTCCGGAGAATGTTTCTTTCCTTCTCTTTCAGCACTTGCTTGGCTTTTCTCCCAAAGGTTCAAATCCAGACATTGATCATACAGAAAGAGGAACTAAATACGGACCTGTACCACATGGAACGTTCTCTCAGATACTTTGAAGGTGGGAATCTGGGCACCCTGTCATCCTTCAACCTGGCACTTTGACAGGTCTTCAGGGGGAGTCCTTTGGGCCCCATCTCAACTCTCTCATTACAGAAGAGTCCAAGGACCTGGCTGTCCGCCTGCAACATTCATTGCAGTGTAAAGGAGAGTTAGAGAGGGCTCTGTCTGCTGTCATCGCCACAGAGAAGAAGAAGGCAAACCAGGTGAGTCCAGCCACCTGCCCCATCCCCTGGGAGCCTGGTTTTGCAGATGGAGGAGTGAGCCTAAAGGTCCCTTCTGCAGGATGGCGTGTCCTGCCCAGAAGGCAGCATGGCCATTTCTTGCTACTTTTTTGTATGGTTTTTAGTGGCAGCCTGGGGCCGAGTCAGCTGCTGTGGGTGAGTTGGGGGGTACTGTGGGGAGTGAGCACTGGACGCAGAGCTTGGAGGCCAAGTGCCTGCCCCGCCCTTACCTGGCTGTGGTCTTGGGCAAGTCCTAGGTGGGGTATTGGGTACTTGTACT
Organism: Homo sapiens; assembly: GCF_000001405.40. NCBI lineage: Eukaryota > Metazoa > Chordata > Mammalia > Primates > Hominidae > Homo > Homo sapiens. The sequence goes on along the minus strand of NW_011332701.1, from coordinate 2,581,647 downwards.
GTGAAGGTACAGAAGAGTACCTTTAGTATGTTACCATTTCTGTAGAAAGAGGAAACGCGTGCATGTGTGTGTGTGTGTGTGTGTGTGTGTGTACATACTGTGATAATATACATAAAACATGTCTGCAAGCGTTCATAAAAAATTCAGGAGAGAGAACAAGATGGCTGGGAGATACTTCCCTTCTGTACCTTCTGAGTTTTGGACTATGTGAATGTATCATCCTTTCAAAAAGTGAAGAAAAGATTAATTTTCCCCTTCCTATCTGTGCCCCCATCCCCAGCAAGAAAAATGGGCTTAGAGAATTGGATAGACCTGGGTGTTTATATCCCAGCTCTGCCTAAGTGAACTTAGGCAAGCACTTAACCTCAAATACTCCATGTTTTTTCATCTCCACAATAGAGGGAATCATAGTAACTGTCTCCTATGGTGGTTGCGAGGATTAAATGGGATTGTTAGCACGGTACCTGGTGAAGCATTCCACAAAGGTTCAAACAGTGGTAATAATGACAATAATAACAATAGCAATATTATCTGATCTCTCTGGGCCTCTGTTAGCCAGCTATAAACTCAGTCTCATTCCCTGTCCGTTCCAACTTTACTGTGTTCTTTTAAAAACCAGACCACGGGCTGGGAAATGCCTTGATCTTTACTGACCGAGTTGTATATTGGGCCTAGCCCTAGCCCTGTTAAGGGGCACTGTGTGGAAATGCCCAGGCTCTCCAGATTGAAACTTCTAACTCTTCACCATCCAGTTGTCCAGCTGCAGCAAAGCACATACAGAGTGGGAGTTAGAGCAGTCCCTACAGGACCAGGCACTGCTGAAAGCGCAGCTGACACAGGTGAGGTTTTCCGAGGGAGGGATGTGGAAGGACGATGACCCCAGGTGGCCAGGAGCAGGTGAGGACCAGTGACAGCCCTTCCTAACTTCTGTGCCCATTCTTGCAGTTGAAGGAGTCATTTCAACAACTCCAATTAGAAAGAGATGAGTGTGCTGAACATATAGAAGGAGAGAGGGCCCGGTGGCATCAGAGGATGAGTAAAATGTCGCAGGAGGTGAGATCTGACCCTTCAGCCCCCCCACATTAGATAGGTCACTGGATCTTTCTGGGCATCTGTAAAATGGGAATAGTAGAGCCAGAGGTGGTCATGGGTCTGGGCTTTGTGGAGGTGGGGGCAGAGAGGGAGAGGGCAGCCTGTCCAGCCACCAGCCCCTCTCTCCAGGGCCCTTTCCCCCTGTGCTTTGGGCAGATTTGCACATTAAAGAAAGAGAAGCAGGATATGCGTTGGGTAGAGCAGCTGGAGTGGAGCTTGTCCAAACTCAAAAACCAGACGGGTAAGATGGGGCTGGCATGACCTGGGAGCAGGACTGGCATCAGAGGGCTGTGAGGGTGGCTTAGAGTGCCCCAGGGAGGTGGGTGGATGGAAGGGCTTTGAGGCAGAGGGAAAGAGATCTGTGCCAGGAGACCGCAAGTCTTGTCATCTCAGTGAGTCTCAGTGTCTCAGTGTCCCCATCAGCAAAGAGGGCCCGTTGTCAGCCACCCGCAGTGCTCTTTCTCTGAAAGTGCTTTGGAAGACTGGCTACCATCTGGGTGCGAGGAATCATTAGCAGTGAGGCCAAGTTTGAGGAGCCTGAGAGGAGCTGTGCGCCAAGAGGAGGGTTTTTCTTTTCCAAGAATCCAGAGGCCCTTATTATCTGCTTCCTTTCTCAGCTGAACCCTTGCCCCCGGAGCCCCCAGCAGTGCCCTCTGAGGTGGAGCTGCAGCACCTGAGGAAGGAACTAGAGAGAGTGGCAGGAGAGCTCCAGGCCCAGGTCAAAAACAATCAGCACATAAGTCTCCTGAACCGGCGACAAGAAGAGAGGATTCGGGAACAGGAAGAGAGGCTTCGGAAGCAGGAGGAGAGGCTTCAGGAGCAGCACGAGAAGCTTCGGCAGCTGGCCAAGCCACAGAGCGTCTTCGAGGAGCTGGTGCGTTGCCCCAACTGGGGAGCCTGCCCTCCTCCCTAGCCCTCCGGGCCTTTGTTTCCCCACCTCTAAAATGGGGCAGTGTAGCCCTCGCGTGAAAGGTTACTTCTAAAGGCACCTGTGAGCCAGGTGGCTGTGGGAGAGAGGGGGTGATTTTTCTAACCTGCCTCCAGCCTTCCCAGTGCCATGGGAGGCAGACACCAAGTTCTGGGGTCTCCAGCTGCAGTGGGTGGCTGCTGATTGCTTCTCTCTGTCCAGAACAATGAGAACAAGAGCACACTGCAGTTGGAGCAGCAAGTAAAGGAGCTACAGGAGAAGCTTGGCGAGGTGAAGGAGACGGAAACCTCCACCCCATCCAAGAAGGGCTGGGAGGCGGGCAGCAGCCTCTTGGGAGGGGAGGTGCCAGGTCAGAGGCAGCTTCCAGCCTGGGGGCTGGTGACCACAGCACCCCCCAGGGCAGTCCTGCGACTGTTTCTCGCTTCCTGCCTCTGACTTTTAAAGGTGGGTAGCCCTGGGCTCCTCTCAGGTCTGGACATCATCATCCCAGCTAGAGGCATGGAGCCCCCAATCACAGGGGAAGAGACAGTGCTATAACAGGCTCCTTATACCAGGTGCAGTGGCTCATGCCTATAATCCCAGCACTTTGGGAGGCTGAGGCAGAAGAATCACTTGAGGTCGGGAGTTTGAGATCAACCTGGCCAATGTGGTAAAACCTCATCTCTACTAAAATTTAAAAAAAAAAAATTAGCAGGGCATTGTGGCGCATGCCTGTAATTCCACCTACTCGGGAGGCTGAGGCACGAGAATTGCTTCAACCCAGGAGGTGGAGGTTGCAGTGAGCTGAGATTGCACCACTGCACTCCAGCCTGGGCCACAGAGTGACACTCTTGTCTGAAAACAAAACAAAAAGACTCCTTAGATTGAAACTGGATTCCAGCCTCGGTTCCACTGGTCACCGTTCAAGTACTTTGCATCTCTAAGTCTCTGTTTCTTTAACTTCAAAGGGAAGTTAGCATTTTCCTTACAGAGGTGCTGAGGATTAAATGAGAAGAGGGTATGAGATTTGAGGCTGGGGAAGGAGGCATGGGGTTCTAGGAAAGGGAGGCAGTCACTTAGGCCTGGAGTAAGGGGACAGGGGCCTGGGTAGCTGACAGAGCCCCACAGTGCCCTCGCTACCCTATTAATGGGCCCAGAATCTGGAAACCAGCCACCACGTGCCCTCACACCCAGGGTCTTCCTGCAGGTGGAGCTGAAGAGCCAAGAGGCTCAGAGTCTGCAGCAGCAGCCAGACCATTACCTGGGTCACCTGCAGCAGTACGTGGCCACCTATCAGCAGCAGGTGGCCGCCTATCAGCAGCTGACCTGTGAGAAGGAGGCGCTGTACAGGCAGTGACTGCAACAGACCCAGCTAATGAACCAGCTGCAGCAGTAGGAAGCTTGGGGCAAAGCAGTGGCCGAGATGGCCTGCCAAAAGTTGCAGGAGACCCAGGGGAGGGAGCTGCCGAGGATGGGGCTGTGAGGGGGACGACCTGGCAAACTCCATCCCTTCTCACTCTTTCCTGGCCCCTTAGGAGCACCTGGAAGCGGCCAGCCAGCAGAACCAGCAGCTAACGGCCCAGCTGAGCCTCATGGCTCTCCCTGGGGAAGGTACGGGAGACCGCTCAGAGGAAGAGGAGAGAGCCCCAGGAGGAAGGGGGGACTGCTAGCAGCATAGGATTGAGGAGTTGGAAGAGACCTTTAGAACAGCTGGTCATTATGCCGACCGGGTGCCTGCACTAAGTTCGGCATCAGTGTGGTGACCTCCTGTGAGCGGGCGGTCACCAAGTTGCCTAAGGGTGGCTGAACTGGCCAAGGTCAGAAAGGGAGCAGGTCAGAACTCCCACATCGACCAGTAGTGGGAGTGTGCCTGGGCGGAATAGCAAGATCTTGATTCTTAAAAGTAAAAATAAAGAACAACAGCTCATTCCTCTCTGGGGAGGGGCTGGCTCAGGGTTACACAGTGAGGGTGGAGGTAGAGGTGGGCCCACAGTACCTCCCTTGTTGGGTTGTCTGAAGACCCCTCTGGCCACCCCCCACAGGACACGGAGGAGAACATCTGGACAGTGAGGGGGAGGAGGCACCTCAGCCCATGCCGAGTGTCCCAGAGGACCCGGAGAGCAGGGAGGCCATGGTGAGCCTGACTCCCCCCTGCACCCATTTTGCCACCTTTCTCTGTGGTCCCTCCAAGACCCCTTTATGCTCTTCGTTTCCCTGCCTTCTGATTTCTCTGGACCCTCACCCCTTCCGAGAGCCAGTGGTCAGACACCATTTCACCTGTGGCCAACAGGTGCACTCTCTGAGGCCCCAAGGGAAGGGGCTGCGCTCCACCTCTCTGCCCCATTTCTTCTGTGTATGCCCCTAGAAGAATGCTCACATCTTGCCCTCAGGTGGCATTTTTCAAGTCCGCTGGAGCTAGTGCCCAGGAGAAGCAGGCACAGTTACAAGAGCAGGTGAAAGAGCAGAGGGTGTGCTGCCAGCGCCTGGCTCACCCGGTGGCCTCGGCCCAGAAGGAGCCAGAGGCAGCCAGAGGCCCTGGAGCCCCAGGGCCTGGGGGCGAGTCTGTGAGTGGGGAGACCCACTGGGCCCTGCAGGAAGTCACGGAGAAGCTGGCCCATGCCAGGACTCACCTCCGCCTTCTCCATGACTTGAAAATGCCACCTGAGGGCAGGTCGCTGCCGAGATGTGACTGCAATATTTTGGCTCCAGAGCAGCTTTATGGACCACCTGGAGGAGAAGGCAGACCTGAGTGAGCTGGTGAAAAAACAAGAACTTCGCTTCATTCAATACTGGCAAGAGAGATGCCATCAGTGAGTGGGAGGCCAGGGCACGGCAGGGGGAGCTACAGGGCCATCAGAGGGGCCCCAGAATCTGAGCCCTGTCCTCCCGCAGGAAAATCCATCACCTTTTATCAGAACCAGGGGGCCGTGCCAAAGATGCAGCACTGGGAGGAGGACACCATCAGGCTGGAGCTCAGGGAGGAGATGAAGGTAGGGTGTGCAACATCTCTGTGGGGGTGGGGGTGGGGGTGGGTGTGAGGGTGGGCGCAGGCAGCGGCATGGCAGCTGAGCACCCCTCCCTCCAGGTGAAGCTGCTGGAGCTGCAGCAGATGGTATTGCGGCTTACAGCAACTACAACAATGGGCACAGAAAATTCCTGGCCGCTGCCCACAACTCTGCTGATGAGCCCGGTCCAGGAGCCCCAGCCCCCCAGGTGCTTGGGGCTGCAGACAAGCATGGTGGTGAGTAGAGCCCTCAGGTGGGGTGGGTAGGCAGGAAGAGGGGGGCTCCCACTGTGCTCAGATCCCCGCCTCCCTCTCTCCAAAGATCTTCGTGAGGTGACCCTCACCTCCTCTGCCCAAGGAGAGGCCAGGGAGGATCCTCTCCTTGACAAGCCTACTGCACAGCCGATCGTGCAGGACCACCAGGAGCACCCAGGCTTGGGCAGCAACTGCTGTGTGCCATTATTTTGTTGGGCTTGGCTGCCAAGAAGAAGGAGATAAACATCACCATCATCAAACAGCTGCTCAAGAAATTTTTAAATAAGAAACCAAGTTATGGGGTTAATCTCCTACACAATTCATTTACTTCCTTTGAATGTTAGACTCACTCATGATTATTTGTGTTTCTAATTTATAGTTTAAGTTTATTTGTAAAAAGTTAAAAGAGAGTGGGTGTCTGTGGCTCTCACTGATGTTCACTCTGGCATCCTTTAGCATTTTTCTTTTTTAATTTCATAATTGTAGGTCATTAGCATGCATATCGAGTTTGCCCTTACGTGGTGGGAGTTCAAACACACAAAGACCCACTCTTTGCCCAAAACTGTTCTCTTTGGTTTGGAATAGGCTGCCATGCTTTTTTAATGTTATTGCAGCATGTATATTCACTACAGCATTCAGACAAAATTTGCCTATGTTCTGCTGTTGTTTGATCTAATCTTAATCACAGTGAGCTCTTCCTTAGCTCAATATGTAGTTTGCCCCCAAGTGTGCACTGTTTATTACTTTGTAATACGCCACTATGAGTACTGACATTTAGAGTTGTTTAAAGGCCAAGAATTGGAAACAGCCTTTCCTCCATTTTCTGTGTATTGGTGATGGGAGTGATAACCTTTTGGGGGAGCTTTTTAAATCTCACAGAAGAGGAAAGTGGCCTCCTCTGGCAGGTACGTGCAGGATAGAGTGTGTTTCATCTGTTCCGGTGCCAGGAATTAGCAGTGTATTATGGTGGTTCCCTTAGGATTTGTATGTGCTCTGGGCTCATGAAGATACTGCATCATGAGCTGCAGCAGTTGCACTCTTTTTCGATGACCTAAAAAGGGCTTATTTCTGAGGAATGAAAGGTTCCCATCGTTGACTGTGGATGTGGAAAACCTTTCCTAGCTTAGAGCATTTGTATCTACAATACATTTTAAAGTCAGAGTTCATGTTACCTGTTTTAATCACATGACTACATGCCCCAGTACACAAAAGGGCACTGGTTGGCATTCTTCTTAATGTATTTAGTGAAGATCATAAGAAATCCTTTACGAGTTCAAATGTCCCTGGAACAGGCATACAGGCTCTAGTCAAGAATGAATTAGAGTGAAGGAAAGCTGTGTGACTCCTGGCATTCCTCTCTGTTCACGGAGATTCTTTGAGGCTTGAAGATTGATTTTACCATCTAGACCTCTTTGGCTAATACCTATTCTTCAACCACCTTGGTTACTCTGACATAGGAATTTACTTCTTTTTCTTTGAATGGAAAACACTTTAAAAAAAATAGAAACATTCTTATAAACTAATATATGTGAGATAGTTGAAACAAAAAGGAGTTTTAGTAGATGGTATTATACTGTCTTTGAAAATCAAGGAGAAGTTTATGAAACTTAAAATGTGTACAAACTGCAGTGCAATCTACTGTTGTTCGTGAATGTCAATGTATTATCAGGAAACGTGTCTATACAACCACAGAGTTATATTTTCTCACAAACTTCTTTACAAAGTGAAATATGTTTTTGTACCTCTGGGTTTCTGTTCGGGACATATTTTGTGCAATATTTATGTGATTGTGCCTATGCATGATGAATGAATGCATTTCAGTTATGTATTGCCTAAATCGTAACTTGATGATGCTTGGGAAAGACTCAACAGTTAAAACTTCATGAAGTTCTAATGTCTGTGTTCCAAAACACATCACATTGTTAGGATGCAGGGAGATAGGTGTGTGTGCTCCCTGCGGTGGGGATTTCTAGTTACTAGATCATCTCCATTTTTAGCATTTGGCATCCTCATGATACTTCTATAAATATAACATTAACAGGAGAGCAACAATACGATTTTACCGATGGAATAACAGATTTGCTGGCATTCACTGAAAGAGAGCAAATATTCGGTCCTTGTGACTTCCACTGACTCTTCCAAATTTTATGAATGTATCAATGTATTAGATAAACCCAGTTTCAGAATGATAAAGAAAAAATCTTAGACCAAATAATGCGGCTAATTAACAGTGGTACGATTTGTAGCCCGTGGGTTTAAAATGCACTTAAAGTCCTGTTCTCGCCTTTTATTTTCTGAACTTGCCGCTTTTGCATTCTTTGAGTTCAGTTTAAAGACAGTTACTTTAAGAGCATTTTAAACCCTCGGGCTAGAAATCGGACCACTGTTAATCAGCCACATTATTTGGTCTAACGTTTTTTCTTTTATCATTCTGAAACTGGGTTTATCTAATACATTGATAAATTATTGCAAAGGTACTTTTATCGTTGAAATCACTTCACTTTTACCCTGATAAATATCAGTGACTAGGAATGACCTTCGGATAGCGTTTAGCATCTGTAACCAATCTGACAATAATGTGTTCATGAGGTGCCTATGGATTAAATCACACACTGGCATATTTAAGCTGAAGGTCAGTCTGGAAAATAAATTTACTATATTGACTGAAATACCACTCTTTGTGTAGGTATTTGTCATATATTTAAGAAAAAGCTAAAAAGAATGGAAATTGTATGACAATAACTCAAGTCTTTCTCCAAAGTGCATGCAGTCTTTTGCGATACCTCATTCAGCCGAGTATTTGTGCTCTTCCTCATTCAGTATAAGGCAGCTTTCAGTTTGCTTAGAAGGCAACATTGGAATGTTAGAGTTCATCAGAAACATAGAATTTTAAACTGTGAGTTCCACTGAATACATTTTAATGTCTGTAGGAAGAATCAAAACACCTATTTAAAGATGGCAATGTATAATAATCATTTTAAAAGTATTTGATTAAACCTGATAATTTTCCAGAAATGAAAAAAAAAATCAGCTCTAAAACCAAAGCTGATTTTAGAAAATTTGAAAATGTAAATCAGCCCTATCCATAATATAGTTTCTCTAAAACTTTATTTTAAAGAGTCATTTTAAAATAATATAACTATTAAAAAATGTAACTGCTATCTTAATGTTCTGAAATAATTTAAAACATTTTAAAATATGAATACTGTAGTATAAAAGAAAGAAATGGTGGGAACGAAAAGCAGAGAAAGAAATGCCAATTCCAGTCCAAAGTTTTATTTGCCAAGTTTTCTTAGAATGAATTTTACCAGTTTATGAATTATTGTAAACAGAATGTGTCGTGGAAATACTGAAAGATTTTTCCCTAGAGTGGCCTTATTGACTGCTGGTGTGATGCCACTGTAATGTAATAAATTATTAAATTGTTTCTAAGTGTTGTTTTTGTCTTAAAATTTTATTTTGCGTTTCTTGAAAACTATAGTATTAAAGGTATTGATACTGTGCAAATGCTGGGCATGCTTGGCATGAGATAATGTGTTTCATTTTTACAAAGTTGTAATATAACTATGCAAGTGTTTCTTAAAAGAACACAAGATTTTAAAAGTTATGGGATTAAAAAAGTTATGGGGTGAAAAAGTTATGGGATAAAAAATGTAAAAACGTTGTGGCAAAAAAACTTGTGGGAACAAAGTAGAAAACAGTATTATGAAAAGTTACCAAAAAAAGTTATGAAAAAGAAGTTACGGGATTCTTTTTTAAAAAGTCATGGAATAAAAATAAAAATTAAAAGCAGGCCCCTGTCAGCAAAGCCTGGAAAAGTGGGGCTGGGGTCTCCACCGCCACCATGTCCCTACCACCCCTTCCCAGGCACCCCTTTACAATGAGGGTAGCAGGACAAGACCTCTGTCTAATGGGGAAAGACAAACAGACCCTTTGCCACCCTGACCAGGGCTGAGTCCCTAAATTTCTGGATGATGATGATTGTTATTTAAGAGCCAGAGGCTGGTGGAGTTGGTTTGTTTGGAGGAGGCCTGATGTCCCCCTTACTCTCACCATAGCAACTTTTCCCTCGGGGGGCTCCCTTCTTATTCAGAGAGGCAGGACAGTGGGGCTAACTGTGGACCAGGCGAGGGCACGGGCTGCTGGGGTGGCCCCCGTTCCCCGGTGTACATATTGTGTCTGTGTAAGGTTTTGTATATTCCAGAGGGTAGGGCCACCCCTGTGTCATACCTAGCTGAGGTTGGAGCCGGCACATGGGGAGGAGGTTGTAATAATTATTTGTGGCTGGGAAACTTATTTATTGCTAGCATAGGACAGAGGAAGGAGGCGGGGATGGGGTCATGGCTCCCTGGTGATGTGACTCCTGTTTATTTTGCTTTTTATTTTGGAATAAATGGATTTAGCCATACTGCTCGGCCTGGTGTGTTTCCGTTTCCCTCACTGGGTCCTGGAGTTTGTGCCACCAAACGAGGAGCCCCAGAGTGTCTTGAGCATGTCCAGCTAGGCTGTTGGGGACCTTCCAGGCGTGTTACCTGTATGCTGCTTGGTGGCGCCTGGGGGATTCCAAGGGGACTGCCATGTAGTCTATGGGGCGCAGTCTGGCCCTGACAGCCAACAGGCTCAGAAGCCTGATCTAGCGGTGGCCGGGAAGACAGGTACCAGCACCTAAGGGCACTGACTTCCACCCAGCCCCGGCATCTTCCGTTCTATCCCCTTGTCTCCCTCTCCTGTCTGCACCTGGTGGCCTGTTCTGTCTGTGCCTCCAGAGTGCCGGCTGCCCTGCAGGCTCCCTCTGGGCTGAGTTCATGGCCCTGCCCCCTGGTGGCCAGAGCCGGCTTCACAGGATAAGAGCCCGCTAAGCTCCAGGGGCTTTCCAGGAAAAGTGTCCCTTGGAAAGGGCATGGCCTTTTCACTGCTCCCAACAGCACCCTAGAAATGGCTTGGCCTTTCCCCTCCCCTGAGCTCCACAGAGAACACAGCCAGCAGACGACACACTTCCCCGCCATCCAGAAGCGGGTTTGATTCTCAGCCAAGGGACAGCAGGACTGGTAGAGACTGTCAGGCCACTCAGCTGCCTGCACAGCACTCCCATGCTTGGTGGAGGCGGGGGGGGGGCGGGAGGGATGGCGGGGTGTGTCTCTCCATAGGCTGGGCGTGACAGGGAGGCTCACTGAAGGTAGCGCACTTTGGAGGGGCAATGTCAGGGGTTAGCTTTCTCTTGTTTGGCCACAAGACTCCAAAAGGACAGCACGGTGACTGATTCCCAGCGCTAGAGGCGAGGCGGTTGGCCACATGTAGGTGTATGTGTGTGTGTGTGTGTGTGTGTGTGTGTGTGTGTGTATATGTATATGGGTATTTGTAGATATTTCTAGAACAGGGCAGGGGCATACCACAGAGGGGGGCACAAGTTTTCAGCAACGGTCACACCTGGATGTGTCAGCTCACCGCAACAATAGACTAAGTCACAGATGAAGGGGGGCTGGCTTTGGGGCTGGGGGAGCCACTGCCAAGTCACAGAACAGCCGCCCAGGCAGGCTTGGAAAGGGAAGTCTCTGAGAAGAGGAGGAATCTGTTTAGAGTTCAAAGGGGGGCCTGGGGCTCTCAGGATGGGATGGACTTGCCTGAGCCGATTGGCTGGCAGTTGGAGAGAAAGCAGAGAGAAGACAGGAGAGAGAAAAGCGAGCATATCATCTCACACCAGTTAGAATGGCAATCATTAAAAAGTCAGGAAACAACAGGTGCTGGAGAGGATGTGGAGAAATAGGAACACTTTTACACTGTTGGTGGGACTGTAAACTAGTTCAACCATTGTGGAAGTCAGTGTGGCGATTCCTCAGGGATCTAGAACTAGAAATACCATTTGAGCCAGCCATCCCATTACTGGGTATGTACCCAAAGGACTATAAATCATGCTGCTATAAAGACACATGCACACGTATGTTTATTGCGGCATTATTCACAATAGCAAAGACTTGGAACCAACCCAAATGTCCAACAATGATAGACTGGATTAAGAAAATGTGGCACATATACACCATGGAATACTATGCAGCCATAAAAAATGATGAGTTCATGTCCTTTGCAGGGACATGGATGAAATTGGAAATCATCATTCTCAGTTAACTATCGCAAGAACAAAAAACCAAACACCGCATATTCTCACTCATAGGTGGGAATTGAACAATGAGAACACATGGACACAGGAAGGGGAACATCACACTCTGGGGACTGTTGTGGGGTGGGGGGAGGGGGGAGGGATAGCATTGGGAGATATACCCAATGCTAGATGACGAGTTAGTGGGTGCAGCGCACCAGCATGGCACATGTATACATATGTAACTAACCTGCACATTGTCACATGTACCCTAAAACTTAAAGTACAATAATAATAAAAAAAAAAAAAAGCGAGCAGAGAGCTGGTGAGGCAAGTGCAGAGCACAGGTGTGCCACAGCAGCTGTGGGAGGGCCAAGGAGTAAAGGGTGCACGTGCGGGTGTGGCAAGGTTCCTGGAAAAGAGGGGCTGGAAGGGAAAGGGGAGGAAGACAGAGGGAGGAGCCGGAGTTTCACAGGTAGTGCCTGGGGGCTGTGGCAGCCCTCCCCACCCCACACGTGCTGGCCTCTTCCACGGCACCCAGTGCACCCACTGTTAAGACTGATGCTCAGCCCCTTTGGGCTTCCCTCTTCTCTGGTCACCGTGTCTTCCAACCCACTTGTCCAGGGCCACCTCTCGCCTTGGGGAGCCCAAAACAACAGCCACCAGGCCTGATAGAGAAGAAACACTGCTTGAACCAGGATGATGAAGCTAAAAGGGATGGATGGGTGGAGTGATCGCCGGAGCCCCCTCTGGGGGGTCAGAAAGCCCAGGAACCCTTGAAGGGTCCCTGGGGGAGGAAAGGAGGGCATGCAGCTGGATGCCACTGGCTATAGACTTATAAGTCTAAGAGGGGAGCCTCAGCTTGTTGGGGGTTGCAGGTCGGATAGGTGAGGCTGGGCCCTTCCTGCTGGGAAAAGCAGAAGAGGGAGAGTCTATGGCAGGGGAGGTGGGTGGGCTTGTGGGGCGGAGGTCAGCTGGGCCAGCAGGCACTGTGGTCCCCTTGGCTGAATAGCAGAGGTGACCTCTAGGAGCAACACTCCAAGGTGCGTGAGCCTGCTGGCCAGCAATAGTGCTTCAGCGGGGGCCAGGGACCCTGCCTTCAGTCACACGCTAGCAGCTATGATGGTACCTGGGAGGGAGGGAAGGGGCCTGTGTTTCCTGCCTGGCCTGTGAGGTGTGTTGTGGGTTGACCGTGTGTATGGGACTCTCAAGGTTTTATCCTATCTCACCACTGCATTGCCGACAGATAGAGGAGGTGGGACTCTGACTATCACCCCTGCTCTGCAGTGGATTTGGCTCTCAGCACTCCCAGGCTGGGAGCTGGATGCCCTGCCCTGGCAGCATGACTCAGACTGCCCAACAGGTGCGGTGTGCACAGGAGGACTATCCTAGGACTCTGGCCGCCTCAGAGTACAGCCCCACACACCACCCCCTCTAAGCTCTCAGCCCTTACACCATAAACCATGAGCTCTGTGACGGCTCCAGGGAGCACCCATGTCTACCAGCGTGGGCACGGAGCCTGTTCCAAGAGTCCCCAGGCTCAGCCATGGGGGCTGGGGGGCTTTGGGGCCGTGGGAGCCAGCCTTGGTACCTGCATCCGGCAAGGACGCTCTGCACCTGCAGGCAGGAGTTGTCCACGGGCCCCCATGTGCGTGCTGATGGTGGTCGTGTTGATGTCGCCGATGATGCCGAGTGCCTCCTTCAGCACGTGGTACATGCGCAGCATCTCGTCGCGCCACTGTGCCTGCTCTGCCGACTCTTCCATCAGCGTTTTCTGGTCCCCACGTGAGTACAGGTTGGACAGCAGCTCCGAGAAGATGAACTCCTTGGTCTGAGAGCGGGCAAAGAGGGAAGGAGGTTGGGACCTGATGCCTTTGCTGCCCTGGCCTCCTGCCGGGCCCTGCTGGGACTGTGTGCTGGACTTGGAGCCCTGAGTATGGCTTTTCAGACGCGGCTTCTACACCGCTTAGACTCAAAGATCTGCCTCCCCACCGCCCTTTTCTCACTCAGATAGGGACACTGAGGTCCAAAGGAAAAGTCACCTGTCCAAGGTCACACATCTGGGAGGGGACCCAGGACCTATCATGCCACCAGGACACCGGTCTACTCAGTTTCTTAAAAATGTTTTTTGGAGATAGGATCTTGCTCTGTCGCTAGGCTGGAGGACAGTGGGCGAGATCACCACTCACTGTAGCCTCAACTTCTTGGGCTCAAAGTGATCCTCCAATGTCAGCCTGTAGAGTAGCTAGGACTATAGGTACGTGCCACCACCAAGCCCAGCTATTTTTAAAATTTTAGTGTAGAGATCAGGTCTCACTATGTTGCCCAAGCTGGTCTCGAACTCCTGGGCTCAAGCTATCCTCTTGCCTTGGCCTCCCAAAGTGCTGGGATTACAGACATGGGCCACTGTCCCCAGTCCCACGTTATATTTCTATGAGACAGCTCTGGTCTGGACTGTGCCTCCCTCCCTGGACCTTGGTCCCATAGGGCTGGTCAGCATCTCCCCCAGGCCAACATGGCCACCTGCATCCCCAGTGCTACAGGAGCCCCCTGCCCCTATGAGGCGGTGCATGCACGTTGTTGATCATGACGTGCATGATGGTCTTGGGCATGACACCAACCATGAGGTCCCACACGGTCTTGTTGACAATGGCCATGTAGGAGTCCACAAGGTTCTGGGTGGTTTCCATTTGCCGCTCCAGCTATGGGTCCATGGAGTGCATGAAGCTGTCGGAGCCATTCTCCTCAGCCTTGCTGTCCTGTCATGGAGAACACAGTGGCATCAGGGTGGCCAGGCCATGCAGCCAGGCTCCAGGAATCCCTAGGATCTCAGCACCTCCAAGGGTACCTGGAACATTGAGGCACAGAGAAAAACAACTGGCGTGAACATGCACCGAGCTCCCCACACGCTCTAGACGGTTTCAGGTATCTGCCTCTCAGGACCCCAGACTCCCCTGATTCAGTCTCCTCTTAGTTCTGACTCTAGTGCCCAGAATCTGCCTCAAGTTACCAATCCAGAAATTGGAAAAAAACATCTCCAGGTCCCCTGTTGGAGACCTGGCCAGAGCTTGTGCCAGGCTGCAGACGCCTGGCAGGGGGCAAGAAAGGGGCATACTCACTTTCCCCTTGTCCTGGGAGGCCCATGCACCAACACTGCCACCGCCGCCGCCACCAGGGAACACGGCAAAGTAGACACACACAGAGAGGAAAACGGGAAGGGTTGAGTGAACCTGGGACACTGCACCCCAACTTTAATGTGTTGTGGAATTCAGTTAGCTAATATTTTATTGAGGATTTTTGCATCAATATTCATCAGTGATATTGGCCTGTAGTTTTCTTTTTTGGTCTGTGTGTTTGATTTTGTTATCAGGGTAATGCTAGCCCTGTAGAATGAGTTTGCAAGTATTCCCTCCTTCTCTATTTTTGGAATCGTTTGGGTAAGGTTGGTATTAGTTCTTCTTTAAATGTTTGCTAGAATTCAGCAGTGAATCATCAGGTCCCAGGCTTTTCTTTGCTGGGAGACTTTTTATTACCACTTTGATCCCATTATTTGTTATTGGTTTGTTCAGGTTTTGGGTTTCATCATGGTTCAATCTTGGTAGGTTAGATGTGTCTGGAAATTTATCCATTTTTGGTAGGTTTTCCTATTTATTTGCACACAGTTGCTGACCACTAGTGATCCTTTGAGGTTTTTTTTCTTTTCTTTTTTTATATGGAGTCTTGGTCTGTCGCCCAGGCTGGAGTGCAGTGGCGCGCTCTCAGCTCACTGCAAGCTCTGCCTCCCGGTTTCACGCCATTCTCCTCCCTCAGCCTCCCAAGTAGCTGGGACTACAGGCGTCCGCCACCACGCCCTGCTAATTTTTTGTATTTTTTCCGTAGAGACGGGGTTTTACCGTGTTAGCCAGGATAGTCTTATCTCCTGACCTCCTGATCCACCCGCCTTAGCCTCCCAAAGTGGTGGGATTACAGGCGTGAGCCACGCCCCCTTGGGACAGGGACACACACACACACACATAGACACACACACACACACACACACACACAGAGTTGGTGGTTGTGCCGCCCAGTCGCGAGTGTGAGGAAGGGACCAGATCGGTCGGGCAGAAAGGTGCTGGGTCAAGAGAGGAGGGGGCAGCCGGTAGCGCGGGCACGCCGGGTGCGCGCGGGGCGCGCCGGGTTGAGGGGTGAGGGGTGAGGGGTAAGAGGTGAGGGGCGACGAGGACCGGGGCGGGGTAGGGGCAGCCCTTTCCCAGGCGGTAGCGGGGGCAGTGGTGCTGTTGCCCTTTTAAACTGCGGCTTGACGGGAGCCGCGCCTCCTGTCGGTGGAGTCGGTTATAAAGGGAGCAGCCCCGCAGGCCGCCACATAGCTCCCGCCAAGTCCTCGGTGCCCCTTGCCATTTTCCAGCCGCGCTCCCACGAGGGTCACGGCGGCGGGGAGAGGTGGAGCCGCGAGAGCTCGGCCGGGGGCCCCGCCTGGTGGCCGCGGCCATGACAGCGGCTCGGGACTGGCTCCTTTTCCGCGCCCCTCCCGCCGGAGGTGAGGGGAAGATGTCCATGTCAGGGTTCAAGGCCAAACCGAAGTTACTGGCCTCTATCTTCCAGGAGAACCAGGAGCCACAGCCGCGGCTCACGCCCCACCGCAACATTAAGGTGAGTCGCCGGGTGGCGGCCTGGCGGGGCAGGGCGAGGGCGGAAAGCGGGTGCCCAGAGTCCCAGGAGAAAGGGGAAGCTGCCCCAGAGAGGCCGCGGTTCCCCGCCCCTTTCTCCCGCAACTGGCCCGCCCGGCAAGGCAGAGGCTTGGGTGGGAGAAGGCGGAGGGCGCGTCTCTCCAACTCCTAGCGCGGGGCTGGCTTGGGGGCTGCTGGCCCCTCTCGGCCCCTGTCGCTGCGCCTCGAGGTGGGAGCCCGCCGCTGCGGGAGCCCTCTTGGGACCCATGGTCGCCCTCAGTCAGCCCACCTGCTCTAGGGACCGCGACAGGGCGGGGCAGGGCGGCTCCCGCGTTGTTGGAGCCCAGGCGGGGAAGGGGAAAGGCCTTTAAGATTTTCGGTTTTTTGGCCGGGCGTAGTGGCTCACGCCTGTAATCCCAGCATTTTGGGAGGCCAACCGGGCTGATCACTTGAGGTCAGGAGTTGGAGACCAGCCTGGCCAACATGGTGAAACCCGTCTCTACTAAAAAATAGAAAAATTAGCCGGTCGTGTTGGCAGGCGACTTAATCCCAGCTATTTGGGAGGCAGAGGCAGGAGAATCGTTTGAACCCGGGAGGCGGAGGTTACAGTGAGCTGAGATCGAGCCATTGCACTCAAACCTGGGGGAGAAGAGCGAGACTTCTCTCTCTCTCTCTCAAAAAAAAGTTTTCTTTCTTTTTTTCTTTTTGTTGAGACAGAGTCTCACTCACTCTGTCGCCCAGGCTGGAGTGCAGTGGCGCGATCTCGGCTTACTGCAGCCTACCTCTCTTGACAGTCCACTGGATAAAGCGATTCTCCTGCGTCAGCCTCCCGAGTAGCTGAGATTACAGGCGCCCGCCACCACGCCTGGCTAACTTTTGTGTTTTTAGTAGAGACGGATTTTTTAGTAGAGACGCGGTTTCACCATGTTAGCCAGCATGGTCTTGATCTCCTGACCTCATGATCCACCCGCCTCAGCCTCCCAAAGTGCTGGGATTACAGGCGTCAGCCACCGCGCCCGGCCTCTGTTTTGTTTTATACATGTAATATATTCACAAGTATCTTTACGAAGTGATTTTGATACTCTTTTGTCTTCTCCCTAGAATCTCTTTGTTCTGTAATAATTCTTTCTTAGTTTATATTGATCTTATTTTCCTTTTTAAAGCCTTTCCTTACATATCTATTCTATGTTGCTTATCATTTGTAGTTTTTTTATTTTTTATTTATTTATTTATTTATTTATTTTGAGAGGGAGTCTCGCTCTGTTACCCAGGCTGGAGTGCAGTGGTGCAATCTGGGCTCACTGCAAGCTCCGCCTCCCAGGTTCACGCCATTCTCCTGCCTCAGCCTCCTGAGTAGCTGGGACTACAGGCGCCAGCCACCACGCCCCAACAATTTTTTGTATTTTTTAGTAGAGACGGGGTTTCACCGTGTTAGCCAGGATGGTCTCGATCTCCTGACCTCATGATCTGGCCACCTTGGCCTCCCAAAGTGCTGGGATTACAGGCGTGAGCCACCGTGCCCAGCCCTGATTCTATATTATAGTGAGTTGTACAATTATTTCATTATATGTTACAATGTAATAATAATAGAAATAAAATGCACAATAAATGTAATGTCCTTGAATCATCCCAAAATCATCTCCCCCAACCTTGTCTGTGGAAAAATTGTCTTCTGCAAAACTGGCTCCTGATGCCAAAAAGTTTGGGGACTGCTGGCATAAGTGGTCTCATATAGTAGTTGTCCTTTTGTGCCTGGCTTATTTCACTTAGCATAATGTCTTTAACGTTCATCCATGTTGTAGCATGTGCCAGAATTTCATTTGTTTTTAAGGCTGAATAATATTCCCTTGTATGTATTTAATATGCCTTTTTATCTTTTCCTCTGTTGATGAATACTTGGGTTGCATCCACCTATTGGCTATTGTGAATAGGTTTGCATTGCCTGTCTTTCTCATGATCGCCATCCTATTTCACATCTAGCAGGTGTGAAATTCCATTGATTGAGTGATTGATTGAGACAGGGTCTGACTCTGTCGCCCAGTCTGGAGTGCAGTGGCATGATCTTGGCTCACTGCAACCTCCATCTCCCAGGCTCAAGCAATTCTTCTGCCTCAGCCTTCCGAGTAGCTGGGATTATAGGCATGCACCACTACCAGCTGGCTAATTTTTGTATTTTTAGTAGAGACGGGGTTTCACCATGTTGGCCAGGCTGGTCTCGAACTCCTGACCTGAAATGATCCACCTGTCTCCGCCTCCCAAAGTATTTGGATTACATGTGTGAGCCACTGCGCCCAGCTAGTAGGTGTGAATTTCTATGTCTTAGTGGTTTTGATTTGCATTTACCTGATGGCAAATGATGTTGAGTATCTTTTCATGTGTTTATTGGCCATTTGTCTGTTTTTTTGGGGAAATACTTATTCCAAAATTTAACTTATTTTTAATTGGGTTATGTATCTCTTTATTATTTAGCTGTAAGAATTTTTTACATATTCTAGATAGGAGTTATAACAACTTTCTTCCTTTTTCTGGATTGTCTTTTTTCTTTCTTGATGGTGTCCTTTGAAGCAGAAAGATTTTAAATTTTGATATAGTCCAATTTATCTTTTTTCATTTGTGTTTTTTTGCTCCTTGTGCTTTTGGTGTAATATCTAAAAAAACGTTGCTACTCCAAGGTCACAAAGGTTTCTGCCTATGTTTTTTTCTATGAGTTTTATAGTTTATCAATATCTCTTATATTGAGCTCTTTTATCCATTTGAATTAATTTTTGCATGCGGCATGAAGTAGGGGGGTATAGCTTCATTGTTTTGCACCTAGACATCCAGTTATCTCAGAACTATCTGTTGAAAAGCTTATTCTTTCCCCATTGAATTGTCTTGGAACGCTTATTGAAGATCAATTGACTGTATATGTGAAAGTTTATTTCTGGATTCTATTCTTTTCTCTGTTCATCTGTCCTTATACCAGTAGCACACTCTTGATTACTGTAGCTGTTTAGTAAGCTTTGAAATCAGAAAGTATGAATCCTCCAGAAAGTTTTTTAAGGTGGGTTTGGCTGTTCTGGGTCACTTGCATTTCCATATGAATTTTAAGATCAGCTTGTCAGTTTCTGCAAAGGAGCCAGCTGGGATTTTAATCACAGTCGCATTGAATATGTAGATCAACTTAGAAAGTACTGCCATTTTAACAATATTAAGTTTTCCTCCACGAACACAGGATGTATTTGTACTTATTTAGGTCTTCCTTTAATTTCTTTCAATCGTAGTTGTGTTGAATGCAGACCTACTTTGAATTAATTCTAAGTAATTTTTATGCTACTTATTGGTTGACAAATATAATTGCTTTTAGTTTTTAACTGTAGTTTTGATGTAATGTGAACTGTATTTGGACCTTGTGAAGCTTATTTCTGCTTTGAAATTTAGTATAAATTGGTTATAATAAAATCTGACTGTGCTAATTTTTTGGTTATGTGAAATAGAAAATCAATGTAAATTTAAAAATTTATTCTGGGCCGGGCGCAGTGGCTCACACCTGTAATCCAAGCACTGTGGGAGGCTGAGGAGGGCAGATCACAAGGTCAGGAGATCAAGACCATCTTGGCTAACACAGTGAAAGCCCATCTGTACTAAAAATACAAAAAATTAGCCGGGTGTGGTGGTGGGCACCTGTAGTCCCAGCTACTTGAGAGGCTGAGGCAGGAGAATGGTGTGAACCTGGGAGGCGGAGGTTGCGGTGAGCTGAGATCGCACCACTGCACTCCAGCCTGGGCGACAGAGTTAGACTCCGTCTCAAAAAAAAAAAAAAAAAAAAAAATTCATTCTGAAATGCGATAGATGTTGAAGCTCTTCTGGCAGATGGTTATAAAGAGGAATATATAATCATTCTATTGAGAAAATATAATCAATAATGTGAATACCTAAGGTAGTTTATTTTACATATATATCTCGGTATTTATTTATTTTTGAGACAGAGCCTCACTCCTGTCACCCAGGGTGGAGTGGAGTGGCACGATCATGGCTCATTGCAGCCTCAACTTCTTGGGCTTAGGTGCTTATCTCATCTCATCGCAGCCACCTGAGTAGCTGCGACTACAGGTGTGCGCCACCATGCATGGCTAATTTTTTGTATTTTTAGTAGAGGTTTCCCCATGTTGTCCAGGCTGGTCTGAAACTCCTGGACTCAAGTGATCTGCCCGCCTCGGCCTCCCAAAGAGCTGGGATTACAGGTGTGAGCCACTGTGTTGGCCTTATGTTTTATAATTTTTAAATGATACTTTTTATTCTATTACAAAACATATATAATTGTAAAAAACTTGTAAAATATAAAAGAGGACAAAGACAATAGAAAAATTATTTACAATGTAATTCCCAAGTAAACACTGATTACCTTTTTTTTTTTTTTTAGAGCCTGTTGCTCAGGCTGGAGTGCAGTGGCACCATCATAGTTCACTGTAACCTCATACATCTCATACATTTTGATATTACTACTTCTGGTTTTATACATAATGTGTTCACTTTGAAGCAAGAGAGTATAATTTTATAACGATTATTTTCATTTAATGATCATGATCTCATTGCAATTATTGATCATTTAGTTTATTCCTGAACATTTTGTTTTATATATTTTTGCTATTGTGAGTGGGATATTTGTTATAACTTGGCATTTGTGCCTACACTCAATTTACCTATAGGAAACTAATTTTTGCATACAATTGTTTTAATTGGTGCAGTGGCACAATCTCAACTCACTGCAACCTCCGCCTCCCAGGTTCAGGTGATTCTCCTGCCTCAGCCTCCTGAGTAGCTGGGATTACAGGCACATGCCACCACACCCAGCTAATTTTTGTATTTTTAGTAGAGACAGTGTTTCACCATGTTGGTCAGGCTGGTCTTGAACTCCTGACCTCGTGATCCACCCGCCTCGGCCTCCCAAATTGCTGGGATTACAGGCTTGAGCCACCGTGCCCGGCCTCGGCCTCTTTGTGTGTTTTCGTATATCTTTCATCTGAGTTGCAAGGGGCACCTTGGGTTTCCAGGAATTTTCTTAGCTAACTCTGTTCCTTTATCTATGACCCTTCCTCACTAGTTTTGGATAATTTATTTTCCTTCTTCCTTACTTCACTGATTTACTTTTCTATTTTATTTAGTTTGCTAGTCATTGTTTCTTTTAAGGTTCTTAAGCATAAATCCTTTTTTTTTTTCTGATGGGAAATACTGGGGCATAGCACTAGGAATACAAATTATGTTTAAATAGAGCACAAAGAACCATCTCAAAGGAATAACTGATGGTGAATGTCTGGTGATTGATTTTATTATGTATCATCTCTAATGAGGCTTAATAAATAATTGAGGTTTAACACTTAGGTAACCGGTCTGTATTTAAGTCTGAAAATTTTTGTATGTTACAGTTTCAACTTCACATTGAATATTCTGTAAAGCAGAAATAAATTGATCAGCATTCTATGAATGAAAAATAAAGCCATGGGTCGGGTGCAGTGGCTCACACCTATAATCCCAGCACTTTGGGAGGCCGAGGCAGGTGGATCACCTGAGGCCAGGAGTTTGAGACCAGCCTGGCCAACATGGTGAAACCTTGTCCCAGCTACTGGAGAGGCTGAGGCAGGAGAATGACTTTAACCCAGGAGACAGAGGTTGTGGTGAGCTGAGATCGCGCCACTGCACTCTAGCCTGGTGACAGAGCAAGACTCTGTCTCAAAAAAAAAAAAAAAAAAAAAAAATTAGCTGGGCATGGTGGTGCACACCCGTAATTCCACTACTTGGGAGGCTGAGGCAGGAGAATCACTTGAACCCAGGAGGCAGAGGTTGCAGTGAGCCAGGGTTGCACCACTGCCCTCCAGCCTATGTGACAGACTGAGACTCCATCCCTAAAAAAAAAAAAAAACCAAAAAAAACCATGCTGGTAATCGAAAAAGCAGTTTGCCTCATCAGAGTTTAGAACGTTGAATTGTAAAGATCTTTTTTGTAGTCCTAGCCAGTTTTAATGGTAACATGAGCAATTCAGTTACTTTCTCAGAGTTTTATATTTTTATCTGTAAAATGGAAATTATGGTACCTACAGTTTAGGATTTTTGTGAAAATCAAGTGAGACTGCAAGTGTCTTGAATAGCAGTGGAAGTACATTGATATAGGTGATATTTTACAGTGGTGTCTTCCTCAGCATCATATTAGTTCAGTGTTTTAAAGCTCTATATTAGTCACAGAAACAAAGTCAAATTTTTGTTCTCATTTCAGATTACAAGTGGACACCTGAGTCAGCAGGACCTGGAATCCCAGATGAGAGAGCTTATCTACACGACTCAGATCTTGTTGTCACCCCCATTATTGACAATCCAAAGGTGCAGAAAGCACTCTGACAAGTGAGTTGTAGACTTTACTGAGATCTGAAATCTGCATAAGATTTTCATTCAGAATATTATTTACTGTCTAATCTTTCCTGTTTCTCTTGTCCGCTACTCTTTCATTTGTGCTGCATGTCTGCATTTCCAGCTCCCGCTCTGTCTGCAACCCTTTCCTCTGCCTTCACTTCCGCTTCACTGGAGTTCTAAGTTTTCCCCCCTCTGTTTTGAATGAGTCAGCTCTGCTTCTCACTACTGCTTTCTTCCACATGCCACGGAGGGGTTGCCAGCCTCTTGACCTCAGACCTTAGCTCTCAGTCCCATCGTTTCTCCATCTGCACTAATGTGAATCACTCTAAGTATTCTAGTCTCTGATGTGTTTTGAAGGCAGAAGCAGTCAGAGGGCACTGCTCACCAGGCTGGGCTGGGCAGGCAGATCACACGGAAGCCCTGCCCTGTCACAGGTTGTTAATACTGCAGGGGAGATGGTGGGGAGACACTATGGGAACTTGAGGAGTCATGGTTCACAATGTACTTCTAAACCACTGTGAGTTTTTTTGCTTCTTGTCTTTTGGAATATAATACTTTATTGCTGGGGGATAATGAGTATTTACTTTAAAAAACAGATGCATTTCTAAGTCCCTCTGTTTTGTCTTGACTTCCAGCTCCCCAACATACTCACATTCCACTACTTATTCTCTATTTTAACTTTACTGCTTCTTTTACTTTTTTTTAGTTTTACTTTTATTTTTTATTTTTTTGAGACAGAGTCTTGCTCTGTCACACAGGCTGGAGTGCAATGACGCGATTTTGGCTCACTGCAAGCTCCACCTCCCAGGTTCATGTCATTCTCCTGCCTCAGCCTCCCAAGTAGCTGGGACTACAGGTGCCCGCCACCACGCCCTGCTAATTTTTTGTATTTTTAGTAGAGACAGGGTTTCACCATGTAAGCCAGGATGGTCTCGATCTCCTGACCTTGTGATCCACCCACCTCGGCCTCTCAAAGTGCTGGGATTACAGGCATGAGCCACCACACCTGGCCTTCTTTTTCTTTTTTAAATATCTTTTTCTGTATTAATTCATGACTGTTTTTTTCTTGTCTCATTGGGAACATTAGTGTGGTTTAGAACAATGTAAGGGTTTTTGGATTCATGTTTATTTTCTAGATAGACAGCATTTTATATAGATGATTTAGCTGTTTTTCATAATGGAGCTAATTCTTTTTGTGAGTTCATATGTCTGGCAGTGTAACTTTATTATGCTAAGTTTGATGTGCATTGGCGCATTTTCAAAATGGGCTTTCTAGAACAATTTGTGATATCTTTCCCAGGGGTGTCCAGTCTTTTGGCTTCCCTGGGCCACACTGGAAGAAGAATTGTCTTGGGCCACACATAAAATACACTAACAATAGCTGATGAACTAAAAAACCAATAAAAAAAAATTGCAAAAAAATTCTTACAATGTTTTAAGAGAGTTTATGAATTTGTGTTGGGCCATATTCAAAGCTGTCTTGGGCCACATCCAGCCCACGGGCTGCGGGTTGGACAAGCTTGCTTTACACAATATTCTGTGTTTCCTTTTTTCCTCTTATAACCATATTTGATAGTTTATGGGAAGCCTTCATCAGTGGAAATTTTTGTGTTTAACTTTTAATTCTAAACTACTTTTAGAGAAAAGATTAAAAAATAGTTGAGAACTCCTGTATAGCTTTTGCCCAGCTGCTCTTAATGTTCACATCTTATAGGTCTATAGTATGGTTAGCAAAACCTGGGAATTAACATTGGTATAGTGTTAGTCAGGCGGGATAATCCTTACCTGTGCCTCCTTTTGGAGGGCAGTAGAATGTGGTAGTTGGAGTTGCATGATACTTGATTCATATCTCTGTGTAATGATGGCATGCAATACCCTGACTGCTCCTTTCGAATTCTTCCTGAAAAGGGAAAAATAAAACATGAGAATAGTGCTGCTAACTACCAAATGCATTTGAATTTTACCGGTTGCCTCTAATGTCCTCTTTTTTTTTGTTCCAGGATCCCACATTACAGTTAGTTGTTATGCCTCCTTAGTCTCATATAGTCTGTCCTAGTTTTTCACGGTTTTGTCAGAATTTCTCAGACTTTGCTTGTCTTTCATGACCTTGACAGTTTGTCTTTTATTTTGTTTTGTTTTGTTTTTTGTCACCCAGGCTGGAGTGTAGTGGCGCGATCTCAGCTCACTGCAACCTCTGCCGACCGGGTTCAAGCTATTCTCCTGCCTCAGCCTCATGAGTAGCTAGGATTACAGGCACCTGCCACTGCACCTGGCTAAGTTTTGTAGTTTTAGTAGAGATGGGGTTTTACCATGTTGGCCAGGCTGGTCTTGAACTCCTGACCTCATGATCCACCTGCCTAGGCCTCCCAAAGTGCTGGGATTACAGGCGTGAGCCACGGCACCTGGCCTTTGTATGTTTTTGTAATACATGTTATAAAACGTATGACTCAAGTCCTTGACACTTTGAAGAGTAACTGGTTGGGTGTTTTGAAGAATGTCCCTTAATTTAGGTTTGTCTAAGGGTTTCTCATGACTCAAATGAGATTATGAATTTGGATTATGAGATTAGAATGAGAATATGCATTTTAGTAAGAATACTACAGTAAGTACAGTAATGCTGGTTACTTAATTAGTAAAGGTTTTAAAAATATTACATATAGAAGTTTTGCAGAAGTTAGGTATAGAAATGATGGTTGAATTTTTAATTAAAAGTCTCAAGATGCAGTATCTGGCTGTCCTAAGCTCATGGATCCAACTACATGGTTTCTTCACATTTCTGAAATAAATTATGCACTTTCCAATTCATGCTATTATGGCTTCCTTGAATGGTGTCTTCTCTGATATAATCATAAAGTTCTAGCCATCCTTCAAGACCTCAACCCACCTTCTACCTCTTCCGTAAACCCGGTGTCAACTATATCAAGTAAAGTGCTTGCTGTATTCTCTAAACTACTATTTACAAAAAAAATTCTTTCTGTCCAGGGTTTTGTCTGTAGTTATGTCCTGCCTCTTTTGAATTGTGAAATATTTTCTTGTTTATCAAATGTTTGTCTCATCTTCCCAACCAGAAAGTCAGCTCGCTGAAAATAGGATTGTGTCTTTTATATCTTTGTATCCCCCTTAGCACTTGACATAGAGCCTTACCTTGGCAGGTAAGCAATAGATATTTGTTGAAAGACTGAATTTCTAATTAGAGGTAAATTACCTAAAAAGTAAGCCAGGATGGGGTGAATTTTTTCTTTGAAGCTTTATTTTATTACAGATATCAATTGAAATGATTTTAAAAAATAAATTATTATCTATATATGTATGTTTTAATCTGAAAAGGCATCGTTCTTTTTGTTTTTGGTAACAAATTTTACACATTCTTTTTTTGTCCTCATTGATTTATTATCTGATATAAGGGACATATAAGGAGACAGATATCCATCTTTAAAATTGCCTCAAAAGTTTTTTTTTTTTTTTAACCACAGATAATGAAACAACCACCATCGGTTAAATTTGATGCAAAAATATTGCATCTACCAGCATTTTCAGGTAGGATCATAAAGGAGTTATCGAACATGTAGACTGTCTGTATACAGATACGAATATGAAATTTATTCACAAATGGAATATTTGTATGTGAACAACTAAATTTATTTTGTCTTGACAATTGGTTATATTCTTGGGTCAGTGTTATGTGAATTGTAAATAATCTGTAATTCATTTGTGCCAGCTGTTGACATTTCTCAGCTGAGTCTGGGCTGCCCTGTCCTCTTGTGAGTGGGGAGGTTCCTGTAGATCTGGGCAAGTTTTCCTGTAGAGTGGGTGGGGGGCCTCCTCCCTTCCGTTCATAGAGCTGGTTGAATTTCCACCATTTATGGCAGGTGTAGGTGCACAGGGTTGGGGACAACAAGGAAGGATTGGGATTCTATTGGCGGGACCAGGACATTTGAGAACGGGACTAGGTGGTTCATGACTGTGGAGATGGTGTGGGAGTGGAGATACTTAAGGGATAATTATTACATTTCTGTTGAGCTAATGAAAATCTTATTTACGGTGAAAGTCAGAAATTTTTACATACCTTAAACTTTTTTTTTTTAACAAATTATATTTTAAGCTGTTAAACTCAATTTGGGGAAAATTATTCATTGTGGCTAGAGTAGAATCTATGATTTGAAGTAAATTTAAAATATATTTAGGTTTAAATAAACCAGCTAAGGGTTTATATCAGTCAACTTAATTAGTGATAAAAACAACCAAAAAAACCTGTGTAGAAGGACGTTTTTGAAAGACCAAAGTGAAGCAAAATATTAATAGTGCTTTCAGTGCCAAGTAGGTCTATTTATGCAAACCTAGAGAATTATTATTGGGAAATACTATTTCCTTTTTCTTCTTTGAGTTACTTAGGAAATTATATTTACAATTTCTTTGTCTAAAGATTGAGATCAGCAAAAACATGTTAGCAAAAAATTTTAGGGAGTATCACATTTCCTAGATTTTGCCCTTTTTTTATAGGGATTAGGAGGTAGGAATTTCAGGTGATTTTAGCTATCATGTTATCCTCGTTATTTTTTTACAGTAATTTCATTGGAACTTTTTAATAACTGTGTGGTTTGTGCTTTTCTCAATATCTGAGAGTTGATTTATTTATACAAAGGCTTTTTTGTCTTTTACTCCAGTTGTATTGAACTTTGCATTTTGTTATAATCTAGGTTGTGAGACAATTCTGCTTTAGACATCTGCTTGGTTTGAAAGCATAGTTTTCCATTGAAGTGTTTAAAAAGTTTCCATGGATAGATAAAGAGATGAGGAATATAGAAGGACAAATAGAAGTAGTGTCATCTTTGGAGTATTTTTGGTGTTGACAGAGTAATGTTTTCTTTGTCCTCATCTTAGCTGTCGTAACTCTGTGTTTATTTCTCATGTAATGTTTCCAGCAGTTGTTTTTCTCATCATCATACTTTTGTTATTTTCTTTCCTTGGCAATGGATAAGTTATAATTTCTGAAAGACCAAGATTGGAATGACTTTTTGTAACAAGTGTGCTCGCAGATCGACTCCAGTGAGAAGAGCTCGGGGACCTCCTGAGCCAAGCTTAATCTCCTTTGCTGTTTGTGAGTGGTGGCTGGTCACCAGGAGGTGGCCACCAGGCTCCTCCTTTCCCCGCTGGTAGGCCTCTGTGACATGACTTATGCATTTAAATTTATGTTTTTTATAGAGGCTCAAACAAGTGCTAAAATAGCAATTTGATTTAACTACCATGAAAAAACTGATTTATCACGATTTTAGGTTTATGCAAATTATCCTCTGCTTAATCCTTACGTCTTAAAGTAGATAAGAGTAGACGGTGATTTTGAACTTTTTGTTGTTGTTGTTGTTTGTAATACTCAGGTTTCCATTTTATGTTAACTTGTAAGATTTTTAAAAAATATGTGAAATCAGGCCGGGCGTGATATCATAAGACAGACCTTTTACCTTCTCATCAGTGACTGGAATGAACGCCTGTAATCTCAGTACTTTGGGAGGCCGAGGCAGGTGGATCACCTGAGGTCAGCAGTTTGAAACCAGCCTGGCCAACATGGCGAAACCCCATCTCTACTAAAAATACAAAATTAGCAGGGCGTGGTGGTGCACTCCTGTAATCCTAGCTACTTGGGAGGCTGAGACAGGAGAATCACTTGAACCCAGGAGCCAGAAGTCGCAGTGAGCCGTGATCATGCCATTGCACCCCAGCCTGGGCAAAAAGAGCGAAACTCCATCTCAAAAAATAAAAACAAAAAACAAAAAAAAAAATGTGATATCATAAGACAGACCTTTTCCCTTCTCATCAGTGACTGGAATTAACTGCCCATGTGGAATGGGTTGTGGGTGTTGGTTCCTTTACTGGGTCATCTGGTAAACTGCAAGGTTTCTGCTGTGACATTGAAGGCAGACATCAACCCTCTAAGACATTTTTTTCCTATCCTCTGGGAATATTACTTTTTGGACAATCTTGGTCCATTGGTAAGCTCATGGGAATTTGTCAGAGTTTTTTTGTTTCTTTTGGCTCATGTTTAGCATCGATTGGCAGAGTGTTTGGAGTCATCCTCAGAAAGGAATTACAGTGGTTCGGAGGTGTTTTCTGTAGTGGGCCCTCATTTGGGAATTGGCTTGAAAAAAATGTAAGTTCACTTGCTTCCAGGATGGTATTAAGATTGCTTTTTTTGATAGTTGGCGTGTGTCTATCAGGTAAGGGCTGTCATTTAGAGAATATAAAGTGGTAGGAGAAACTAAAAGTACTGTTCTTAGTTTTTATTTTAATCTTATTCATATACAAGTGCCTTTGTAATTTAGCAAATATCATTTTTGGTGTACAGTATAAATTTCCTTTTTATAAAGATCTGAGTTTTTAACTTTGCTGTCACTTTCTGTGTTTCATGACTTAAATATTTTAATTTTTTCTTTTTTTACATTTACATTTTTTATTCTAGTTCCAATTGCTAATCCAGCATTTGTGGATAGCTGCAAACTGCGATATGTAAGTAACATTTACATTTTAAAAATTATTTCTCATGGTTTTATTAAGTAGTTACAGCATACATATTTATCAAAAGCAGAGTCCTAAGTAATTATCATAAATTTTTCTGATGTAATGATGAATCTACTCATAGGCAATTTTTATGGGCATTCCAATTATAAACTTTAGAATATTTAAAAATAGCCCTTCTCCTAATATAGATACGATTCTGGGATTATCTAAGCTACTCCTGGAAACTTTATTAACTGTTGTTGTTTTTTTATTTTCGTAGAGACAAGGTCTCTCACTATGTTGCCCAGGCTGGTTTCCAACTCCTGGGCTCAAGTGATTCTCCCATCTCTGACTCCCAAAGTGTTAGGATTACAGACGTGAGCCACTGCGCCAGGCTAACTGTTACTGTTTTGAGTATTGGTTATAAAATACTTCAACCCTGATCCCTGTGTATTAATTTAGTTATACTTCCTCAAAGTTTCCCTTGGGCACCCTTATCTGTCCCTATGTAGCACATAGCTTCCCTATGATGTTATTTATAATCTGAGATTAATTATGATTTATAAACTCCCGATGGAAGGAAGTGTCCTTACTTTTTATAGAAGCAACATACCAGGTGGAAAGCACCGTAGATCAAGTGTTAGAAGGCTCTGGGTTCCTGTTGCCTATAAGACTTGGCCAAATGATTATCTTTTTCTCAATCTCTGTTTCCTGGGGAGTGTGGGTGGGACAAGGAAATGGCATAGGTTTAGGATTCAGACAGACCTGGGTGTGGATCAAAGATCTGCTTTCTGGGCCAATTACTTTAATTGCTGAGCCGCAGTTTCCTCATCTGTAAAATTGGGATGGGATAACTACTTCATAGATTTTTGGTAATTATTCAACTTTGAATGTGGTAAATATGTGAGATACCTGGTATAGTGCCTGTTTCTTTCTTTCTTTTTTTTTTTTTCTGAGTCGGCATCTCCCTCTGTCACCCAGGCTGGAGAGCAGTGGTGCGATCTCAGCTCACTGCAAGCTCCGCCTCCCGGGTTCACGCCCTTCTCCTGCCTCAGCCTCCTTAGTAGCTGGGACTACAGGCGCCCGCCACCACGCCCGCCCGGCTAATTTTTTTCACCGTGGTCTCGATCTCCTGACCTCGTGATCTGCCCACCTCAGCCTCCCAAAGTGCTGGGATTACAGGCATGAGCCACCGTGCCTGGCCGTATAGTGCCTGATTCTTAGTGGGTATTTCATTGACAGTGGGGTTGGGGTTGTAGAAGTTGTAGTTATTATCATGAAGCTTGCTTATCTCATGATTGTTAGGACAGGCACATGAAAAAACGGAGGTGAAAGGATTTTGTGAATTGTGGCAGTGGTATAATAATTATTCTTCTATGCTGGTGAAATATGGGTGAAACAATAGGAGTTTAGAAAATGTTTAATAATAAGGGTAATTCTTATTATACGTCTTCTAATGTTACTCTCGCAAAGTAAAATCTGGTAATAGAAAGTAGGATTTTTAGGTAATGGTTGAGCATTTAATACTTTGAGAAGGCTTATGGTATGCTCATTAAAAATGAATCAATGAAATATGTATTTAAACACTTTTATTTAAAACGTGTTATATACCTGAATGGGGTGCTCCCTGCTGACATTTTCAGACAGACATTCCAAATCATTTCCGAGAACAGTCATCCCTCTGTATCAGCCAGGAGAATGGTTCTAGTATCCCCTTGGATACTAAAATTAACACATACTGTTTTTTCCCCCACTGTTAAAAATTGAGGTTTGATTGTAAAACAGTTTTAATTTGAATAAAATGATACTGAGGTAGACAAGTTCTCTGGTAGGAATCTTCTTTTATTCTCTTTCTCCATCCAAAGCCACTTCCAGCGAGGTTTTCTCTGACCTCAGGTTATATTACCTTGATAGCATATGATAAAGGGTCCTTAACTTAGTCTGGGAGATAATTATTATTGAAGTAGATACTTAGTTTTGTTTTGCTTATAAAAAATTAGAATCACATGATATAGTTTTTTATGTTTGTTTTCCCCCATAACATATATATTATGTATTTTAAATGTTATCAACATTTTAAAATAAAATACATAATACTTAAGGTAAACGTTTTATATGTTGTGAATATCTGATCATTTTGTTTACTATTTTTGGATAGTATTATAATGTTGTAAACAACATTTTGATGAACATTTTTGAGATTAAATCTTCGTGCCCGCTTTTTCTTTTTCCCTTTAGGAAAGATTCATAGAACTAGAACAAATGGGTAGAAGGCAGTAAATATCTTTGTGACTTCTGAAAAATTGCTGAAATACTCTTAAAAAAACATTGTATCAATAGATAATCCCAGTCAATGTGTTTAAAATGCCTTTTGTTAGAACTTCCAACGTTGAGTATTTATCAAATTGTATATCCTTTTATCCTTGCCAATCAACTTTATGAGGTATAATTCATATATAGTAATAGTGTAATACTGTAACTTTAAAATGTGTTACTTGTAAATTACACATAATTTAAAATGTTCCATTTTAGCTATTTTTATGTGTACAGTCAGGAGATCGAGACCATCCCGGCTAACATAGTGAAACCCCCGTCTCTACTAAAAATACAAAAAAATTAACCAGGTGTGGTGGTGTGCACCTGTAGTCCCAGCTACTCGGGAAGCTGAGGCAGGAGGATGACATGAACCCAGGAGGTGGAGCTTGCAGTGAGCCGAGATCATGCCACTGCACTCTAGCCTGGGCAACACAGCAAGACTCTGTCTCAAAAAAAAAAAAAAGATATATATGTGAAGCACAAACCAAGTGTGGGTCCGCTTCAAGAGGCTGGAACTAGAGCTTTGGACACAGCGAGTGAAAACCCTGCCCCATGAGGCTCACAGGGTGGCAGCGTGCCTCACCCACCCTCTGTTCTTCTGGACACCATGAAAATGTCACATCTGCCGATGTCCTCCAGAGTTGTTTACAGGTTTCATTTGGTTAAGAGCTTGGTTTTATATACATTGTGAGAAAAATCACCAGTTCGGTGTGAAAATTGAAATGGGGGTAGACACTGGCCCTTCCAAGCTGTGCCCGGGGAAGACCTCCCAGGCCAGTCCCAGTGGTGCTCTCAGGCAGCGTGTGGGGTTGTGAGGACAGACAGGGGCCCCTCTCAAGGTCTTTGCTGCTCCATCAAAGACAGACCCCAGGGCTTCGGGAAATCCACAGCCTGGTGGCACTGGCTCATGCAGTCCTTTTCCTGTTTCTAGTGCTGATGAGCGCTTTGACGCCACATTCCACACTAACGTGTTGGTGAATTCTTCTGGGCATTGCCAGTACCTGCCTCCAGGTAAGCTGCACCTCCTTTGTCCTCTTCCAGTTAGAAAACTGAAGCGAGTTTGGGTGTCAGTCAGTCTGGCCGGTGCCCCCGTGTGGTGGACCAGCTCTTTGCTTCGCCTTTGCTCACTCCCACCTCTTCCTCTCTCTTCTCTTCTGTGCTTCTGTGTGCTTTCTACCCCCAGAAGTCCATCCTCCTCTTTTGTCTCAATCAAGCCGTCTTTGCCACTATGTCCTTATTTTCTGCCATGTGTGCCTTAAAGCCAATGTACAAATACAGCGAGTCTCCTTTGCCGGGCAGTGGCCACCTCACCTTCCAGCCTGGCAAGCCACCTCTCCAGGCTCTGCTTCTCAGTTCCAGCTTGCCATCCTCCTCCCTGCGGGACTCAGTGTCTTGGCAGGTGCAGCGCTCCAGCTGCCGGGGGTGAGATATGACAGTTCCAGGATCCTGAGTGCGTGCGCTAAAGAGCACACGCAGGTTACAGGCAAGGTCTGGTGGTTTCAAGGGAGAGCTCTCTAGCGGCTGACTTCTTCCCAACAGTGTCTCACCTCCAAGGCTAAGTGCTCCCTGGATTGGTTCTTTCCCCCCAGTCCATCTTTTCAGTCGATTCACAGGGCAAGGGAAATGGGTTTATGGCCTAAAGGTGCATGCAGAGTGCGCACTAGCATATTGATAGGAACAGCTGGGGTTTTTGATCTTTTAGAAGATTTTTAATGTGTTTATTCCAGGGTGATCTCCCACACTGCAGCTGTTTAACTTTCTGCTCAGAGGCAACCTGCAATTACCTCCACACCTAACTACCACTCACACATACGACTCACACACACACCACTCACAACCACTCACACACAGCCACTCACACATACCACACACCACTCACCCCTCACACACACCACTCACACACACCTCACACACACACACACCACTCAGTACTCACACACACCACTCACACCACTCACACTACTCACACCACTCATACACACCACCCACACACACTGTTCACACAACACACACACCACTCACAATCACACACACCACTCACACAACCACTCACATACCACCCACGACTCAACACACACACCACTCACACAACCACTCACATACCACCCACACGACTCAACACTCACACCACTCACACAACCACTCACATACCACCCACACGACTCAACACTCACACACCACTCACACAAATATACCACCCACACACCACTCACCACTCCACACATACCACTCACACAAACCACTCAAACCACCAACACACACACACCAGACACACACACACCCCTCACACACACCACTTACACACCACTCTCACACACCATACACACCACTCACACACGACTCACAACCCTCACACACACCACTTACACACATGCAGGCATGCACTCTCAAACCAGATACACTATTCACACCACTCACATACCACACATACTGGCTGTGCCTTCTCGGTTGCTGTCTGTGTGCCTTCCCTGTCAGCAGGTGACAAGCATCTGGGGGCACAGTCAGCCTTTGCTCACCTTAGCATTTATCCCTGAATGAACAAAGGAGCGAGTGAACCTGTCAATGGTAGACACCTCCCAATAATATTGGAAGAGATTGAAGAAGTCCAGCTGTTCAGGCTTCTCGAAGCATCCGCTTTCCTGCTAGCCCTGGCATTTCCTCCTACCAGCAGGACCCTTGCAAACAGGGGTAGTGGGGGGAGCCTTCCATCACTCCCGAGGTCTTTCTCGCCAGGCCTGCGTGTTGCAGCTTCTGTTATGAGGGCTATTTTAGAAAACAGCCTCCGGTAGTCACCAGTGTAGAATATGCTGCTGCAGGTTGTTTGGAAGGCTGAGGCTATTTTCAGCTGCAGGACCAGCACTGCAAGCCTCGAGCTGCCTGAGTGCAGCAGCCCCCTCTGGGGCTCCAGGCCTGTGTCCCCACTGCAGTGGCCCTGGATTCCGGTCAGGACAGGACACGTTGTCTTGTGACCATGAGGGGCTTCCTTACGCTGGCAGGAAAGGCCCAGGGCTGCCTGGATTGGGAAACCCCTGCCTGCTCCCTGGGAGTGTAGAACGAGTCCCAGGATGCTGCCCTGTCTGTAGTTAGAGGGGCATGGATAGGAAAGAATGTTTTGAGTTCAAGCTTTGAAATAGAGACTTGACCATAACATGACTTTCCCCCCCATTTCATGTGTTTATTTTTTAACAGCTTTATTGAGAGAGAATTTACATATCATGCATTTTAAGTACATGATTCAACAACTTTTAGTATATTTACAGACTTATGCAACCATTACCACAGTCTAGTTTTAGAACATTCCCATCACCCCACAAAGATCCCTTTTGCTTGTTTGCAGTTAATTCCCATTCCTACTCCCAGCAACCACTGATCTGCTTTCTGTCTCTAGAAATTCTCTGTCTCGGGCCATTATTTCGTAGAAATGGGCTCATGAAGTTACAAAGCTTTCCAACTAACTGGCAGACAAGGTGGGTTTTGGGGGGATCCAACTATTAATGGAGGGGGATTGTCTGTGATGATTCCAGATTCCTATAAACATTTCATGTAAGGACGCAAAGCATACTTAAAGGAACTTCAGGGGACAAAATGTGTATCTTTTCCCAACTCGGTTGTGGGGTGGGGTCCTTGTGTGCAAGGCTGTGGAGGCCCTTCCTGCGTGCACTCTTTCTGTAACTCAGTAACAGAAGTTTGCAGAGTGCCAGCCCTGCCCCAGGAACACCTGGACACCGAGTCTGTGCCTGTCTTCTTGTGCCATGCAGCCTTCCTCTGGGCAGGGAAGAGCACATGAGTGTAAATAACTGGAGTGGCCTCTATCTGGTTTCCTCCCCTTGGCCCTCTGGGAAATCCACTTCCAACCTGTCCTAGCCTGGAATAGCTCTTTTCAGCGGAAACTCTTCCTTCAAGCACCATCTCTTCAGCTTAAACCTATCTATCTGTTCTTGTTTTTGTTTGTTTGTTTGTTTGTTTTAACTTTTTTTCTTACAGACAGATTCTAGGTGTGTTCCCCAGGCTGGAGTGCAGGGGCTCGATCATAGCTCACTTCACTTTAGCCTCAAACTCCTGGGCTCAAGCAATGCTCCTGCCTTAGCCTTCTGAGTAGCTGGGACTACAGGCATGCATCACCTCACCCAGCTAATTTTTTTTATTAGAGATGTCTCACTATGTTGCCCAGTCCGGTCTCAAACTCCTAGTCTCAAGTGACCCTCCCACGTCAATGTCTTAGAGTCACTGGGATTACGGGCATGAGACACTGTGCCCAGCTTGTTCTGTTCTTCATCTAGAATTTAAATTAGTTAAAATTCTAGCTTTAACCAGAATTCTAGATTGTATTTCTCGATAATCATGTGTTCTTCCCATTTTTAACCTAAAGAAAATGCCTACCTCACCCCGCACCAAACAGACACACACACACACACACACACACCTTTTAGATTCTATTTCTAACTTCATCATCAGGGTTATCAACTTCTCTGAGATATTTTGCATTCTTTACTTTTATTATTTAGAGTCTGAAGATGCTCATGGTAAATGCAGATTATAGAGCTAACTTTTTGCACAAAAAGCCCACAAAACAGTCTTTGAGAGAGCATGTCAGTGTTACGTTTGGATTTTAAAAGACAGTGAAGCTTAGCTGAGATTCTGTTTTACAGATTTTGCGAATAAATAAAAAGACAGATTCCGTTTGCTCTGGACTGTGTTAGCTGCAGTGCGGAGGGCGGAACCGGCTGAAGGAACTGCTGTGTATTTTCAGCACATCTCAGTCAGCTTCCGTTTCAGTCTTCTGTTTCCATCACCCACACAGGCATATTCAAGAGTTCCTGCTACATCGATGTACGCTGGTTTCCCTTTGATGTGCAGCACTGCAAACTGAAGTTTGGGTCCTGGTCTTACGGAGGCTGGTCCTTGGATCTGCAGATGCAGGAGGCAGATATCAGTGGCTATATCCCCAATGGAGAATGGGACCTAGTGGGTAAGCCATGAGACTAACCGCCTGGAAGAAAGCTTTCCTATTCCTGGGCAAGCTTTAAAAGTTTGGGATTTTCCACTGTCCTTTCCGGTGCGAGCATTTATTGAATTTTGCAGTAGTCTCCATAATTTACTGAGAGCTACAGGAGGAGAAACAGAAAACAGTTAGGATATGCCATGCTTTCCAAGAGGAACTGGCAACTGCAGTGAGGATGCATTTAAACAAACCAGTGTGAGGATAGATCTCTCTACGTTATGCAGATCCACTCCATTTCTAAAAGCAAGTTGAACAGCAAATTTCAGTTGATGGGAACCTATATTTGATTATTTTAAAATAGGGAAACAGTGATTACATTTATAACAGTGTAAAATTGGTAATGTATTATTTATAATTATTATAATCATGTGTTTCCAATCCACCAAAAGAATATGTACCAATTTGGCCAACTATCACTAAAATACTCTTAACTCTATAGTAAATCAACAAGGTTTTATTCAAGCTAATTACAACCCCCCCCTTTTTTTTTTTTAGCACTTTGCAAACTTTAGGACTGTGCTTGTGTGTGGTATACACATTGAAATAAACAGGGTAATTTATTGTATTCTAACAATGGCTCCTTCTCTCCTCCTCCCTATGGAGGAATCCCCGGCAAGAGGAGTGAAAGGTTCTATGAGTGCTGCAAAGAGCCCTACCCCGATGTCACCTTCACAGTGACCATGCGCCGCAGGACACTCTACTATGGCCTCAACCTGCTGATCCCCTGTGTGCTCATCTCCGCCCTCGCCCTGCTGGTGTTCCTGCTTCCTGCAGATTCCGGGGAGAAGATTTCCCTGGGTAAGCGCCCCAGTGTCTGGCGGGAGTCTGAGACTGGAGACCTTCTGCTGAGATCAGCTCTGGAGGGCTCACAGCAGACAGCGCAGGACTCCATCAGGGTTCCTGGGGATTCCCTGGCTCATCCCATGGACCTCCGAGCCCACGGTGGCTCCAGGACACCAGAGGTCCCTGATTCGGGCTCCGTGCTGGACGGCTGTGTAATCCTGAGAATACTGGAGGACCCTCAGAGGATGGGGGATGCACAGGGAGGGGGCCAGCTCCATTCTGCCTTGAGAGGCCTGTGCTTTCTTCCCTCCTGCCACCCCACCTGTTCCTCAATGGCGACTGGTCATCGAGGGAACAATTTAGCTTAGTATCAGCTTGCATTTGTATGTTACAGTACCCAGTGTAATTCTTACAATCACTCCCATACGAAGCTAAGGAAACCAAGATTTTGAATGGTGGAATGAGTTTCCCAATGTCTTAAAGAGTTGCTAAACATCAGATGTAGGATATGGTAGAAATCATTCCCAAACCCATATCTTCTGAGTATGAGGTTCAGAAAGGTTGAATGTTGTATCTAAGGTCACATAGCTAGCTGAGTAGCAAACGTAAGACCTGAAATCAGGTCTCCTGACTGCATATTTTCTTTTTCCTGCTACGTGAAACTACTTCTCAATAATATTTTACAGAGAATATGAAAGATAATTGTGCCAAGTTAAATTTTTCAGTTTGTGTTGATGCTTTTAAAATTCTGGGTCCTAAACTTGTCTCCATAAGAGACTCCTTTGGGACTCTGGTAAGTGGCATGGAACGTCCCCTGGAAAATGCACACGCCCATACATAGGGAAAACGTGCATTCCACGACATTCCCCCCAGCGCCTCCCTTTCTTTTGAGTGTCAGGTTAGGAGCCCTCGTTAGACAGAATTGAGGCCTTCTTGTCTGTTTTTGTCTGAGGAACCGCTGTGTGTTTATGTTTTAGGGATAACAGTCTTACTCTCTCTTACCGTCTTCATGCTGCTCGTGGCTGAGATCATGCCCGCAACATCCGATTCGGTACCATTGATAGGTAAGGCAAGAGTTGGGCTCCTCTCTTAGAGATATGGGGTTAGGGTTAGAGTGTGCCCAGGATTTCCCAGCAGATGAAACTAGAAGAAATACGGCTGCACTGCCCCCATTTTCTCTGGAAGGTGATGATTTGCTGTAACTATTCAGAGTCACCCGGGCCCAAGTAAGGGGAAGGGGATATTCAGCTTTGAGGTTTGACTTTTATCTCACAGAAATGCCCCCCTTCCCCTCATAATTCTCCTCCTCATGCTTGCTTTGAAGCCAGATATTTCATCGTTAGAGATGCATCATTTTAGCTTAAGATGTTGTTTTCCCACAAAGCCTTTGTTAAAATGGGAGAAGCACACAGTTACTGTGTCCTGAGATAACTCAATGTCTCTGTATAAAAGTTTCTAGGGAAATATGAATGAGAAAAATATATTTTGCACAGGTATAAGGCATGATCCTCTACCCAGGGAGGGACAACAAAAACAAGTCTCCACTCCCACTGGGCAGGGAAGGTTGGAAGGAGGTATACAGACTGTCATTACACCTGCTGGCCCCTGCTGTTTGAGGACCTATGCTGTGTCTACCTGGGGGTGGGCTAGAGGGAGAGCCCTACCTGGATACCCCCAGGCTTTAGGAACCAAGCAGCAAAGGCCCTTCTTTGTGGAACTCCCTGTATGTGCAGTATTTTGGCCAGAGAAACTGTTGGTATGAAAAGCCTTTGTGGGTATCATTTTTCTCTTGGTACCATCCAGACAGGGAAGAACCACCTTTCCACCTGATTCTGACTCCATTCTTTCTACCTTCCAGCACACTGCTTTCAGTAGAGATTTGCAGCCTCCCTTCCGGGGGCAGTTGTCAGGCCTTCTCTCTCTGGACTGATGACCCGCTGGGAAAGGCTTGGTTGGTGCATAGCCCACATCTCGAAGGATGGGATGTTGATGGCCCCAGGGACATCAGCTTTGCTGCCCTCTGTTGATGGAAATTCAGTCTGGGCAATCCTTTGACCCCCATCTCTCCAGAGGTGGTTGGTCTGCTCAGGCTGCCGTGACAAAATACTATGGACTTAGGGGCTTAAATAACTAACAGAAATTTATTTTCTCACAGTTGCACTGCTGAAAGTCCAAGACCAAGGGGCCATTAGGGATGGTTTAACCTGAGACCTCTCCCCCTGGCTTGCAGACAACCACTTTCACAATGCTTTGTCCTCCCCTGGTAGTTCCTCTGTGCACCTGCATCCCTGGTGTCTCTCTGTGTGTCCAAATTTTCTCTTCTTCATTAAAAGAACACCAGTCAGATTGGATTAGGGCTTACCCTGATGACCTAATTGTACTTAATTACCTCCTTAAAGACCCTATCTCCAAGTACAGTCACATTCTAGGGTACTAGGGGTTGGGGCTTCAACATATGAATTCTAGGGGGAAGCATAATTCAGCTCATAAGGGTCACG
This sequence comes from Homo sapiens, assembly GCF_000001405.40. Lineage (NCBI taxonomy): Eukaryota > Metazoa > Chordata > Mammalia > Primates > Hominidae > Homo > Homo sapiens. The sequence goes on along the minus strand of NW_011332701.1, from coordinate 2,542,154 downwards.
GTTTGCTCCAGTCTCCTTCCTTTTCTCAGGGGCCCTGATGCTAACTTTAGGTCTCAAACTTCCAGCTCTGGCAGAGCTCCTCCCAGGTACCTCTTGGTCTTTGTAGGAAGGCAGTGAGTTCCTTCCTGGCGTGAGGGCCTGTGAGGGCTAGCTGAATGCTTAGCGCCCTGCACCCTGATGCTTTCCGCTTAGAGTTCAGCCCCTTGAGTGGACAGCCACACCAAAGGTTTAATAATTAGAGCTGCCCACTAAAGAATGCCCCCTCCTTTCTCCTAGACATCTTGGCCTGTGTAATTGCTCATCATTGCACAAATCCTGCAAGGAAGAAGTTCCTATTTTAATGGAGGCTACCGTAACAAATTGCTGTAGACTGGGGGCCTAAGCAACAGACATTTATTTCTCAGAGTTCTGCAAGGCTGCACGTCCTCGATAAGGGTGGCAGCAGGGCTCTGGTGAGGGGCCACTCCCTGGTTTACAGCTGGCCCTCTTCTCGCTGTGGCCTCACGTGGCAAAAAGAGAGTGAATTAGCTCTTTAGCCTCTTTTTATGAAGGACTCTAATCCCATTCATGAGGGCTGCACCCTCAGGACCTGTTGAAGGCCCCTGAGAAAATCAGTCACCATTTCTCTACTTACACAACACTTCTGACACCAAAGCGGGGCGTTTCTCTCACATCGACCAATTCTTGGAAACCAGCTGGGCGTCCTACAGTGAGTTCACTTCAGTCCTGACACCACCTGGAGTTAGCACAGCACTCACAGATTAAGGCTCACAAGACCATTTCTACTTGAGATGCCAGTTAGAAGTTCCGGCTTCCCATGCTTCTGACCAAGTGTCTATAAATCGGGGAGTTCCCAAAAGCACATCTTTGAGTTCAGCCATTTACTAGAGTGACTCACTCTAGTAAACTCAGGGAAACATTTTACTGATATTTATTCATTAATTATAAAGCACAGATGAATAGTCAGATGAAAGAAATGCATAGGGCAAGGTATTTGGGAAGGGGCATGGAACTGCCATGCCCTCTCTGCCCTCCAAACACCTCCCCGTGTTCAGCACTGGGAAGGTCTCCACAGAACTCCATCCTTTTGGGTTTTTATGGAGGCTTCACTACATAGGCATGATTGATTACATCATTGGCCACTGGCGATCCACTCAACCGTCAGTACCTCTTTCCTCCCCAGGGGTCAAGGGTTGGGAGAGGGGACAGAGCTTGAAGGTTCCAACTCTCTAATTACTTGGCTGGTTCCCCTGGCAACCAAACCCCATCCTGAGGGTATCCAGGAACCTCAGCCATAAATCATTTCATTAGCATATAAAAAGACACTGATGACTTCAGAGATTCAAAGGTTTTAGGAGCTGTGTGCCAGGAAATGGGAGGAAGACCAAATACATATTTCTTATTATAAATCACAATCTCATACCTCCCAAAGCCCCACCTCCAGATACCATCCCAGTTAGGACTAGGGTTTTAACCCATGAACTTCGTGGGGACACAAACGTCATCCTTTGTACCACCCCCATTGGAGAGCTGAGGCCCGAAGAGGCTGAGCATCCACTCCAAACTCACAGCCAGTAGCTAGTGGACCAGGATGGAAGCACTCAGATGCTCCATGCTGCCCCTCACCTGGGCCCAGGTGGAAGGACACCCATGACCCATTAGAACCAAAGCTGAGACTGAAGTTCTCGTCCTGAAAAGTCCCTGCCACTGACCCCTTCCTCAGGCTGGACAGCTGGCAGCCAGGTGGTGTGCAGGTTTGCCCTCATTGTGCCCCTGGAGCACAGTAGAGGCCTGCATCATGAACACTGGATGGTTCCCATGCCCTCACATCCAGTATTTACCCACAGGAACAAGCTTATCACCATCCTGCCAGGCGATGCTAGCTCTTATTGACTGACAAGTCGGCCAGAGTGCATGGAAGTGCAATGAAGTGAGGGAAGGTCACTCCGTGGGCGGGAAGTCAGACCACACTGGCTGGTTTTGCCCACCCAGAATGTGGGCTGCAGGCCTGGACACATGGGCATCACTGCACCCTGAGGCCCTGACGGTCAGAGAACCTGATCAGGGTGTGCCTGTCCTGTGACGTGCAGTGCCACAGGATCCCCGGGTCTCACCCTGCATCTGTTCTCTCCACAGCCCAGTACTTCGCCAGCACCATGATCATCGTGGGCCTCTCGGTGGTGGTGACGGTGATCGTGCTGCAGTACCACCACCACGACCCCGACGGGGGCAAGATGCCCAAGTGGGTACGTTCCTCCCACCCCCGATGGAGTCGGAGCCCCGCTGTAAAGGAGGCTCCTCCTAGGGTTTATTTTTAAAATCACACAAAAAACGGGCATTCCTAAAGAAATAGCTTTGGGTTTTTTGTTTGTTTTTTTGAGACGGAGTCTCACTATGTCACCCAGGCTGGAGTGCAGTGGTGTAATCTTGGCTCACTGCAACCTCCACCTCCTGGATTCAAGCAATTCTCCTGCCTCAGCCTCCCAAGTAGCTGGGACTACAGGCGCCTGCCACCACACCTGGCCAATTTTTTTTTGTATTTTTAGTAGAGATGGGGTTTCACTATGTTGGCCAGGCTGATGTCGAACTCCTGACCTCGTGATCTGCCCACCTCAGCCTCCCAAAGTGCTGGGATTACAGGTGTGAGCCATTGTTCCCAGCCAGAAATAGCTTTGTTTCTGTATTTCGTCACCTATTGACGTGTCTTTGTGTAGTGTGCAGTCATGGTGCACGTGTTCCCGGATGCCCCGTGGCACTGCTGTCTAATCTAACTGCAGAGTAGAGTAAGGCTCTCAAACTGGCTGCCCTGTGTGTTCTATCAATCAGCACGGTGTTTTGAGAAGCTAGTTTGTTTTTTGATGCATGCCGTGAAGCACTGTGCTGCAGTTGGAAGCAACAGATGAGACAGATGCGTAGCAACATGGTTGAGGCTTCACAACAGAATGAGGAGCAAAGAGTAAGAAACAGAATGAGCTGTGTACAAATATGTACGTTCAGTACATCTAGGGATATCATCCAACCAGAAGTCTATGAAACAAAGACTAATTGTCACCAGTGCAGAAGGGGGAAGGGATAAAAGGAAACGGATGAAAACAGAAAGGATGGCATCCCACAGCCTGTCAGCTTAGCCTGGGCCATACCACTCCTGCCCCAGCTGCTGGCACCGTGCCCGGCCACATCTGCGGATGCTCACCCACCCAGGGATCCTCTCCTGCACGGTGTCCAGAGCTCTGCATCCACCCTTGCCTGGCAGTCAGGAAACCTTGATGAGGGCCTAGGGAGGGCCTGAGCTTCTTCCCCTCTTCATGTGAGCTTTGTAAAGCTTCCCCGTCCTCCTGTCTAGAGAGCCTGGCCTAAGGATTTGGGGAGCTAAAAAGGCCCTCACATTCCAAAAGTTGTCTGTCTTTGGAGAGCACTTGTGTCCCAGTTCAGAAGGGAATCTAGGAATCACCAACAAGCTAAATGCAGCTGTAGGGGGTGAGATGCTGTCAGGCACCCTCCAGGAATAGGGGATTGCTGGGCCTCCTGAAACAGTCATTGTGGAGTTGTTACCTGAATGCTCACTTAGCAAAGACTGCTTCTTAAGAAATGCTTTACAAAATTACTGTTTCTTCTCAGAGTTTCACCCACATGGCCCATTCCCCTTATACACTATTTAGTAAAGACTTACCTGTGAGCCCACCACAGTGGTGTGTGGCTGTAGTCCCAGCTACCTGGGAGGCTGAGGTGGGAGGATCATGTGAGCCCAGGAGCTCCAGGCTCCAGTGAGCTATGGTGGTGTCATTGCCCTCCAGCCTGGGTGACAGAGCAAAACTCCATCTCCTAAAAAAAAAAAAAAAAAAAAAAAAAAAAAAAAAGACTCACTTGTAGCTCATTACACAAGCAGTAATGTGAGCTCAGCCTACATGGTGATGTCTCACACACAGACCACATCACTACATTCCCTGAGGCTTGTTTTGTGAAGGCCCCCCCTTAAAACACTGGGGTACATTTGCACACATTCACCTGTATTTTTGTCTGATTTCCTTATAACGCTGACCCACACTTAAGAAAATGCAAGGCCAGAGGTGAGAGGCCTGAGAGCTGGAGGCTTGTTGGTTTGCTGCTCTTTCTGTCTGTCCATCCATCAGTTTGAAGCAGGTAATACATTTACCTGTTTCTAAAGTCAAAATAAAATTAAAATTATACATAAGGAAATCCTGCTCCCATTCCTTCCCCTTTACCCTGCATCTACCGTCAATACTGATAACCGTTTTAATGAATTCCTTATTTTTCCTTCTAGTATTTATTTATGCAAATACAAAAATCTAAACATTCTCATTTCTTGTAAGTATTTTGACTGATGAGAAGATAAGAGAATTAAGACATTGAGACACAAAACCATTTTTAACGACCTGGAGCACTCTACTGCTCTAGAACAATCTTAATTAAGAACGTATGCTAATTATTCACCTCTCAGCATAAAAGCTTATTAAAACCAATTGGCTGCAAATGAAAGATGAAGCTTATGCATTTCTCTTGCTTTATATAGCACTCTGCATTTTTCTTTCATTCCATGTGTATGTGAAACACAAACAGCCTCCGAGGGACTTTTATTATGATCTGTTGCTATGAAGAAGATACTGCCGGGTGCAGTGGCATTATGTGACATTTGCACAGCCAGAAACAAAACTGTAGCCTAACAGAAGAGGTCAAGAGCACAGTTTGAGGAGTGCCAAGAGGATAATTTTATCTTTTAAATGCTTTGGCTTTGAAAGTTAATGATTCAGGCCATGGAATTCAAAATGGACTTGGCAGAGTGTATCGTATGAGCTTGAGATGTGCACTGGGGGACGTGTAGACCCTGCCATGGAGGGAGAAGTGCCTGGTGCTGCTCGCTCCCTGTGTGCACTGCTGCCACTGGATGCAGGCACACTCACTGCCCTGCAGCCTCCCAGGAGAGCTGGCTCAGGCTTTCTGGTGCCTTCCCAGAGGGGTGGGGTTGTGCGAGTTTTGAAGAGAATCTTACAGACCCTTTGACAGATGAGACTGGGAAAGGCTAAACATGTGAAGTGACATAACCACTTACTTACTCATTGTACATCGTTGGGCCAGTTTATTAGCCTCTTTGAACCTCAGTTTGTTGGTCTGTAAAGTGAGGGGATTATACTCATTTCACCGGACCCTGAAAGGCCCAAGTGAGATGACTTGTCTCATGAGCCTTGTATGGACGGCCCAACTCACCCAAGGTTTCACCTGGGGCCATATGTCCCTGCTCCTTACTGATCATAAAAAACCCTCCAAGGTCAGCAGACCCAACCTTTCCAGGACACGCAGAGTGCCGCCTGCTTGTAAAGTACAATGGGAAACAAAGGGTTATTTTTATAGCTGCAATGAAACTGGTCTTGTGCTTCCCTGTTCTTGTCCCCAGACCTGTTTGTTGCAGTTATCTTTGATAAGATGTTATAAAAAGATGACCAAGAATGAAAGCTCTGCAGATACGAACTGCACAATTTACTATCTGTATATTTATTTCCTAAAGATAGGAAATAAACCTGTTAGGTTACTGATGGAATTTCCCCAAAATCATAAAACAAAATGTAAATGAAATCAGGATCTGGATAATTTCAGGGAAAAGGCCCACTTTTCATACACTTTACATGGATGGGCTTGCAAGAATGCTTCTTTACCTGGATTGAGGCTTCAGTTGTCTCTCTTCTTTCCATGAGAGGCAAAACCAGGATAAACTCCATGGTGATTTTTCTCCAGCTTCTTTCATGCACTCTAGGACACACTTTAGACCAGAAGTTAGCAAATTATGGCCTAGGTGGCCAAATCCAGTCCACCAAGTGTTTTTGTAAATAAGTTATTTTAGAAAACATGCCCATCCATTTGACGCCTTCAATGTGTGCTACATCAGCAGAAGTGAGTAGTTGCCTGGCCCTTTACAGAAAGTTTGCCAACTTCTGCCTTCAACTTTTCAAAGTACTCTCCCAGACATCATCTTATTCGGTCTTCATTGAAGCCTACTGAGTTAGGTTAGAGGTTCCGAAACTGCCTTGGTTCACAGCACGTTAGTATCTCAGGAAATTTTTCACAGAGCCCCTGGCCAAAAGAAATAATACCCAAGGCTCTCTTTTTAAATAGATCAAAACACTTTAATAAGTATTTATGCCTTAACAATGTAGCACCTATGGGGCACGGCACCGCCTCTCAAATCTTGGGATCAGATTGGAGACCACTAACCTAGTTTCTGTTTCACATGAAGTTCCTTGGTGTTTGCTTTTTATCAGGGTACTTTGAAAAACAGCTTTGCAAAGTGGTCACGTCATCACAAGAGATGTGGTAATCTGATGTTGGAAGCCTGAACTGCTTCAAGCTTCAAGTTTACCTGGTGTCTCATGGATATCCTGGGATTGCATTTGAAAATGTACAACCTCCCCCAGGCACTCTTTGCGAATTTGCAGTGGCCTTCCAGGGCACCTAACAGGTAGTGTGGGAGCCAGAGTTAGATCTGAAGGTCCCCGGGTTACAGATGAGGAAGGATCAGAGAGGGAAATTGACTTTCCCTCTTTACACAGCTCAGATAGCCTTCCCCTTCCACGAAGCTGTCTTCCCTGAGATTGCAGTGTGCCTGCCCCGGAGAACAATTTAGCTTGTTCCCAGGGTGCATCAGTTTTAGTCTTGCCTCACGTTGAACTCGACTGCTTGTCATACGCAAGCACTGCTTGCCTGCTAAAATCATCCGGGAGGCAGTGGAGGCTGCTACCCCCAGGACCAATGAAGCAGGGCTTGTATTGTAGGATCTTACTGCTGTTGGGATCAGCCCGTGTCCGCCTCAGGGCTGCTCTTAACGTTCTGTTGTCTCCCCAGACCAGAGTCATCCTTCTGAACTGGTGCGCGTGGTTCCTGCGAATGAAGAGGCCCGGGGAGGACAAGGTGCGCCCGGCCTGCCAGCACAAGCAGCGGCGCTGCAGCCTGGCCAGTGTGGAGATGAGCGCCGTGGCGCCGCCGCCCGCCAGCAACGGGAACCTGCTGTACATCGGCTTCCGCGGCCTGGACGGCGTGCACTGTGTCCCGACCCCCGACTCTGGGGTAGTGTGTGGCCGCATGGCCTGCTCCCCCACGCACGATGAGCACCTCCTGCACGGTGGGCAACCCCCCGAGGGGGACCCGGACTTGGCCAAGATCCTGGAGGAGGTCCGCTACATTGCCAACCGCTTCCGCTGCCAGGACGAAAGCGAGGCGGTCTGCAGCGAGTGGAAGTTCGCCGCCTGTGTGGTGGACCGCCTGTGCCTCATGGCCTTCTCGGTCTTCACCATCATCTGCACCATCGGCATCCTGATGTTGGCTCCCAACTTCGTGGAGGCCGTGTCCAAAGACTTTGCGTAACCACGCCTGGTTCTGTACATGTGGAAAACTCACAGATGGGCAAGGCCTTTGGCTTGGCGAGATTTGGGGGTGCTAATCCAGGACAGCATTACACGCCACAACTCCAGTGTTCCCTTCTGGCTGTCAGTCGTGTTGCTTACGGTTTCTTTGTTACTTTAGGTAGTAGAATCTCAGCACTTTGTTTCATATTCTCAGATGGGCTGATAGATATCCTTGGCACATCCGTACCATCGGTCAGCAGGGCCACTGAGTAGTCATTTTGCCCATTAGCCCACTGCCTGGAAAGCCCTTCGGAGAGCTCCCCATGGCTCCTCACCACCGAGACAGTTGGTTTTGCATGTCTGCATGAAGGTCTACCTGAAAATTCAACATTTGCTTTTTGCTTGTGTACAAACCCAGATTGAAGCTAAAATAAACCAGACTCACTAAATCCTTTCCAATAATTGACTGGTGGAAGGAAAACAAAAAACAAAAACTAAAAACCTCTTAGCTTTTCTGCAATTCAACTTTTTATTTTTATTTTTATTTCTATCAAAGACGGTAGAGAGAAACAGCTTGATGCTGTTTCTACATTAAAAAAAAAAAAAAAAAAAGACAGACTGTTGGTCTTACTAAGGATGTTTTTACCAGCCTGCCTGACTTCTGCAAACCTACCCTGTCAAGGAGATCAAAGGGACGCAGGTTTCTGTTTATTCTGAACAAGGGCCAGGCCCCGCGGAGTGTCTTTGGTGGATCCCAGATAACTCCTAGGTGCTGCTCTCAGACACTGAGGAGTTGAGCAAATCTGTTCTATTCTGCAGAACCCATAGGACAAATAAGAGTTCTACTAGAATTAACAGCCCAAAAGAATAGCTACAGCTAAGTGAAGCCACTTACGTGGGCTTTAAAAAAATAATGTGTTAGCTGATTCACATGCACTGGAGTTAATTAGTCTTAGAAATGTGTGCATCCATACAAATGCACAACATAAAGTGAACATATTCCTAGGCCCTTTCTGCCTGTGTCAGGGCCAGGAAGTAGAGGCTGGGAACTCTTCTGGTCCCCAGTATGGCAGGCGCCAGGGAGGGGATGGTGTGGCCCATCCCTTCTCTGGATACCTGGCCAGTGGCAGGCAGCAGGGAGGAGCTGGCCGACCCTCAGTGACTGACAAGCCAGCAATTCTGAGTTCTGGCCTTTGGGAGTCTGCCTGCTCCAAGCCAGTCCACCCCAGCTGCAGCCCCAAAAGCTGGCTCAAAGTCCTTGGGTGGATTCACTGGAGATGGGCAACTTAAAACAAGAGAAACTTTAATTTTTAAACCTAAGTGATGATACAGCTCTTCCCTTAGATTATCGCCCAGGCTGGAGTGCAGTGGCATGATCTCAGCTCACTGCAAGCTCCACCTCCCGGGTTCATGCCATTCTCCTGCCTCAGCCTCCCCCCGAGTAACTGGGAATACAGGCGCCCGCCACCATGCCTGGCTAATTTTTTGTATTTTTAGTAGAGATAGGGTTTCATCATGTTAGCCAGGATGGTCTCATTCTTATTCTTTAATGAGATCAGAGGGTAATTCACCAAGAAAGACCTCTCCTGTTCCATTGTGTCATCCAACAACTGCTCAGAGCTCAAAATTATAGAAGGCTTCTGAGCCCCTAGAGATTTTTAATTTGCTTCTAATCCCTGAGGTGGGAACATCATGAGGGAAGATTTGATTTTCAGAGTTAAATAAATTGTATGTGCTTTTCCAGCCATCTGGCTCACTCATTTCTGGGTAATGCACATGACTTTGTTTGCACTGGAGGAAGATGGAAGCTTGCGTGTGTGCGGTGTGTGTGTGTGTGTAAGTGTGAGGTACCTTGTGTGTGACAAGAGACCTCACTTACGAGAAAGTTGGTGGATCAGGACATTCCAGCCTCAGGCGGCTTGGAGCAGGATCATTCTTCAGCAGGCATTCCTTCCACATGCTATGGATGAACCATGCACAAGATTTTCGGTTTTTTTTTTTTTTCTGTTACAGTGTCTTTAGAAACAAGTAGAAGTGTTTTGATATATAAAAGGAATGCTTCATTTCTTATCATTATCCCAAAATTGATCCCTCCCACATTTTTGCTTTAAAAAGAAACCTTTTTGGTTTTGTATTTTATACAGGAACACAAAATGCAAACAAGTTGTGCATATTTTGGACTCTCAAATAACTACTCTGTCCTTTAATAAAGTAATAATAAGGAATAGATGTGCACATAGTTAGAAAAGTATGAGTGGTTAAAAACAACAGTCTCCCATACTGCCTGTTTTCTCTCTCAGAGGGGACCACTAATGAGCTTCTAAGGGCATTTCTAGAAAGGAAGAAAAGAAGATAAGAGGCCAAAGAAGGAGGGACGGGGGTTATGGAGAGAGACCTTCCCTTTCCAGCACTAACGCTCTGTGAAGGGCGCTGCACCTTGCATTCTTCATGTGGTGTTTTGTCTTAGAGGTCGTCCCATAATAACATATAAAGATCTACCTCATTCCTCCTAGTAGCTGCTTAGCATTCCATTATCTCAGCGGACTATCATTTATTTGAATAGCCTTTTATTGGTGAACATATGGATACTTCCAGTTTTTATTTTTATATACAAATCTATAATTGGCATACTTGTACATACATCTTGACATAGTTTTGTGACTAAAACGGTATAAATTCCAACTTAGAAATGGAATTGCTGGGTTTAAGGCTACATGTATTTAAAATTTTGATAGCTATTGCCAGATTATCTTCTAGAAACTGATCGAAGGATGTAACTCCATCAAGAGTACAATAAAAGGCCCAATTTCTCAGCTTTCTATAATAGCACTGGGTATTTTCAAACTTAATGTTTTTCCCAATATAATTGGTGAAACATGATATTTACGAATATTATTCTGATTTTGGTTTATTTTGTGTATAAAATGGGACATCTTTTAAAATTTTTTTGTAGTTTTAATTTTGATACATTTATATATTTTACCCAGTTCCTAATTGGGTTATTTGGCTTTTTCTTAATTTGCTCATGCACTTTGGGACATTTTTGTCTTATGTCTTTAAAATATTTTTATCATTTGTCTTTCGATGTTATTTATTGATTTCCTTATTTATTGGCATAGAGTTTAAATTTTTATGTTGTCAATTTGTGAGTATTTTTCTTTGTCGATCGTGGGATTTGTTTCCAGTTTTTAAAAGCCTTCCTCATTCTGAGATTATAAATAGACTTACTCGCATTTTCTTCTGAAACTTTATGGTTTTATTGGTTTACCTTCACATCTTCAGACTCCCTGGAATTCATTTGTTGCAGGACATGAGGGAAAAATCCATACTTTTTCCTCGAAATGGTGGTCAGCAGTATCAATAAATATGTAATAATGCATTTCTAAAATACAGTCATAGTGTTTTCCCCAGTTGTTCAAAATGCAGCCTTATTTGTAAACTAAATTTCTTTAAGTGTTTGGTTCTGTTTCTGTTCTATTTATCTCTATGAATGCCTTTCATTTCTAAAGCATTATTCATACTAATATCAGTATTTTCAAGTCAACACTCCCATCAACTCTGAATCTCTCTCTCATATGAATCTTTTTTCAATTAGAGTCACAATGAATTTACAGATTGAGTCTTCCTATTCAAAAGCATGAAATCTTGTGTTTAAGTCTAATTTTATGTAACTTAGTAGTGTTTTATGATTTTGTTCACTAAGGTGCTTTGAATTTATAGTTTATTTCTAGATGTTTTATCATTTGGCTATCATTTTCAATGGAATGATTTATTCCACTTTATTTTCTATTTTATCCCATTGTATAAGAAAGTAGTTGGTTTTTATGTATGAATGTTATAATCAACCACAAATTGTGATTCCTACTTGTTTCTAAGGTATACTTTTGACTTCTCCTTTCCAATGTGTCTCTTATTTCTTTCTTGTATCTAGTTGATTTGAGATCAGTGTTGAGTCACAGTGATTCAGGTGGCATGCTTATCTTGTTCGTGACATCAGTGGGACGTTTTAATGTCTCAGCGTTTAACTTGTATGAAGACATGTATTTTCCTTGCCATAATAAAAAAGTATCTGTGTATTCTCAAACTATTAAGACTCTCTGGGGAAAATGTAGATGTTAGATTTTTGTCAAAGCCTTCTCAGTGTCCAGAGGGATTATCAGAAGGTCTTTTCCTTTGCTCTAGTAGTATGTTTAATTATATTAATAGAATACTTAAGACCAAATCATTAGTGTATTCCTGAGATGTTCTTTACTTATTAGTATCATGACTTTGGTTATCAATATTTATAATTAAGATTCATCATTCTACATCTTGCTTTTATGTGTTTTTTGTCCAGATTTAACTTTATGCTGACTTAAAGGAAGAAATATTATAAAACAAAAACCTCTATATTCTACAATCATCTATTGGTTTTGGATTATTTTCTGCTTAAGTGTAGAAGAACTAGCTGGGGCTGTCTGGGCCTGCCGTGGTATATTTCTGGATTTTGCTCATCAGGCAAGTTAGGTCCTCGAGCCCTTCTAGAGTCCATTTTAATGACATTTTTAAAAATAAAATTAATTCCATCCACTTTTCAACATAGTTGCGTAGTTTTGTAATATATGCACTTCAGGTGTTTTCTTTCCTCTGTATTTGTGGCTTTTTCTCCTTTTTCCGTTTGTAATTGTGTGCATTTCTCCTTTCTCCCGTGCCTATTGATTTAGCTTGCCATGAGTTTTACCGGTTTATATTTTTAAGACATCGGACCCTTAGACTTTGCAGTCCGAGGACCTGTCTGCAGGGTCTTGGGGGTCCCTGTGTTGACCCAGCCCTCCCAGGTGACAGCAGTGGGCCAGCACAGCAGAAGCCACAGTTGTTGCAGGTGCTTCTCCAGCCAGTGCTGGGCCCAACACACGGTTCAGCCCTTCCTCTGGGCCCTGGGAGCCTGTGGGACAAACTAGTCGGGGCAGCATGGTGGGTTAGATGTAGCTGGTCATTGCACTCACGGGGACCCCAGTGAGTTGGAGAAAAGACTGACAGAAGCTTTAAGCAGAGCCCCCTGGAGGTGCACGCCTCAGGAAGGAACTCTTACATAATTTAACTTTTTCTCATTCCTTCATTTTTTATGTGGTACAAACCCTTCCCAACCTCCCTAGACCTTCCGTCTATCAGTGTTTCTGACCTCACCATGGATAGCTCCTTTTGTAATTACTGTTTACTTCATATGCGTTTGACCTTCTAATGCCATAGCTTGTCCTGAGTTGGGGAAGGGGTCTCAAAGTTATGGCCCCTGGGGATGCGGCCCACAGATTCTATCTTTCTCAAACTCTTTGTGACGAGACGCCCCCTGTGTTTGCACACAGCCCGCTTCGGGAATGCCACCTTTCTGCAGCGCTGCAGTTCCACACTCTTTCTTGTCTTCTCTCCACCGTCACGTGTAACATTTTGCACTGCTTTCTAAATTTCCTTTTTTTCTGCCAATGGCCTTCCTACCATTTCCTCTGCTGCTGTGTTAGAGTTCTGTGTGTTCACCTTTGATAAATACTTCCCATCAACAAATTCTGCAGGTATGTTTTCTAATTTTTAGTTTTCTGCTTTTATCTTTAATATTTTCATTCTATTTTACTTTTTAAAAATTATTGTATATTTTTAAATTTTCGTAAAATATACATAACATAAAATTTATCATTTTAACCAGTTTTAAGTGTACCATTCAGTGTCATTAAATACAGTCACATTGTTGTACAGTCTTCACAACCACATATTCCCAGAACTCTTTTCATCTTCCCAAATTGAAACCCTGTCTCTATCAAACATCAACCACTCTTGTTTTGGTCCTTTTTTTTTTTTTTTCTTTTTTTGAGACAGAGTCTCATTTTATCACCCAGGCTAGAGTACAGTGGTGCAATCTCTGCTCACTGCAACCTCTGCCTCCTGGGTCCAAACGATTCTCATGCCTCGGCCTCCAGAGTTGCTGGGATTACCAGAGCACACCACCAATCCCAGCTAATTTTATATATTTTTAGTAGAGATGGGGTTTCACCACGTTGGCCAGGCTGGTCTCGAACTCCTGGCCTCAAGTGATCTGCCTGCCTCCTCCTCCCAAAGTGCTGGAATTACAGGCGTGAGCCACCACACCTGGCCTCCTTTTGGTCTTTATAAATTTGGCTAGGTACCTGATACAAGTGGATTCATATAGTATTTGTCCTTTTGTGACTGACTTATTTCACATTACATGAAATAAGATATCCTCAGGATTCAGCCATGATCCTTTTACTTTTTTTTTTTTTTTTTTTTTGAGAGGAAGTCTCGCACTGTCACCCAGGCTGGAGTGCAATGGCGTCATCTTGGCTCACTGCAACCTCCACCTCCCGAGTTCAAGCAATTCTCCTGCCTTAGCCTCCTGAGTAGCTGGGATTACAGGCACCCACTACCACTCCCGGTTAATTTTTTTTTTTTTTTTTTTTTTGTATTTTTAGTAGAGGTTGCACCATGTTGGCCAGGCTGGTCTCAAACTCCTGACCTCAGTTGATCTACCCGCCTCAGCCTCCCAAAGTGCTGGGACTACCAGCGTGAGCCACCGTGCCCAGCCAGTTCTCTTCTACTTTTATTTTGTTGTTGTTGTTCTAAGTTATTCAATAGATGCCTAATTCATGTGTTTCCAATTATTCTTATTTAATCAGATAAGTATTTTTGGCTCTGCATTTTATTCTGATCAAAGCTTTAACAGCAGTCCATACGTCTTAATATGCAATGTTTTCATTTGTATTTTCTGGATATTCTATAAGTTGAATTGTTGTACCTTCTTCAAGCTGACTTTTTAAATAAAGGCTAGTGAAGTGAAGCAGCAGTGGAAATGGAAAAGGAGCAAAGAAACCTGTAACTGCTTGTAATCAATTCCTTGTACACCCCACTGCACTCAGACCAGCCCGAACTGAGCTTTGTTGAGTGTTTTAAAATTTCCACATTTTTTAACTTAAAAATTAATTTCTAGTTACATTACCTTATGCTTTAAGCAAAATGCCTTTTGTTCTATTTCTAATATTTATAATGTGCTGAGGTGTTTCTGAGGGGTTTGTATGATCAGTGCCTGTGAATGGGTCCCTCTCTGAGAACGACCTGGGCGGGTGTGTGGGAGTTCCACCCCTGGCTTTGCTCACTGGCCTGGCTGGGGCCACGCTCCCTGTCAGCAGCATTCCTCTTTCAATCATCCTTCCATTTACCACAGGATGTTTAACGATTTACCGGATTTTCATTCTATTTTCAATACTTAACCTTGAATTCACATTTGTCTGCTTTTAAAATCAGCCCCACTGATTTCTTATGCTGAGATGCCTCTCTCGTTCATTCTTACACTCACACAACACCTCCCGTCTCCACATGTGTGGGGAAAAATCCCACCCATTCTCCAGCACCAGCTGGGTGTCCTACCGTTCAGCTCAACTCTGACACTAACTGGAGTTAGAGCCAGCCCCACAGGGGAGGGGCTCAATTCCCAGGACTGCCCTGCTCCAGATGCCAGTTGTAAGTGGTGGGTCTGCAGGTCACCCACAGCTTCTGTCCAACTTGGCTATAAATCGGAGGTTCCCACGCCCCCCTTCTTAGGTCCAGTCATTTGGTGGAACAGCGCAGAGAACCCAGGGCAACACTACTATGTTTATCCACTTATTATAAAGAATACAGCCAAATGGGAGAGAAATACAGGAAAAGATATGGTGGGGGTGGGTATGGAGCTGCCATGGCCTCTCCAGGAGCACCACCACGTGTTCCCCAACCCTGAAGCTCCCGCACCTGTACTTAGGAATTTTTAAGGAGGCTTCATCATGTAGGCATGATTGATTATTGATTCAATCTCCAACTCCTCTTTCCTCCCTAGAGGATGGGGTGTGGGGCTGAAAGTTCCAAGCTTCTAACCATGGCTTGGTCTTTCTGGTGACCAGCCCTCATCTAGGATTCCACCAAGAGTCGTTCATTAGAACAAAAGATGCTCCTATCACCCAGGAAATTCCAAGGGATTGGAAGCTCTGTACCAGGAACCCAGTCAAAGATGCTCCCAACCAATATTAGAACAAAAGATGCTCCCAGTACCCCCATCACTCAGGAAATTACAAGGGTATTAGGAGCTCTGTGTCAGAAACTGGAGACACAGACCAATATGTATTTCTTATTATTTTATACTCAATTTTATGTTTAACCTTTTTGAGGCACTTTGTTTTAGGTTTATTTATCTTGGATCTGCACTTATATTTTTAATACATATTGCTGATATATTTGGTTTAATATTTTTTTCAATATCTGTAATTAATATTTCTTTTGCATTCCCTTTTGGATTTTTTTATTTCCCCCCTCCTTCTGATTATGTGCAATCCTTTTGTTAAAATGAAAGATTTATTGCTTTTATGTGTTTAAGTGGTTACCTATATAATTTTACATAATTCAACCTATAGTTCATGATTTATCAACCTGACAGTTTCTATTAATTCTCCACTTCTCACTTCAAACCCCAATATATTATTAGTTATCTTTTTGTTTTTAGGTTTTCTGCAGGTTCCTTATACAACACTCTGTGATATGCTTTAATATTTATCAATTCAGAAGAGTATCTGTTGACTACTATTGAGAGAAAATTGAAAGATGTTTAATAGGATGGGCAATTCATTCATTTTGTGGTGATCTTCCCTTTTACCTAATTTTCATAGTGCAATTATCTTTGTTATTTTTACAAATTCATGAGTTATAACATTTACTTTCTGAAATTAATTTCCTACCATCACATACATGGTATATTTATTTATGCAAAATGAATTTTCCTTCTTTTTCCTCATTTTGGCTTGAATATGCAATGATGTGTTTTATTCCTCTTATTCCCTTTGGAGATCTGAAATTCTTCCTCTATGATGGTAGCTTTGTTATTTTTGGCATTGTCTATTCTGTTTCCTGCTATTTACAGTTCAGGTAGGTTTTTTTTTTTTTCTTCCCGTTCTGAAATGAGTTTTTGCTCTTCAATTTGTTTCCAAAACTCTGCAATTTACCTTTCATTTTGCTTTTCTATCTTTTAGCTCTTTTTTATTGAAATCGATTTCTTACTAACTTCTTACACAACATTTTGGAGAACTTTCTTGCATGGATTCAGTTATATATTTTGCTGCAGAATGAAATCTTTGTCTTTCTTTACAGACCATGGTCCACCCTGTGTTCACTGTTCCCCTGCAGTGCATTTGCAGGAATGCCTTGCCATTTATTTCACTCTTACTTTTGCTTAATTTGGGCAGCTCCATGTGGATCTTTAAATTCCTCTGAAAAAGCAGGTCTCAGCCCCTTTCAGACTCTGTGCTCCCCCTTCTTCCTGCTTTCCTGGCCTGGGGTTCTGAGAGGAAGGCCAGCCCCTAGGATGGACAGCCTGGGCGTTTTTGTCTTTACTTTGTTGCTGTTGATGTTGGTCTGTTGGTGCTCCAATACA
Organism: Homo sapiens; assembly: GCF_000001405.40. Lineage (NCBI taxonomy): Eukaryota > Metazoa > Chordata > Mammalia > Primates > Hominidae > Homo > Homo sapiens. The sequence continues at coordinate 2,525,363 of NW_011332701.1, read as the reverse complement.
TCTTAGGCATTACCCTGGAAGGAGATCTATATCATTATTTATTGCTCTAATTCATGAAATTCTGGGTCTTTGGGGTGAGTGAACTCTTATTCAGCTTTCTCAGTTAGCCGCGTACTCCCGGTGAAATTTCCCAACCTCTCTCCTTACACCCTTCAACCTCCAGTCAGGACAGATAAAATGTCCATGGATTTGGCTGTTAGGGCTGGTAGTTGGAGGGCTGGTGGGAGTAGGAATTTGGTTATAGTCACATCCCCTTTCCTTCCTGCCCATAGGGAAGACACCTGAAGACCTCCTGCCTGTGACTTTCCTGCATCTGCTGAGATCCTTAGTGGGAGGCGGGACTTCTGCACTCATGGGCTCTCTTAAAACTTTTTCCCTCCAACTTACAACTTCCCTTCTCAATGAGCCTCACTCGAGACTGGCAGCGTAGGGTGGGGAGAGGGATCCGCTATTTGGGTTGGAGGGACACGCGGGGTGGGTCGCACTGATTCAGAGTCTGTCCTTTGCAGGCCCACACCACCTTCTTCTCTGTGTCCTCCTGGCTGCAGCGCTTTGAAGAGTGTGGCAGGAGGCTCCATCATTCTGTGTTGCTGCTGCTGTTTGCTATTGTTGCTTTTTTGGGCAGCGATATCTCTGATCCTGCCTTCCTCCACTCGCAACGCGTTGATAGTCACTGACCACATATTCAGGGCAATGGGTAACAATGGAGAGAGAGTGTGTTATGTCTCAGCACCAAGGCTGCTGGTAAATTATATTCCCAGTAATTTTAGAAGATTGTGGCAGATGCTTTTCACTTCATGTTGAAGCTATTCATCTTTACATTGAAGGACCTTATGAAGCTACAGAGTTTAATCTTTTTCCAACTATATTTGCCCCCTTTTCTTTCTGTGGTAAATGAAAACGGCCAAGAATTCGCCATTTAGTATCTTTGTATTAATATGAATAGTGTAATTGTTTTTCAAACACATTATTTTAAGCTGTCATTTAAGATAAAGATAGTCTTGGTGAAATCAATATGTCAGGGTTAAAGTGAGTATGTTTTTCTCCTACACATTTTGGTAATTACCATACAGTCACCCCCATCTGTGGCGTTACTTTCTTTTCTTTTTTTTTAGACAGAGTCTTGCTCCGTCACCCAGGCTGGAGTGCAGTGGCGCGATCTCGGCTCACTGCAAGCTCTGCCTCCCAAGTTCACGCCATTCTCCTGCCTCAGCCTCCCAAGTAGCTGGGACTACAGGCGCCTGCTACCACGCCCAGCTAATTTTTATATTTTTAGTAGAGCTGGGGTTTCACCATGTTGGCCAGGCTGGTCTCGAACTCCTGACCTCAGATGATCTGCCCAGCTCAGCCTCCCAAAGTGCTGGGATTACAGGCGTGAGCCACCACACATGTCCTGTGGTGTTTCTTTCTGTGGCTTCAGTTATCTGTGGTCAACCACAGTCAGAAAATAGGCGAAGACAATAAGATGTTTTGTGACAGAGACCACATTCACATAACTTTCATTACAGCATATGGTTATGATTGTCCTATTTTATTGCTAGTAAGTGCTGTTAATTTCTTACTGTGCCTAATTTATACATTAAATTTTATCATAGGTATGTATATATCAGAGAAAAAACATATGTAGGGTTCACTACTACCCAAGGTTTCAAGCATCTACTGTGGGTCTTGGAACATATCCCTGTGGATAAGAAGGCACTACATTACAATATAGACTTCTGTTGTACTTTTCAAACATCATAATGCTCAAGAAATTACCATCCACTTGGAATTAGAATTTGCTGCAGTCCCAGCCATACTTCAGTATGCCCCCTGTGCCCTGGTCAACCTTGTTGGTTCTCTGGCTCCCGTGTGACCATATTAAACCCCGCCAGCATCCTCATTGCCAAGCCCCAGGTGGTGTCTGGAGAGGGACGTGGGCTTAGTCACTTAAAAACACAGTGCCTCAAATCCTTTGTGGAAAAGACAAGTTCATGCTATTCAATTAGATTCAGAATTTCCAAATATACAGAAGCTCAGAGCTCGTCTATGGCATCAGGTTCCAAGCTTTTTTTTTTTTAAAGGTTAGTTCAAGTACAAAAGATAAGAGTATTTGTTCCAGAGACAGGTCTGGGGGACTTTGGTGTCTGGCCTTAAAGAGAAATTGTGAAGGAGTCATTTTGAAAATGGTGTTGGTGTGTACTGGGGCCTCAGCCAAAGAGACTTGGGCTCAGGAGGCAGTGGGTCAGCCAGGCAGATGGGGGCTCATCCGCGTGTCTGTGACTGGGGGAGACAGGGACCCTGCCATCAGGAGGGAGCAGGAGTGGCAGCAGTGGGGGCCAGCAGTAGGTGTTTGTTCCAGGTTCCCTGAGCTCTCCTGAGATTCTTCCAGACTCCTGGAAATAACTGGGCAGAGGAGAGCCAAAGCCAACTGGCTGAGGTCAACCCACAGCTGCAATTCAGATTCACATGGATGTGATCCCATTGAACTGCAGGCTGAGATTCAGTCCATTCACCTGAGACATGTGAGACCCCGTTGTGGTCTGAATTAAGATTCTTCAAATTTATATGTTGAAGCCCAACCACCGTACCTCAGACTGTGATCTTATTTGGAGAGGGCCTTTAAAGAGGTAATTGAGTTAAAATCAGGCCATGAGGGTGAACCTTAATCCATTCTGACTGGTGTCCTTATAAGAAGATGAGGTTAGGATACAGACACAGTCAGAGGGGTGATCGTCTGAGGCACAGGGAAGACAGCCATCTACAAGCCGAAGAGAGAGGCTGCAGGAGAAGCCAGCCTTGCCCACCTTGATCTTGGACTTCCAGCCTCCAGCACTGTGAGGAAATGCACGTCTGTGTTTAAGCCCCCAGGCTGTGGTTCTTTGTTGTGGCAGCCCCAGCCTCCAAGGCAGGCATCTGTCAGGTGCTGTCCCCTCTGCCAGACACAGGGGGTGCAGTCATGAGAAAGCTTATCTTAGCTGGAAGGAGCTCGTTCTTAGGAAGGGAATTAGGTAAAAAGAGAGTAAGGGCCACACAGGGAGGGATCCCAGCCTTAGACAATCATGGGAGACTTCCTAGAGTTGGTGGCGCCTCAGGTAAAATCAGATGAGGGGATTGAGGCCCACCCCAGCGACTTGCCCAGCCTCACACAAATAGCTGTTTGAACTGAGACTAGGAACTCAACATCCTGAGGCTGCTTTCGTTAACCTCAAACTTACTTTGTCCATTCTTCTTTGTAAATGGCAGGGAATGGAGAATGGCACCCTGTGTTTTGGTGTCTGCAGTGGAAGGGGGTGTAGACCCCTCTGGCTGGCTTGATTCAAAGTATCGGTTCCGTCACTGGTATGTGCTGTCCTCTGTTGCTATGAAAATTTATGGCTAAAACCATCTTGCTTTGAAAGGTTAACTTTTTTTTTTTTTGAATTGGAGTTTGGCTCTTGTTGTCCAGGCTGGAGTGCAATGGCGCGATCTCGGCTCACTGCAGCCTCTGCCTCCTGGGTTCCAGCGACTCTCCTGCCTCAGCCTCCAAAGCAGCTGGGATTATAGGCATGAGCCACCACACCCAACAACTCTTTAATACCATGATTCCTGGGACACTAGTGGTCCCTAAAACTGCTTTTACTTGGGGCATGGGCAGGGCATGGGCTGAGAAGGAACATCCCCCGGGCCTTGCAGTCACAGTTTCCCATGGGATGTTTTAGCGTGGTTAAGCGCTGTTTAGCGTGTTAAGGCACTGCAGCAAGAATAAGCATGCTGGGTCCTGATTCTGAAAACCTCTCTTTAAGGCACTCAGGCCTTGCGGTTCTGTTTTCTCTACACTCTCTGTGGTGCCTCTAGTACCGTGATTAAAAACAGTGGCCCCACAAACACGACCTCACCTTCAAATCCAACTCTGCCCCCTGCCGACTGACCTCCAGCACACTGCTCACGTTATCCAAACTCGGGTGTCCCCACGTTAAAGGAGTGACTATAGTACTACCTGCCAAGACACTGTCGCAAGGACAGCCCAGAACACAAGACGCACTCGAAAATGTCAGCTAAGTTTATTTTCCGCAGGATCAAACCTCACTCCTCCCACATAGGAGATGCCATCTTCTTGTTTTAAAGGCTTTATGACAAACAGGCATTCCTTTGAAGTTTAACAAATTCCTCCTGCCACCATGACAATGACGTCTAGCAACACATTCTCTGGTGAGAAAAAGGAAAGTTTAGAAAGACATTGTCAGTTGTCTCTTCCTAAGTGATATTTACCAGGACCCAAATACCAAAAAGCACAGCTCAGAAACACAGGGGCTAGGCCGGGCACAGTGGCTCACGCCTGTAATCCCATCACTTTGGGAGGCTGAGGCGGGCAGATCACCTGAGGTCAGGAGTCCGAGACCAGCCTGGACAACACAGAAAAACCCCATCTCTACTAAAAATACAAAAATTAGCCAGGCATTGTGGTGCATCCCTGTAATCCCAGCTACTTGGGAGGCTGAGGCAGGAGAATCACTTGAACCCAAGAGGCGGAGGTTGCTGTGAGCCAAGATTGTGCCATTGCACTCCAGCCTGGGCAACAGAGCGAGACCATGTCTCAAAAAATAAATAAATAAATAAATAAAAATAAATAAATAAATACAGGGGCTTTGGCAGTGGGTCCAGGAGGCATCTGGTGAGGTCATTAGGGAGGGGTCATTACACATGGAAAGCAGCAGAGACCGTTTACTGAGTACATATTTGTTGAATGCTTTTAGGACATGAGATGAGAAGGGGGAGAAATACTCACGATGTGGAGCTGGAGGTGCGTGGGCAGCCGGTGAACAGTAATGGAACATTGACACAAGCCAGGTGGGACGAGTGTGGTGGGATGGCCTGCGAGAGGGGAGCAGAGGGGACAGGGCTGGGCAAGTACCCAGAGGCAGCCGCCTGGTGCACCTTGAGAGGTATGCATGAGAGGAACACCAGAGAGGGCCAGGGTGGGCAGGGTGGCGGTGGGCAGGAGGAGTGAGGGTGGGAGAAGGCACTGTCTGGGATGGGAGATGGGGGTCTTCGGGATTCCCTAGTGCTTTCCCTAAGAGCAGTAGGGGCGACTGAAGGCTCTGGGCCAGAGAGTGGTATAATTCAGTTGTTTTTAGATTCTGGAAAAAGAATTGGGAGCTACAGCATATTCTTTCCACTTCTGCCCTAAACTTTGTTGAGTCCCATATGCTGGGAGGCTGACCACGTGTGGCAGTGGGAGCTGGATCTCCCTCCAGTCTTAAGGTGAGATGTAGGATGTGATTTATAGGTCAGATATGAGATGGAAAATGGCAGCCGACAGGACATGGCTGATGAGGGAATAACCTGCTCAAAGCCTGGGACAGAAGGACTAGGAGGAAGAAATGTTGAAAGAGGGTTTCAAGGCATTTTCCAGGAGAGTATGATCTAAAGCATCTTCTCTATCTCCCCAGGTGAATGTTTGCTAGCGCTGCAGAGCCCCTCAGTCACTCAATCGGTGCAGACGGGTGGCAGAAACCACTGGAGTCATGTGAATGGGGACACTTTCCTATGAACAGCGGTTACACAGGCAAAGGCACCCGCCCCTAAAAGAAGTCAAAGACTTTTTTTCTGGAACCAAGATGGCCGAATAGGAACAGCTCCGGTCTACAGCTCCCAGCGTGAGCGACGCAGAAGACAGGTGATTTCTGCATTTCCATCTGAGGTACCGGGTTCATCTCACTAGGGAGTGCCAGACAGTGGGCGCAGGACAGTGGGTGCAGTGCGCTGTGCGCGAGCCGAAGCAGGGCGAGGCATTGCCTCACTCAGGAAGCACAAGGGGTCAAGGAGTTCCCTTTCCTAGTCAAAGAAAGGGGTGACAGACAGCACCTGGAAAATCGGGTCACTCCCACCCGAATACTGCGCTTTTCCGACGGGCTTAAAAAACGGCACACCAGGAGATTATATCCTGCACCTGGCTTGGAGGGTCCTACGCCCACAGAGTCTCGCTGATTGCTAGCACAGCAGTCTGAGATCAAACTGCAAGGCGGCAGCGAGGCTAGGGGAGGGGCGCCCGCCATTGCCCAGGCTCGCTTAGGTAAACAAAGCAGCCAGGAAGCTCCAATTGGGTGGAGCCCACCACAGCTCAAGGAGGCCTGCCTGCCTGCCTCTGTAGGCTACACCTCTGGGGGCAGGGCACAGACAAACAAAAAGACAGCAGTAACCTCTGCAGACTTAAATGTCCCTGTCTGACAGCTTTGAGGACAGCAGTGGTTCTCCCAGCACACAGCTGGAGATCTGAGAACGGGCAGACTGCCTCCTCAAGTGGGTCCCTGACCCCTGACCCCCGAGCAGCCTAACTGGGAGGCACCCCCAAGTAGGGGCAGACTGACACCTCACACGGCCGGGTACTCCTCTGAGACAAAACTTCCAGAGGAACGATCAGACAGCAGCATTCGCGGTTCACGAAAACCACTGTTCTGCAGACACCGCTGCTGATACCCAGGCAAACAGGGTCTGGAGTGGACCTCTAGCAAACTCCAACAGACCTGCAGCTGAGGGTCCTGTCTGTTAGAAGGAAAGCTAACAAACAGAAAGGACATCCACACCAAAACCCATCTGTACATCACCATCATCAAAGACCAAAAGTAGATAAAACCACAAAGATGGGGAAAAAACAGAGCAGAAAAACGGGAAACTCTAAAAAGCAGAGCACCTCTCCTCCTCCAAAGGATCGCAGTTCCTCACCAGCAATGGAACAAAGCTGGACAGAGAATGACTTTGACGAGTTGGGAGAAGAAAGCTTCAGACGATCAAACTACGAGCTACAGGAGGAAATTCAAACCGAAGGCAAAGAAGTTAAAAACTTTGAAAAAAATTTAGACGAATGTATAACTAGAATAACCAATACAGAGAACCAATACAGAACCAATACATCTGCTTAAAGGAGCAGATGGAGCTGAAAGCCAAGACTCGAGAATTACGTGAAGAATGCAGAAGCCTCAGGAGCCGATGCAATCAACTGGAAGAAAGGGTATCAGCGATGGAAGATGAAATGAATGAAATGAAGCGAGAAGGGAAGTTTAGAGAAAAAAGAATAAAAAGAAATGAACAAAGCCTCCAAGAAATATGGGACTATGTGAAAAGACCAAATCTACGTCTGATTGGTGTACCTGAAAGTGACGGGGAGAATGGAACCAAGTTGGAAAACACTCTGCAGGATATTATCCAGGAGAACTTCCCCAATCTAGCAAGGCAGGCCAACGTTCAGATTCAGGAAATACAGAGAACACCACAAAGATACTCCTCGAGAAGAGCACCTCCAAGACACATAATTGTCAGATTCACCAAAGTTGAAATGAAGGAAAAAATGTTAAGGGCAGCCAGAGAGAAAGGTCGGGTTACCCACAAAGCGAAGCCCATCAGACTAACAGCGGATCTCTCGGCAGAAACTGCAAGCCAGAAGAGAGTGCGGGCCAATATTCAACATTCTCAAAGAAAAGAATTTTCAACCCAGAATTTCATATCCAGCCAAACTAAGCTTCATAAGTGAAGGAGAAATAAAATCCTTTACAGACAAGCAAATGCTGAGAGATTTTGTCACCACCAGGCCTGCCCTAAAAGAGCTCCTGAAGGAAGCACTAAACATGGAAAGGAACAACTGGTACCAGCCGCTGCAAAATCATGCCAAAATGTAAAGACCATCGAGACTAGGAAGAAACTGCATCAACTAACGAGCAAAATAACCAGCTAACATAATGACAGGATCAAATTCACACATAACAATATTAACTTTAAATGTAAATGGACTAAATGCTCCAATTAAAAGACACAGACTGGCAAATTGGATAAAGAGTCAAGATCCATCAGTGTGTTGTATTCAGGAAACCCACCTCACATGCAGAGACACACATAGGCTCAAAATAAAAGGATGGAGGAAGATCTACCAAGCAAGTGGAAAACAAAAAAAGGCAGGGGTTGCAATCCTAGTCTCTGATAAAACAGACTTTAAACCAACAAAGATCAAAAGAGACAAAGAAGGCCATTACACAATGGTAAAGGGATCAATTCAACAAGAAGAGCTAACTATCCTAAATATATATGCACCCAATACAGGAGCACCCAGATTCATAAAGCAAGTCCTGAGTGACGTACAAAGAGACTTAGACTCCCACACATTAATAATGGGAGACTTTAACACCCCACTGTCAACATTAGACAGATCAACGAGACAGAAAGTCAACAAGCATACCCAGGAATTCAACTCAGCTCTCCACCAAGCAGACCTAATAGACATCTACAAAACTCTCCACCCCAAATCAACAGAATATACATTTTTTTCAGCACCACACCACACCTATTCCAAAATTGACCACATATTTGGAAGTAAAGCTCTCTTCAGCAAATGTAAAAGAACAGAAATTATAACAAACTGTCTCTCAGAGCACAGTGCAATCAAACTAGAACTCAGGATTAAGAATCTCACTCAAAACCGCTCAACTACATGGAAACTGAACAACCTGCTCCTGAATGACTACTGGGTACATAACGAAATGAAGGCAGAAATAAAGATGTTCTTTGAAACCAACGAGAACAAAGACACAACATACCAGAATCTCTGCGACGCATTCAAAGCAGTGTGTACAGGGAAATTTATAGCACTAAATGCCCACAAGAGAAAGCAGGAAAGATCCAAAATTGACACTCTAACATCACAATTAAAAGAACTAGAAAAGCAAGAGCAAACACATTCAAAAGCTAGCAGAAGGCAAGAAATAACTAAAATCAGAGCAGAACTGAAGGAAATAGAGACACAAAAAACCCTTCAAAACATTAATGAATCCAGGAGCTGGTTTTTTGAAAGAATCAACAAAATTGATAGACCGCTAGCAAGACTAATAAAGAAAAAAAGAGAGAATCAAATAGACGCAATAAAAAATGATAAAGGGGATATCACCACCGATCCCACAGAAATACAAACTACCATCAGAGAATACTACAAGCACCTCTACGCAATTAAACTAGAAAATCTAGAAGAAATGGATAAATTCCTCGACACATACACTCTCCCAAGACTAAACCAGGAAGAAGTTGAATCTCTGAATAGACCAATAACAGGAGCTGAAATTGTGGCAATAATCAATAGCTTACCAACCAAAAAGAGTCCAGGACCAGATGGATTCACAGCCGAATTCTACCAGAGGTACAAGGATGAACTGATACCATTCCTTCTGAAACTATTCCAATCAATAGAAAAAGAGGGAATCCTCCCTAACTCATTTTATGAGGCCAGCATCATCCTGATACCAAAGCCGGGCAGAGACACAACCAAAAAAGAGAATTTTAGACCAATATCCCTGATGAACATCGATGCAAAAATCCTCAATAAAATACTGGCAAACGGAATCCAGCAGCACATCAAAAAGCTTATCCACCATGATCAAGTGGGCTTCATCCCTGGGATGCAAGGCTGGTTCAATATACGCAAATCAATAAATGTAATCCAGCATATAAACAGAACCAAAGACAAAAACCACATGATTATCTCAATAGATGCAGAAAAGGCCTTTGACAAAATTCAACAACCCTTCATGCTAAAAACTCTCAATAAATTAGGTATTGATGGGACATATCTCAAAATAATAAGAGCTATCTATGACAAACCCACAGCCAATATCATACTGAATGGGCAAAAACTGGAAGCATTCCCTTTGAAAACTGGCACAAGACAGGGATGCCCTCTCTCACCACTCCTATTCAACATAGTGTTGGAAGTTCTGGCCAGGGCAATTAGGCAGGAGAAGGAAATAAAGGGTATTCAATTAGGAAAAGAGGAAGTCAAATTGTCCCTGTTTGCAGACGACATGATTGTATATCTAGATAACCCCATTGTCTCAGCCAAAAATCTCCTTAAGCTGATAAGCAACTTCAACAAAGTCTCAGGATACAAAATCAATGTACAAAAATCACAAGCATTCTTATACACCAATAACAGACAAACAGAGAGCCAAATCATGAGTGAACTCCCATTCGCAATTGCTTCAAAGAGAATAAAATACCTAGGAATCCACCTTACAAGGGACGTGAAGGACCTCTTCAAGGAGAACTACAAACCACTGCTCAATGAAATGAAAGAGGATACAAACAAATGGAAGAACATTCCATGCTCATGGGTAGGAAGAATCAATATCGTGAAAATGGCCACACTGCCCAAGGTAATTTATAGATTCAATGCCATCCCCATCAAGCTACCAATGACTTTCTTCACAGAATTGGAAAAAACTACTTTAAAGTTCATATGGAACCAAAAAAGAGCCTGCATCGCCAGGTCAATCCTAAGCCAAAAGAACAAAGCTGGAGGCATCACGCTACCTGACTTCAAACTATACTACAAGGCTACAGTAACCAAAACAGCATGGTACTGGTACCAAAACAGAGATATAGATCAATGGAACAGAACAGAGCCCTCAGAAATAACGCCGCATATCTACAACTATCTGATCTTTGACAAACCTGAGAAAAACAAGCAATGGGGAAAGGATTCCCTATTTAATAAATGGTGCTGGGAAAACTGGCTAGCCATATGTAGAAAGCTGAAACTGGATCCCTTCCTTATACCTTATACAAAAATCAATTCAAGATGCATTAAAGACTTAAACGTTAGACCTAAACCCATAAAAACCCTAGAAGAAAACCTAGGCATTACCATTCAGGACATAGGCACAGGCAAGGACTTCATGTCTAAAACACCAAAAGCAATGGCAACAAAAGCCAAAATAGACAAATGGGATCTAATTAAACTAAAGAGCTTCTGCACAGCAAAAGAAACTACCATTAGAGTGAACAGGCAACCCACAATATGGGAGAAAATTTTCGCAACCTACTCATCTGACAAAGGGCTAATATCCAGAATCTACAATGAACTCCAACAAATTTACAAGAAAAAAACAACCCCATCAAAAAGTGGGCAAAGGACATGAACAGACAGTCTCAAAAGAAGACATTTATGCAGCCAAAAAACACATGAAAAAATGCTCACCATCACTGGCCATCAGAGAAATGCAAATCAAAACCACAATGAGATACCATCTCACACCAGTTAGAATGGCAATCATTAAAAAGTCAGGAAACAACAGGTGCTGGAGAGGATGTGGAGAAATAGGAACACTTTTACACTGTTGGTGGGACTGTAAACCAGTTCAGCCATTGTGGAAGTCAGTGTGGTGATTCCTCAGAGATCTAGAACTAGAAATACCATTTGACCCAGCAATCCCATTACTGGGTATATACCCAAAGGACTATAAATCATGCTGCTATAAAGACACACGCACACATATGTTTATTGTGGCACTATTCACAATAGCAAAGACTTGGAACCAAGCCAAATGTCCAACAATGATAGACTGGATTAAGAAAATGTGGCACATATACACCATGGAATACTATGCAGCCATAAAAAATGATGAGTTCATGTCCTTTGTAGGGACATGGATGAAATTGGAAATCATCATTCTCAGTAAACTATCGCAAGGACAAAAAACCAAACACTGCATATTCTCACTCATAGGTGGGAATTGAACAATAACACATGGACACAGGAAGGGGAACATCACACTCTGGGGACTGTTGTGGGGTGGGGGGAGGGGGGAGGGATAGCATTGGGAGATATACCTAATGCTAGATGACGAGTTAGTGGGTGCAGCACACCAGCATGTCACGTGTATACATATGTAACTAACCTGCACATTGTCACATGTACCCTAAAACTTAAAGTATAAAAAAAAAAAAAAAAAAGAAGTCAAAGAGGGCTATCAGGTGTAACAGGCAACCATGTCAAGTGATTGCCAGCCCTGGGGCAGTGAGGAAAGGGCTGAGATTTTCCATTGTTTGATTTATTTCGAGAGAACCTGTCATTGCTGAAGCATTTTTAATGGCAGATACTTTAGAGCCCTTGTCAGATAATTCCAACATCTGATAGTTGGGTCTTGGCAGCAGCTGATCGTGGTGCTCATGCTGGTGGTGATCTCTGCACTCTTGGAAGGATGGTGAGTTTTCAGTTGTTTGGTGGACGTTCTGCCTGTCATGTTAGGTGACCTGGGTCCCCTGTGACTCTTTTGCTTTAGAAGGCAGTGACCTGTTTAGGTTTGGCACATGGGTCCTGGCCCATCTTGCAGGCTGTGGTTCTACTGGCATCTAATTTCCAGAGTCGCTGCTGTGTTGTTCTCTCCTGCTTGGTTTCTCGGGGGTCCTTGTGGCTCTCAGGATCCCTCCTGATGCAGGCTGAGGGGCAGACGGAGTTTCCCCAGGCTCTGCCCTGAGTGTCTCCCAGTGGGGCCCAAGGCTCAGGCTGTCTGAAGAAGAGGCTTGGATCCCCTGCAGGTGCCCACCAACCAGATATTTCTGGGTGGGGAGGAGGGGCTGTCAGTACACAAGGAGGGGAGCCACCCTGGGGCCACTTATGCGGACAGGGCTTCAGGTCCCTCCTCCGTCAGGTGGCGTCAGGCTGGCCTGGTATTGCCAGAGGGCCCTGTTCCATCAGAGCGGGAGCAAGCCTAGCTGGCTGCCATGGGTGCTAGGCTGGGGTCACCTTCTGTTGGTCTTGGGGCCATAAAGCACCCTGTTGCTGTGCCTTCCTTCTCCCCCTGGGGTCCCAAAACCAGCCCGCCTTCCTCTGAACACCTTTCGGAGTTCTGGTTGCCTCTGAGCCTGGTTTCTGGTTGTGCTTTGAGCAGCAGGGAGGGGCCTGCCCATCTAATTGGGACCAGCAGTGAGAGGGGGTTTCTGTGTCCCTGAGGAGAAGGATGCAGTGTGAGGGGAAGGTGGGCTGTCTGGAAATGCTTGTGGAATGAAGGAAGTGTTCAGGTACTGGAGAGATGCAGGTGCGGCTTGTGGATAGAGGCTGCCTAACTTAGGGAACTACCTCGCTGTAGGTGTGTTTGGGGAAAGTGAGTTTCCTGGATACTGATGGGGACAGACACAATCAGCCTCTTGTGGTCTCCCAGGATTTGGCTCAGTGGCTACAACACATCATTGCACACTTGAATACGGCGAGACCTGAATGCCTTTAGCCCAAGACCCTTTTATTACCTTTCCTTTATGCATCCTATAATTTGAACTATTGTCTCCACCAAATTATTCCTTCCCAGCATTTCTGGAGAAAGAAATGTAATGAAATATTATTCAGTAAAATCCCACAGTAAACAAGAACACACAGTGCTAACTTAGTCCTGGTGTTCATCAGTTATTATTGCTCTAAGAAGACAAAGGTGGCCCCTAATATGCAGGAGCTGGCCCGGTGCCCACAGCTGGGCCTTGGTCTCTCCTGATGAACATAAACAGTTCACTGAACAGGAACGGTCAGGGAAGCCACTTGGTGAGTGTGACGGAATAAGACAAGAACAAGACTGGCCAGGCGCGGTGGTTCACACCTGTAATCCCAGCACTTTGGGAGGCCGAGGCGGGTGGATCACAAGGTCAGGCGATCGAGACCATCCTAGCTAACATGGTGAAACCCCGTCTCTACTAAAATTACAAAAAAATTAGTCGGGCGCGGTGGCAGGTGCCTGTAGTCCCAGCTACTTGGGAGGCTGAGGCAGGAGAATGGCGTGAACCTGGGAGGTGGAGCTTGCAGTGAGCCGAGATCATGCTACTGCACTCCAGCTTGGGTGACAGAGCGAGACTCTGTCTCAAAAAAAAAAAAAAAAAAAAAGAACAAGACCATTATGTCATTAGGTCTGAACACAGACAAGGCAAGAACATGGTTCAAACCATAAAAGTGACTTAATATCCCCCTCTCCCAGCTCATGCTAGTGAGTGCTGCTGCTTTATAGTTAAAAGCCTGCTGCCTGGCTCTGGTCTGCCTTCTTCCAGGTAAGATTAACCCATGCATCGCATAGCATCCCCTTCTTCCAAACACCAACCAAATCTGGAGCAAAGCCCCACTTCCTTGAACGCTCTCCCCAGATCACCCAACATGCCCCAGTTCTGTAATGAGTCCTGGCAAACCCCCTCTGCCTGAGACACCCCACAGTTCCCGCTGGTGTGCCCTGCGTGTAGTCTCTCTCCCTCCAACAAATAGTAAATCCAACTCGTTCAACTATAGGCCTGATCCTGAGGTCTTTGGCTGGAGGACGTTTTCACTTATAGGATTCATAGGCTAATTTCCAGAGCTCTTTTGAAATTGGTAAAAGAGTTTACATTTTCCACCTTACCTGGCCACCAGGCTCCTGATGGCATAATGTCAGGATTAAACCTTAGGATTTAAAGTCTATGATTCTGGAACACTCAGGATTTTAACTTTCCAGCTCAGGACATCCTTGCATTTTTTTATGGTGTCTGGTTAAGACTAGCAGTGACTTCATGAAGGTGGAAATCATGCATTCTTCATTCATTAATCTGATGATTTCACTACTGACAAATGAAAATTACCCAGGCCTTTCAACTTCCCTTCCCAGCTCTCCTGCTGTTTGACCAAAAGACACACATTCTACTGATTTTCAATGACTATTTATCTGCACTGAAAGAACATTTTTCAGAAAACAGAAAGAGACATTATAATGGGTATTTACCACTGGTATGTTCATAGAACAGCCCCAAAATTGTTAACTTCACATGCATATTAGCATAAAACAAAATAATAAATAGGTAAAATTTACTTTAAATTTCTGTTTACAGATTTTTAACAAAATGGCACGGAAAGGGGCTTCCAAGCCAGAAAGCCTTGGCACATCAGGTGAGCCTTTGACACACTGCCTGAGCAGCCTACGGGCTGTCCCATCTGGAACTGGTGCTAGAGTTAGGGAAGCTTCAGGAAGAGACCGTGGGATCTACGCAGCTGTTCTGTTTTTCCTTCCTGAGAGTGTGAGGCCGGGAGGAGACATCATCTGAACGTGCACTTCCTTTCTTTCTTTCTTTTTGAGACAGAGTCTCACTCTGTCACCCAGGCTGGAGCATAGTGGCGTGATCTCGGCTCACTGCAACCTCTGCCTCCCAGGTTCAAATGATTCTCCTGCCTCAGCCTCCTGAGTAGCTGGGATTTCAGGTGCCCACCACCACGCCCAGCAAATTTTTTGTACTTTTAGTACAGATGGGGTTTCACCATGTTGGCCAGGCTGGTCTCAAACTCCTGACCTCAGGTGATCTGCCCACCTCAGTCTCCCAAAGGTGTGAGCCACCACGCCCAGCCTGATTGTGCACTTTCTACAAGTGCAAGACCCGGCCCTCCTGGACTTCATGGTTGTGGTCTGTGCTCTTTGTATATCACAAATTTGAAGGCCTTTAGCCTAAGACCCTTTTATTACCTTTCCTTTATGCATCTTATAATTTGAAATATCATCTCCACCAAATTATTGTGTAATTATATAATTGCCACTTTAACTACTTCACACGTCAATAAATTTAAAAAGCCTTTAAGTGTGTATTTTTGATATGATAAAATTGTGATAGGGTTCTGGAAACTGTGTTCTTCAGATTTGGTGGAGGGGCTTGGGAAAAGGTAGGGCAATAGGTATTTTTTAAAAAGAAAGAAACTAAAAAACTTAAGTTGTTTATTTGAAATTCAAAATTGTCACTGCGTATCCAGTGTTATCTGCCCACCTGAGAGGAGGTAGAGTGGGAAGGTCATCACAAAAGAACCCGAAAAGCTGGGCAGGGGAAAGGGGTGTTCTGCATTAAGGAAGGCTTGCTCTGTAATAGGATCCAAAGTGTGTGATTCCTGACTGCCCTGCAAGTGGCTTGGAGGCTTTGGGCATCTCTCTTGGAAAATAGAAACTTCATGGATGGCTAAAAGAGACATGATAACAGTGTACATGGCAGAAGATCCTCTGCTGATGGGTTCTAGAGAGTCACTGATTCCTTAGGAAGATCTAGTTACAGGCAAGAGCCTTGAATAATCATGAGTCTGGGCCAGTCAAAGGAGGCAAATGCCCCACCTGGGAAAGGTGGCTCTCTCTAATCCAGGTGGTGTTCTGGAAGAAAAGGGAAATAAAAGGCCTGTGTCCTGCTTCTCCACCCGGAGGACTCTGCTCAGCCCTTAGGTCTTCTGAAGGGCTCTCCTGGAAGCCTACTGCAGCTGCAGGCCTGCAGCACCAGTTGCGGATAAGGGAAGATGGAGGTTGACAGAGGGGCCTGCCTCCTCTTACTTTCCCTGCCCTGGCCTGAGTCCTGTGGTTCGTGACTGTGCTGTCTTTAGTGGGAGCTTGCCAAGCCCAGCAGTGTCCTGGTGTGGATGAGAAATTACACACTCATCCTATTCTTAGCTCAGGGGCCTCTGTGCATTGAACTGGTTGCATCAGCTTCATTTTTACTGCAAAACCACCCTTTACGATAGGTCGGAAGTATGATTCTGGCAGACAAAGTGAGGACAAGAGGACAAATGGGGCCAAAAGGAAGCAAGGTTGGGATAGTGGGTGGAGTGACTTCTAGGGATTGGGAGGAAAGTCCCTACCCTTCCCTCCATGGGTCTCCTGACCTGAGCAGGCTCTGGGAGGACAGGGCTGCTCGAGCCACCCTGAGAACCTCCCAGGCTGAGAGGATTCCAGGACGCCCACTCTGGAGATACTGAGACCAGCTCTGGGGAACACGGTGCCAGCTTGAGTGCACCCTGGGCCTGCAGCATGGAGAAGAATTTAGCATCCCAAGCCCCCACCCCTGAGATGCTTCAGGTGGGGCAAAGTGGCTGCAGCAGCCTAAACTTTAGGTTGTCAGAGTGATACGGAGCTGCACAAGGCCAGGCACTGAGTGAGTGCCCTGAAAGTGCTGGTGGGGGAAATATGTGAGTTCAAACTACCCTTGAAATTTCAGATACTTGTCATCTGTAAATTATGAAAACGTGCTCCTTACTTTCTTAGCAATAGTGTTGCTTTTACATATACGTGCATTCCTCTCCTGTGGCTACTGTAAAAGTTACCACGAACTCGGTGGCTTCAAACAGTGGGAATGTATAGTTCTGGTGGTCAGAAGTCTAAACTGAGTCTTATGGGAACAAAACCGAGGTGTCTGCAGGGCAGGGCTGGTTCTAACTGAGGCTCTAGGGAGAATCGCTTCCTTGCCTTTTCAGCTTCCAGAGCCGCCTGCGTCCCGTGGCTCCTGGCCCCTTCCTTGCATCACATCACCTTCCCCCCGACTGTGTCATCACACTGCCTTTCCCTACTGTCATCAAGTCCCCTGTGCCTTTCTCTTATAGGAAAATTTATGATTACATTTAGGGCCCGCCTGGATGGCCCAAGATAATCTCCCCAACTCAAAGTTCTTAATCACATCTGCAGAATCCCTTTTGCCTTCCAAGTCACCATATCACAGGTTCCAGGGACCAGATGGTGGAGGTCCTGGGGGGCCACTATTCAGTGGACCACACTGCCCTTTTCTCAGATTGAACTGGTGGCCTTGTCTGTCCCTCTTCCCCGACAGGTAAAGGGATTCAGGGTCTCTGCTCTTCACGACGTCATCCATAGAGAGTCTCTCTCATATACATCTAAGGTGATCTTCAAAATAACCCACGAACCAGGGATCATTTACAAACGGGAAATTGGGAAGAAAACTAACATTTACAGAGTTAAATAATTCAAATTTTAGTTAAACACTGCTATATACAGCCCCATTATTGCTTCATTTGACCCTCCTGCCATCTGGGAAGTATCTGTTTTTACTCCTATTTTGAAAGTAGAAAACCTGAAATAGTGAGGTCATGTAACTGATCTAACACTGCAGGTCTTGGAAATTAGAAAACCTGAAATTAGTGAGGTCATGTAATTGCTCTAAGACAGCAGAGCCAGAAGTAAAGGCACTGAAGTTTAAAGCAGACCTGTGATTTCCAACCCTTAGCTCTTCCCTGTCCCATTTTCCCCTGTCCATCACTCCCTCTGCACAGTCCTGCAATGGTCTGAGAATGGTGGCCAGTGCTGCAGGAGACCCATGGGTGTGCCTTTGGGGTGTGCATTGACAGTTTTCTTTGAATGCTTCTAGAACCACAAAATATCAGGGCAGAAAGGCATCTCAGAGAAAACCTACCCCAAATAACTTCTCAAACTTCAATGCACAGAACTATCTGGCTGCTTATAAAAAAACAAGAGTCTGTAAGCCCCATTCCCAGAAATTTTAATTTAATAGGTCTGCACTTGAGGCCCAGGCAGGTTTTTTTTGTTTGTTTGTTTGTTTTTTGTTTTTTTTTTTTTGAGATGGAATCTTGCTCCATTGCCCAGGCTGGAGTACAGTGGTGCGATCTCAGCTCACTGAAACCTCTGCCTCTAGGTTCAAGTGATTCTCCCACCTCAGCCCCCCGAGTAGCTGGGACTGTACAGGTGCATGCTACCATACCCGGCTAACTTTTTGTATTTTTAATACAGACGGGGTTTCACTGTGTTAGCCAGGATGGTCTCGATCTCCTGACCTCGTGATTCACCCTCCCAAAGTGCTGGGATTACAGGTATGAGTTATCCGCCTGGCGCATCTACATTTTTAACATGCCCCAAAGCTAGTTTTGAAACAATTTAACAGGAAAGAAAGGGTGAGAGGGGTGCATTTGTCCTTTCTCACACTGCTGTAAACATATTACCTGAGACTGGGTAATTTATAAACGAAAGGGGTTTAATTGACTCACCGTTCCACATGGCTGGGGAGGCCTCAGGAAACTTACAATTATGCAGAAGGCAAAGGGGAAGTAAGCACCTTCTTCACAAGGCAGCAAGAGAGAGAGAGCACAGGGGAAACTGCCATTTTTAAAATCAGATCTCATGAGAACTCACTCACTATCACAAGAACAGCATTGGAAGTGATCCAATCACCTCCCTCCCTCGACACGTGGGGATTACAATTTGAGATGAGATTTGGGTGAGGACACAGAGTCAAACCATATCAAGGGGTAATACATTTTCTCTAGAATGTAGCATTAGCCTTTCTTTTTGAGGAACATGTTTGTGTGTTATGGAAGTTAATCACGGTGGGCCACATCATTGGAAAACAGCAAATACTGCTTTCTGGTTTTTGGCCGATTAGGTCAGGTGAAGAAGTTTGGCAATCTGGCTCTGATTTGTGTGAGAGATACCAGTGAAAGGTGGATTTCATATTGTGAGATGAAACATCTGGAGAGGACTAGAGTCTAACTTGTGCATCAGCTGGAAAGAAAGACTGAGGGGTCATGGGAACTTGCACATTACGATCCATGTAACTGCACTTGCCAGAATGTAGGATCAATCTGCTGCTGAAGAATATCCTAAATCAGAGAGTAGATAGGAACCAGAGGCCGTAAACTCACCAGAGATGTTAGTGCGGCCTTGAGGTTAACTGCTGCTTGGAACACAGAGACGTGATGCACTGAAACTAAATCTGGGCTGAGGGAAAGCATGTCCACACCAGGTGCCCAGACATCTGGTTGGCTTTGGCTGATTTGTCCTGCAGGCACCTGCCTTGTCTGGATTTGCACACTTTCCAAGTTGCCCATTACCCTGTGCATTTCCCAAGCTGCCTTCCCTGGCTCTGATGTACGATGAACCTGCTTGAGTGGCATATTTATCATAGTGCAATCAAGAGGCATGAGCCATGATTGATGACATATCATAAATGGGAATATGCATATCATCACACTGGGATCTGACTTAGCAGTTCATTTGGCCTTACTATAAGCTGATTTCTTGAAAGAGCTCAGATTCCTGGCTCAGAATGCCTTTGATAGAAGAGTGTGTTCTCAATGGAAGGGAAGCAATAGTTATAATTTTTTCTCAGTGGACCAGTTCTCAAGTGAAGGCAGAATTTTAACCAGTGTTCAGCGTCTTCCATTAAAATCCCCAGCTCTCCATTTTTCAGTGTGAAAAAATCCAGGCCAGGGTTTCTGCAGACAGTAATTTTTGATGGCAGGGTCAGCAAATTGGACTAAGTGTATGTACTGTGATCTCCATAAAAGGGAATTACTGAATTTTCTGTCCACTTAGCAGCGTCTTTTGTTAATGATGGGCAAGAAGCTTGTATTATTTATGGAGCACTTTGACATCTCAGCAGTTTATGGAGTATATATGAAGAATGGGAGCACTTTATCTTCTAATAAAATGTTGCATAACAACTTTAGTACTGAACTTTTTTAAAGAAGGAATCATGGATTATCCTGCAGCCAAGTATTAACAGAAAGGACATACTGTGATCTCACATTCAAACTACTTCAAAGAAAAGGAGATTTATTTTGCCCATTACAATTTTCTCCCAGAGCAAATAACCATTTTTATTAAAATGCTGTAAGTTCATCCAGGTAGGATTTGGGTGAAGATAATTTGGGACAAGCCACTGTGTACTGGTAATGAAAACAGAAATGAATTCAAGCTTCTAATGGAAAAGTGACAAGCAAATAAATTAATCTCCAGGTTATTCAATTTTAGAAAGTGATATAAGATGTAAGATATAACTAAAAACTGAAAAGGAAAGTTAAAACAGTCTCCAGGTTTCCATATGGATGATTTGTAATTAAAATGATACTGGAGGGGAGTCCAGGACACATCTGAATATCGAGCTTTGCCCACAACCTTTCTGATTGCTGTTTCTTAGGTGTTTACTGCAGTGCTTCTTCTCCATTTCTGCATAAGTGTGGACAAAATTCACATGTGCCTATTACTAGTATAAAGGGCACACACGGCCAGGCGTGGTGGCTCACGCCTGTAATCCCAGCACTTTTGGAGGCTGAGGAGGGGGGATCAGGAGATCGAGACCATCCTGGCTAACACGGTGAAACTCTGTCTCTACTAAAAAAAAAAAAAAAAAAAAAAAAAAAATTAGCCCGGCATGGTGGCAGGCACCTGTAGTCCTAGCTACTCAAGAGGCTGAGGCAGGAGAATGGCGTGAACCCGGGAGGCAGAGCTTGCAGTGAGCCAAGATCCCGCCATCGCACTCCAGCCTGGGCGACACAGTGAGACTCTGTCTCAAAAAATATAAATAAATAAAATAAAATAATAAAGGGCACACACTGTGCTTGCTGCCTGAGACTGGCCAAGGGGTCTCTTAGTTTTGTCTGTTACTTAAATTATCAACTCCACCTAACTACAGGAAACACAGAAATGGTGTGTTGCAGTCCGGACACTGTGAGCAGCATGAAATTCTATCTCGGTGTCTAGGAAATGGGGTAGGGAAGGGCCAGTCCAGGGCACAGGTAAGAATAGACTTTTGCCTCTGAGCTCTCCCACCTTTCTCTTTCTCCTTATGAGTTGCTCTTTACCCTAGGATTTCCAGACACTCATGCTATTCTTTAGTCCTAAAAATTCCTCCTCAAAGTCTTGCTTTTCTCAAAATGCCTTATGCCCCATAGTTACCATGTGAGCTTCCTCCCACGTCCTTGGTCCCGCTTCCCTCCTGTGGGCAGCTTAGTCAGTGTGCCCTTCCCTCCACACGCCCAGAGGGCTGGCTCCTGCAGGCAGCACCTTTGCAATGGCCTCCAAAACAGACTTGAGACAAGCGCATAAAAGGGAGGAGGAAGCAGCGCTCCTGTAGGTCTCCTGGCTCTTGCTCCAGCAGGATGGCACAGGAAGACACATGAGGTCTTTTTTCTTAACTCAGATGTTCAGATCAGAACTCTTGTCTGGAGCCAATGAGCTGAGCCCCTGGGGAGCCAGGACTGATCCTGGTTTTAAGGCAGTTAATGTTCCCTATTCTTGCCTCCAGGTGTTTTTGAAATCCTCCCTACCCAGATAGGCACAAAAATAGATTATGTGTCTGGCTGCAAAGAAAAGCTATGCACATTCCTAAAAGCAAAAATGATACAAGCCATATTTCCTTCCATAAAACAAATAAACTAAAAATAAAGAATGAAAGGATAGCAAAAAAGAAAATAATTTATCAATAGATGCAGTTTTCAACAGATTACATAGAAATAGCAACAGAGAGAATCAGTGAGGTAGACATTAGCACTGAGAAATCACTCAGATTACAGCAGATATATAAAAAATGGTGACTGGGAATGATCATTTAGGAGGAATTAATGATAGAATGCACAATCTGTAAGAGTTCTAGGAGAGAAAGAATGGAGAGGAGGTATTTGGAGCTAACAGCTGAAAATTTTCCATAATTGAAAAATGTAATCAAATCAAAGAAAAAACAACCTAAAGAAAGTAGAAGCAATATAATAAGATTTAAACAAAATGATTTAGCAGCTAAAATTCACAGATTTCATCACTAAAATAAAAAGACAGTTCTTTGCAATGAAAAGAGCATTTAAAAATATTTTGTAATATAATATAAATACAAATATAATTTTAAAAGCAAGCTGGTATAAATATATAAATATATTTAAAATATAAGATATTAAATTAATATATTTCAATGTCTAGATTAAATGGACAGTTTTTGAGAACACTATAAATTATCATTTTTAACTTAATAAGAAACAAAATTCAAACAGTCAAAAGCATCTAAACCAAATTTAAAAGATAATAAAAAGAAAAAAATCTATCCATAATAATGAAACCAAGTTCAGGGATTTTCTTGAGTTAATAAATTTTATGAAACTTTAGCTCATAGATTAGATTATCCCTGTGTGATACAGACTTTGCTGTAGCATCAAACAATATGGGAAGGCTGCTACCTTATTCTGTGAGGCTAGTATAAAACTAACACCACAACTAGACAAAGCTGACACAAAACTAAATGAGATCAGCCAATCTCACTAACACAGAGAGCTGCAGAAATTAAACCCCAAAAAATCTTAGCGAATTTCACAGAATAATGATTTTTAAAAATGTGTGTGTCTTGTAAAATCAAGACTTAGATATGCAAACATGATTCAATAGTTTCAAAATCTATTAATTCAATTCTGTATGTCTTCAGATTAAAAGAGGAAAACAAGATCATCTCAATCAATATCAAGAAAGCATTTGCTAAAACCAACATCCTGATTACATTTCTGATAAAAATGTAAACAAAGCAAAACAGTGAAGTTAGAAATAAAAGAAAACTTTCTTAATTTTGTATAAGAGAGATCTAGAAAACTGGAGCAAACATAATAGCTAATGGCAAAATATCATAAATATTCATGTTAAAATTTTACACAAGAAAAGGACACCTACTAGCACCACTTTTATGCAAACAGTGAATAAGAAATCTTAGCAGTAAATACAGAAACATTGTACAGACAGCATGAAGAAAAGACAAAACTGCCATTTTAAAAAGTTTTATCTGATAATCTACCCCAAAATTTCACAGAATTAACTGATAAACTATATTAACTAGTAAGGTGGTCTGATATAAAATAAACATTTAAAAATACTTACTAACAATAACCAATTAGAAAACATGATAGAAAGAAACAAATGCCATTACCAATTGTTTAAATGCACACAAAACCCCAAAGAAGAACTTTTATTATCTAAATGGAACCTCTTCTAGCATTACAGAGACCCCAATATCTAACAACTCCCTTAGCAACGTGACGTTCCAGGTGGTTCCAGGCAGGTGTGGAGGCTCTGGGTGCACAGGTGAGCAGCGACTCTGCCATCTTTTATACCCTGCTTCCAAGGCTATCATGGAGTTGCAATCCTGGTTAGCCAGAGAGGAGGAAAGCATGGAAGAGTGTGTATGTAAGGTTGTTATGGGGTGGCCTGGAAGTGGCATTCATGTATTTCAGGGCTCATCTGTGGCATCACACCTTAAGGTCACTGGTTTGATACTGATTAGGGTAGAATCAGCTGTAGTAACAGACTCAAACGTGTAACAACTCCATCCAAGAGCAGTTCATGTTTCACTCATCCAAAAGCCCAGGGCAGCAGTCCAGAGGGGGAGGTTGGGACTCTGCTCCACTGCATCATTCAGGGACACAGGGGTTCTGTCACCTTCCACAGGTTTCTCCCAAGATCACCCTGGGAGTTGTCATCCAAGGCAGGAAGGAAAGAGAGCTTAGAGAAAGTGTGGGATGGTTTTAAGGTCCTGGCTTGGAAGTAACATCCATCACTTCTGCTCAAATTCCACTAACTACAACCTCAGTCATATGACCCCAACTAATTGCAAGGGAAGCTGGGAAGGGAATCTAACTGCTTGCACAAAGAAAAGGGTTGATTAAATTTTGAAGAGTTGCCAGCAAATTCTACCATAAACCTGACAAAGAGTATACAAGTCTGATGTGAATAAAATTGTAAACTTTGTTGAAGAATGTTAAAAAAAAAAAATAAGAGGAGACATACCCTATACCTACACTGAAAGATACAGTCATGGAAAATGCAAATTATCTCCAGGTTAATCTATACATCTCATGAAAAACTGGATCCCTTCCTTACCCCTTATACAAAAATTAATTCAAGATGGATTAAAGACTTAAATGTCAGACCTAAAACCATAAAAACCCTAGAAGAAAACCTAGGCAATACCATTCAGGACATAGGCATGGGCAAGGACTTCATGTCTAAAACACCAAAAGCAATGGCAACAAAAGCCAAAATTGACAAATGGGATCTAATTAAACTAAAGAGCTTCTGCACAGCAAAAGAAAGTACCGTCAGAGCGAATACGCAACCTACAGAATGGGAGAAAATTTTTGCAATCTCCTCATCTGACAAAGGGCTAATATCCAGAATCTACAATGAACTCCAACAAATTTACAAAAAAAACCAAACAAACCACCCCATCAAAAAGTGGGCAAAGGATATGAACAGACACTTCTCAAAAGAAGACATTTATGCAGCCAAAAGACACATGAAAAAATGCTCACCATCACTGGCCATCAGAGAAATGCAAATCAAAACCACAATGAGGTACCATCTCACACCAGTTAGAATGGCGATCATTAAAAAGTCAGGAAACAACAGGTGCTGGAGAGGCTGTGGAGAAATAGGAACACTTTTACACTGTTGGTGGGACTGTAAACCAGTTCAACCATTGTGGAAGTCAGTGTGGCGATTCCTCAGAGATCTAGAACTAGAAATACCATTTGACCCAGCCATCCCATTACTGGGTATATACCCAAAGGATTATAAATCATGCTGCTATAAAGACACATGCACACATATGTTTATTGCAGCACTATTCACAATAGCAAAGACTTGGAACCAATCCAAATGTCCAACAATGATAGACTGGATTAAGAAAATGTGGCACATATACACCAGGGAATACTACGCAGCCATAAAAAATGATGATTTCATGTCCTTTGTAGGGACATGGATGAAGCTGGAAACTATCATTCTCAGCAAACTATTACAAGGACAAAAAACCAAACACCACATGTTCTCACTCACAGGTGGGAATTGAACAATGAGAACACATGGACACAGGAAGGGGAACATCACACACCGGGGCCTGTTGTGGGGTAGGGGTAGGGGGGAGGGATAGCATTTGGAGGTATACCTAATGTTAAATGACGAGTTACTGGGTGCAGCACACCAACATGGCACATGTATACATGTGTAACTAACCTGCACATTGTGCACATGTACCCTAAAACGTAAAGTATAATAAAAAATAAAAATAATAATAAACCCCCCCAAAAAAAGAAAATTTTCAATTTAACTGAAAGTTTTATGAACTTGATAAAAGGTTTTTAAAATTCATATGGCAGATGTTTTAGTCAGTTTTGTGCTGCTATAACTGAATATCTGAGACTAGGTAATTAATACAGGACAGAAATTTATCTCTGACCGTTCTACAGCCTAAGTCCAACTGAGGTGCTGGCTGGCTTAACTATCGGGTAACGGCTATTCTCTGCTTCCAAGGTGGTGCCTTGGATGCTGCATCTTCCAGAAGGGACAAATGCTGTGTCCTCATATAGCAGAAGAAAAGTGTATTATTAGTCCGTTTTCATGCTGCTGACAAAGGCATATCCGAGACTGGGCAATTTACAAAAGAAAGGGGGTTATTCGACTTACAGTTTCACATGGCTGGGGAGGCCTCACAATTACAGCAGAAAGTGAAATGCATGTCTCACATGGCAGCAGACAAGAGAAGAGAGCTTTTGCAGGGAGACTCCCATTTTTAAAACCATCAGATCTCGTGAGACTTATTCACTATCACGAGAACAGCACGGAAAAGATCTGCCTCCATGAGTCAATTACCTCCACCGGTTCCCTTTCACAATATATGGGAATTCGAGATGAGATTCAGGTGGGGACACAGCCAAACCATATCAGGAAGGAAGGGTGAAATGGGGCCAGACTTTCTCCTTCAAGCCCTTTTATAATGATATCAATTTGAAGAAACCTAAACATCTCTCAAAATGCCCCATGTCCCAACACTGTTGTATTGGGCATTACGTTTACAACATATGAATTTTGGGGGACATATTCAGACCACAGCAGTGGAGAATGTCTAATTCATTTTTACAAAGAGAACGATAAGATGGCAAATTTACTTGTATTTCATTCCATTTTGTGTTCCCATAAAGGAATACCTAGGGCTGGGTAATTTATAAAGAAAAGCAGTTTCTTTGGCTCATGGTTCTGTAGGCTGTACAAGAAGCATGGTGTCAGCATTTGCTTCTGGTGAGGGCTTCAGGCTGCTTCCACCACCAGTGGAAGGTGAAGGGGAGCAGGTTTATGTTGTGGTGAGAGAGAGAGCGAGAGAGGGTGAGAGAGAGAGCGAGAGAGAGGGTGAGAGAGGGTGAGAGAGAGGGCGAGAGAGCGAGAGAGAGAGCGAGAGAGAGGGTGAGAGAGAGAGCAGAGCGAGAGAGAGGGCGAGAGAGAGGGCGAGAGAGAGAGCGAGAGGGAGGGTGAGAGAGAGAGTGAGAGAGGGTGAGAGAGAGGGTGAGAGAGAGAGTGAGAGAGGGTGAGAGAGAGGGTGAGAGAGGGTGAGAGAGAGAGCGAGAGAGAGGGTGAGAGAGAGGGCGAGAGAGAGGGTGAGAGAGGGAAGGGGAGCTCAGGCTCTTTTAATCAACCAACTCTCTCATGAACTATTAGAAAAAGATCTCACTCACTGCCAAGCAGATATCACCAAGCCATTTACAAGGGATCTGCCCTCGTGACCCAAGCACCTTCCACTAGCCTCCACCTCCAACGCTGGAGATCAAATTCAGCGTGAGATCTGGAGGGGACAAATATCCAACTATACCAGCTTTTTCTTATCACTATTGATCTGTTGTATTTAAAACATTGTAGTATTGTACCAAAGTAGAAAAATAAAACAGATAAACAGGCTCGAGGTTTTAGAAATATATCCTTAATATTACTCATCCTTAAAAAAGGAAGGAAATCCTGTCACGTGCTACAACATGGATGAATCTTGAAGCCACTAGGCTAAGTGAAAGAGCTGGTCATAAAAAGAATGCTGCATGATTTTACTTATATGAGATACATAGAGTAGTCAAATTCATGGAGACAGAAAGTACACTGGCAGTTTCCAGGCTTTCCAGGATTTTCACCCTTTTGAGGGTGAAATGATGAGTTATTTTTTAATGGGTACATGTTCAGTTTTGCAAATTAAAGAATTTCTAGAGATAGATGGTGGTCACAATTGCACAACAATGTGAATGTACTTAATACTACTAAACGGTACATTAAAAACAATTAAGATGTAAATTTTATGTGTTTTTGCTATAAAATTTTTAAAACTCTTTAAAAATTAATATACTCTTCTGTTAATGAGATAGTAGCTTATGACAAAGATAATGGTGTTTAAAGTCAATAGTAAATGAATAGCTCATTCAATAAATAATTTGGAGATAATTAGATATCTATAGGAAAAATTTTTTCTTACATTATAAAAAATGTTCAGATATAAAATGGTACTGTAAACTTATTAGGAGAAAACATTATAGAGTGTTTTCATAATAGTGCAATGGTATAAATGCCAGATAAAAGTTAAGATTGTAAATTTAGTAAAAGAAAATATACGGAGTGGTTTCATTATATTGAAGTGAAGTACAAGTATTTCTAGGCAATGTGCAAAAATCAAAAGTCCTACATAAATCTAATGAAACGTTTGTCTTCATAAAAACCTAAAATCTTCTTTAGTGAAAAAGCAAAACACTGTAAAGTCAATGGGCAAGTGGTAGATTGGTAGATAATATTTGTAACATATTTAATCAATACGGATGAATATCAAGAATATATAAAGAGATCCTAAAATTGATAAGAAAGAAAAACATTTTAATAGAAAAATTTAGACCATGAACATACTCTCTCGGAAGAGTCAAACATAGTAAGCATATGAAAATGTGTTAAACTTACTCAAAAATCAAGAAATAGTATGTTACAACCATGAGACTTTTTCCTCATCTATTAGGCTGGGATTAATTTAGAAGAGGCAGGGTAATCAATGTTCTCATTCATCATTGGTGGGAGTGCAAATGTGTAGCCTTTCAGAAAAAGTGGCAGTAATTCTCAAAATTTAAATATGTACATATTTTGATTCATAAACTTTACAGCAGGAATCTATCTTAAATATGATGCCCAAGTGTGAAAAGGCATATATACATAAAAATGTTCATTTCAGCATTGTTGATTTAAGGAGAGATTGGGAAGTTAGATATTCATCGACAGGGGAATGAATAAATAAGTTTTGCTATAACCATACTGCAGAATACTCTGCAGCCATTAAAAAGAATAAGTTTGGCTTATAGGTACTAACCTTGGAGGATCCCTAAGACATGCAGTTTAACAAAACAATGCATATAGAACGATCAATTGTGTAATTGTATAGTAACGTAATGGAAAAGATTCATGCTGTATTGGTTGGGTATGGCCACAATTCTGTTGTGTAACAAACTCACTGGTCTTGAGGAAAATAACTTACTCGTATGAATCTCTGGGTCATGGAGCAGCTCTACCCTGACACTGAAGCAGTGCTCTGGTCTGCTGCACCTGATTCTCAACCTCCTGAGTCAGCAGGCTGGCCAGGATATGTACTTCTCACAGCGGTGGCAGAGGCGCAAGGGCCTGGACAGAAACATTTCAGACCTCTTAAAGTCTTGAAAGGAAGAAAGAAATATTTTTCCATTGCATTTAAGCAGTAGTGCATTTTAGCTAATTTCTACAATTACCATTGATGTAGTAGATGGAGAAATCTATTAAGTCCTTAAATTCTAATAACCTTGATGCCACAAGCCACATTAACAATATTAAGATTACTCCTTTGAAATGAACAAGTTAACCAGCTTTGCCCTTGTAGAGCTCACAAAGACCACAGATTTTATCCAGCCAATACCACTCAGTCAAAGCATTGGAGTTTTAAACGTAGACAGGTTCCCAACACAGCCACAGTCCAGCAGGTGAGGGGTTTGCTGGCTCTCTGGGACACTTCCAGGACAGATGTGTACTGTCCTACAAAACAGCTCATGCAATTCAAAGAAATCGAGATGGAGCTGATGTCAAAAGCACACTAAGTACTTAATAATGAGTTCGTATGGTTGTATAGTTAATAATTACTGTTAGGAAATCTACAATGGCTAAAATACACCCTTACATTTATCCAGTAAGTAGTGTTTAGATACCTATCTTTTTGAAGTCTAAAAATAAGCATGAACGCTAATATCATTTGGGCTCCTTCTTCAAAGCTGTTTCCCCTTGACTCTTTTATGAGTAAAAAAATATGCATAAAGTACAGAAAATGTGAGCCGTTTATGAACATCTGATGTGAGATGTTAGGGTTGACTTGGTATGTCCTTTGTCTTGAATGCAATGCTGAGTGGGAAACGGGATTCCTATAATCCAAGGCGTGCAGTGGTATTATGATTCAATTATCACCTCAGTTGCAGGGGAAGAAAGGCCTATTGCAGCAAGTACCTTGGGTGCTGTATCTGACCTTCACGGTGGTGGTGACAGCAAGGCTTGCGTCATGTTCAGAGAATCAGACAGCTTCTCCAGTGACACTAAAACCAAAACAAAACATCTTTGTTTTACTTACAAGCAGCAAGGCAGATAGAGCTGTATAAAATAGATGCAGAATTTAATGGAGTAGGTACAAAATTACAGTGTAAGTTCAATCCTCAGACTCGCCAATACATTTGTGTAAAAGTTAGGCTTTGATTGTAGCAGGGGGCTCTCCAAGACTTGGAATTGGGTTATCTGTGTGGATTCAAGAAAAGCTGGGAAATTTACACCCCAAGTCTCTCTAAGCCATCCTTGCTGAAGGAAGCAGCCTCCTCTCCCTGCCTGTAGAATCTTCCCTTATTTGAAGACCTTTTAATAACTTCACATGCTTGAGCTCCCTGGTAAGGTGATATCTAAAACTCTCAGGGCTCACTCCCATCACCCATTAGTGCATGAGACCCATAATTAGGGTCACAAATGTCAAGTATGTTCCACAGGGAGAAAAGCAAAGTCCAATCCAGAAGGACATGGTTTATAGGAGAGAGAGAAAAAAAAGAGAGAGGGAAGAAAAATGATAAAAAGGGCAATACTCACCAATTCAAAGTACCAGAAACATGGGTAAATGTAGTGCATGAATCCTAAGAACATTACACCACAGAGCACAGAATTCAACACTGAATAAGGCTGACCCCATCCATGTGAGAGCACTTACAGAGATTCTAGCTGAATGTGCTGATTTGGGCACCATGGAGCAGCTCTCACAGTTTGCATGGATGGTGGAGTGAATTTGAACTTAATGATGGCTCACATCTGAAGAGGCCAGACTCTCCTGCTCTCTGTGATGGACTTGTTCAGGGAAATCTCTGCATCCCAGAGAACATCTTCTTCCACCATACCCAGGACACCATCTTGGTTGAATCTGGTGAGCAAGCACAGCAAGAACCCTAAATGTCTTAATGAGACACATGTGTGGCAAAGAGTGAACAATAAACCCCATGAAATCTCGAGGCCCATGCCTTGGGGAGGTTTCTCATGGCCCTGTGGTCTGAAGCATGTTTGGGCATTTCTTCCAAAGTGAAACAGAAGTTGTTATTTCATCTATTACCTACCCCTAAAAAATGGGCACGGTGTTGAGAAAATGTCTTTGGAGGCAACAAATACCACATTTGAGAGTGCTGTCCCAACCCATTTATTGAGTAACCAACAAAGCTCCAAGGTAAGTGACTGGGGCCATATGGACACACATAAAAGCATAATTGAAGGCCAGGTGTGGTGGCTTACAACTGTAATCCCAGCACTTTGGGAGGCCGAGGCAGGCGGATCACAAGGTCAGGAGTTCGAGACCAGCCTGGCCAATATAGTGAAACCCCATCTCTAGTAAAAATACACAAATTAATCAGGCCTGATGGCGGGCACCTGTAGTCCCAGCTACTCGGGAGGCTGAGGCAGGAGAATTGCTTGAACACAAGAGGCAGAGGTTGCAGTGAGCTGAGATCTCACCACTGCATTCCAGCTTGGGTGACAGAGCGAGACTCCGTCTCAAAATAAATAAATAAATAAATAAATAAATAAATAAATAAAAGCATAATTGAATATCTGTTTTCAGGAGCTTCTGGCAAGCCCAAATGAGAATCGCAATGCAAATATATAGGGCTTTGGAGAAAAGCCATGTTCTACTCTGCATATAATTATTATTTTAAGAATCAACTCTTATCTTGCTATGCTACTGAGCTTTGTCAAGACAAAATGAGAACTTCATGACCACTGTTCATCATGAATTGGCTATGCACCGACACACTAGGCCATAAGGTGGGAGGAGAATAAGATTCGGCAAGTCCAGAAACAGGTTTCATGAGCAGGTGACTGCTAAGGACTCCGATTCCATCTTTTCCTTCTTCTCCATCTTTTCTTCCCATAATTTACACTTAGGACCTCATTGGGAGTTGCCTACGGCAGCTGGTTTGCAGATGGTTCTGTTATGCTGGCACCAGCCATAAGTGGATCGCTGCCAATGCTACTGTCTCACTCAAGGATAGTGCTGAAGAACAAAGGGAAAAGGATAGCTTCCCAGTGGACAAAACTTGTAGCAGTAAAATTTAGTTTTTCATTTTATCTGCGTAACAGATGGCCAGAAGTACAGATCTACACAAATTCATGTGTGGTTCTCTGAGTAGATGGTCAGAGACTGGGAAAGAATGGCATTGGATAACTAGTGACAGACTGAAGAAGAGATGTGTAAATGGACTTCTCAGAAGGGACACAGGGTGGGGCATACCTGTGTCCCACGTGAATGTTCCCTGAAGGTCATCTGCTACACAGGAGACTTTCAGGAATCAGGGGGATGTGATGACACATTCAGTGGGTGTGCTGGAAGGCTCCGGGGTGTTTGCTCAATGGGTCTGGGTATAAAGTGGCTAAGGAAGTGGTGATAGAAGCCACTCAAGGGTTCAGCAGCATTAACTTCCCGGGGGAACCACTCAGCCACATGATAGGGCAAGCAGATTGTAACACTGACCTCCACCAATTTCTGCCTTGTCCTGATATAATGGCACAATGGCCTGAGAATACAGTTACAGCGCCCATAAAGTGACAGCATTCTGGAAGTAGTATATGCTTTGAAGCAGCAATCAATCAACAGAATACAGGAGTCTGGAAATCAAAGAGGCATAATTGGAAATGGCTCTTCTCATATTTCTTCTGCAGGATTTTTGCTTCTCCCTCCAGAATCTTGTGCTTTGCTGGTTTGGAGATTCTAGTTCCTAAGACAGAAGTGCTTCTGCTGGAGAAAATAAGGCTGTATCTGTTGAATGGGATACTGAGGCTTTATTCTGTCATTTGAGGCTTCTTATTCCACTATAAAGAATAGAGTAACTGTCCTGGCTGATCCCTAAGCAGAAATTGGGTTTCTGCTCACAAGGGAGGTAGGAAGAACCATGTCCCCCTAAAAACCCAGGGGATGCTCTTGAGTGCTTCTTGGCTCTGCCACACATAATAGAAAATGTTAGTGGACAATTTTGTGGGCTAGATTGTGTCCCCCGAAAAAGCTATGCTAAAGTCCTAACCCCCAATACCTGTGAACGTGATGTTATTTGGGAGTACAGTCTTTGCAAATGATATCAAGGGTAGATGAGCTGGATAAGGGTGGGCTCTAGTCCATGTGACTATCGTCCTTATAAGAAACAGAGAAGGCCGGGCGCGGTGGCTCACGCCTGTAATCCCAGCACTTTGGGATACCGAGGCGGGCGGATCACGAGGTCAGGAGATCGAGACCATCCTGGCTAACACGGTGAAACCCCGTCTCTATTAAAAATACAAAAAATTAGCCAGGCATGGTGGCGGGCACCTGTAGTCCCAGCTACTCGGGAGGCTGAGGCAGAAGAATGGTGTGGACCCAGGAGGCAGAGCTTGAAGTGAGCCAAGATCGCACCACTGCACTCCACCCTGGGAGACAGTGAGACTCCGTCTTAAAAAAAAAAAAAAGGAAACAGAGAAGAGACACAGACACACACAGAAAGAGTGCCATGTGACAATGGAGGCAGATACTGGAATGATGAAGCAACAAGCCAAAAAATTACCAGGACGTGCCAGCAGCATCAGAGCTAGGAGAGGGGCCTAGGGAGGCTTTTCTTTCAGAACCTCCAGAAGGAATGCATTCTGCTGACATCTTGATTTTGGACTTCCAGCCTCTAGAACTGTGACAAAATCAATTTGTTTTTTGAGCCACCACTCAGTTTGTGGTAATTTATTTTGTCAG
The DNA here is from genome assembly GCF_000001405.40 of Homo sapiens. Taxonomy (NCBI): domain Eukaryota; kingdom Metazoa; phylum Chordata; class Mammalia; order Primates; family Hominidae; genus Homo; species Homo sapiens. The sequence goes on along the minus strand of NW_011332701.1, from coordinate 2,491,976 downwards.
CCTTTGGAAATAGAAATGGACAATAATAGCAACCTCACAAAGGCAGGACTGCTAAGGACTCACACCCTTTGGGAATTAAGGTTTGGGTCACCCGACAAGAAAAAGGATCCCCAACTAGTTGAGTTAAATATTAGCTACGATACTGTGGCCAGAAATGAAGACTGTAGCAGCTGTCCATATTTTCTTCTTATAAATATGTGTGTGCACACATGTGTGCATATATGTGCAAGTGTGGGCATGCATGTTGTAAACTAAAAATAAAATCCAAGCTGGGCACAGTGGCTCGCACCTGTAATCCCAACACTTTGGGAGGCCGAGGCAGGTGGATCACCTGAGGTCAGGAGTTTGAGACCAGCCTAACCAACATGGGGAAATCTCATTTCTACTAAAAATACTAAAAAGTACTAAAAAAAAAAAAAAAAAAAAAGCTAGGTGTTGTGGCTCACACCTGTAGTCCCAGCAACTTGGGAGGCTGAGGCATGAGGATTGCTTGAACTGGGGAGGCGAAGGTTGCAGTGAGCCGAGATCATGCCACTGCACTCCAGCCTAGGTGACAGAGCGAAACTCTGTCTAAATAAACAAATATAAAATCCAGACTCTCCCACCTATTGAACAGACCCCATTGTGGCCAAGGAGAGCCCAGAGAAACCTGAAAACTGAGTTCCTGGCCATGACAGGATGGGACATCAGACATGCCTTGTTATGCCCCTTCCCTTTTACGGTTTAGTCACAACAGCCAGCATTAATGTTAAAATAGAGACTGTAAGAATGACAGAACAGACTCTTTGTGGCCATAAGATACCAAATTATAAACAGGACCTACCATGCCAAGCAAGAGGTAAGTCACACACCCCTACACTGAAAGGATAAACTATGTTCTCACAGCTTTTTCTTTTTCTCTAGCAGCTAAACAAGCCCCAGCCTCAACGTAAGCAATATTAAAACAATCACAATCCATCCAGCTCACAGACAGACACTCACTCACTAAACTCCTGTTCCACCAGCCATAGTTACAGCTTCGATCAGACAAGAGACTGATTTCAGTAACTTTCTCCTGATAAGAGCCCACCAATCATGGACTGGTTCTGGCTGGTTTACAGAGGTTGCACACTTAAGTGCCTTTGTCTCCTGATAAAACCTGTTGACATATAGGGCTAAACTGTAACAAATTTAAATGGTAACTCTCCACCCCAAGGTGAATATGGGTTGTATGTTACATGCATGTTTGTTCACTAGGCATGTGTCAGGACCACCTTCATGAATATTCACAGCTCCTCCTGTAACTTGTTGAATATGTGTGTTTAGTCAACCTATTCAGAATGAAGCTTCTACAACTCAACCCCTTCTCCTTCAAAGTGCCTGTCTCCGGGCTTCAGCCAGAGGCATGCTTCCCAGCCTGCAGGTTGGCCACCTTGCAGGATGTAACCCTTTATAAGAAAAAAGTCTCCTTTCCGTTTCTAAATTTAAAAATTGTGGATTTTTTTTTTCAGTTAACAATATCCATTTAAACTTTTCAAATAGATGGTTTGCAAATGTTTGGCATGGGAAAATGCAGGCATATTTCATGAGTAGTTGTCAGAAATTAGGATCAATTTTACGAGGTGACTATCCAACAGGGACCAAGGAAGGAATCTCTGCCATTTTCATAGAGCCACTGATTGGCCCACTCATTGAAAATGCTGAGCAAGACCTCACCCTCACTCGCCCGGTCCTGAACCAGCCTGGCAGAGTTCTTGTCCCACTCAGAGATAGCGTTCTACATCCTATCTGAGTGACAGGATCAGCCCTGCCCTTATCAGCCCTCCGTAGATTCCATAATGAGGCTCCTACGAGTCTCTCTCATCTTCTCATTATCTCAACTACGATCCCTCTCCCTTTTATAGCACAAACTCCTCCAGTCCTGTGACATCTGTGATCATCAGGAACTTTTATTTTACCCATGGCTTTTTCCTCCTACACTGCTTCCCTCCACTTATCCAGAAACCCATCAATCTCTAAATGCTCTGCTCATGTATAATATCTTCCCTAAACTTCTGCACATCTCTAACCCATTAATATCACATAGTTTATGCTTAGTTCCTCCTCATTCATTTTATGAGATTTTGTTTAGCCCTAAAGATTTTTTCCATCTGGCTTGAAATTCTTACTTCTTTTTTTTAAATTTTTTGCCAAATTCAATCTTTAAAATAGGGGAACGATCCTCTTTCCTTCAAGAGATTTTGATGTCAGAAAGCACTGACTCACGCAAAGGTCCACATTTTCAGATTCACTGGCAAGCTGGTTGGTGAGGACAAGCTTTTGACTGAATCAAAGCTCAGTGGTTTTAAAGTGGAGTTGGGCAGAGCCTAGGCTTTTTGTGAGGGTGCTTAGGTGTCACTATGAAGGCCAGACGAGGGAGAGGGTGAGTGTGAGTTGAGTGAGTGAGACCGGAGTTTCAGCCAAAACAGCTATACTTTTGTCTATGTATATGCATATGTCTATATGTGTATATGTATGTATGTGTATGTGTACATGTATATGATATGCGTGGATACATGCTCATGTATATGCACTTGTGCATGTATTTGCATATGTATTTGTATATGCATTTGTATGTGTATGTGTATATGCATGTATATTTATATTAAATAGTGGGTAACTTTTCATTTCCCAGCAGGTTCAGATGCTTTAGAAACATAGTTTGAGATTCACTGCTTTAGGACCACATACTCATGATGAAAGACAAAAACGAAAAATAAACAGAGTCAGGGAGATTAAATCTATAACCAAAGACAACATGAGTATTTAATGTCAGCTACTCAAGCTCCAGTTTCCCCCTTCTGGTGAAAGGCTTGTTCCCTGGGGTCTTCTCTCTCAAAGGTCAGCGGCAGGAACTCCTTGGGGACTGGATGAGTAACTGGCATCTTTCAGTCCTGGGGTTGGGCTGTGCCTGTGGCTCTGAAACTCAGAAACTCCTCAGCCTGTGACCTCATGGGCTGGATCTGGCCCTGGCTCTGCCACTCAGACTCCGTGACATCTCCTCAATCCCTTCCCGCTGCAGCAGAGTGGCTACTGTGCTGCTCTCCAGCCAGCCTGGGGACTACTGTCTCTTAGGGCTTCACTGTAGGATGCACCTTTTATTCTCTGGATAGTTTTTATGACTTTGTTTGTTATTTACAGGCCAAGTTCAGTGGCCCCTGTAAACACAGTCACAATCTGCAACCGTGCTCTTAATTATGATCTTATTAAGAAATAGATTCCCACACAACTGGCACAAGGATGCCAGAAGCCAATATTTCTAATTCATAAATGTTTAGACTTATTTTCTCTCACCAAAATGTGCCTCTGAAAGCCTCAAGAGAAGAGGAAATAAAGAAATAAAAGTGAAAAAAGCAACCAGCAATAAGGATGATTCTGTTACTTCAACTATGCCTAAGACAGCCTGACCTTTAGCTGGAAATGGCCAGTCCCTTCTGGACTGTTAGGCAGAGAACTAAAAGTCAGGGGCTTCATGAAGAGGGTGGAGATGAAGTGAGGCTCGCCAAGGCCTGCCTGCCGTCCCATCGCTCTGAGGTGATGGGAGGTTCTATCCTGTTTCAGAAATTAGCACACTGAGCCTTTGGAACCCTGTAGGTCTCTCCTAGATTGCAGCCTGTCAGATGGTGTCCCTCAAGTGGCCCTACCTTCTTAATGTGAAGAGCAGCACTCAGGCAATATGACTTCCTCCAGCTTCAAAGGCAAACAAAACTTCAAAGGCTGATGCAGCCTTTCTTTTTCTTTACAGCAGATCACTAACAGAGCCTTTTGTACATTGCAAACATTTGTAAATATATATTAATATTTGTTCTAGTCCTGACCTGAACAGAACTTTTTGCATGATGAAATGCATAAACCTCATCCTAGAAATAAATGAGCATTCTGGATAAATATTTTAGCATTTTTATGAAGTTTTTTTTTTTTTTTTTTTTTTTTTCGAGACAGAGTTTCACTTTATTGCTCAGGCTGGAGGGCAGTGGTGTGATCTCAGCTCACTGCCACCTTCACCTCCCAGGCTCACCCGATTCTCCTGCCTCAGCTTCCCAAGTAGCTGGGATTACAGGTGCCCACCACCACGCCCGGCTAACTTTTGTATTTTTAGTAGAGACAGGGTCTTGCCATGTTGGCCAGGCTGGTCTTGAACTCCTGACCTCAAGTGATCTGCCCACCTCGGCCTCCCAAAATGCTGGGATTACAGGCATAAGCCACCGCATCAGGACTTTATAAAGTTTTATTGTTTTGTTTTGTTTTTTTGAGACGGACTCTCGCTCTGTCACCCAGGCTGGAGTGCAGTGGCACGATCTCGGCTCATGGCAAGCTCTGCCTCCCAGGTTCACGCCATTCTCCTGCCTCAGCCTTCCAAGTAGCTGGGACTGCAGGTGCCTGCCACCATGCCCAGCTAATTTTTTTGTATTTTTTAGTAGTGACAGGGTTTCATCGTGTTAGCCAGGATGGTCTCAACATCCTGACCTCGTGATCCACCCACCTTGGCCTCCCAAAGTGCTGGGATTACAGGTGTGAGCCATCATGCCCGGCCCATAAAGTATTTCAATGGGCTAAGAATTCTTCCAAACCTCAGCTGAACACCTGCTCTGCTGATTCCTGACAACTCCAGCTGGGTCCCCAGGACTAGACAAAGATTTCAAGCTTCCTTTAGCAGCTATGTTGCTCTTTGCACCCATGCCTGCAACTCTTTAATCTTTTTTTTTCTGTAAAGTTTTCTAATGTCAGTCTTTGAATTAGCTTTCTAGATATCTGGAAGATCCCTTGCACCATGAATAGCTAAAGTTAAAAGAAATGTATAACATAGTTGAAAAGGAATGGAAGGCGTAGTAGATGTAGATTGAATTTTCCCTGATGTTTATAATTATTTGCAATTACTCATGTCATTTTCATCCTTTTACAAGATCATGGCCCTGTTTCATAGGGGAGAAAGCTAAGGGTAAGAAGGTAAAGGGATCTGTCCAAAAGCTGACAACTAACCCACTAAAGGCTCAAGGTCTTACTTAGACTCCATTTATTTTCTAAACCAAATGTTTCTGCTCTTTCCCTCACATCACAAGGGCATGCAGAAGGATGCTTATAAATCACCACTGACTGCTGGGGTGGAAAGGAGAAACGAGTGCACAGACCAACATGCAGATTCACCTGCAAACACTGTACACACCTGTCCTGGAACTCTCTCCTTGCTCTGGAGCCAAGGATAATACAGAGAGGACAAACACTGAGGTTTTAGTTCCAGGCACCTCTGTGCCTGGAGACAGGCAGCACCTTAAAAACACATGATGAGGCAATTTGAATGTGAAACATCAGGGTGCTTTCCCTAAAGCATCCTTCATGTTCCATCAGCAATTGTTCTGTGGGTGTAATCAGTTTATGTTTTCTTCTGCTCTTTCCACAGTCTCTCCAGATATGTCTTCCTCCCTCTGTAAGGGAACATGAGAAGCGTTGCCAGTTTAAAAAAAAATTGTTAATAAACATACAACTTGCATGTGCTTGCTTGAGATGCCCATTACTGAAGAATTGGCTCTAGAAATTCTAGAATAGGAGCACTGATACAATTATGAAACTGATCCTCCCAAGCAAAATACTCTAACTTTTTGTTAACAGAAGAAAAAGGCTTTGAGCCAGCTTTCAAAATCTTTTCAGTTTGTGCCTTTGAACTTTATGGTGAGGGTGGGGAAGAGCAAAATCTACTAGTCAAGCAGAGACCTTGTCTGCTTTCCTTCCACAGTCTCAGAAACTGGGTAGAAATTAACTGCCTTTAAAGACAAGAGGCAATTGCAATTCCATGAGCACCAGCCTTACATCCCCATCATTTGTGTGCTGAGAAAGGTGACAGCAGCCTTCAGGTTCAATGGAATCATTTTGTTTCCTGGTGGAAGTATTCCTCCCTTTGGAACTAAGACCCCTAGCCCAGCAGAGTATAAAGTCATGGGAACAGGAAGCAAACATTCCGCTAGTGGTCACCAGGGGTAATGGTGAGTTGTGTCACTCCCATATCTACCCCTTGATTCTTGGACCTATGCATTTGGCCATGGGAGAAACAGAACCATATATTAGACACTGATTTAAAGCATATTCAGCCTTTTGGAGAACTTTGTCCCAGCCATGCAAGGTATTGCCATCTAGCTGACTCTGTGACTGAGTCTTCAAAGAGCCATTCCACTATCTTACCAAGCCTGCTTTTGTAGCATGGTGGGGAACATAGAAAGGCCAATGAATTCCATGAGCATGAGCCCGTTGCTGCACTTTGTTTGTTGTGAAGTGAGTTCCTTGATCAGCAACAATGCTGTGTGGAATAACATAACAGTGACTAATGCATTCTGTAAGTCCACAGATTGTAGTCTTAGTAGAAGCATTGCATGCAAGGAAGGAAAATACATATTCAGGGTAAGTGCCTTGTCTAGTAGAAACAAAACCCTGCTTTTCCCATAATGGAAGCAATAGAATGTAATCAACCTGCCCCAGGTTACTGACTGATCATCTCGAAGAATGATCCTGTATCAAGTAATCAGTGCTGTTTCTTCTGCTGACTGATTGAGCATTCAACAGTGGCCATAGTCAGGTCAACCTTGGTGAGTGGAAGTCCGTGTTGCTAAGCCCATGCATAATCCCCATCTTTGCCACAATGGCAAAGAGCCCATTGGACTATGACAAATGTGGATGGGGAAAGAAACTGACTGTATCCACAGAATGAGTCATTCTATCCATTTTATTACTAAAATCTTGGTAAGCATTCACATGGGACACAGATATCTTCATGTTTTTCTCTCATTCAAAGAGGTCTACTCTCATACCTCTTCTCCATACTTCGTTTTCACCAATACTCCTATATTGTTCCTTCTAAGGACATGACCATTAAGCCAAACCATTTGCCACAGCTCATAAATCAGTATAGAATCTCATTGCTGGCCATTTCTCATTGTAAATAAAGTGAACAACCAGGTGTGCTGCTTGAAGTTTTGCCCATGGAGAGGATTTTTTCTTTATCAGTGTTCTTCAGGAATGATCCAGAGAGGGTCGCAGTGCTGCAGCTGTCCACTTTTCGGTAGTGTCTGCATATGCTGCAGAACTATCTGTAAACCAGGCTTGAGATTCTTTTCCTCTACAATTGATCATAGGGAACTCTCCATGAGGCCATAGGTTCAGGCTTCTACGGAAGGCATGGACATTTGTGTCATTTCTTCATGTAACTTAACTGTGCCATTAGGGCCTGCTCAAGCTCAATCTTACATATACTACTTCCATTTGACGATAGATTGTTACTGTGCACATCTACCTCTTGAGTTGGTGGGTAAGAAAATACCCAGCTCATAATGGCCAACTCAGCTTGCATGGTAATTTGATGGACCAGGATTAGGTGTTCAGGCTCTAAAAGGGCCCAGGAATAGGCCAAAAGCTGTTCCTCAGAAAGACAGTAGTTATTCACAGGGGATGGCAGATCCTTTCTCCAGAGTCCTATGTCTGCACTGCGATTCACTTAAAAGGGCCTGCCAAAGGCTCCACACAGCACTTCTCCCTGCCACTGACACTTCAAGTACCATTGGATCTGATGGCTCATGTGGCTCAAGGGGCACAGCAGCTGCACAGTAATGTAGGCCTTTTGCAGAACCTTCTCTTTTCTAGGCTCCACTCAAAACTCGCAGCTTTTTAGTTCACTTTGTAAATGGGTTGGACCTGAATGAGGAATACGTTGCCTCCAAAATACTAAGAGGCCTCTAGGCCTTGAGCCTCTTTCTTGGTTATAGGAGGGACGGGATGTTGCAACTCTCTTTCACCTTACAAGGGATATTTTGACACACCCCACAGCACTAGGCCCCTAGAAACTTCACTGAGGTAGAATGCCCTTGCATTTTAGTTGGATTTATTTCCTACCCTCTGACATGCAAATGTCTTACCAATAAGTTCAGAGTGGTTGCTACTTCACACTCACTAGGTTAAATCAGTATAATGTCATTAAGATAATGGACCAGCGTGGTATCTGGTGGAAGGAAAAGGCCTCAAGTTCTGTATGAACTGAATTTATGACACAGGGCTGGAGAGCTGATATACCCTTGGGATAGGACACTCAATTTGTATTGTTGGCCTTGCAGGTTGAAAGCAAACTGCTTCTAATGGCCTTTCGAAACAGATACAGAAAAAAAAAGGCATTTGCCAGATCTCAGATACCAGGTACCAGGGGATGTGTTAATTTGCTTAAGTAATGAAACCACATCTGCTAAAGCAGCTACAATTAAAGTTAATACTTGATTAAGCTCATGAATCCACTGTCATTCTCTAAGGTCCATCTGTCTTCTGCACAGTCCAAATAGCACAATTGAATGTGGATATGGTAGCAACTGCCACGCCTGCATCTTTCAAAGTCCTTGAGAGTAGCACTAACCTCTGTAATCTCTCCAAGAATGCAGTATGGCTTTTGGTTTACATTGTTTAGGTACAGGCAGTTCCTATGATAATGGCCCTCACTCCACAGGTCAGAGAACCAATGTGGGGATTCTGATAGTTGCTGAATATGTCCATTCCAATTATGCACTCTGGAACTGGGAAATAACCACAGGATGGGTTCAGAGATTACCTGAATCTACTATAAGATGAGCTAAAACTCCACTGATCACCTGATCTGCATAACCCCTACTCTGACTGTTGAGTCACAGTGGTGTTCAGTGCCACCAGGAATTAGTGTCAATTCAGAGCCAGTGTCCAGCAGTCACCAAAATGTCTGATTATTTACTTTTCCCTAATGCTTAGTCATCTTGTTAAAAGGCCATAAGCTCCTCTGGGGAAGGCTGAGAAAGAGATTAACATTATAAATTTTTGGCAGTGTCATGGGTTTCTTCCTCAAGGGGACTTGGCTTTTATCCCTTACAGGAAGAATAAAGGCCTTACTTTGCCTCTGATAATTGATTGAGGGATCATGATTCTCTGTTTTTCAGTATTAGAGTTAGACTTTTATTCACTTGACCTACAACTTTTTCTGCTTATACAGATCAAGTAAGAATTTAGTTGGCTTCCTATCTATTTCACTTCTAGGAGCACCACGATCAACTAGCCAATGCCATAGGTCTCCACGAGTGAGACTATTCTAGTGGCTGCTGTGACATTGCTGTCCACTGTGTCAGCTAGGCCCACCTGGATTTTGGTGGCTGAATGCTGGTACTTGGCTCCTGCCAACCTGGGATCCAGTTACTCCCATTACATTTAGTTTTCCCAATTCAGTGACTCTAGTTTCCACTAAAAATCTTGCCTATAGAGAACAAACACATCAAGGATGCTGAGGCTCTCCTCAAAAATTTATTTCTCACCATTTTGGTGAAAGGTATGTCTTTTGAAGCCTCCCAGGGCATATAAGTAGGTCTTAAATGGAAAATCCACTCTAACATCCCAATGTCTTTAAGCCTTTAATCCCTTCTTCGGCATTAAACCAAGGCACACCTGGCATTTATATTTGAACTCCCTTGCTGTGGGCCACCTTTTGATCCCTTTTTGGGTCCACCAACCAAACTGTTAGAGTCCTTTCTGACTCCCCAAGCTACAATATTAAATGCAGAGTCTCTGCTTAGTGGGCCCATATCAATAAACTTACCCTGATCTAACTTTCTCTCATTAGCCCACACACTTACTATTCATTTCTGCACATATAGCCTGGATTTTTGTCTGTATAAATAAGAAAACACAACTAATTCCCTTGGAGTGTGTCACGCCTCTTCATGGGTCACACTTTCTACCTCGCCTTTAGAGTCCTGTTGTGATGTGAGTGTAGTTATGGGGTGGGTCCTGAAAAAAATCAGCTGTGTTTTGCATGGCAACTACCTCAGGGGGCCCATTGCAGTCACCTCAGGCTATACAGTGTTAATTGCCCCAAATAGGTTCAGAGCAGCCATTCCTACTGGGCTGGAGAGTTGTTTCTACTGGCAAAGAAGATTCATCAGAATGTAGGGGCTTAACGATCCCAGCTTCATCAGAGTCTTGCCCCACATACCCATTCCAACTTTCAGGATGCTCTCAGGGCAGCTATTAACTTAAGACAAAGCAGGCTTCCAAAGAAAAAAAAATAGCAGGGATAAAGCAGAGACTTACACAAAGATTGATGAGGCTAATTCTCCAACAAGATGTAAGTTGAACTGAACTGAAACATCAATCAACTGAATCTAATTAACTTTTATAGAATAATTCATTGAACGACAGCAGAATATACATTCTTCTCAAGCTCACATTGAAACACTCACAAAGGCCACATGTTTGGCCATAAAACACACCTTAACATATTTAACGTATTTGTTTAAATAAAAATTAAATATAAAATATAAACTCAGATGACAATAGAATTAAAATAGAAATTAACAACAGAAATATACCACAAAAATCCTAAAATGCTTATAAATTAACCTCAAATAACACATGGGTGAAGAAGGAGCCTCAAGAAAAATTTTTACAAAATATTTTGACCTAACTGAAAATGAGAATTCAAATTATCAAAATATGTAGAATGCAATGAAAATAATACTTAGAGAAAAATTTATAGCATTAAATGCATATATTACAAAGGAAGAAGATTTAAAATCAATAATCTAAGCTTCCACATTTGGGAATTATGAATAGAAAAAAAAATTTAAGCCTAAAGCAAACAAATAAGCAAAATTAGAGCAGAAGTCGATGAACATAAAAAATGGAAAATAAGAGAAAATAAAATCAGAAGCTAGTTCTTTAAAGAGATCAATATAATTGATAAACTTCTAGTCAGACTGAGAAAAATACAGAGAAGACCAAAATTATTAATATCAGAAATTTAAGATATGTCATCAGCAGGAATCCCTTCAATGTGAAAAGATAGTAAAATAATATGATGAATAACTCCGTGACCCCGAATTTGATAACTTATATGAAATGGGCCAATTACTTGCAAAATGCAAACTACCAAACTCATCAAAGACGAAATAGATAATCATTACAGGTCAATATGTATAAAAAATAAATCAGGAGTTAATAACCTTCCAAGAATGTCAGCAGAAGGATCAGATAGTTTCACTGGTGCATTGTATCACACATTTAAGACAGAAAATACAATAATTCTCTACAATCTCTTCTGGAAAATAGAAGCAGAGGGAACACTTTCTAATGCATTCTATGAGGCCAGCACTTCTCTGATACTAAAATCAGATAAATCATTATTAGTAAGAGTAAGAAAAACTATAGACTAATATCTCTCAGGAACAAATACACAAATCCTCAAAAAATATTTGTAACTTGAATCCAACAAGGTATAAAAGAATTGTATTCCACAACCAATTTATTTCAGATATGCAAAGCTGGTTCAACACTGGAAAACAATGCTATCTACCACATCAACAGGTAAAAAAATAAAATTTATATGACCATATCTGATATGGTTTGGATTTGTGTCCCTACTCAAATCACATGTCAAATTTGAGGAGGGGCCTGGTGGGAGGTGATTGGATCATGGGGGAAGATTTCCCCCATGCTTTTTTTGTTGTCAGAGTGAGTTCTCATGAGATCTGATGGTCTACGGGTATGTGGCACTTTCCCCTTTGCTCTCTCTCTCCCGTCACCACAGTAAGATGTGCTTTCTTCCCCTTTGCCTTCTGCTATGATTATAAGTTTCCTGAGGCCTCCCTACCATGCTTCCTGTTAAGCCTGCAGAACTGTGAGTCAATTAAACTTCTTTTCTTCATAAATTACCCAGTCTCAGGTAGTTCTTTATAGCAGTGTGAGAACAGACTAATACAGAAAATTGGTACGGGAGTGGGGCATTGTTATAAAGATACCTGAAAATGTGGAAGCGGCTTTGGAACTGGGTAAAGAGCAGAGGTTGGAACAGTTTGAAGGGCTCAGAAGAAGAAAGGAAGACGTGGGAAGGTTTGGAACTTCCTAGAGACTTGTTGAATGGTTTTGACCAAAATGCTGATAATGATATGAACAACGAAGTCCAGGTGGAGGTGGTCTCACATGGAGATGAAGAACTTGTTGGGAATTGGAGTAAAGGTCACTGTTGCTATGCTTTAGCAAAGAGACTGGTGGTATTTTGCCCCTTCCCTAGAGACCTGTGGAACTTTGAACTTGAGAGAGATGATTTAGGGTATCTGGTGGAAGAAATTTCTAAGCAGCAAAGCATTCAAGAGGTGACCTGGCTGTTTCTAAACATGTACAGTCATATGCATGAACAAAGAGATTATTTGAAACTGGAACTTACATTTAAAAGGGAAACAGCACAAAAGTTTGTAAAATTTGCAGACTGACCATGTGATAGAAAAGAAAAACCCATTTTCTGGGGAGAAATTCAAGCCTGCTGCAGAAATTTGCATATGTAAAGAGGAGCCAAATGTTAATAGCCAAGAATGGAGTCTCCAAGGCATTTCAGAGACCTTTACAGCACCCCCTCCCATCACAGGCCTGGAGGCCTAGAAGGGAAAAATGATTTAGTGGGCCAGGCCCAGGGCCTAGCTTCTCTGTGCAGCCTTGGGACATGGAACCCTGCATCCCAGCCACTCCAGCACCAGCCATGCCTAAAAGGGGCCAAGGCGCAACTCAGGCAGTGGCTTCAGAAGGTGCAAACCCCAAGCCTTGGCAGCTTCCATATGGTGTTGAGCCTGCATGTGTGCCAAAGACAAGAATTGAGGTCTGAGAACATCTGCCTCGATTTCAGAGGACGTATGGAAACACCTGGTGTGCAGGCAGAATTCTGCTGCAGGGGTGGAGCCCTCATGGAGAATCTCCACTGGGGCAGTGCAGAGGGGAAATGTGGGGTTGGAGCCCTTACACAAAGTCCCCACTGAGGCACTGCCTAGTGGAGTTGTGAGAATAGGGCCACCATCCTCCAGATCCAAGAATGATAGCTCTACCAACAGCTTGCACTGTGCACCTATAAAAACCAAAGGCCCTCAACACCAGCCCATGAAAGCAGCCACAGAGGCTGTACCCTGCACAGCTCCTCCCCAGGGGTGGAACTGCCCAAGGCTTGGAGAACCCACCCCTTACGTCAGTGTACCCTGGATGTGAGACATGGAGTCCAAGGAGATTATTTTGGAGTTTCAAGATTTAATGACTGCCCTGCTGGGTTTTGGACTTGCATAAGGCCTGTAGCCCCTTTGTTTTGGCTAATATCTCCCATTTGGAATGGGAGCATTTACCCAATGCCTGTACCCTCATTGTATCTTGGAAGTAACTAATTATTTTATTTTATTTTTACAGGCTCATAGGTGGAAAGGACTTACCTTGTCTCAGATGAGACTTTGGACTTCGGACTTTTGAGTTAATGTTGAAATGAGTTAATACTGGGGGACTGTTGAGAAGGGATAATTGTATTTTGAAATGTGAAAAGGACATGAGATTTGGGAGGGGCCAGGGGCAGAATAATAGGGTTTGGATTTGTGTCCCTGCCCAAATCTCATGTCGAATTGGAGGAGGGGCCTGATGGTGATGGGATCATGGGGTCGCCCTGGTAAGACGTGCCTGCTTCCCCTTCTCCTTCTGCCATGTTTTTAAGTTTCCTGAGGCCTCCCAGCCATGCTTTCTGTTAGGTCTGCAGAACTGTGAGTCAACGAAATCTCTTTTCTTCATAAATTACCCAGTCTAAGGTAGTTCTTTATAGCAGTGTGTGAATGAACTAATACAATATCTATTGATGCAGAAAAAGCACTAGACAAAGTCCAGTACCCATCCTTGATATAAACTTTCAGCAAATAGGAATAGAGGATAACAGCTTCAACTTGACAAGGAACATCTGCAAAAAACCTACAGCTAACAGCATACTACTTCGTGGTAAGAAACTGGAAGCTTTCCCCCTAAGTTCAGGGACAAGGCAGGGAGATCTTTTCCCTCCACTCCCATTTAACATTATACTATAAGTCATAGCTAATACAATAAGACAAGAAAGGAAGTAAAAATTGTGTAGGTACAGAGGGAAGAAATAAATCTGTCTTTATTGATTGTGTTAGTTTCTTATTGCTGATGTAGCAAATTATGACAAAGTCCATGGTTTAAAATGATACATCCTTATTCTATTACATTTCTGGAGGCTAAAAGTCCAAAATTAGTCATATAGGGTGTCATGACTTGAATGTGTACCCCAAAGTTCATGTGTTGGAAACTTATTCCCCAATGCAACAATGCTGAGGTGGGAACTTTAGGAGGTGATTAGGTCATGAGGGTTCTTCCCTTATGAATGAATTAGTGCCATTATTGTGGCAGTGGGTTAGTTATTGTGGGAGTGGGTTCCTGATGAAATGATGAGTTTGGCTTCCCTCTTAGCTCTCTCACCATCTCTCACCTTTTGCCTTCTGCCATGGGTGACATAGCCAGAAGGCCCTTACCAGATACTGTCACCTTGATATTGTACTTCCAAGTCTCCAGAACTGTGAGAAATATAATTTCTTTTCTTTATAAATTACTCAGTTTGTGGTATTTTGTTATAGCAACCCAAAACAGACTAAGACATAGGACTAAAATCAAGGTGTTATTGGGGTTGGTCACTTGCAGAGTGGAGTCTGTTCCTTGCTTCTTTCTGCTTCTGGTGGCTGCTTGCATCCCCTGAAGTGTGGCCGCATCACTCCAATCACCATTTCTCTCATCACATTGCCTTCTCCTACCCATAATCAAAGCTACTTCTGCATCCCTTTTATAAGGACACTTGCAATTATATTTCAGGCACTCTGGACAATCTCAGACAATCTCCCCATCTTTTAACCACATGTGCAATATCCCTTTTGCCACGTAACATAATATTCACTGGTTCCAAATATTAGGACTTGGTTAGCTTTGGTAATTATTATTCAGTCTATTGCATACACAGATGACATGATTATTTATGTATAAAATCCTAAGAAATGGTCAAAACAAAGTCCTGGTATTGATGTGATTACAGCAAGATCACAGGATAAAAGGCCAATATTCAACAGTCATTTGTTTTCCATACACCAACTATGGACATTTGAAATTCAAAATTATACTCACAAAAACATTTACAATGGCACCAAAAATGACATTCTTAGGTAAACAGCTAACATAATATGTACAAAATCTATATGCAGGAAACTACTAAACTCTGATGACAGGAATCAAAGAATATTTAAATACATTGAGAGATTTATTTAGACAAAAGAGCCTTTGGGATCCAGGTGGGAGGTTGTGAAACCCTGGTCTGGCTTAAAACCTAGGAGGTTGAGGAAAGGGGAGGCCTGCATCTAGGTGGCAGGCTTGCTGACTGTTGGTGCAGGCAATAGGTCTGGAATCAGCCTCATCTCCTTGTGGGCTCGGCTATAAGCCTGTTTGGCCTTGATCCTGCTACCACAGTCATCTGCCAAAGGACTGGGGTGGAGTCACGGGCACTGCTCCCTCTGGTGATGGGCTCGCTGACCTCAGCCTGGGCAGTGAACTCTGAAGCAGTCCTGTAACTCAGCCATAGACCCTCTCAATTGTGTTTTGAGAGCATTCTTGCCCAAGCACAGTCTTGCCAGGAGATACAGCTATCTGTGCATTCAGAGAAGGTCTACCAATCTCAGACCCACAGAAGGTCCTGTAATAGTTTTGTAACTTGGCTCTAGGCCTTCTCATCTGTGAGCTGAGAGCAGTTTTTCCCACTCAAAGACCCCCCAGGAGGCATGCTCAATCTTTCACACCCAGGGAGGCAGGCTTGTTTACCTTGATACCACAGTAGACTCCAAAATGGCCCTGTAACTCTTCTCCAGTCACTCTTACCTGTGCAGTCATGCCTGCCCAGGGACTTACCCAGTGACCCAGGAGGAGCTATCCCAAGGACCTAGAAGGATCCGCACCGGTATACACACCTGGTAACAACCAACTATGGACCCTGAGTAGACAGACACTTGTCCCATCACCAGCCCTACTGACCAAAGTCATGGAGGTATAATCCATGCCAGCTTGAGCACCTGGGAAGAGGCCCACTAAACATGGTCCCCACTGTGGGCCCAGCAGCAGTTGTAACTCAGCTCTGACTCCACTTGACTGCAATCTCAGAAGTAATCCCATTAGCCTAGGGACCCAACAGAAGGTCTTGACCTTCTGTCTAACAGCAGTAGCATACTTACTCTTCTCCAGAGCACATGGAACATTCTTTAAGATAGATCATATGCTGGGATATAAGACAATTCTTAGCAAATTTAAGAGTGTTGAAATCATATCAAGTATCTTTTCTGACCACAGTTGTATGAAATTAGAATCAATAACACAAGAGATTTTGGGAAATTCACAAATATGTACAAATTAAACAGCATACTCCTGAAATCAATGGCTCAAATAAGAAATCAAAAGAGAAATTTTAAAGTATCTTGAGACAAGTAAAAATAGAAACACAACATACCAAAACGTATGGGATGCAGGAAACACAGTTTTAAGAACAAACGTTATAGCAATAAATGCCTATATTAAGAAATAAGAATAATCTCAAATATACAAGCTACTTAGCCCAAAAAAAACCAGAAAAGCAGCACAAACTCAGTCCAAAGTCAGAAAATTAAAAAATATATATTAGAATAAAAAGAAATAAAATAGAGACTAGAAACACAATAGGAAATATCAACAAAACTAAAGTCGCGTTTTTGAAAAGATAAGCAAAGTTGAGAAAACTGTAGTTAGAGTAACCAAGAACAAAAAAGATGGCTCACAATAAAGAAAACGTAACGAAAGAGGAGGCATTACCACTGATACCACAGAAATACAAAGGATCATAAGAGACCACTATGAACAACTATACACCAACAAATTGAATAACCTAGAAGAAATGAATAAATTCCTAGAAATGTACAACCTGCAAAAAGTTAATCATGAAGAAAGAGAAAATATGAACAGAACAATAATGAGAAAGGAGATTAAACCTGTAATCTAAAACCTCAAAGAAAAGAAAATCTCAGGACTAGATGGCTTCAAGGTGAATTCTATCAAATATTTGAAGAAGAATTCATGGCAATTCTCCTCAAAATCTTCCAAAAAGTTGAAGAGTGGGAAGGACTTCCAAACTAATTTTATCAGGCCAGCATTATCTTTATACCAAAGCTAACTAAGAACACTACAAGAAAAGAACATTACAGGACAAAATCACTGATGAACATAGATGCAAAACTCCTCAACAAAATGTTAGCAAACCAAATTCAACAACACATTTAAAGGATCATACACTATAATCAAGTAGGATTTATCCTGGGATGCAAGGATGTTTCATAATGTGCAAAACAATAATTGCGATATACCACATTAACAGAATAAAGGATAACAATCATATGATCACCTCCATAGATTCAATAAAAGCATTTTACAAAATTCAACATAAATTCATGATACAAACTTCACAAATTACATATGGAAGAACTGTGCCTCAATACAAGAAAGGCCGTATATGACCATCCCACAGCTAACATCATACTCAGTGATGATAGCTGAAAGCTTTTCTTTTAAACTCAGGTACAAGAAAAAGATGCCCACTCTTGCCACTTCTGTTCAACATAGTACTGGAAGTCTTAGCCACAGCAATTAAGAGAGAAAAGTAAGTAAAAGGAACCCAAATTGGAAAGAAAGACATTAAATTATCTCGGTTTGAAGATGACATGATCTTAAATATTGAAAACTCTAAAGACTCCATGAAAAAACTGTTAGAACTAATAACTAAATTCAGTAAAGTTTCAGGATACAAAATCAACATACAAAAGTCAGTGGGTTTTCTATACATCAACAACCAACTATCCAAAAAATTAAGAAAACAGTCCCATTTACAATAGCATCAAAAACGATAAAATAGTTAGAAATGCATTTAATCATGCATGTGAAATATCTAGATATGTATGCTGAAATGTATAAAACACTGATGAAAGAAATTAAAGGAGACACACATAACTGGAAAGATAGCTCATGTTCACTAATTGAAAGAATTAACATCGCAAATAGATCCATACTACCCAAAGTGATATACAGATTTGATGTAATCCCTATCAAAAATCCAATGACATTTTTCACAGAAATAGAAGAAACAATCTTAAAATTTGTACAGAATCACAAAAGACTCTGAATAGGCAAAGCAATTTTGAGAAAGAGCAACAAAGCTGTTAAGAATTATACTTCCTGATTTCAAACTATATTGCCAAGGTACAGTAAATAAAAACAGTATGATACTAGCATAAAAACAGGCTCTTAGAACAGAATAGAGAGCCCCAAATTAAATGCCTTTGAGAAGAGTCCTAAGAATACACGATGGGTAAAGGATACTCTCTTTAATAAATGATGGGAAAACTCCATAACCACATGCAAAAGAATAAAATTGAACCATTATTTTATACCAAATGCAAAAGTTAACTTGAAATAGGATTAACAACTTATATGGGCCAGGCGCAGTGGCTCATGCCTGTAATCCCAGCATCTTGGGAGGCCGAGGCAGGTGGATAACCTGAGGTTGGGAGTTCGAGACTAGCCTGACCAACATGGTGAAACCCCATCTCTACTAAAAGAAAAAAAAAAATTAGCCAGGCGTGGTGGTGCATGCCTGTAATGCCTGTAATCCCAGCTACTCAGGAGGCTAAGGCAGGAGAATCACTTGAACCTAGGAGGCAGAGGTTGTGGTGAGCTGAGATCACACCATGGCACTCCAGCCTGGGCAACAAGAGGGAAACTTCATCTCAAAAAAAAAAAAAGAAAACTTACATGTAAGACTTGAAACCGTGAAATTCCTAGAAGAAAAAAGAGAGAAAAAGTTTCTGTACATTGGCCTTGGCAATATTTTTTGGATATAACACCAAAAGCACATAGCATGAAAGCAAAAATAAATAAATGGGAATACATCACACTAAAAATCTTGTGCACAGCAAAGAAAACAATCAACAAAACAAAAAGCCAAGCTACAGAATGGGAGCACATATTTAAAAACTATATATCTGATAATGGGTTAATATTCAAAATACTGAATACACATACAACTCAATAGCAAATTAATAATAATGATGATGATGATGATAGTAACGTATTGAAAAATGGGCAAATGCCCTGAACAGACATTTTTTCAAAGAAGACATACAACTGTCCAACGGGTGTATGAAAAGCTGCTCAACATCATGAATCATCAGGGAAATGCAAATCAGAACCACAGTGAGACTGAGACATCACCTCACACCTGTAAGGATGGCTATTATCCAAACGACAAGAACTAACAGGTGTTGGTGCGGATGTGGAGAAAAGAGAATCCTTGTACACTGTCAGTGGGTATATAAATTGATATAGTCAATTTATATAGAAAACATTGTTAGTTCTGCAAACTATTAAAAATAGAACTACTATATAATCCAACAATCCTATACCTAGGTACATATCCAAAGAAAAGGAAAAGGATAGTGAAAGGAAATAAAATATCTTGAAGTGCTATCTACACCCTCATGTTTATTGCAGCATTATTTACAATAGGGAAGACATGGAATAACCTGTGTCCATTGACAGATGAGTGGATCAAGAAACTATTGTCTATATACACATATATATGATGTGTATATATACATATATATATGATGTATATATACACACATATATACAATGTGTATATATACATATATATGATGTATATATACACATATATATGATGTATGTATATACATATATATGATGCATGTATATACATATATATGATGCATATATACACACATATATACAATGAAATATTATCCAGCCATAATAAAAGAAGAAAATCCTGCCATTTGTGACAACATAAGTGAATCTGGAAGACATTATGCTATGTGGAATAAGCCAGATACAGAAAGGCAAATACTGTATGATCTGACATATATGAATCTAAAAAGTGCAACTCATAGAAGCAAGGAGTGGAACAGTGCATGCCAGTGTCTGAGGGGTGGGAAAAATGGGGAGATGTTGATTTAAGGGTACACACTTTCAGTTATAAGATAAATAATTGCTGAGTATCTAATGTACCACATGATAATTATAGTTAATAATATTATTTACTAGAAATTTGCTAAGAAAAAGTATCTTAAGTGTTATCACAACACACACACACACAAAGGGTAACTCTGTGGTGATGGATAGGTTGATTAATTTGATGGTGGTAACCATTACACAATGAACGTGTATAGTATATGCACATCACATTGTACATCTTGAATGTATATTATTTTTATTTGTCAGTTATAGTTCAATATAGCTGAAAGAAAGAAAAAAAGTAACTCAAAATGAATCATAAACCTAAATGTAAATAGCAACACTTTGAAACTTTTAGAGGAAAATAGAGAAAATGTAGGTAACCTTGGGTTTGGCAATGAGTTTTTCAACACAACATCAAAAACATGGTGGATGAAAGAAAAATAGGTAAGTTAAACTGTATTAAAATTAAAAGCTTATGCTCTGCCAAAGACATTGCAAGATAATAAAAAAATAAGCCTCAGACTTGGAGAAAATATTTGCAAAACATATGTCTGATAAAGAACTTATATCTGAAGCTTACAAAGAACTTTTACAGTTAAACAATAAGAAAGCAAACAACTCAATTAAAATGAAGTTAAAAGATCTGAACAGAAAACTCAGCAAAGAAAATATACAAATGGCAACCTAAAATAATTTTTGAAATCATTTCCCAATTGGGAATTGCAAATTGAAACCACATACAGGTAGACATGCATTAGAGTAGATAAAATCTGCAAAAATTGCACCACCGCATGCTGGAGAGGATTCAGTATGGAGGAACTCTCTTTTGCTGCTGGTGTGAATGAAAAATGGTGCAGTCATTGGAAGATAGTTAGGCAGTTTCTTGCAAAGCTAAACATAGTCTTACTATGTGATTTAGCAATCAAGTTCCTAGTAAGAATTGATTTGAAAACTTATATTCACACCAAAAGCTGCATGAAAGTGTGTTTTAGCAGCTTCATTCATAAACTCCAAAACTGAAAGCAACCGAGGTAAACAAAGTAGAGAGCATCCACACAAGTGACTGTTACTCAGCCATAAAAAGAAATGAGCTATCAAGCCATGAAAAGACATGGTTAAATTTTAAATGCATATTACTAAGTGAAAGAAGCCAATTTGAAAAGGCTACATAGCATATGATTCCAGCTATATGAGGTTCAAAGAAATGCAAAACTATGGAGTCAGTAAAAATAGTTGTTGCCAGAGGGGATGGGAGGGGTAAATAGGTAAAGCGCAGGATTTCTATTTTTTATTTTTGTTGGTACATAGTAGGTATATATATTTATGAGGCGTATGAGATGTTTTGATACAGGCATGCAATAAATAACAATTGCATCATGGGGAATGGGGTATCCATCCCCTCAAGCATTTATCCTTTGTGTTACACACAATCCAATTATACTATTTTAGTTATTTTAAAATATACAATTGAATTATTGATTATAGTCACCCTGTTGTGCCATCGGATGCTAGGCTTTATTCATTTATTCTATTTTTTGTACCCATTAACTTTCACCACATCCCCTCCACCCCCCACCCCACTCCCCTTCCCAGCCTCTGGTAACCATCCTTCTACTCTCTATCTCCATGTGTTTTGATTTTTAGATCCCACAAATAAGTGAAAACATGTGATGCTTGTCTTTCTGAAAGCATACGTTTTTTGAGTGCTGAAACTATCCTAGTGGGCTTAAATCCCCACTCCTTAAGCACGAGGTGCTTCGTTCCAAAGAGTACGGTGTGGAAAGTGGGAAAAAAAGAGCAACTTTACGTGAAGAAGCCTGACAAAGACTCCCTGAGCCAGGTGACCAAGGTCCACATCAGCAGTGGTGGGCCATGCTGGCACCTGCCTAATCAGAGAAAGAATTCACATCAATTCCATTCGAGGGACATCTTACCAAGTATGACCATTACTCCTCAAATTTATCAGTGTCATCAAAAACAAGAAAACTCAGAGAATCTGTCACCACCAAGAGAGCCTAAGGAGCCGTGAGAGGTAAGTGCAGTGTGGAGTTATGAACAGACACCTGGAACAGAAAAAGAAGTTCTACAAAAAATAAGGAAATCTGGGCCAGGGGCTGTGGCTCACGCCTGTAATCCCAGCACTTTGGGAGGTCGAGGCGGGCAGATCATCTGAGGTTGGGAGTTCGAGACCAGCCTGACCAACCTGGAGAAACTCCGTCTCTACTAAAAATACAAAATTAGCCGGGCGTGGTGGCGCATGCCTGTAATCCCAGCTACTCAGAAGGCTGAGGCAGGAGAATCGCTTGAACCCGGGAGGCAGAGGTTGCAGTGAGCCAAGATCGTGCCATTGCACTCCAGCCTGGGCAACAAGAGCGAAACTTTGTCTCTAAATAAATAAATGGAAATCTGAATAAACTGTGGTATTTACTTAATAACAATCATATATCACTATTGATCCATTAACTTTAAGAATGTAAGATGTTAATAATAGGGGGAAAAGGTTATGCTGGCATATGCAAGATCTCTGTAGCTTCGCAATTTTTCTGTAAATTTAACACCATTCTAAACAATAAAGTATTTTTTAAAACACTGCTTTATGCTATTTCTATCTCACCTAAAACAGATCCAAAGTCAAATCACACATAAGTACATCTCATTGGCAGAGCTAAGTCATGCCTGTAATCCAGGGAGCTTAGCAAATGTAGTTTCTGGCTTTCTGGTCTCTGCAGTCCAGGGAGACACAAGGGAAGAAGATTGGAAATGAGCCAGTCCACAAAATTGCCTATCAGTTGTCATATCAAAACTCATTTAACCATTGTCTTTTAGTAGCTATTTAAGCTCTATCCAATTTTTTCTCTGTTACCAACAGTGCATCTAAGTAAATGTTTCTAGAAGGTAAATCAGAGGTCACAGGATTTGTATATTTTAATAGATATCCCCTGAAAAACCACCAATATATATTCCCATGCAAACCACTGCCAACACAGGTAGTTAATACTGGTTCATAATTTTATGAATCCATTGGGTAAAAATATTCCGTATCATTGCTGCTTCAGTTAATGTTTCTCTGATTACAAATGAGGTGACTGTTCTGACCACTTGCATCCACCCTGCGGGACTGGACAGATAAGCTCATAGCGGTTTGTTGCTTACATATGCTCAAGGCCTCGGGGAGGAGGACATTGCATTTTACACAGGGCCATAAGGGACTTGCACATGGGAACACAGAGAGCCTGCAGGGACTCTAGTGAAAAGGAGGCAGGCTTTGAACTAACAAGATGCTGAGGTGCCTCCAGGCCCCATGTGAGGATATGACTAGCTTTTTTGAATAATTTCATGAGCTGGCAGGGAAGCGAAGCCCATTAGAGTGAGGATCAGGTTAAGTGAAGCTAGTCCAGCTAATGGGGAACTGGCCAGGCAAGGAGCCTTTCCCACTGGCGGGGGTACACGTCTGGTGTGAGCATAAGGACTTAGGATTAGACCCTTGGGGCCTTGTGAGGGTCGAAGGCGTTAAGGTGGGAAATGAAATTTCAGGCCTTACGATACAGTGACCATTTTTTCATAGATTTATCGACTAATTGTATCTCTTTTTCTTTTAATTGTCTGCTTTGTTTTCTAACTAATTTTATTTATGTTATTTCTGGGAACATTTTGAAAAAAAATACTAGTTTTTAACTCTCTTTTTTTGGTTACACATATTAAAAACACTTTTGCCCAGTCTGTTGCTTTTTGCATTAAAAATGCCCTTTGACAACTTTAAATCTGATTTTGACACTGTGCTGCTTAGAGCACTTCACTGACTTTTGAAGCAAATTCTAAAAGTTTTCACCTGGCCGGGTGCCCTGCGTGAGCGGCCTCACTGGCTCTCACTTACACTCCCGCTGTCCCCACTTCTCGCCGGTTCCTTCCAGCCTCCTCTGCTTCTTCGCATCCCTGCCTCTTCCACCTCTGGGCCTCCTGCTGGAGATTCTCTTCTCTTGGTGCATTCCTGTGAGAGACTGATGGGCATTGAGGGGTGAGCAGTAGCAGTTGTAAAATTGATCAAAGATGGTCGTATACCCATTGTGGGGTTTATCACATTTCTTGTATTGTTCTTCACTGAGTTTCCAACAGCCATTTTATTGATTAATGCTAAAATGGAAACATATATCTATGGTTCAAAATTTAAAATATTTAAGAATCTGTAGTAAAAACAAAAACAAAAACACAGTGTTCTTCCCCCAGGGCTGGCGGCGGGGACAGTGAGAGGGTTAGAAGCGCCTGCTGAGAGCCGAGCTGTCCTTGTCTATCTTGCCCTCTCCTGGCCATTGTTTTGCTAAAAGCATTTTTAAGTTCCCTGGTTCTCTTTAATACGTAGTTTATGAGATTTTCCCAGGTCTATTTGTCAAGACCTCATGATATCATCTGTCTTGTTTTTCCTTTGTTGTCGCTTCATATGGATTTTTTATTTCTGCAGTGTTCTTCCTCCTTTCCATGTCCTAATGGACTCTGACAGCTCTGTTCACATCCTCTCCCACTGTCACACGGCCTCTTACTTGAATATCCTGACTCTTCCGTGACAGTTCTCGTTTCAGGTGCAGAAAATGCTGCCTGCTGCATAGAATCTTTGTGCAGAATGAAGCACTGTTGGTGAGAATCCCTCTCTGTGTCCTTGAAAACTGTCTTTCGTGATATCTGCCCCGATGTGCCTCTGTCTTTCCTTTTTTCCCTCCATCAGGTATTTGATGGATGCTGCCAATTGATTGTTTGATGGCAGTTGTTCTCCATGGGCCCAGGCCGTTCTTCTCAATATGACTCATCTTGGAGAAGGGACAGTCAGTAGCCCCATTGGCTGAGCTAGTACTGCCGAGGGGTGGGATGGGAGTGTGGCGGGATGCGGGATAGGGAAAGCCTATCTACGGCTTTCACGTGGGTGTGTTCTTGAGTGCCCTCCAACAAACCTGCTCTTTCTTCGCCCTGGGGACACTCCTTCACCTTCCCCAGACTTAGACTCTTAAGCCCTTCCAGCTTCTCCACTTTCCCGCTGTGTGCCTCTGGCCCTCTTCCATCAGGGAAAGCAGCTGGGGCCGGAACATACAAGTGAACACGGAACCTGCCCTTTTAAGAGCACGTGTATCCTGGCCCAAGGTCTCAGGTGGCAGAGATCAACTTTTTATTGGCTCTCGAGCTCCAGTCAAGATGTTTTGAGAATGTAGCCATTTTCTTGTTATATATAAATTGGATTTTTTGCCCTCTATTTTTTATTGTTGATTTGTGTGCATATACATGAGTGTATAAATATGTGTGTATATACACATATGTGTATACATTCATATACATATACACAAACAAATCAACAACAAAAAATATATATGCACATGTGTGCATATATATATATTTTATATATATATATATACACACACATACCTAGTAATACATATATATTTGTGGGTTTTGAGAGATGAGATTAAGGAAAATCATCTTTTTTTTTTTTTTTTTTTTTGAGACAGAGTCTCGCTGTCGCCCAGGCTGGAGTGCAGTGGCGCAATCTCGGCTCACTGCAGTCTCCGCCCCCTGGGGTTCACGCCATTCTCCTGCCTCAGCCTCCCAGGTAGCTGGGACTACAGGCGCCCGCCACCTCGCCCGGCTAATTTTTTGTATTTTTAGTAGAGACGGGGTTTCACCGTGTTAGCCAGGATGGTCTCGATCTCCTGACCTCGTGATCCGCCCGCCTCGGCCTCCCAAAGTGCTGGGATTACAGGCGTGAGCCACCGCGCCCGGCCGGAAAATCATCTTTAAACAGAAATCAATTTATACTTTTTCTGAGTAAATTTCTATCCTCATCTTTGAATTTCCCTTACATAATAATGTAGCTGACATAAGATTAAAATGAATCAAAACCACTAAAGTAGTTTTACATACTTTCAAAAAGAGGATGTAGAGCTTTAATATCATCATTTTTTGGAAGAACCTAGGGTCCTTAGCTCAGCATTTATTATCTGTTAGGAACCTGATGAAACCCACTGAGACCTTTCAAATTGGTTCTTCCCCATGTTTTTCTGAGGCTATCTAAATGGGCAAGGAGATAATACAGATAGAAGGAAGTTGCTGTATTGGGAAGGAAACAGGAATTGGAGGCCAGGAAAGGAGCTTAGCTACAGCAGAGACAAGAGGATGATCAAATTCGGTGTTTTTCTATGACCAAGTTAAGAATTGCATTGATGATCTGCAACACTTTTTTTTTTCTTTTTCTGTTTTAACACAACAATGTGGACGGAGAATCTTTTCTGTCATGATTATAATCGTTAATATAATTGCTGTGACTATTCAACCTTCAGAAAGCTGGTTTCCATCCAGCCCTGGCTCTGGGGCTCACAGGCTCTGTTGCCACATAAGGAAGCAGCACTGGGCAAGTTCCTGGACCACTTGCACCAGCACCATAGGGAGCATGAATCCACTGGTGATTTGTGGTTGTTCATTTATTTCGTATAATGAGAACAAACTCCCTGCCACATTTAAATAAAAGCCTAATTACATCTCCATTGCTACAGATGCTATTACTACCTTTCTGACTGGCTATAAAAGTTAATGAGTTTTTTATTGCTTTGCAGAGTTTCAAAATAAAATGCAAAGTTTAGAGATAGATGCTATATAAGGTGAGGTCCACTCTGCTTTGCTCTTTTTGAGGGAACCTAGAACCTTAATTTAATGCTTTTCATTTTAGAATATGGCCTGCTTTGCATTATTTCCCAATTTTTTGGACATAAGTATGGCACAGGGATTAAATATAACTAAGCACCATTGAAGAAAATTGCATCAAATCAGCTGAAGATAAGTGAAGAATGTTTTTATGAGCTACACGTTTTTGAAAGAGATACACAAGGCTGACAACCTAATAAAAGTTTAATAATGTGTGCTCACCCATTTGCTGTGCTTTCAAGGTCCTCTGCAACACTGATGTGCTTGGGAACTTCCAGGATGGATTTCCAACTGTTAGTCACCAACTAGCAGAGGTTAGTTGTATTGTGCTGCCAGTCTCATATATGTAAACCTGAATTTGTTTTTATTCCTTCCTGCATTGCTTGATTTTTAAAAATTCAGTTACTCTAGGAAAAGAAAAGCCAAAATAAGCCAGAAATTTATATTTTTTATTCATATTTCAAGAATCATTCTAAAAGCAAGTGATAAAGTTAACTAATTTCTCTCTGCATTTAGTACAGTTACTTTATCTTCCCAAAGAGGAAACCAAGGCCTGGAATCAATGCCATGTAGGCACGTGCAGGTCTGTGTGCTACACTGTGGTGGCACCGCACAGGGCACCTGGAAGCATGGATTTGAGCCTGGTCTGCACAGAAGCCTGCTTTTCAAGAGTTAAACGAGGCAAAATAACTTGGCACAATGCATTTCACATGCAGTGCTTACTGAATACCCTCCATGAAAAAGCTGGCACTATGCCAGGGATGGAAGTTCAGGGGCAAAGACATTGTCCCATCTTCCAGGGACTCTCCCTCCACAGCTGGGGCTTAGGAATCATAATGCAACCAGCAAGTCAACTTCCAGGATTAAGGCTAGAAGAGACACCTAAGTTGAGGAACCACCTGGAGGTCTTCCTGGAGGCTAAGGAGTTGGCTAAGGTTGTAGGCTGAGCTAGTAGTGGTGGGCAGGTGAGTATGGAGGAGCCGAGGCTGCAGGCTGGTGAGCCCCGTTAGCAGAGGCTGCAGGGCCAGCACTGCTGACTATGGATCTGGTGCCAGACCTTGTCTGGGTGGCAGCTGGACCAATGGGCAGGGAGCAGGTGGGGCATGCGTTCTTCGGGCTTCAATCATGTGCCTCAGGGAATGGGGAGACATGGAGGATTTCAAGTGGAGGAATAGTGTATTAGATTTCCTTTTCATAACAGTCACCCTAACTGCCATTTGTACAAGTGTTGATATGTTTCAAAACTAAATGCTGGATACCTATGAGGAGTAAGCCAGACCAGACTTTACAAACTTCAAGACTCAGGAGAGGCAGGAAGAGAAAGTGGTAGTTGATAAGGAACAAACTGGAGATGAGAAATAGGAGTGTGTAGGTCACCCCTCTGCCCCGTTTTTGTCAGGGACAGTGCACCTATCAAGTACCAACCACATTCTGGATCCAACACCCTTTCATTTTGCAATCAGGGATGGGTCAGAGTGTGTTTCCTTGGTCATCTCCATGTTTACCTCCCCACCACCACCTGTGCTTAGACTCAACTGTGCAGAACTGGTAGAAAGATGAACTTATCCTCAGTGAGAAATCCCGGAGCTCACACCTTAAAGCTGCACTCTTGCCAACCCCACACCTACCACCAGAACCTGGAGACCTTCCTTCAAGTGCAACAGTGATTTATTACTCGAATGTTTACTGAAGATGCACACAGACAGGTTCTAAACCATGCTCCTGCTTCGAGGCTATTCTTCCCAATAAAAATGCAGGGTTTTCTCTTGACCTTCCTGAGTGATTGGATCAAAAGACATTTTATATCATTGCCAGAAAATCTGGATTCAAAAACTGTTGAGTGTGTGGGTTGGGGTCAGTGCCTTTCCTTTCTTTTTTAAAAATTATTTTTAAGTTGTGAATACACATAAAAACTCATCATCTTAGTCATTTCTAAGTATATAGTCCAGTGGCATTAAATGCATTCACCTTTTTGTGCAACTATCACCACCAACCATCTATAAAACTTTCATCTTCTTAAAATGAAATTTTGTACCTATTAAATGCAAACATGCTATCCCCAACTCCTTATCCCCTGGCAACCACCATTCTATTTTCTGTCTCCATGAGACTGAGCACTCCAGACACCTCATGTAAGTGGAATCACACAGTGTCTGTTCTTTTGTGCCTGGCTTATTTCACTCAGCATAATGTCCTCGAGGTTCATCCATGTTCTGGCGTATAGAAGATGTCCTTCCTTTCCGAGGTTGGGTAATGTTTCATTATACACATGGACCACATTTTGCTTATCCATTCATCCACACAAGGACACCTGGGTGACTTCACTTTTTGGCTATTGTGAATAACGCCACTATGAACATGGAGTCCCCTGTATTTCTAATCATAGGTATTGGTCTTCGGTTTGGGGACTCATGAAATTCCACTCCTACTTCTCTGTTCTTCTACTGCTCCTCCACATCTTTGTTCTTACCATGAGTGGTATTTTGTTTCTAATAAATGAAAAAGTATGATAGATATGATACTTCATTTAATGAAATGATCAACACAAACCTCGGGCAAATCACTTAATTTCTTCACAATGTGGCCTTCTCATCTGTAAAACAGTAATGTCATTCTTTACCTCTTTGGCTTATGAGGAAGATAAAATGAGACCATGTCTGTAAAGAGCTTAGCACTTAGACTGTCACGTAGCATCTGCCCAGCAAGTTGAGGTTGGTACTTGGTTCCCCACAGTGGGGAGCAGGGATTGAGGCAGAACTCATTCATGTGGGCATAGGGAACAGATAGAGCCACAAGCTCAGAGCCAGAGGGACTGTGAGGGCAGGTGCACCCTTAAAGATCTTTAGGAGAAAGATTTCCAGCCTTTGTCACTGGGCACTGGAGTTCCCTGATAAATTCAATTGGCAACCAGTAGGGTTTTCAGGGTAGTAGTGCAAGACAGAACCCCCCAAGCCTGGTAAACAAGGGCTCACAATTCTTCAGCTCCTCTGGCCCTGTTACCCTTCCTGGGATGGTTTGAGTAACACAGCCCCAGAAGGGGAATCCACCCTGTGATGGGCTGAATTGCATCCCCCTCACTTTCATGTTAAATCCTAATCCCTAATACCTCAGAGCATGATCTCATCTGGAGGCAGGATTTCAAGTGAGGTCATTAGGATGGACCCTAACCCAATGACTGGTGTCCTTATAAAAAGGGAAATTAATAAGGTCATTAGGGTGGGCCTTAATCCAATATGACCTGGTGTCCTTATAAAAAGGGGAAATTTGGACACAGAGATGCACATACATACAGGGAAGATGATCTGAAGAGACAGAGGGAGAAGGCAGCTGTACTAGTCTGTTTTGTGTTGCTATAAAGGAATACCTGAGACTAGGTAATTTACAAATAAAAGAGGTTTATTTTGGCTCATTGTTCTGCACACTGTACAAGAAACATAGTGCTGGCATCTGCCTCTGGTGAGCCCTCAGGAAGCTTTTACTCATGGTGGAAGGTGAAGGGGGAGCAGGCATGTCACATGGTGAGTGAAAGAGTAAGAGAGAGAGGGAGGAGGCACCAGGCTCCTTTAAACAACCAGCTCCTGCATGAACTCACAGAGAAAGAACTCACTCATCACCACAGGGAGGGCACCAAGCCATTCCATGAGGGATCCGCCCCCATGACCCAAACACCTCCCTCCAGGCCCCACCTCCAACATTGGGGATCACATTTCAACATGGGATTTGGAGGGAAAAAATAACAAAACTATAGCTCAGCCATCTACAAGCCAAGGAGAGAGGCCAGGAACAGATCTTTCCCTCACAGCCCTCAGAAGAACCAACCCTGCCACCACCTTGATTTTGGACTTCCTGCTTCCAGAACTGTGAGACCATACATTTCTGTTGGTCAAGCCACACTCACTATACAGTATTTTGTTATGACAGCCCCAGGAAACTAATGCACACCTCTACAACCCTTTCAGGGACAATGGAAGATGCTGGTGAGAGCCCCTCCAAGCCAGTGGAACCCAAGGAAGCAGAGTGACTGACAAAACAAACTTCTGGCCTTCAAGGACAATTATAAAGTCTGTATAAGCTTCTAAAGTGTGGCTACATTGCATATTAGTAAATATCCTTTTTTTGGCCAAAGTATTTTATTTTACTATTATACTATATGTAATTTGCAAATCGTTTCACAAGAAATTTTTAAAGCAAAGTTATAAAAATGTATATAAAAAAGTACAGAGTTGACAGGAAAATTACTTTTTTTAATAGTTCAAATAAAATCTTTTTGTTTTTCTTATGCTGGCTGAAAATTGTATAATCTATTCTTCCATAGATAGTTGCAATATTACATTTTAATGAGCAGTCTCATAGTTAATTCATTTATTAAAAACAGGTTCACCCTTTGGATGATGAGAATCAATTGCTCGATTTTAAAGAGAACGATAATAAAATTTGTCATATACGACATGAAGTCATAAATAGCTCTTCAAAATTCAGATGTGTTCAGCCTTGTTTCTCTATTAAATTCTTCACAGTTCTAAGTTAAGGAAGTGTCTTTTACTTTAGCCCGACTTCAGAGCTAAAGTCTGGTTTAACTTCAGAGATCCAGAAGTTGTGGCTGTGAGGCATTTTATGGCAGCAGCTGGTCTGATGACAGTGGCTGCTCCCTGGCTATGCTTTTCAACCCCCATAATCACAGAGAGGCATTTTGCTTAAATCTTCAGGTTTTTGCTGTAGCATTGTCATAAAATATTCTCTAGCTTTGTCCACATGCAGCCCATGGAGGTCTGAGACATTTGGTGACAACAGGGAGGCGTGATGAGCTTTGCACGTCTACTTATGGGGACTGACCTGGTGGGCATGCCCTCCACTTCTGTAGGTGCATGAGGGCATCTCCTCTGCAACCATCCAATGCCTAGAAATGGTCCACTTTTTTTTTTTTTTTTTAAGACAGAGTCTTGCTCTGTTGCCAAGGCTAGAGGGCAGTGGCGCAATCTTGGCTCACTGCAACCTCTGTCCCTAGGTTCAGGCGATTCTCCTGCCTCAGCCTCCTAAGTAGCTGGGACTACAGGTGCCCACCACCACGCCCCACTAATTTTTGTATTTTTAGTGGAGACAGGGTTTCACTATGTTGGCCAGGCTAATCGCAAACTCCTGACCTCAGGTGATCCGCCTGCTTCGGCCTCCCAAAGTGCTGGGATTACAGGCATGAGCCACCACGACCGGGCCCACTTCGTATGTCTTGAGTCTCTTTCTTTGCCTTTTCTCTTTAGCCTTCCATTCAGCAGAAGTGACATTTGCATTTTCATGAAAAACTCCTGTGCTATAACTTTTTGTAAACGATTCCTTTCAAGAACACAGTTTTAAAATTGCACTGTATGTTCTAAGAAATAACTGTGGTCCTTGAAAGTGTACACCTCCAAATTTTGGTTAATGGCGAGGAGTAACTTGGAGAGCTGCTGCTTCTTCAGTCTGATGACACATTCTATTACAAAGATAAGTGACTTCCTTCTTAAGTCGTGATTTTTCCTGTAAGGCAATTTCTTCTGTTAGCTATTTCTGTGAGTGACACTTTTTTTTTTTTTTTTTGAGGCGGAGTCTCACTCTATCGCTCAGGCTGGAGTGGTGTGGTGCGATCTCGGCTCACTGCAAGCTCCGCCTCCCGCGTTCACACCATTCTCCTGCCTCAGCCTCCCGAGTAGCTGGGACTACAGGCGCCCGCCACCATGCCCAGCTACTTTTTTGTATTTTTAGTAGAGACGGGGTTTCACCGTGTTAGCCAGGATGGTCTCGATCTCCTGACCTTGTGATCCGCCCGCCTCAGCCTCCCAAAGTGCTGGGATTACAGGCGTGAGCCACCGCGCCCGGCGTGAGTGACACTTTTAAAAACTTGACTATTCCGATGATCCAATTAGACAGAGTAACACTTCGGGTGCTGCTAAAGTCTGCAGTAATTTCTTGTTCTCTGAGATGAATTTTGTTCAGTATGATCAAGTCCAACATGCCCAACCAGGGGAGGGCCTCCCGTAAGCTTGCCATAGGACACAGCTTGTTTTTGTTACTTCTAAACACATGTGCAGGACAAGAGATTGGCAAAGGACGGGTATATTAGTAAATATATTTATATTATTTTTTCTAGAAATCATTTCGCCTTTTAGAATTGTGACAAAATCATTCTTATTAAATGTAAGTCAACAAATAAAGCTGGATAAATAAAATTGTAAAGTGTGACTCCACTCACCATGGTGGAGCTCCAGGACACCTATGCGATCCCTCCACTTAAGAGAATTCGGCTGCTGCTTTAAAAAATAAAAACTGTTTTTAAAACTCAATCAATCAGCATTGCATTATTTAACTGAGAGAGTAAAAATCTCACTGTTTCGAGGTTTTTCCCCTCAGAAACAATCATTCACATTAAGTTTCATCACTAATGGTATAATTTGCCTAATCTGATATTAATCTAAAAACTTAGAGGAAAACAAAATCAGCAACGTGTTAACTGGTGAAAGTTCTCTCTCAAAATCAAAATTCAATAGAATTATTTCATGTAACATGGTTTATTTTGTTATAGAAAGTAAAGGTGACAAAAGTAAAGGTGACAAAATGAGCACAAAGGGAGTTCTTCATAAAAAGAAACCTGCCAAGAATTCTTGCAATTTCTCATAAGTCACTTTTGTCAGGTTCAAATCTACATGAACTAGACTATCCTCAACTGTTAGAGACCCTAAAATCCATTCCAACATGGCCAAATATCATGTGTTTCTTAATGATAGGAATATGTTCTGAAAAATGCATTGTTAGGTAATTTCATCACTGTGCGAACATCACTAAGTACACTTACACAAACCTAGATGGCATAACCTACTACACGCCTGGGCTCTGTGGTACAGCCTACTGCTCCTGGGCTACAAACCTGCACAGCATGTAACTGTACTGAATACTGTAGGCAACTGTAACACAACGGTAAGTATGTTTGTATCTAAACATGTCTAAACATACAAAGAGTGCAGTAAAAAATACAGTATAAAAGACACACATGGTACACCTGTTTAGGGCAGGTACCACTAATGGAGCTTGCAGGACTGGAGGTGGCGTTGGGTGAGTCAGTGAGTGAGTGGTGAGTGAATGTGAAGGCTAGGACATTACGGTACACTACCGTAGACTTTATAAATACTGTGCACTTAGGCAACACTAAATTTATAAGAAAATATATTTTTCCTCAGTAATAAATTAACCTTGGCTTATTGTAACTTTTTTACCCTATGAGCGTTTTAGTATTTTTTTGTTTTTGTTTTTTACTTTTTGACTACTGTGTAATAATACTTAGTTTAAAACACAGATTGTCCAGCTATAAAAAAAATTCTTTATATTCTTATCCTATAAGCTTTTTTAATTTAATTTTTACTCTTTCGACTTTTTAAACTTTTTTGTTAAAAATTAAAACATGAGCCCACACATTAGCCGAGGCCTACCCAGGGTCAGGAGCATCAGTGTCACTGTCTTCCACCTCCACAACTTGTCCCACTGGAAGGTCTTCAGGGGCAGTAACACGCATGGAGCTGTCACTTCCTAAGATAACAGTGCCTTCTTCTGGAATAACTCCTGACAACCTGCCTGAGGCTGTTTTACAGTTAACCTTTTTTATAAGTAGAAACATACATTCTAAAATAACAATAAAACCTATGGTATAGTAAATACATAAACCAGCAACATAGTTATTGCCATTATCAAGCATTAATACTGTACATAATTCTACGTGCTACCGTTTTATAAGACTGGTAGTGCAATAGGTTTATTTTCACAGCATCACCGCAAACATGGGAGGAAAACACTGCACTATGTTACGATGGCTACAACTTCAAGAGGCTATAGGAATTTTTCAGCTCTGTTATAATCCATGGGATCACTGTCGTATACGCGGTTTGTCACTGACTGAAACATTATTACACAGTGTCTGACTGTAATTCATTGATCTGGAAAGCCAGTTCAGCAGGTGTTGGCACCTCCAGACAGTGGATGGTAAGAGATTTGATCATCCCTGGCATGGCAGTCAACATATCAGCCTAATAATTGTCACTGACTCTGGCTGACAAAGTACCGCATGATATTAGAATTTTCTCCATTTCCTGTTCATCGTCATTCATAAATTCTTCTGTGTTTATCTAAAATTTCACATAATCTGGCCCGGCGCAGTGGCTCATACCTGTAATCCCAGCACTTTGGGAGGCCGAGGCATACGAATCACCTGAGGTCAGGAGTTCGAGACCAGCCTGCCCAACATGGTGAAACCCTGTCTCTACTAAAAATATAAAAATTAGCCGGGCTTGGTGGTGCATGCCTGTAGTCCCAGCTACTTGGGAGGCTGAGGAAGGAGAATCGCTTGAACCCAGAAGGCAGAGGTTGCAGTGAGGTGTGATCGTGCTACTGCACTCCAGCCTGGGCAACAGAGACTCAGTCTCAAATAACATAAAATAAATAAAATAAATAAAATAAAATAAAATAAAATAAAATAATTTAAACAATAAAATAAAATAAAATAATTTAAACAATAAAATAAAATAATTTAAACAATAAAATAAAATAAAATAATTTAAACAATAAAATAAAATTTCACATAATCCTTTGGAAATCTTTCATTTTTTTCTTTCTTTTTTTATTATACTTTAAATTTTAGGGTACATGTGCACAATGTGCAGGTTAGTTACATATGTATACATGTGCCATGCTGGTGTGCTGCACCCATTAACTCGTCATTTAGCATTAGGTATATCAACACAATTAATTTCCTCATTTAATTCAAGATGTGAAGAGCTCAACACAGAGTTCAAAATATCACACAGATTCAAAGAAGAATGTATACTGTGTCCAATGTCTGGAGCTACTGGGTTCTTCTCCATTCCATTCATGTCTTTAGGGGTTGTAGCGTTTAGATACCTAGAAAAGACTACTTGATGCTATGTAAGCCTAAAAGTTCTGCCTAACTATTAGGGAGCAGTTCGTTAGTATTCTTTGGGTCTACAACAGCATCAGGAAATACACTTGCTATTAATTCAGTTTTTTTGTTGTTGTTTTTATTTGTTTGTTTGTTTGAGGCAGAGTCTCCCTCTGTCCCCCAGGCTGGAGTGCAACGGCCCGATCTCGGCTCACTGCAAGCTCCACCTCCTGGGTTCATGCCATTCTCCAGCCTTAGCCTCCCGAGTAGCTGGGACTACAGGCGCCCGCCACCACGCCTGGCTAATTTTTTGTACTTTTAGTAGAAACGGGGTTTCACCGTGTTAGCCAGGATGGTCTCGATCTCCTGACCTTGTGATCTGCCCGCCTCAGCCTCCCAAAGTGCTGGGATTACAGGCGTGAGCCACCGCGCCCAGCCTATTAATTCAGTTTTTTCAGAAGTTACAGCTTTTATTTCTGCTTGTTCTGAGCTTTCCCTTTCTGCATCTTTGGTAGGCTCTGCACACATTATTGTTACTCATTCAAAACTGAATGTGAAGTTAAGGGATGTAAAGTGAATACAGGAAAAATTTCCTAAATTTTTATTATTCAAATTTGCATTTTGTGTAGAAATACATATAATACTTATAAACTCACTTGAGTCACAAAGTAGTAACATCTCGTTAAGGCAA
The DNA here is from genome assembly GCF_000001405.40 of Homo sapiens. Taxonomy (NCBI): domain Eukaryota; kingdom Metazoa; phylum Chordata; class Mammalia; order Primates; family Hominidae; genus Homo; species Homo sapiens. The sequence goes on along the minus strand of NW_011332701.1, from coordinate 2,455,794 downwards.
AATGAATCTATTTGGTCCTCGGGAAGAAAGTTCAATTTCTTTTCTTTCTTTTTTTTTTTTTTTTTTTTTTTTTTTTTGAGACGGAGTCCCGCTCTTTCACCCAGGCCGGAGTGCAGTGGCGCCATCTCGGCTCACTGCAAGCTCCGCCTCCCGGGTTCACGCCATTCTCCTGCCTCAGCCTCCCGAGTAGCTGGGACTACAGGCGCCTGCCACCACGCCCGGCTAATTTGTTGTATTTTTCAGTAGAGACGGGGTTTCACCGTGTTCGCCAGGATGGTCTCGATCTCCTGACCTCGTGATCTGCCCGCCTCGGCCTCCCAAAGTGCTGGGATTACAGGCGTGAGCCACGGCGCCCGGCCAGGAAGTTCAATTTCTTAAAAGCATTCTCGGTTAAGGAATCCAAATCTTCGATTCGCTACATGTCCAAAAGTGAATCCATGTTTGAAGCTTCACTCCCTTCTTAAGAAAGCCACTTTTCCATGATCTCACTTCCTGATGCACTCTCCTGACTCTCAGAACCAATTCATCTGCCCGAGAAGATTCTTATTTCAGATAATCTTAATAGACAATCTATTGCATTTCAACTGAGAGGATTGCTGTGCGGACTAAACGAGATAATCCCTAAAAGCCTGCTGTGTAAGAAGACTGGCACTTAGTAAGCACCCAACTACGTTCCCTTTGAAGTCACATTCGGAGCGCATCCAGTACACAACATCCAGTCCAGGTAGAAAACGTCTCTGAGACACTGGGGAAAAGCTCTTTCTGATCTATTTTTGTCTCTTCCATACTTTTTCTTTCAGAAGGAAGATACTGTCAATATGACATTTCACCACTAAAAAATGTCCATTATATATCTCCTTAAAATGGAAATATCCTGCTATAAAATGACACCCCCATAATCAAAGCGAAGAAAATTAAACTAATCCCCACTATCATCTCGTACACAGTCCATATTCAAATTTCTCCAAGTGCTTCAAAAATGACTTTTATAATTTTATTAAAACAAGAATACAGTCTACATTCGCATATTACATTTTGTTATTGCGTCTCTTCAATAAAGAAAGCCCTCTCCTTTTTTCTTTTGTCGTGGTATTGATTTATTGAGGGAACTGAGCTTGTGGAATATTTTGTATTCTGGATTCATGGTTGAATCTTCTATTTTCCATATTTCATACAACTGAGAAACTAGATTTAAAAGCTTGTTTAGATTTGTACTAAATATTTTTGGCAAGAATACGGCTTCTGTGTATTTCATACCACCTTGCACCAAGAGGCACATAATATTAGGAAGTTTCTGTTAGTGATGTTAATTGTATTGCATAGCTAAATGTGTAACGGTGCTCCGTTATCTAAGGTATGTTTACCCTTTCCAGTCCGCAAGCACTCCATGGGGTGATGTTATGAGACTGCAGGAATATCGTGTTCCTTATTACCCTGCCTTTACTGCTTTTCAGCATCTCTTGATGATCCTTATCTGAATCCCTTATTTTACTAGTTTACACTATGGTGATTTTTCTATTTTGTTCATTCCTTCTACATTTATTTACTGATTTTCCTCTTTCCCCCCTCATAATGACTACTGAAATGCTTCTATTAAAATATCAATTATCAAAATATTTCAACCCCACACTTCTCCACCAAGGCTGGCTTTGCTGTACCTTAAGCCTGAGTTTATGGGGGTAATCCAGCCCCTTGAGCAGGGCTCCTTCACCTGAGACCCCAGCTAGGCTGCTCAGTTCAGGTTCTGGAGACAACTTCTGAGTCATCTCCAAATTTTAGTGGTAGACTAAGCACCAGTATATGAGGTATTTATACATTTTTTACTCTTTATTTTACGATAATTATAGATTCACATGCAGTTCTAAGAAATAATCACATCCCATAAACTCTTCCCCCAATTTCACTCAGTGGTAACATATTGCATGACAAGAGTACAGTATCAAAAGTGGGACACTGGCATTGATGCAATCCATTGCCTCTATTCAAATTTCACCTGCTTTACATGCACTCATTTGTCTGTGTGTGGATATTTATTTCTATGAAATTTTACCTTACTTATAGATTTGTGTGACCACCGCCACAGTCAAGATACAAACAGACCCATCAACAATTCTTTACTAACCTTCATAGTCACAGCCTCTCCCTGTATCTTGAGCCCTTGGCAATCATTAATCTGTCTTCCAACTCTATAATTTTGTCATTTTGAGAGTGCTATATTAATGGAATCATATCACATGTAACTTCTTACGATTGGCTTTATTTTTCTTTTTTTTGGTGGGCACAAATTCCTGGAGTTCACCAAAGTTGTTAAGCATATTAATAGTTTGTTCCTTTTTATTTCTGAGTGTTCCATATGCATGTACCACAGTTGTACCATTTGCCCACTGAGGGACATTTGAGCTGTTTCCAGTTTTCAATTATTATAAACAAAACTGCTGTGAATATTCACATACTGGTTTTTTGTGAACATAAGTTTTCATTTCTCTGGGATAAATGCCCAAGAGTGTAATTCCTGGGTTGTATAATAAGTATACTGTAAGTGTTTTGTAAGAAGTGTTTCTGCTGAACCTTTCCCAGAGAGGCTGTATATACTATTGTCCCATTTTATATTTCCACCAAAAATCTATGAGTTATCCAGTTATGTGGCATTTCTGCCAGGATTTGGTGTCATCACTGTTAGTTTGCCTGTTTGTTTTAGCCATTTTGACAGGTGTATAGTGATATTTCACTGGGATTTTAATGTGCATTTCTCTAACGGCTAATGATATTGCATGTCTTTTCATATGTTCATCATCTGTCTGTCCTACTTAGTGAAATATATTTTGCTAATTTCTCATTGGATTGATTTTTAACTGTTGAGTGTTAAGTGTTCTATATACATTATAGATACAAGTCATTGTTTAGATACGTGGTTTATAAATATTTTCTCCCAGGTTTTTATTCTTTTCACATAGGCTTTCACAGAGCAAAAGTTTTGGTGAAGTCCTATTATCAATTTTTTCTTCCCCTTTCTAGATCATGATTTCTGTGCCAAGTCTAAGAAGTTTTTGCCTAGCCATATATCGTGGAAGATTTTCATTTGTCTTTTTAAAAAGGTTTTCTAATTTATGTTTTGCATTTGTGTGTGTGATGCACTTTGAGTTAGTCTTTTGTGTAGGCTGTGATGTTTAGGACAATGTTCGTTTTTTGGCTTATGAATGCCAAATTGTTCCAGCGTCACTTGTTAAAAAGACGATCCTTCCTCCATTAAATTGCTTTATCATCTCTGTTGAAATGAATTCCTTTATTAGTCAGTTGGGCTTATTTGTGTGGGTTTATTTTTGGGTTCTTTATCCTGTTCCATCTATCTGTGTATCTATTATTTGCTAATAAACATTGTCTTGATTATTGTAGCTACATAATATCCCTTATTGTGTATCTAATAAAATATGCATACAATTGACCCTTGAACAACATGGGTTTGAACTGTGCAAATCTATTTATATGTGGATTTTCTTCTGCCACCCCGAGACAGCAAGACCAAACCCTTCCCTTCCTCTTCCTCCTCAGCTCACTCAACATGGAGACAATGATAATGAAGGCCTTTATGATGACTCACTTCCACTTAATGAATAGTAAATATATTTTATCTTCCTTACGATTTTCCTAATAACATTTTCTTTTCTCTAGCTTATTTTATTGTAAGAATACAGTACATAATACATATAACATACAAAGATTTTTTCACTCACCTGTTTGTGTGATCAGTAGATCTTCCACTCAACAGGGTATTAGTAGTTAAGCTTTGGGGAGTCAAAAGTCGTATGTGGATTTTTGACTGCACAAAAATCCACATATATGTCGGGGAGGGGAGCTCCTGATGCTCACATTGTTCAAGCGTCAACTTCATGTACGGTTATCCCTCGATATCAATGGGGCAGAGTTCCAGAACCTCCCACTGACAATCAGAATCCCCAGGTGTTCAAGTCTCTGATATAAAATGGCATAGTATTAGCATATAACTTATGCGCCTCCTCCCATATACTTTAAATCATCTCTATTATTAGTTATATTGCCTAGTACCATGTAAACACTATGTAAATAATTATTATACTTATACAGTATTATTTGCAATAATGATAAAAGTCTGTATATGTTCAATACGAACTCCATTTTTTTAAAATATTTTTGATTCATGATAGGTTGGATCCACAGATGCAGAACCTATGGATACACAAGATGAAATATATTTGGTTTTTGTCCCTGGTTCCTGGCACAGAACTGCAATTTCCCGAGTGATAGGCGTGTCTTTTGAATGAGTGTTGGATTGTGTCATATTTTTCTGAGGATATCTATATGATTATATGATTTTTCTTTAGCCTATTGATATAATTATTATATTAATTGATTTTCAGATATTGAACCAGATATATATCTCTGGAATATATCCCACTTGGTCAAACGTGTAATTCTTTCTATGCATTTGGATTTGATTTGCTAATACTTTTGAGGATTTTTGCATCCAAGTTTATGGGAGATATTGGTCCATAGTTTGGGGGTTTTTTGTACTCTTTGTTTAATTTTGTATTAGGGTAATACTAACTTCATAAATGAGTTAGTGTTTCCTTCTCTTCTATTTTCTGGAAGTGATTGCATAAAATTTGTGTCAATTCTCTCCTAAATGTTTGGTGGAATTCTCTAGTAAAACCATCGGGGCCTGAACATCTCATTGCGGGAGATTTTTATTATGTATTCAATTAATTTAATGATTGTAAGACTAATCAGATTTTCTATTTCTTCTTGATTGAGTTTCATAGCTTGTGACTTTTGAGAAATTGATCCATTTCTTCTCAGTTGTTGAATTTATGAGTGTGAAGTTGTTCATAATATTCCCTTATTCTTTTAATGGCTACATGATCTGCAGTAATAACTCCTGTTTCCTTCCTCATACTGGTGACACGTCTCTCTCTTTTATATCTTTGTCAACTTGCTAGATGTTTATCATTTTTTATTTTCTTTTCAAAAAAGCTGCTTTTGATTTATTGGTTTTCTTCCATTGTTTTTATATTTTTAGTGTTATAAATTCCTGCTTTTATCTTTATTATTTCCTTTCTTTTGCTTACCTTGAATGTATTTTGCTCTCCTTTTTTCAGTTTCTTGAGGTAGGAACCCAGACTAATGATTTGATCCCTTTTTCTTTATCTAAACTTTGAGAATTGTTATTGTTTCTTCCTTGAATGTAGAAATAATCAGTGGAGCCAGGTACGTCTGAAATTTTTATTGTGCGAATATTTTAACTATGAATGCAATTTTAAAAATAGATACAGAGCTACTCAGAGCTTCGATAATTTGGATATTCCAAGAAATATGTCCACTTTATCTAAGTTACCACACTTACCGTAATGAGGTGTTTATAATACTTTAAAAATCATCTTTTTAATAGTTGTAGGATTTGTAGTGATGTCCCTTTTTAATTCCTGATAATAATGAACTAATTTTATTACTGCTTTTTAAAAAGTGGATTTTAGTTTTATTTCTGATTGTTATTCTATTTCATTGATTTCTGCTGTCATGTTTATTATTTGCAAATATTTGAAGATTTTTCAGATTTTCATGTTACTCATTTCTAATTTAATATAATTGTTGTCAGAAGAATTGTGGATGATTTCAGTCCTTTTTTATTGAGAATTTTTCTGTGGTTTATGATATAGTCTATTTTGGTAAATAGTGCATGTTCACTTGAAAGGAATATGTATGATGGAGTATTCTATAAATGTCTATTAGGTCAGGATTATGGTAATGTTGCTTAAGTTGGCTATATTTTTACTGATTTTCTATCTACTTCTCACTGATTATTGTCAGTGGGATGTTGAGATCTCCAACTATAAATGTGAATTTGTTTCTTCTTGTAATTCTCAGATTTTTTTCCTTCATGTATTTTGAAGTTATGTTATTAGGAGCATAACATTTAGGGTTATTATATTGTTTTGATGAATTGCTCCTGTAATCATTATGAAAGACCCTCTTTTTTCTTGGCACCATCCCTTGTCCTGAAATATACCTTGATATTAATATAGTTTCCCATCTGTTCTTTGTTCTCCTTTCTTATATTTTTCTGCCTTCACTTGGGTCAACTGAGCACCTTTCATACTTTTAATTTATCTTCTTAGTTATTTTTTCACTCATGGCTATTTGCTCTTAGTTTATAATGTGCATCTTGACTTATGAAAGTCTGATTTCAAATAATATTACCACTTCAAATCTCGTATAAGAGCTTTACAACTGTATACTTACATTTTCCTCTCCCATTATTGCATGATTGTTGTCACATTTTACTTCTGAATTTGTTTTAAAATTAAAATACATGGTTACTTTGCTTTAATCATCTATTTTCAGAGTGATTTCAAAATATAAAAATGTCATTGTATTCACCCAAATATTAACACACACATCTCCATTTCCAGTGTTCTTCATTCATTTAGGTAGATGCACATTCCTATCTGCTTTTATGGAGAAAGTCAATTTCTGGTTTTTCTATTTTTGTTGGGTGCAGAATTCTAGGTTGCCAGATTTTTCCTTCAGTACTTGAAAGATGTTTTTCCACTATCTTCTGGCTTATTGTTTCCACTATTTCACTGTTGTTTTTCTTTTTCTTTCTTTCTTTTTTTTTTTTTTTTTTTTTTTTGAGATGGAGTTTCGCTTTTGTTGCCCAGGCTGGAGTGCAATGGCGCAATCTCAGCTCACCGCAACATCTGCCTGCCTCCCAGGTTCAAGTGATTCTCCTGCCTCAGCCTCCCAAGTAGCTGGGATTAAAGGCATGCGCCACCACACCCACCTAGTTTTGTATTTTTAGTACAGACGGGGTTTCTCCATGTTGGTCAGGCTGGTCTTGAACTCCCGACCTCAGGTGATCCGCATGCCTTGGTTTCCCAAAGGGTTGGGATTACAGGCATGAGCCACCATGTCCAGCTGATTTCTTTTTCTTTTTTCTTTTTTTAGAGATGGGGTCTTGCTCTGTCACCCAAGCTACAGTGCAGTGGTGCAATTATAGCTCACTGTAACCTTGAACTTCTGGGCTCAAGTGATCCTCCCACCTTAGCCTCCCGAGTAAGCTGGGACTGAAGGTTAATTTTTTGATGTTGGTTTTACTTTCTCTGCCCAATCTGAAAATCTCTGCCTTTTATTTGGGAACACATTCAATTAAACTCAATTAGATTTTACTTGCTAAAAAGAGTCCAAGGCACAGACACAATGGTAAACCACATAAACTCTTCAGGTTCCCTGCCAGTTCCAGACATCAGTTTTT